>NC_000008.11:133839222-134464222 GCF_000001405.40 Homo sapiens | reverse complement strand
GCTTGTTGATACTCCGCAGGGTGAGTACTCCAGGGTGTTGTGTGCATGTGCTCATCGATACTCTGCATGGCAAGTACTGCAGGGCGAGTACTCCAGGGCGTCGTGTGCATGTGCTCATCGATACGCTGCAGGGAGAGTACTCCAGGGCGTCGTGTGCATGTGCTGATCGATACGCTGCAGGGCGAGTACTCCAGGGCGTCGTGTGCATGTGCTGATCGATACTCTGCAGGGAGAGTACTCCAGCGCGTTGTGTGCATGTGCTCATGGATACACTGCAGGGCGAGTTCTCCAGGGCGTTATGTGCATGTGCTCATCAATACGCTGCAGGGCGAGTACTCCAGGGCGTCCTGTGCATGTGCTCATCAATACACTGCAGGGCGAGTACTCCAGGACGTTGTGTGCATGTGCTCATCGATACTCTGCAGGGTGGGTACTCCAGGGCTTTGTGTGCATGTGCTTATTGATACTCCAGGGCATCGTGTGGATGTGCTCATCGATCGATACGCTGCAGGGCAAGAACTCTGAGTTGTGTGTGCATGTGCTTTTCAATACTCTGCAGGATGAGAACTCCAGGGGATTTTATTAATTTTGTATTGCTGCCATCACAAACTATCACACACTTAGTAATGAATACAACACAAAATTATTATCCTGCAGTTCCCTAGGCCAGAAGTCTGATGAGGTCTCACTGGGCTGAGATCAAGATGTCTGCAGGCTCTGTTACCTTCTGGAGGCTCTGGTGGAAATCCATGTCCTGCTCACTCGGGTTCTTAGCAGAATTCAGTGACCTGTGAGATCCCCATGTCCTGGCTTGCTGTACATGGCAGGCCTCCCAAGGCCGCCTGTATTCCTCCTCATGTCCCTTCCTCTATCTCCAAGCCAGCCATGGTGGCTGAGCACCTCTCACACTTCGAACCTCTCCTTCCTCTCACCTCTCTGACCCAACTGGGGTCAGATAATCCAGGATCATCCCCCTATTTTAAGGGCATATGACAAGCAACCTTAATTCCCTCTGCAACTTTAATTCCCTTTTGTTATGGAAAGTAACCTGTTCCCAGGTTTTGAGGATGAGGATGTAGCCATCTTTGGAGACCATTCCTTGGCATCCCACAGGGACTCTCTGCAGATCTTTGGGCTTCTGCCTTTGTGCAGCCTCCTCTTCCCTGGTACTGTGTCCTGCAAACTCTCCTGTACTCTCACCTCTGCCTCTTCAACTCAGGGAGTCTGTTGGGTTCTGCCTGCCTGCCCTGACTTCCTGCGGTGATTCCCTCTGCCATCCCCAATAGGGCAGGAGCTGACCGCTCTTCCATTCCCATCCATGGGGCCACACAGCTTTCCACTGTCAGCGCACTGCCTTCTCACAGCCCTCCCATGCCCTGTGAGTGTGACACAGCCTGCTGGGTTGGGGCTGGGAGACTGTCAGGATCCTTTGTCTGGTCTTGAATCTGCATCTGCCCTCGGTGCCAGCTCTTGTCGCAGAGCCCCAAAGTGCTTGCCTCCTGCCTTGGCTTCAGTCCCTCCCTGGTCCTGTGGTCCACCTGGAGGAAGGCAGGAGGCACTCATTCCATGATTATCTGGGTCCCCCTGCAGCTGGGTAAGAGCTGCCACAAGAGTGATCAATGCTCAGATATGGGGTTTAGAAGCCATGCCAGATTGGGGAGCCCCAAATGACCAGCTGGGGAGCCAGAGGAAGGGGTGCTTGGCATCCCTTTACTCAACACCTTTGTGTTTTGGTTGTTGTCTCCTAGGCTAATATCTGTTGACTGTTCTCCATGTGCCAGGCATGTTTCTAAGCACTTGATGTGCATAGTCTCATCTAGACCTCATAAAACCTGTCCCCAGGGGAGGAAAGTCACCTAAGCACATGCCGCATCATACAGCTGTGCTGACACGTTGCCGGGCAGCTGGGTCCAGGTTCCGTGCTCTTCCCCACCACTTCCCATGTGCCAGCACCGAGGACCAGAATGAGCCCAAGCCAGGCCCCTGGACCTCTCTGGTGTAGGATGGAAGAATCAGCCAGTCTGCACAAGCTGGTGATTCAGATGAGCAGTGGGGGTGGAGGTGGGCAGATGAGCATGCAGTGGAAAGACCTGCTGAGCAATGATCAGTGGCTGATAAGTGGATGCTGTGGGGATCCACTCTGTGGACAAGGCAGTCATGGCCCACCCAGCTCAGCCTGGCCTTTGGACAGTCAATGCAGGCCATCTAGTCGGCCATCGTCCCTCAGAGGCAGCCCGAGGGGTCCCCAGGGCAGCCACTGCAGACCTGGCTGAGTCACCAGGTGGCTTTGATCTGACCCCCGTGCCTGTCATCCATCTGGCTCACCAGTGCCCAGCCCACACGTGGCGCAGCATGCAGGTGAATGAGGGAGGGGAACCAGATGTGTGCGCCACCACTGCCACCTAGGCCAGTGCTGGAAACCCATGTCCTTATCCCACACACCACACACACATGTCAGAAACACCATGTACCACACACACGAAACACATTCCATACATACACAGGTACTATGAACACCACACACAATGTATCACACATACAACTCCACACACACACCACACCACACACGCCACACATACATGTCAGAAACACCATATACCACACACACAAAACACATCCCATACTATACATATACTATAAACACCACACACAATATGTCACACATGTAACTCCCTACACATACTATACTGCACACACCACACATACCACACATCATAAACATCACACACCATATTCCACATACACAAAACACATTCCACACACCACACATACCACACGTCAGAAACACCATACACCACACACACAAAACACATTCCATACATACATACTACGAACACCACACACATCACACATGCAACTCCACACACACACCACACCACACATACCACAAATACCACACATCGTGAAATACCACACACCACACATGAAACACATTCTACACATTCACATATACCACAGACACCACACGCACACTACACACAATACATATGCAACTCCACACACACACCACACACAATACATTACATATACAACTCCACATGCACACCACACCGCACACACTACACATACCATATGTCAGAAACACCATACACCACACATGAAACACATTCTGTACATACAAACCACAGACACCACATACACACCACACACATCACACATACAACACACGCACACCACACACAATACATTACATATACAACACATGAACACCACACACAATACATATACAACTCCACACGCACACCACACTGCACACACTACACATACCACATGTTAGAAACACTATATACCACACATGAAACACATTCCATACAAACCAGACACCACATACACACCACATACAATACGTCACACATACAACTCCCACATTCACCACATTACACACCACACACGCCATTCATATACACCCCACCCTCCCACACCGCACACACAAACACACCAGAAACACCACACACAGACCCACCGTAAAACACCCTCACCTTCTTGAATATCACACACACTACAAACGCCACATAGAAAACACACTCTACACATAGACCTGTACCAGAAACGGCACACATAGCACACAAAATACCACACATACAAAAGCCCCCGCATATTACACACATACCACAAAACATTGCAGTCCCCACAAACACCACACACAAAACACATTCCATACATACACACATACTACAGTAATACACCTCACATATATACTACACAGTATATCACACATACAAATAAACGCTCAAACACGTGTCACACAGCACACACATGGCCCGCACACTCCCACAGACACAACCGCACGCACACACGGGAGCAAGAGCACCGCAGCCTCCCGGGCAGCCCCCAGCCATGGCTTACTAATTGCCTCTCTTCCTGCAGGGCTGTTTATCATCTTTCCCCAGTGCTTGGGTACCAAATGAAGATAGATTCCAGGAAGCTTTGAAATGTTCCAAATGCAGAAGCCTCCAAATCACATGCTTTGAAGGTTAGAACAAAGTTTAATTCTCCTCCTCTCAACCCTGGCTTTTGAATTATTTTTAAATTATTCCTCTAAAAATGCTCCGTACCCCGTGATTTTTAAGAGCAACACTGGCTCACTGTGAGAACTGTCATTCATTCGGCTCTGCTATGTGCCGGAGTGTGATACATGCTCACCTGGGCTTCCTCCTTGTGTCCTGGTTGCAGCCCTAGGAGGGAGGCTTGACTTTATATTCATAGAATCCCTACTTCATAGAACAGGAGAGAGAGGCCCAGAGAGGCCAAGGAGTGGCCACAGATCAGCACAGATCATGGGCCAGAGGTGATTCCAGGCTGTCCAATCCGGAGTCCATGTTTGTAAACCTCAGGCAATAATGGCTCCTATGAATTGTAGGTAATTTGCAATATACAGGAAAGAACAATACTTCTAGAAAATTCTACTGTTGACATTTTTGGTGGATTTATTTTCAATTTATTCATATAATTATAAACGTATTTTATAGAATGGGTTTCCATTATCTATATGATTTTTCTATGCAGCTCTTTTTCATGAAATAGTTCATTTTCTGAGACTTAAAACCCAGAGAGGAGGAAAGAGGAAATGAGGAAGAAACCACAGAGGAGTCTGTCTTGAAGTCAGGAAAGAAGTTGAGCCCAGAGGTTTGCAGGCTAGTGGTATTGCCTTTCTTTTTTATTTTTTCTTTCTTTTTTTTTTTTTCTTTTTTTGTTGAGATGGAGTCTCGCTCTGTTGCTCAGGCTGGAGTGCAGTGGCGCAATCTCGGCTCACTGCAAGCTCCACCTCCCGGGTTCACGCCATTCTCCTGCCTCAGCCTCCCGAGTAGCTGGGACTACAGGCACCCACCACCGCGCCCGGCTAATTTTTTGTATTTTTAGTAGAGACAGGGTTTCACTGTGTTAGCCAGGATGGTCTCGTTCTCCTGACCTCGTGATCTGACAGCCTCGGCCTCCCAAAGTGCTGGGATTACAGGCGTGAGCCACCACGCCCGGCCATGGTGTTGCCTTTCTATGGACCAAGAGAGAGAAACCAGACATTTCTTAGGGGAAAAAGGAAGTGGTTTGGAGTCAGGTGGCCCAGGTATGGGGCGTGATTTCACCCCTGGCAGTTCCTGGGGACAAGGACTCTGCAGGGCTGTCGACAGCCACCATAGCTGTCTAGGATGTCTGTGCACCCCCATCTGTCAAGTGGGGCTGGGGAGCTCCAGCTCACAGGTTGATGCTGAGGACTCACATGGGGTGTGCGTGCTAAGGGCTTGGCCTCATGCTGTACATGGGGGCTCAGTAAAGCTTCTCTGTCTTCTATACATAACCCTTCGAGAATAGTAGAAGTAACATCTCACCCATGTCAGAGCCTGTCCGGTGCATGAGGGCCCAGGGATTTCCTTACTCTCCACAGTGGGAGTGCGTGGTGGGGCAGCAGGCAGCCCCGTTCTTCCAGAATGTGGACATGGATTCTATTGAGAGGAAGGGCAGAAGCCTGTTGAAGAGGGAGCCTCTATTCACCCCACATCCGGTCCCTTGGCAAACACACATCCACACCTGGAGCAGCATCCGGAGGCCGCCCTTCACACCTTCCGAACTATCAGCCAGCTCTGAGCACCGTCATCGCTTGGAGGATTCTGTTAGCCCCTGGCTGGCTTCCTTGTTTCTGCCTTTATCCCTTACAGTCATCCACAACCCAGCAGCCAGGGGGGTCCTGGGAAAGCAAGCCTGATCAGGTCAGGTGGCTTCTCTGCTCAAGACCCTCTCCCCCTCTCCATCAGGGGCACAAAGTCCCTACTGTGTCCAGCATCCCTGCCTCACCTGGCCCGGGACCTCTCTGACCTGTCTCCTGGGCCCTCCTCCCTCCAGCCTCCCAGCTCCCACTGTTCCTTGGAGCCCTTCCTCACCTGCCAGTCATAGTGCCTGCTCTTCCTGACCCAGGCCTGGTTAACTAGGCCGCCTGATCACCTGCAGCTAAACAGCAACACCCTCCCCCTAATTCTCCCCATTCCTCCTGCCCGATGTATTTTCCCATCGCATAATGTTGAGTAGTATCTCTATCTGCATCTACCTCCGCCTTTAACCTCTCTCTTTCTCTCTCTCTCTCTCTCTATAGCATAATTGCATAATTGCCCCCACCCACTGGAACGTACTTTCTAAGTGGGCAAGGAGTTTATTTGCTCACTGCTGTATCCCTAGTATTGGGCACAGTGCCTGTCATAAGGTAGGCGTCCCACAAATGTCTGTTGAATGAAACAAAAGAACACCAAATGAACAGGGAGGCAAACGGAGAAAGAACAGTGGTACTACAAAATGAATGTACGAAGCTCTGTGGTCTGCTGCGTGATGTCAGCCATCTTTCCTGGTCTCTTACGACATCTGCAGGAATGGATCTGTTTCCCACTCCTGCCTGTGGCCTTGGTGTTACTGGTGGCTGCACTGACATTCCGAGTCCCACTTCGGGGTGGGTGTGGTCTGGAAGAGAGGCTTCCTTGGGGCTGCCGGCATTTCCCCTCCCCAGAGTCCAGATCTCTGTCCCGTCCCCCGGGGGGACTGCATGGCCATCCCTATGAAAGCCAGTGCCAATTTGAGAGAGAAGTGGATGGAGCAGGGACAGATGTTCCCTACCTCCCTTCACCCAAGGAATGGAAAACTCCGCCCGGAAATTTGCTGGAACAAACTGTGTCAAGGGTCGGGCGGGGGGCAGGCGGGAGGAAATAATATACATTCGTCATTCCCCTTTGCAGCCTGCCCAGAGGCTTCACGCAGCACCTGGGATGTCACTAAAAGCTGGTCCCAGGGGAAGACGTAAAGCCTCGCAGCTGATAGGTTGCCGTGGGCGGGTCAGGGCCAATCAGAACTCAGGCCTGTGTCCCAGAGGCCCGCCCAGCTGGCCCAGTCATCTGAGGGCAGGGTCCTGAGAGCACAGTGGGAGGGGGGGTCAATCGCCACATTGTAGCTCGTTTGATTTTGGGTGGGTTGAAGGAAAAACCTGAGACGGGATGCCAGCCTTTGTCAAGGGAATGTCAGCCTTTGTCACGAGCATGTCAGGCGCTGCATGACGCGGCAGGCAGGCGCCTCTGGTTCCAGGCGGAGAGAGAAGGACTGGCAGTCCCGCAGAGGGGTCTGTGACAGGGCGCAGGTGCCGGAGCTGGGGGCTCCAACTCTCGTCATTTAGCTGCTCCATGAATTATTAATGGCTGGCTATAAAACACACACACAGAGCTGAGCATCATTTTGCCATCATTCAGCTCTGTACTCTTTTCTGTACTGTGAAGATAAAGGTTCCGTTTGATCATGGACAGGAGTGGCACTGAGATCCTGCCACTTCACCTTCATAGTCTCCAGAGATGACAGGGGCACCGCCTGTGGTTGGCTCTTAGTAGTCCTCAGTGCTTTTATGTAAATGCTTGGCCCTCTTCCCCAGCCCTTCATTCCTTTTCCTGATTTTCCTCTTTTTTCCCCAGCCATTCTCTGTGCCTGAAGGAAAGGTTTTGTCTGCCTTGTCACTATCTGGTGCCCCTGCCCCCTGCAGCTCCCAGGTCCCTGGCTGCCTCTGGGTGGAGGCTTTCCACAGCCCAGGACGCTGCATCTGGACCAATAGCTCCTGCACCAGGGATTGGATTTGCAGCTTTAATCCTCCTGATGCGCTGTCAGGAAAGAGAAAACTGAGAAAGAGAGCAGAGTTTTTTTCCTCCCCGAGAACTGCCAAGACAACAACAACACACACACACACAAACCCAGCAAGGTTAGAGGGCAGGCTGTTCTGTAGGCAAACATTCCAGAAAGTTCTCAGGCATTTGGGGCTACTCCTGTGAATGGCAGATCTGAAGCTGAAAGTTTCCCATTAGAAGGCTCAGTCTCCTAAGTGCCTGCCTTTCCTCTTGCCTTCAATATGCTGAGACTCTCCTGAGACACAGACATTCTGATGGCCGTGGCTGCCCAGCCTGTCGGGCCCCTTTGCACCTGCCGGCCCCTTCACTTGCAACCCTATTTCCCTCACCGCTTTCTTTCAAAATCCCACTTTCCTTGTCAGGTACCCATCGTGTCCTCTCTTCTCCGTGGGGTCTTTCCTTACCTTCCTAACTGGGGTGTGCCTTCCTGGCCACCGTTTAATTTACATTTCATGGGAACCATATCTCAAACTTTCCCGGAGCCCAGTATCATTTCCCTATTTTATGGCTGAGCCTCTCCGAGCTTCTACTTGAAGAAAACACCCAAAGGCACTTAGTGACACACCCAAGGGCACTTAGCTACTGAAAAGCCATCACAAATACATGGGAGCATACTAGAGTTAGGTGTGCAGGGAAACGTAACTTCTGTATTTTCTAGATTTCCTCCCAAGCCCACACCCTGCTTGGACTAGAGGATTGGGCTTCTCAAATTGCCAATTTACAGTGTATCTTTGCTTTATTTTCTTCAGTTTAAAGGAGTCTTGTATATTTATTCTGCCTCCTCCATGTACATTTTCTGCTCTTCGGATTTTTCTCCTTCCCCAGTGTTTAGGGTCTTAATGACCTTGTAGCAACAGGGTGGCTGGGGATCTGCACGTGCTGCTGATGGCACCTAGTTAGATCCGAGCTTCCTCTAGAGATATGTGGCACCCTGGGTTTGGCCAGAGAGGCAGCCACTAGTCTCAGTGCTCCTGTGGTCACCTGGACCTTTCTGGATGTCTCCATGCCCCTGTTCATGAGCTGTGGGTTGAAGAAATTAGGACTCCACTTTCTGACCTCAGACTTTCCAAACCTGATTCCCTGACATCCTCCCTGACCTACCCTTTAACCTGAGACTCCCCACAGGCCAGTATGCTTCCCTCTGCCTCCTCCTCTCCAGAAAGAACTGTCCGTAGGTCAGATTCTTTTTCCAAGTTGCAGGATAAGAAACTGGCTTCTCCTAGTATCTGTGAATGCAGGTGTTATTCCATGCCGCTCTAGCTCCAGGCTGGTATCCATGGATGTGGGTGTGATTCCATGCCACTCTAGCTCCAGGCTGGTATCCGTGGATGCGGGTGTGATTCCATGCCGCTCTAGCTCCAGGCTGGTATCCGTGGATGCGGGTGTGATTCCATGCCGCTCTAGCTCCAGGCTGGTATCCGTGGATGCGGGTGTGATTCCATGCCGCTCTAGCTCCAGGCTCCAGCCTAGCCCTGACGCTACAGGGTTGTGATCAGGAGCATGAGTTCTGCAGCTAGCTAGGCCCGGCCTCAAGTCATAGCCCCTCCATTCGTCCAACTGTCAGCTGGTTTCTGTCACCTCCTCCCTGCCAGGCTCTGCACCAGGTTTCACTCCCTTTTGGGAATTGCAGCACTGGCCACTTGCTCTGCTGCTCATGGCCTTATCTATGATATGCAGGGAAGGCACCAAACACTTGAGCTTCTGTGAAGATGAAATGCTAAGATTGTTTACCAAGAGCCTAGCACATAAGAGCTTCATGTGACCCACCATTATTAGTTTTGGACCTAATTTCCTCATCTGGAGGTGGAAAAAAGATCTTCCCTGAAAGATGATCATAACATGTAATTGGGATAATATATTTACAAGTTCTTGAGAAGAATATAAGATAGATAGCATGGGTCTGATTGTCCTAGTTCAGGCCCAGGAGGCTCTCGCCACAGGGAGAACGGCACTGGCGGAGGCTCAGCTCCCCCTGAGTGACAAAGAGCTCAGACTGCACCCAGGAACCTGCAACACCCAGAGGCCTCCTGCAATGCATGGCGTCGGGTGGCATCACTGGCTGGATGGCTCTCAGGGGCCTTGTATCCAATCCCCCTATTTAGCAGTGAGGAAACAAGCCCAGAAAGAGGAATCAACTCAACTAAGGTCACCGCACAGATGGAGGCAGAGCAGGCCCAGAAGCCAGACCTTCCCAGGACCAGCTCCAGGTGCCTCTGATTTAGCCTCCTGCCACCCTGCCTTCCATCAAAGTCCAGATCCTGTACAGGACAGACTGGGTCAGAGTGAGGCCAACCCAGCAAGGCCACTGGAGCAGGTGGGGTCCCAGAGCCCCAGGGGGCAACGTTCACCCTTTGACTCTTTGGTGGACAGAAGATGAGTGTTCAGTTTCCAGAGCTAAAAGGCCATTTCTTCTTGGGGAAGCTGTATGTTTCTTTACTCTCAGGTTGGTCTACGGTAGCACTGGGAACACATGGCTCAGAATGGCACTGAGGAGAGATAGGTGCATGGCGAACTGATTCATTTCCTGTGCAGCAAACACCTCCCATCCTTGATACCATGCTTCTTGTTCACCCTCTACAGTGCTATGACGTTTATTGAGAACATCCTAGCTGCCAAGCACTGTGCTCAGATCCTGTGCATACATTTCGTTTCCTCATCAGCACAACCTAGAGTTCGCATGATTATCCCCAACTTACAGTTAGGAAAACTGAGACTCAGGTTGAGTGACTACTGTGTCCCCACCCTTTGCTCAGGGTGCCAGCTGAAAGAGCAGGTTTTCCCACCAGAACTATTCTCCATCTCCACCGTGCTCTGTGTGCCCAGGAGGCTGAACTACACTATGGTAGGCAGAATAATGGCCCCACAAAGATGTCATGTCCTCATTCCTGTGAATGTATTACATACACAGCAAAAGGGAATTAAGGTTGCAGATGGCATTGAGGCTGGAAATCAGTTGGTCTTGAGATGGAGAGATTACTCTGGATTACCTGGAAGAGCTCGATGCAGACACAAGGGTCCTTTATGGTGAGGGGGAGGCAGCAGGTATCAGACTCAGGGCGATGCGGTGTGAATGTGGGTGGCCTCTGGAAGTGGGCAAAGTGAGGGAATAGATTCTCCCCTGGAGCCTCCAGAAGGGATGCAGCCCTTCAGCACTTTGACTTTAGGCCACTGAGACTCGTTTTGCACATCTACGTCTGGCTGCCAGAACTGTAAGATAATAAATACATGTTATTTTAAGCCATCCAGTTTGTGGTTGTTTGTTGCAGCAGCAAGAGGAAACATGTAGATACAAACCGCCTCCACTGGTGCCCTTGTGCTCTGCTCCCAGGAGTTTTGGCCACTGGGGAGCAATAGCAGGAGATTGGCCGGAGGAGGGAGAGGGAGAGAGATTGTGGTGTTGACTCCCCTGCTACCTCCCTGTAGCATCACTGAGGGCTGGAGCTGTCCCTTGACTAAAGGTCCTAGCTCCTGTTTGGCAGCCCTCCCTGCACAAGCCCTCTCTGCTTCAGTGCCGGGAATGGCCCTGCCTCTTGCAGTGTGGGGCTTCGGGGTAGTAACTGTGCTCCCATGTAGCCCACTCTCCCTGGGGTTTCTCCACACTCTGTATCCCCTTTGCTGATAATTCCTGTATGTTAAACCCTCCTCAGGTCACCCAGTCATCAGTATCCTGCTGTGATCCTGACAGACACCAATGGCCATGCCCACTGCCACACCTTCCGTGGAGGGGTAGCCGTGCCGGGGAGTCCTCATCCAATGCTCAAGGATGTCTTATGCAATTGTGTTTTCCCAGGATCCCTAGCACTCTCTTCCCCTTCTATCCATAGCAATGTCACCCACCCCTGCTTCCTTTCCCTTTTTGCCTTCAGAGGTCACCTCTTTTGGATAAATCAAAGTGTCTCCTTTGAACCAGAAGTACCTTTGATTCTCCTTTGCCTAGTTCTGCCTGGCAGAAGCAGCCTTGTTTGGCATCACCTCATGGAGACTACCCGGGTTAGAAATGGCTCGAGGAGTGGGCTGCCTGCTGTGGGAACACATCTGAACAGGATTGCCCAGGGGCTTGGGCTGCAAAAGACCCACCTCAAAACCCATTACACACTAAAGGGCATTTGTTTACAAACATAAGAAGGGAAGCCTGGAGGTAGAGTGGTCCCGGCATCAGCTCATTTGGTTCCTTCACTCTTTGTCCTTGACATTTCAGCTTGTTCTTTTGGTCAGTTACATAGTAATAAACAGCCTTGATAGGATGCCCAATTGAGGCATCAGGTGCTTTCGGCAAAGACAAAAATGGGAGTGTTTTCTGCTCGGCATTTCTTTTCATCAGTGGAGAAAATCTTTCTACGAGACCCGTGTCTGACTTCCCCTGCCACCTCACTGGCCCTGGCTGGGCCAGTCACTGTGACCACCCATGTGAGTAGCCTCCACCCCAGCCTGAGTAATATCTTTCACATAGATCAATTTACTTTCTTCAGAGCATGGATCACACCTGCTATCATCCCATTTATTGATCATCTGTGTCCTCTACTGGCGTGGGAGCTCTTTGAGGGCAGGGACTTTGACTAGATCATCTCTGCATCTGTTTGCAGTTCCTGGCCCTGAGATCAGAATAGTAGACCTTCAGGCAATATTTGATGAATGAATGAGTGAGTGAATCCTTTAGAACCCAGCAAGGCACACAAGACTGACAGCACACCCCTTCCTTATATGATGATAGATGAAGGATGGGGATGACGTTGTGGCACCAAGTTCTCGTAGCCCCAAGGCTGGGTGCTTTGCAGGCATCCTTGACCATCTCCACATGCTGTTCAGGGCTGATCCCAGAGATTTTGCAGGAGCTCCCTAAAGCCTCTTCAATGGAATGTTCTCTTAGGTTTTTTTTTTTTTTTTTTTTTTTTTAACAAAGGAAAGGTATTTATGTGCAAAGCTACTTATCTTTGTAGCACTTGCAGATAAATCTTCTAATTTACAGGGGAGCTGACACCTTCTGAGAGCCAAAATCAATGTGTGTCACTGTAAATCCAGGCTGGGCCTCAGCCTCCACTCACACCAGCTGATTGATGGACTTTGCTGTTGTGCCAGGCCTGGCTGGTGGAAAGATGGGGCAGATGCTGGTGGCAGGCTCATGGAAGCCTCCTTCTGGGCCAGATCCTGTCTGAGGACACCTCACTTCTTCCCAACTCTCATGTTCCCACATTAGCTCCAGGGCCCACGTGGCTAAGCCCCTCCTGTTTGGTTGTCAGTACTCAACTCATCCTTCAAAGCCCAGCTGAGACGCAACCTGCTCCTGACAGCCCTCTTGGAGTGGCCTGCTTGGAGTTAACCTCTCCTTTGTGTTTCCCTGGAGATGTGTCTGCAAAATTCCACTATGACAACCAGATTGCAGCCGCCGTTTCCACAAGACAGGAGTGCTGTGAGCAGGGCATTCCAAGCCACCATTCATTCACTGAGCACTGACTGCACCGCTCACTGTACTTTAGGCCCAGGGATGGATAAGACATAGGCCCTGTCCTGGAGGGTACTCGTAGTCTATTCAGATTAATCAGGAAGACCAAGAAGAAATTAGATATCACAAGGGCTCCAGGATAGGGTGAAAGAGGGGTATGGGAACATAGGGTCAGCACACTTGGATCAGACTAAGAGGTCAGGCCAGCATCCCCCAGGAGGTTGTGATTGTACTGAGATCCAAAGGTGACTAGAAGTTGGTCAAGTAAACAAGTAGGAAGAAGGATGGCCCAGGCTATGCAGGTGGGTTCTTTTGGTTGGAAGGTACCAAAAGTCATTTTGAAGCAGGATATTTCCCTGACCCCTTCATGGGCAGAACTGGAGTGAATGGGCACTAGAACTAGCTGGCTGCTTTGGTGCTGGTGGGGGTGGACTCCACTCACTTGGTCCTGCTGCCCTGCTGCATTCCACCCCTCATAGGAGGGAGACTGCAGGTGAGTGGGTGCAGGAACCTGGGTGAGGGCTTTTGGGCACTGGCAGGAGCAAAAGTCTGTGCAGGCCCCATGGCAGCATTTAGGGTGGTGCCTACAACCCCTGAAGCCCCAGATGGAGTGTTACAGTGCCCTTTTACCTTTGCCATCTGCAGATGGCTTAAGTGTTAACAGCTCAGGGGAGGGTCAGTGTGACAACCTTTTGCAACCACATTTGTGGCACCTGAGTTCTTGTCCAGTGTCCAGGAGGAATCCGGTTGCATGAACGAATTGGAGATAGTAAATGTGGGGGATTTTATTGCCAATGAAAGCAGCTCTCCGCGGGAAGGGGAGCTAAAAAGGGGATGGAGCGGGAAGGTATTCTTCCCCCAGAGTCCACCCATCCCTGGCTGGACTCCTCTCTGAAGCTACATCATTAAGCTGTCCCTCTGAAGTCAAGCTGCTTCTCTCCAACATCCAACTGTAGTCTCCTAAGTCCAGCTGCTTCTCCTCTCTGCTGGCTGAGTTCTGGGGTTTTTATAGGCAAACGATGGGGGGTGGGGCAGGCCATG
Source organism: Homo sapiens (assembly GCF_000001405.40). Taxonomy (NCBI): domain Eukaryota; kingdom Metazoa; phylum Chordata; class Mammalia; order Primates; family Hominidae; genus Homo; species Homo sapiens. Next base: position 134,450,101 of record NC_000008.11, on the reverse strand, counting down.
GGTTGTTTTGGAAAAGGCAACATTTGAGTGGGAAACAGGGCTGTCAGTTCTCACTTTGGGCCATGGTATTAGGCTTTTCGGCTTGAGGGTGGGGCCCTCGCTGGGGACCTACCCTCTTTGGCCCAGAATTTCCCTGCCTCCTTCCCTATCAATTTGGGCCACCTTAGGGAAAGGTGGGGTGAGAGAGATATGTGTGAGGCCTAGGGTAGGGTGAGAAGCTCAGTGACTCTCTCTGTCTCTTTCTGTCATAGGCCATGTGGCCTTGCTCCAGCAGTGTGTCTGCTTCCTTCCTCTTCTGACTCTAAGTGCCTGGCTGACATGATCTCTACTCAGCACCTCTTGTCTAGAATTCAAGGCTTTTGCTTGCTTTTTGTTTCCTGCTTCCTCATAGCTTCTATGTAGGTAAGGCTCAACATGGCCTCTCCAATCATGAGCTTTCAGCTGGGCATTGTCAGAGACAAACGTCTTGTCATTGTTCATGGAGGAAATCAGTGACCACACTTCCTGGCTAAGAATCCTGGGTTCCAACTTCTCTCCCAGCAGAGGGGGAATCCCTGAGCCAAGCCTTAACATAGAGGAACTGTCAGAGTCGTTTCAACCAGAGCAACTCCATCCTAAATAAGGGCTGGGTAGAATAAGACTGAGACCTACTGGGCTTGCATTCCCAGACGGTTAGGCATTCTAAGTCACAGAATGAGGAGATCAGCACTAGATACAGGTCAAAAGACCTTGCTGATAAACCAGATTGCAGTAAAGAAGACTACCGAAACCCACCAACACCAAGATAGCGACGAGAGTGACCGCTGGTCGTCTTTGCTGCTATACTCCCACCAGTGCCATGACAGTTAACAAATGCCATGGTAACATCAGAAAGTTATCCTATATGGTCTAAAATGGGAGGGATGAATGATCCACCCCTTGTTGAGCATATCATCAAGAAATAACCATAAAAATGGGCAACCAGAAGTCCTTGAGGCTGCTCTGCCTGTGGAGTATCCATTCTTTTATTCCTTTACTTTCTTAATAAACTTGCTTTCACTTTATGGATTCGTCTCAAATTCTTTCTTTTTTTATTTTATTATTATTATACTTTAAGTTTTAGGGTACATGTGCACAACGTGCAGGTTTGTTACATATGTATACATGTGCCATGTTGGTGTGCTGCACCCATTAACTCGTCATTTAGCATTAGGTATATCCCCTAATGCTATCCCTCCCCCCTCACCCCCACCCATCTCAGCAAACTATCGCAAGGACAAAAAACCAAACACCGCATGTTCTCACTCATAGGTAGGAATTGAACAATGAGAACACATGGACACAGGAAGGGGGAACATCAAATTCTTTCTTTGATGAGATCCAAGAACTCTCGCTTGGAGTCTGGATTGGGACCGCTTTACAGTAACAGAACTTCCTTTAGGTCCTGAAGTCCTTTTTCTTTCCAACAGTCCTCATTAGAACACAATTGCTTCTGGGACATGGAATAACTGGTTTGTTCCAATCATTTAATACCTTAAGGCAGGACCAGTGGTCCCTTGGCACCCCCTTTCCCCTTGGCTCGGGTTGGGTTCCTTAGAAGCAGAGCCTAACAGGAGGATCCAGGTGCATGTGATTTAATGAGGGCAGCTCTTCAGGAAAAGCCTGTGAGGTAAAAAGGGTGGGCTCTGGTGAATTCAGTGCATCTTGGCCAGGCTTTAGTACCCACTAATTCCATTAAACATGAATCTAGGTGTTGCTGTGAAAGTATTTTGTAGATGTGGTTAACATGGACAACCAGTTGACTTTAAATAGGTATTATTCCAGGTAATCTGGATGGGAAATCATCCAATCAATGAAAGACGTTAAAAACAAAACTAAGGTTTGCCTGAGGAGAAAGAGACACTACTGCTGATGGCAGCAGCACCTCCTTCCGGAGCACTTGCAGATTTAGACTTGCTAGCCTCCAAAACATGTAAGCCAATTTTTTGAAAACCCTAGAGAACTGTGACTAATACAGGTAGGGTGGGGAAGGAGGGGAAAGTTGAAAGTCTAGCTGGGGCATGATGCCCAGAGGGTCTCTGGAGGGTAATCCCAGCATCCTTGTCAGGTGGAATTCTCCACAGCCCTTCAGCAGCTGGGACTTGTGTGCACCGAAGGTACAGAGATCCAGCTGGGCCCTGACTCATCTCTTCCCTCCTGCACCCCAGAGGCTCTGGAAGGTGGAAATCAACCCTCTCCCTTCACAGACGAGGAGCCTGAGTGCTGCAGCCAGAATTCAACTTTCGGCCTAATGCCAGAGCCAGGTGCCTCTTCAGGAGGCTGGAATGAGACGGAGCTTAGCCCCTCGAGTCTGCCCTGGCCACCCTCCCACCATCCTCTCCTTCTCAGTGACAGAGCCTGGACACATTCATCCTCCTGGGCAGTTAGCTCTGTAACAACATCTTTTGGCCCACGGCAGTTATCATTGATGTTGAAGGGCTCGAGTTGGATGAGACATGGCTCCACACATCACCAGGTCTCCACTTGGAATGACCAGGCTCAGGTGCTGTCAGTGAGGGGATATATAAGGCCCAGCCCCTAAAGGCAGCCTGGGTTTTACGTAGCCCCCTCTCCCACCTTTCTACACAGGAGTCTGTAATCCACAGCAATCTTCCATGGGCCTCTCTAGGGCACAAAGAGGCGTCCTCTTTTTCTTATCCTTAGAAAATAAGTACATAAGGCTCCTCCTCTGGGTCAGTCCTTCAATATCAGCATGAAGCCTGGAAGACTGGAAGGAAAGAGAGCACACAGGGTGTGTGTTTGTTTTGATTCTGGCTCTTTCTTCAATCTTGGTAAGTGATTTAATATCCCAAGTCTTAGCTTTCTCTCTGTAATAAGGATAGTGTTATCCAGCTCACATGGTGTTGAGGGCATTAGATATACCGTATATAATATGGTAAGCTGAATCCTTGACCTCTGTTCTTCACCCACTGCTGAATCCAGAAATACTGTCGGGCAACTTAGCAATTCCTCTCACAGAAAAACAGAGGAACTTCCCCACCATTTGACCTTGGGTTCGGCCATGTGGCTTATTTGGCCCAGTGGAATATTGATAGATGTGACACAGTGTGCCCACACAGCAGGGCTTGTGGTCTTCCACCCCTGTTGTCACCTGGAGAAGAACATACCCTGGCTAGCCCATTTGCCCAGGAGAGTGAGAGACATGGAGCAGATCAAGTAGCACACTTGCAGACCTGCAGCTTGAGGAAGAGCCTCCAGTTCAAGCCCTGCCAAGCTCACCTAACCCCAGGGTATCCCTACGATGTGTGACAAATGCTTATTGTACATCAGATTTTGTGGTTGTTACGCAGCAATAGCTGACCGATACATATATAAAAGCACCTCACCTTGACACAAAGTAGGCATTCAACAGAAATTGACTGATATAAGAAGGTATAGAATACATATGGTGCAAAGTTCTCAGTTGTCACAAATAAATGAAGCATGAAGGGATTAATGGTGATGATTCAAAGGCATTTGGAAATGTTGCTCTAGGGCCAGGCATGGGGGTTCATGCCTGTAATCCTAGTGCTTTAAGAGGCTGAGGCAGGAAGATTGCTTGAGTCCAGGAGGTCAAGGTTATAGTGAGCTATGATTGCACCACTGCATTCCAGCCTGGACAACAGAACAAGACCCTGTTTCTTTTTTAAAAAATGTTACTTTAGAGAAGAATCACTTTGCCCAAACAGGGCATCTCTTCTTTGCTTAAGAAAATATTAGAAGTGATACTGAACCCTTTCAATCTAACCCTGGTCAGGTGCCTTCTTTTAACCTCTATTTAACAAACCTCTACTTGCTCATTTAAATACAATTACTGTCTCTTCCACGAGCCTGTGAGCCCTGAGGGCGGAGATTGAGTCTTTTCATCCTTGGAATCCCTACAGCCAGGTAAGCCCAGCAGAAAACTGGTTCTTTCTGTGTGTGTAAAACTACTGAATTGAATAGTTCAGTGAAAGCATTTTGTTTTAAAAATCTCCCTGTGGTCTTGTCCTTCTGGAAAGTGTCACCAGTAATGCCAATGTCTTTGAGGGTTAGCAATGCTAGATGGAGCCAGTAAGCCCTGGGTCTACCTTGAATGGGGCTGGCCCACAGTTGGATGAAGGAGAAGGTGTGGCTTGCATTGCTGTGCCTGACCTCTTGGTGGTTTTCTCCTGCTCCCCTTCCCTCATCATTAGCCACAGACAGGCCTTGGCTTCCCTGAGAGCCCAGCCCTGCAGTGGTAGCTGCCTGCCTGGCTTCGCCAGCCCTGCTGCGGGTCAGCCTCAGGCTCAACACATCTATCCTCAGCCAACCTGGACCCAGCTGGAGATCATGAGCATCCACAGGCAGTGGCAGGTGGGGTCTGGGTCTGGGAGTCCTCAGTGCGCCCAAGCCCAGCATCAGGTGTGCCAGGAGTAAGCCTGGTGCTCACAAGCACACCACCACCACCAAGTTTTTTGCTTTGTCCCAAGGTGCGTGTTTTTTTGTAAATCTGGGTTTTGCCTTAGTTCTTGTCTTGTCTTTTTGTTTTTGCCAATTTTCTACTTTATCTGCAGCCCAGTGCTGAACCTCAGCAAATGCTGCAGAGCCCTGACCACCTGACTAGCCCTTGAAGCCCAAGTTCCAGAGATTAGACCCCTACTCCTATAAACTATGGTGACACTAAGCTGCCATTGTATCCTCATCTCCCGGCCTGGTACCCTGGCCCAATATGTGTTTGTTGAATGAATAAATGAAACAAAATAGAAGTCTATGGCTTCTAGGACTGCCACAGAATGAGCTGCTACTTGCCACATTCAACTATTCAGTAAAACAGCCTTTGTGTGACTTAAGTTCTCCAGGCTCCTTGGACACTAAAAATTGGATATCTGGCTATCTCTCGGGACCAGCTTTAAAATGGGGCCAGTATATTCAGTTCCAGTCTCCTGCCTTTCCCAAGGGCTCCTTGCCGAAGTTCGAGCCTGCCCTACACCAATGGAGCTGTGTTGTTGGTGCACGAGAGGGCCTGGGAGCAACTGCATTGCCTGTGATTTAATTGCTTCTAGGGCACCAAGGGTATGTTATTTCCCAAAATGCCAGTGGGAGAGCAGCACATACTCAACATCATTCAAGGTCTTATACATAACAATTTTTCTGTGGCAGTCTCACTTCAGGCCTGTTTCCCTAGCATAATTAATACTAGAATCCCCCTTCACTTTCATAAGTGCTTGTTTCAGATGATAAATTATATTGTCATTAATTTTATCCCAGTATGCTAGAACACTTTTGCTTACGAGAATACATTTGCTAGTTCTGAGAGGCTCCAAACTATAACGTTCATTTATGGCCTCTCCCAATGCTGCCTCAAGGTCTGTGAACTTTCCCAGAGTAAATAAAGGCATTAGCAATGTCTGCAGGGTGGGGAGATGATTTCCCTGGTTTGGAGTAAAGGTGCGCAATTCTCCCACATCCTTTGATCTCTGACTTTCACGAGCAGCCTCAACAGGCGTTTCTTGCAGCATCAGGCTGGACAACAGTCAATAAGCCATTGATTACAGCCATGTTACAGCTGTACAAATCAGTCCCTGAGATCCTAACATTTGTCATTTAACTTAATTTAGCAAACATCGATTGAATACCTGGCTTAAGCAAACACTAGATGACTCTAATGGTCCTTTTCCAACTTTAAGGCTTTTTGTTTATTTGAACTTAAGCTACCATAACAGAAAGTGCTGTAGTTCTATTAACCCATTGCACTAGTTACCTATTGCTGAAAGTTTGTAATTATGTATGTAATTATTCTGGGAATTACAAAGTCAATTCTGGTAAACCAACCCTCTTGCCAATAACAATTATAGTTTACTCTTGAGCAAGGAGGTTAGGGGTGTTAGCTCCCTATGCAGTCAAAACTCTACGTATTTAATAACTTTTGACTTCTACAGAATTTAAACTACTAATAGCCTACTGTTGGCCAGAAGCCTTGCTGTAACATAAACAGTCAGTCAGCACATATTTTGTATATTATATGCTGTATTCTTATAATAAAGTAAGCTATAGAAAAGAGTATGTTATTAAGGAAATCATAAGAAAGAGAAAATGTATTTACTATTCATTAAGTAGAAGTGGGTCATCATAAAGGTCTTCATCCCCATCAGAAGAGGAGAGGTTGGTCTTGCTATCTCAAGGGTGGGAGAAGCAGAAGAGGTGAAGGTGGTAGAAGAGGAGACAGGAGAGGCAGGCACACTTGGTGTAACTTTATAGAAATACATCACAATTTCTGTATTTTTTCATTTTTTTTAGAAATGTTTCTATTTGGTGCCAATTCTTCTTCCACCCTTTGCTTTAGTGTCAGTGCCTAGAACATAGAAGAGTCCATGTCATAAAAGAAGTCAAAAGCAGTCTTGAGTAATCGGAATCCTTCTGCCAGACTGTCTAATGTCACTTTGTTTTCTAGCACTGCTGCTTCTGTGTCATCTTCCTCATGATCTGGCACTGGTTTGGAAGCACTTGTCTCCATCAAGTTGTCTTCTGTTAATTCTTCTGGTTTGGTGTGCATAAGCACTTGAATTTCTCCAAGATCCATATCCCGAAACCCTTCGCCCCTGACTTTTTTGGCCAAATTCACAATCTTTCTTGATTTCCTTGATTGGCTCTTTCGTAAATCCTGTGACATTATGCACATCTGGACACAGTTTTCTCAAACAGGCATTTATTGTTTGGGGCAGGCATGATGGCTTTCATGGCCTTTTCTTAAAAAATGATGGCATTGCCAGTGGTGTAATCCTTTTAGACTTTTGTGATGTTCTCTCTATTGGTGTTCTCTTCCATAGCATTGACAGCCTTTTTTTCATAGAGTACATATGTAATGAGCTTTAAAGGTCCTTGTGACCCACTGATCTAGAAGCTGAATTAGAGATGTCGTGTTTGGGGGTAAGTAGACCATTTCAATGACTTTGGTGTTGAGCTTATGGGATTCTGGGTGGCCGGGGCATTTTCCATTATCAAAAGAATTTTAAAAGACAATCACTTATTGGCAAGGTATTTTCTGACTTCAGAGACAGAGCATTGATGGAACCAGTCCAGAAAACTGGTTCTCATTCAGACCTTCTTGTACAAAAAAAGACTACCAGCTGGTGTTTATATTTTCCTTTCAAGTCTCAGGGGCTAGCATCTTTATAGATAAGGGCAATCTTGATCATAAACCTGACTCCATTTGCACAAAACAGTAGAGTTAGCCTGTCTCTTCCTGTCTTAAACCCTGATGCTTGCTAGCTCTTCCTTACTAATAAATGTATTTTGTGGCATTTTCCCTCCAGATTAAGGCACTTTCATCTGCATTATAAACCTGTCCAGGCAGATATTCTTTCTCCTCAATGATTTTCTTAATGACTCTGGTAACTCATCTGCTGCCTCTTGGTCAGTAGCACCTGCTTCTCCTGTTATTTTGATGTATTTAAAGCCAAACATCTTTCTAAAATTATCAAACCATCCTTTGCTGGCATTAAATTCTCCCATTTTGAATCCTTCACCTCCCGTTTGCTTTAAATTGTCATGTAGTGACTTCACTTTTTCTCAAATCTTACTAGAATCTATAGGCATGCTTTTCTTAGTGATCCTGCACCCACATAAAAGCTGTATTTTCAGTATAAGATAAAAAAGTATTGCACAAAAAGTGCAAGACTTTTGTGCCTGCTGGTGTAGCTGCAGTGACAGCTTTGCAATTTTTTCTTCTTCTTTTTTTTTTTTTTTTTTTACAATGGTCTGTGGGCTGGATTCATTTATCTTGAAATGGCAGGCAACCACAGTTGCAGACTTCAGTCTAAGGTATATATCAAGCCACTTAACTTTTTCTTGTAACGTCATGACTTTTCTCTGCTTCTTGGCAGCACTGCCAGCATCACTAGTGACATGAGTCCCGTGGTATTATTCCAAGTTTATGGTATTGTACTAAACATGATGAAAAATACATAAGAACTGTGAGAGATCACTTTTTACTATAATACACAATTTACTAAAGAGAGTAACTGCTCATAGGGAGATAATTAGTGACACATGGCATTTTCTGTAGATACAGCACTCAAGCTCACTGAAGTAGCAATAGGAGGTGGCTACAAAATTATTACAGTGGTAAATTACTACAGTTGATTTTATGTAGTTACGATTTAATACTTCATCTTTATATTTGTTTACATTTCTCTTAAATAGCACCATGTATGGTCTGGGTGTGAGATTTGATCAATTTCAACTTTTTATAATAGATGTGTGTATATTTTATGGTAGTAAATGATAAAATAGTTACATATATTTTATGCACTCATGACATACCTAACTTTTTCTAACTTTTAGGTTCAGGGGTACATGTGCAGATTTGTTATATAGGTAAACTTGTGTCATGGGGCTTTATTGTACAGATTATTTCATCATCCAGATACTAAGCCTAGTACCCAATAGTTATTTTTCTGCTGCTTTCCCTCCTCCCATGCTTCACCCTCAAGTAGGCCCCTGTATCTCTTGTTCCCTTGTTTGTGTTCATGGGTTCTCATCATTTAACTCCCACTTATAAGTGAGAACACGTGGTATTTGGTTTTCTGTTCCCGCATCAGCTTGCTAAGGATAATGGCCTCCAGCTCCATCTATGTTCCTGCAAAGGACATGATCTCATTCTTTTTTATGGCTGCATACTATTTCATAGTGTATATGTATCACATTTTTTAAATCCAGTCTACCATTGATGGGCATTTAGGTTGATTCCATGTCTTTGCTATTGTGAATAGTGCTGGAATTAACAATTGCATGCATACTTTTTCTTAATTTTTTGATATTTTTTACTTGGTTTATCTGCAAGTCTTTACAAATTGTCAAAAATCTCCAAAAATTCTTCACTATATTTATTGAAAAATCTGCATATAATTGGGTCTGTACTGTTTAAACCTGTGTTTGTTCAAAGGTCAACTGTAAAACTCTGACCAAAATATTTTTTAAGTAACAATGTGAAGGTCTTAAAGAGTGACAAAAACAGGCAGAAATGACAGGGGATTTCAGAAACCTGGAAGAATAAATCAGCTCTGAATGTGCTTTTCATTTCTACAGTTTTGAACCTGCAGATTCCAGTTGTTGCTCCTCAGGGTCACAGAAGTTTAGATAGATACCTGAAGCCTTGCTTACTGAGGGATCAAGAAGAATGAGTTTGGGACCACTACTACATGTCTGAAATGATAGGCAAAATCCCGCAATGAAGAGAAACACAAAGGGGAAGCCCAGATTCTGTGTATAAATTCTCCCTGAATTTATGGCTTGAACTATGCAGACTTAGGGCAAATTACAAGTAGTCCAGCTAAAATGAAAATAATTGGGTAGAAATTTCACTGCTGCCTGCTGAAGGGGAGACAGACTTTGAAGTTTGAGTTCAGCCAAGATAGCTGCCTGCCTAAATGAAAATCAATAATCTTGAGAGGAACATAACAGAATCCAGAATCCAGACAGTATATCTTCTACAATGTCCAGGATATAATTCCAAATTACTGGATATAAAGAAACAGGAAAATGGGACCCATAGTCAAGTTATCTTTTGCTAGAGTCTTGTGTGGAATAACTAATCACAAAATCTTTGTAGCATACGATGATAAATATTTATTTTTGTTTACATGTCTATAGTTCAGCTGACTGGTTCTGCTGATCTTAGCTGGGCTTGGCTGGGCTCACTCATACTTTTGTGGCCAGTTGAAATTTGGCTAATCTTGTCTGAGCTCTCTCACATGTCTGAGGCTTTGGTTTGGGCAACAGCGCTGGGTTGGCTTTACTTCAAATGTCTTATCCCCCATCAAGATAACCAAGTGTGTTCTGATGGTAAAGGATTGAGAGAGAGAGAGAGAGAGAGAGTAAAAGTGCACAAGGTTTCTCGAAGTCCAGGTTCAGAACTGGCACATTGACCTTCCACTGTGTTCCATTTCTGACCTTCCACTGTATTTCATTTCTGACCTTCCACTGTATTTTATTTCTGACCTTCCACTGCATTCCATTTCTGACCTTCCATTGTATTTCACTTCTGACCTTCCACTTCATTCCATTTCTGACCTTCCACTGCATTCCATTTCTGACCTTCGACTGTATTTCATTCTGACCTTCCACTGCATTCCGTTTCTGACCTTCCACTGCATTCCATTTCTGACCTTCCATTGTATTTTCACTTCTGACCTTCCACTGCCTTCCATTTCTTTCTTTTTTTTTAATTTTTTTTGGGATGGAGTCTCACTCTTTCACCCAGGCTGAAGTGCCGTGGTGCGATCTCAGCTCATTGCAAGCTCTGCCTCCCAGGTTCACGCCATTCTCCTGCCTCAGCCTCCCAAGAAGCTGGGACTACAGGCACCCGCCACCACGCCCAGCTAATTTTTTGTGTTTTTAGTAGAGATGGGGTTTCACCATGTTATCCATTTCTGACCTTCCACTGTATTCCATTTCTGACCTTCCACTGTATTCCATTTCTGACCTTCCACTGCATTCCATTTCTGACCTTCCACTGCATTCCATTTCTGACCTTCCACTGCATTCCATTTCTGACCTTCCACTGCATTCCATTTCTGACCTTCCACTGCATTCCATTTCTGACCTTTCACTGCATTCCATTTCTGACCTTCTACTATAATCCATTTCTGACCTTTCACTGTATTCCATTGACCAGAGGAAGCCACAGGCCTGATGGGAGGGGCTGCAAAGTTATATTTCAAAGACTTGGATTCAGAAAGAGATGAAGACTTGGGACCAGTTTTGCAATTCATCCATTACAGCCATGAAACTGATTCTGCCATGGCTCGACAGAAGGTGATCCCAGGAAATACTAGTAGGGGAATAGGGAAAGTGAGCTAGCAAAAAGAAACAAGCTTTTCTTTCTTCAACTTGTGTTGAGCAGATTACTGATGGGGACAATTGGCATGTGATTCTTCTGGGAGGCACTACCAACCATGCCTCATCCAAGGGGTGAGGAAGCTAGAGTATTTTTCCATTTAATCCCATTAATTATGAGGATTGCTCCATGGGCCATGAATTTCTCACCACATCTTTTTTTTTTTTTTTAACTCTAGACATTTGGCTTGGTGGACTCTTTCTTGGAAAGGAATGGCTCCAGGCAGGCCAAAGCTGAGCCAAGACAACAGGAAGGAGAAGGAAGTGGGTAGAGTCCACCAAGATGAAGACAGGGCAGGATTTATTGAAGCTCTAGGGAGACCCTGAGTACACATACTCCATGCAAAGGGAGGTTTAAACCAAGTTTACTTACAACTTTAAGTGAGAAAAGCCCTGAGTGCATGTGGGTTTATAATTCTAAGACAGCATACTCAATAGAGGTCATGGAGAGGCCTGTAAATCTTTTTGGAAGAATATTTTCTAAATATACATGTCTGTCCCATATTCCTTATTAATTAGATCTAATTCACCCTTTTCTAAAAGTGTGCTGGTAAGTGTTTAACAATTGGCTCTGTGGGAGAAATGATGCATATGTATACATAAATAAGCTCATCATAAATTTTACTTATAAAGGATATGGGCACACAATTTATAAATATAAGATGTACAATATTTTTATTATAAATTCCATATAACCAATAGATTCTCACAGAATGCTTTAGTTGATTTTTGCCAGTTTTGTTGATTTTATCTATAAGAAACCTCTGATTACAATAGATAAATGAGCAGTTTCAACATGATAATTTTGTTTACGATAATGAGTAACATGAATGTGAAACAATGAAATTGTGTGTCCAAACTTTGCTCCTTTTTCAATGGTGCAAACAACTTCTTTGCTGAGTCAGCTAGTAGTTTTTGAATTCTAGACTGTTTTCTTATATAGTGATACTCACAATGTAGTGGCAAGACATAATACATTTTTACATTTAATCTGCAGTATTGACATTTTCTTCATCTCTTAAGCTTAGACAATCAACAATCAGCCAAGCACTGAGTTTCAGAGTTTGCGCATCACTGTGGTGTAAACACTCTTAACACACTGCCTGTGATGCCCCTGACATGGAACTGGGAAGATATGCTCAGTAGCCACCACCACACAGTGTCTCCACCATATAGATTCAATAGGTGCAGACAGCCCTCCCAACATAGATTCAGTAAATTATAGTAAAATAATTAGGGTGTGGCAAGTTTTTAGGATTTATGTTTGTCTTTAATTTATTATAAATTTATATAATTTAATTTTCAATAATGGCTGGATTTGACAACCACATGAAAAATTTCTGAAAATTTAATAATATGCTTTTGTGAGCCCATATGAGCTGGCTTAAGTGTAACACTGTGGCTTCTTCCTTTTTCTTCCCCCAGTTAGGAATTTCCAGAGATAATGAATTTAAGAAAGAAATGTATCTGTTTTCTCATCACTGTATACCTAGTACTGGGCCCAATGCTTGGCACAGAGAATGCTCTCAGTTAAGGTGTGTTGAATAAATAAAATCCTGGGCTTTTTTTGTTCCCCAAGAGCCCATGACTGTAACAGATGATTCTTCTACTACCACCACTACTACACTGTGAACAGTGTGAGAGAACGTTTAATGTTGCCCAAATTTAGCTTCCAACTCTGCCAGTAACTAGCTGTGTGACTTTCAACAAGTTATTAATCTTCTTGTGCTTCAACTTCTCTTTTGTAAAATAGTCATAATGGTATTTCCCTCACAGGAGTGTAATTATGAGACTTGTAAAGGTAGATATGTTTTAGCACCTGGTACCTATAGACCCTACATTAGTATTTGCTGTTATTATCAGCTATATTATTTTAGGCATCTATTACATGCCAGGCACTCTGCTAGAAGCTTTCCATGATTTCTCTGTAATATTTTAAAGATGAGATCACTGAGGCCCAGGAAGACATTGTGATATGGCTAGTTGGGAGCAGAGCTAAAAATGAGACCCAGACTGTTGACTCCAAAGCCCAGACTCATTCCATGAGGTTGGGAGTTTATGAATCTAGAATACTGTGTTTCTCTGTGCATCATTCAAACTCAGGCTGGACTTGTTCCATGGGGCCTTCTTTGACTCTAGACACAGGTGCTGACATATTTGATTTGAGTTCCCAGTGCCCTGCAAGTGGCAGAAGCCATCAGTTGTCTCCCAGCCTTTGCTGCCCCCTTGCAAGGGCAAGTCTTCGGTGTGGGAGGTGGGGAGATTGCTGGCCAACTCTTTTCTTCGTGATTCTTTATTTGTATTTATGAACTTGTTTCAAGGGTCCTTTGTTTTACTCTCTTTGATTTAGGTTGTATGTGTGTGGATGTGGGCATGTGTGTGTGACATTTTTATCCTTCACCTGGACAAATGTTAGCATTTTGTCATTTTTGTTTCAGGTTTTCTACATAGCAACACATTTCTGATAAAGTTACAGTCTACTCTATTTTTCTTCCTAGGTAAGTTCTCTTCATTTTCTTTTGATATGGTTGGACGGTTTGTCCCCTTCAAAACTGACATTGAAACTTAATCCCTGATGTAACAGTATTAAGAAGTGGGGCATTTAAGAGATGACTGGGCCATGAGGGCTCCAACTAACTCCATCAGGACACACATTGATATACTTCTCAGAGATATAATCAGCAGGCTTTGAAAAAGAGATTACTTCCCCTTGGGAAGACAAGGCAGGGCTCCACAGCACAGTGGGATTGGAGCTGATTGTGAAAGATAAATAAGGTGACAACAGTTCAAAAGTGGGAAGGAGCCTTCCTGAATGAGGAAGCATGACAGACAAAAGCAGCCCTCATGAATGGATTAATCCATTAATCCATTCATGGTTTCATGGGTTATGATGGGAGTGGGTCTGTTACGAAAGCCAGTTTGGCTCTCAGTGAAGACCTTCTGCTGTGCTATGATACAGCACGAGGCCCTCACCAGAGAATGACCAAATGCAGTTGCCTGATCTTGGACTTCCCAGCTTCCGGAATTGCAAGAAATAAACTTTCTTTTTTTAAAAAAATAAATTATCCAATTTCAGGTGTACTGTTATAATGACAGCAAACAGACTAAGACATCTTTCAAGAGCTACCCATTGACCTCACAGAATTTAAGAACATGAAAGGATTTGAAATGGTCTGTTTGCTGTGTGCAGGTGAGGAATCTGAGAGAAGGGAAGTGATTTGCCCACAGTCTGATGCTCAGGCAGGTTGAGGTGGGGTTCAGCCCAGGGCGTCCCACATGCAGAGTGCCATGATGTGAGGTGCAGCGTGGGGCCAGGCGCTGGGGAACAACAGTGCATGAGATGCTGCCTGGACTTTCCAAGCATTCTCTGTCTTTTGGAAAGACATGAATAAGCCACAAGGACCCCAGCTCCTTCATGGTTCAATCTTGGCACAGTGTTGAATTTACAAAAGAAAGAAAATCTCAATCCGGTGTCCTTAATAATGGGAAAGAAGCTGAAATCTCTATAGTGATGTTTCCAAAAAATACCAAAGAGATAATGCACTCATAAGACACAAGAAACTTTTGAAAGTGTTTCATCTTTCTCACACTAAACCCCAGGTGCAGGCCACTATCTCCTGCAGATTCTGTCCAAATCCTTTGTCCTCCCCAAAGCTCTCACTCATACAGCCCCCCTTTTGCTCGTCCTTTCCCCCTTCTCTCTGGGATCAGCTCTTTACAAAAACAAACAACAAAAAAGCTTTATTGAGACACAGTTCACACGCCATACAATTCACCCCTTTAAAGTATGTACAATTTAATGGTTGCTACTATATTTAGAGATATGTACAACTGTTACCATAGTCCATTTTAGAACATTTTTATCATGTCAAAAAGAAACTCCACACCTTTTAGGTGTCATGCCCCTGTCTCCCCAGAGTACCCCACTGCCCTAGGCAACCACAAATCTACTTTCTGTCTCTCTAGATTTCCCTGTTGGGTCTTGACTCTTTTTCATGTTATCAGCCAGTTTAGCCACTGCATTTTCTTGCCCTTCTCTTCACTCAGAGTCTACATGACCTGCAGGCTCAGGGACTAACACAGCAGGCAGGCTTCTTCTCTTCCTAGCCAATGAAGTGTGGTGGAAGTGGGGGGCTTGCAATTTAATAGCTTTCCCCTTTTCATTGTCAGCCATGTAAATAACTAACTCCATCAGGGCACACATTGAGTTGAGTGCTCTCACAGAGGTCTAATCAGCAGGCTTTGAAAAAGAGATTACTTCTCCTTGGGAAGACAGGGCAGGGCTCCACAGTGGAGTTGGATTGAGCTAATTGTGAAAGATAAATAAGGTGGCATCAGGTCAAAAGTGGGAAGGAACCTTCCTGAATGAGAGTGCACGACAGACAAAAGCAGCAGAAACCTATCTTAGGGCCATGTGAGAAGGGCTGATTCTACCAGGAGGGGAAGGAGGGATGAGGTGGGAAAGCTAATGGGAGCCAGTACTTATTGTAGTATTTTTTTCACCCTTTATTTCATTATTGTCCCCTTAAGGAGTAAAATTAAATTTGAATTTAATTTCTCCCTAATGAAAGAAATGAAATAGTAAGAAATACATTTTTGTTGAGTAGAGTTGAACTTTGGTGGGCCACACACTATTGTAATATCTAATGTATTTTACCTCCCAAGAATCAGTTTTCACCCTTTGGAGGTTGGGCCTCACTGGGAATGCCTGGCTTAATGCACACTTAGGAAGCACTTTCAAATTGCATTTAAGTCTCAGCTTAGCTCTGTGACATGGGCACTAATATGACGATCCCTGTTGTACAGATGTGGAAACTGAGACTTAAGGAGTTTGAGTGATTTGCCCAAAATCCCACATTTAGTGAGCAGCAGAGCCAGGATTTGGCCCCAGGCAATGCAGCTCTGCAGCACTGTTTCTGAACCAGATGTTGGACTCTGTCTTGCATCTCAACCATGAAGCGCCTTGAGCCCCGAGTCAGGCCTTCTGTCCTCTGCCTCGGGCAGGGACTGCCTCTGTCCACTGTGTCTGAGGATTCAGCCAGGTATTCTCGGGCCTGGCCTCACCATGCTGCTGAGTGATCCTCTAGCAAACGCTCAGAAGGAAGACATCAGGTGGCAGAATGTTCTGGAAAGAACATGGTCTTTGAAGTCTGGCTAACTTGGGTCCAAATTTGGTTCTGCCACTCCCTAGTGATGTACCTTTGGACCATTTAGCTTGCCTGAGCCTCCGTTCTGTTATTGTGAGGGTTACTGTGACTATGAAATGACTCATGCAGCCGCTTTACACACCGAGGCGTTCTGCAGGGGCTAGAGTCATTCTCCATGTGGTGCATCTGATCCTCTCCTTCCTCTCCTGCTGGGCATGGGGACAGAGAGGCCAGGTGGGTGAGCAGCTGGGTCAGAGGTCGAAAGTGATTGCTTGTTCAGTGGAGGACAGCAGGGTGGAGGAGTCTGCTCCCTGCAGGGGCTGCTAATGAGATCAAGGACCCCAGTTTGTATGGCTCTCACCCAGCAGCGGGCTGCAGGTGCACCCTGGGGCCTGGTCGGGCACAACAGCCTGTTCTCTCCATCTTTGTCCTTGGGGGTAGCTCCCCTGGGCAGCCCAGCCCTGTGACCAGTCCAAACATACCCTGGTGGGCAGTTGAAAGCTAGCCTAGAATCCTCAGGTCATGGCCTGCGACCTCTCACCAGCTCTGCTCCAAGCTGTACCTTTCCCACTGGCCTCAATTTAAAGCAAAAACAATCAAAACCACATTAAAAAAAGGTAAAAGAAATCTGTGCCCCAGCCAGCCCAAAAGAAGCTGTTGTTTCCCATGACAACTGGAATCATAACATTAGAGAGAACACAACAGGTTTCCTCTGACCCTTCCTCCTCCTGACCTGGCTCTGTCCTGGGAAATCATCTCTGACCCCCTGAGACAGAGAAATCAAGTGTGAGAAGTCCCAGACTGCAGGGAGCTGCCATGTTTGCTGCACTGATGGGGAGGAGGTGCTGGGACTTGGGAGGTGCACTGAGATGATGGCCCGCATCTGCAAGGAGGAGCCACGGACAGGCTCTCCATCCCGGTCACCTGTTAGAATCACTCTGGGAGCTCTGAAAACGCTGCAAGCCTTAGCCTTGACCATTTATGGCAGAATCTTGAGGGACTGAGCCAGAGTCACTGGAATTTTTTAAAGTCTTGCAGGTGATTGCAATATGCAGCCAGGGCTAGACCTCGGTAAGAGCACAAGCTTTGGCACGAACCAATCCCAGGGACAAATTCTAACCCTGACAGCGTTCACTTGGCTCCCATCTCTGCTCCTCCTCGGAGGCCTCATCTCATGCCTATCTGTAAAGACAGGGGTCAATACACTCCAGACTATAGATCAAATCTGTCCCAGCACTAGTTTTTGTATTCAAGTTTTTTTTTTTTTTGGAACCATGATACACATTTATTTATGTACTATCTATGGCTGCTCCTGGCCTGCAACAGCACATTTGAGTGGTTCCTGCAAAGCCAAAAATGTTTCCTATCTGGCCCTTTATAGGAAAAGTTTGCATGCCCCTGCTGTAAAGCATCTCTGACTCCTAGAGCTCTACCCTGTGCCCCTTTTCTTTCCCTTCTGTGCTCTGTCTGGGTAGTAAGTTCATCCAGTCCTATATCTTCATTATCATCTGTGTGCACAGGATTCTTGCATTTCTGGGTGGCAGGATGGTTGGGGATGGGAACTCAGGCCCTTCCTCCATGGTTTCTCCTTCTCCTGCCCCAGTCTCTCCTCCACCAGCAGCACTCAATGCCTCAGCGGGTGGATGACAGCCAGAGAAACAGAAGGGATTGTGGATTTCCAAAGCCGAGGCTTTTGAGTTAAGGTTGGGGGTGGGATTTTACAGACCTAAGCTAAAGAACTCTGGATATACAAATGTATGGTGTGAAGGCCACGTAAGAACAGGGAGGGGGCCAGACCTTGCCATCCTCAGATAAAGATTCTGTAGACTCAGCAAGGAGAGCAAGATGCTGAACACCTGCTTCATGTCTGCAAGCCTTGGGAACGGGACGGGAATGAAGGTTCCAGACTGCAGGGAACCTAAGGTATAGAGGAGCTGTGTTATCCATTCCCAGGCACAGCATGGGAATGTGGCAAGGCATAGAGTTTCTACTCAGCAGGGGCTGGAGCAGAGTAGAAATGGCTGACACTGGTGTCCAGACAGACGGGCCAGACACAGCTCCACAGGGTCCTCATTCTCCCAAGAAGGCTTAGAGAGCTGCAGCAGACTTCTCATCCCCCTAGAGCAAGGGCCTGAAGAGGCATAGAGCAAGGCACAAAGCCACCTATGTGGGCAAAGACCACAGCTGGTTGGGGCCAGGAACTTAGAAACAACCCCTGCAGTGAGAGGAAGCCTAGATTGCATTGCTGCTGCCCTGAAAATGGAGGCTTATAATAGGAGGTCAGCTCACTTATGGAATGATGTGGGAAGTGCCATCTCTTGGGCAGCCAAGTTTCACGACGCACATCTCCAGGGTGGACAGTCTTCCTGAGCATCAGATACATCCAGGTGGCTGTCTTATGCACATCTCCACTTGGAGGCTCCCCAGGCACAGCAAACCTTCCCTGAAACCTGCAACTCCTCCTGTCTTCCCTGTCCCAGGGAAGGGCACCCCTATCAGCCCGATCTCCCTGGGAGGCATCCTCATGGAACATTCACTACATCACCTCCTTAGAGCACTCGTTGCTGTTCTCATGGCTTCCTTTGTCCTGATCTCTGTTCAGGATCTCATTGACCTTTTCCCTGGAATCCAGCCACCTGCCCACTTCCATGTCTTCTGCAGTGAATCCTCTGCACTGTCATCAGAGAGGACGTCTGCAAATGAGTGAAAGCTTGATCAGGACAGGCCTGGCCTTTCAAACAAAACAAAACCCTAAACCTTCAGTGGCTTCAGTTTCTCAAAGTACTGAGTCCTGACTCACCAGCCTGGGGTCTCCTGGTGCAGCCTCTCTCTGTCCGTCTACCTTCATCTCTCCCAGATCCACACAGGAACATGCAGTCTCGGGTCCAGTGTGGAACTTTATGTCAATCCCAGAAAGTGACACATTCTCCCAAAGCTTCCTGAAGACTTGTTCCTTGGCTTGGAGAGTGTGCCCTTCTCAGCTCTCTCCTAGCTTGATCTCCCATGCTCCTTATGTTTTTCTTTCTCTTTTCTTTCCTCCTCCTTCCTCTCATTGCCTGCTCCAACCTGTGCTGAATGCTTGTCCTTCATGTGCCCCTGTGCTAGTCACTCTCTGCCCTGGAGCTCCTTAATGCTTGTGTGTTCTACTTTCATTGCCATTATCTGTTCATGTCTTTCCCCTTTGCAGACTGGTAATAACAATAATAAAAACAATAGAACTATGGTTATTAATGGCTCACGTTGATTGGCTTCTTGCTAGGGGCTAGGTGCTGTGCTAATTGCTGTATGTAGAGTATCTCACTTAATCCTCCATGTCAACCCTAATTCAAAGACACCATTATTCTCCTCATTTTACAAATAAGGAAAATCAAAGTCAGGAAGGATGAGTTCTTTGTTGAAGGCTACACAGCAAGTAAATGGCAGGGAAGGATCTGAATGAGTCTCCATTCACAAACTGTGCTGTTAACTCTACATTCTCTCATCTCATCACTTGGTTCAAAACCTTTTTTGTTTGTTTGTGACAGGGTCTCACTCTGTTGCTCAGGCTGGATTGCAGTGGTGTGATCACAGCTTACTGCAAGTTCAAATTCCTGGGCTCAGTGATCCTCTTGCCTCAGCCTTTTGAGTAGCTGGGACCACAGGTGTGGGCCACCATGCCTGGCTTTTAAAAATTTTTGGTAGAAATGGAGCTTTGCCTTGTTGTGCGGGCTGGTCTCAAACTCGTGACTCAAGTGATCCTCCCACCTTGGCCTCCAAAGTGCTGGGATGACAGGTGTGAGCTACTGCATCCAGCCTCAAAATCTTTCCGATGACTGTATCCATTCTTATGTATGTCTCATATTTCCTTCACTATGTCTTGCAGTATAACCATGTTCTGTGTGGCTATGGGGGATACCACATGAATCTCTGTACCTCGTTACCCTCATTGAAAGCTGATACCATGTGAACGGTAAGTACCTGATGGCCACTCGTCTGAATTGTTGAATTGGATGTTGAAGTAGCTTTTGCTATTTTTTTTTTGAGGGTGGAGGATTCTCAAGTCAAAATCACTAACAGAAAGAACTATATTTTCAAGTCATCCCCTGTGCCAAAAGTCTTACTGTATCAGTAAAAATGCTTTGGGTAGCAGGTATTGGAAACTGTGACTTGGTCTGGCTTACTCAACAAAATTTATTGGCTTTTAGTGGTGGAAGCCCCGAGGCAGGGGAGTGTCAGGGCTTGTCAATGGAGGAGCTCAGCAACATCATATGGTACCTGAATGCTTTCCTTCATTAGTCTCTGCCATGTGCAAAGTCAGCTTCCTTCTAATGGTAGCTCTTTCTGGAGCAGCTGCACAGATGCAGGTAGCAACAGGAGCTACTTGCTTCCTCATTTGAAACCAAGGAGATCTTGGAACCTCAGTGTGGAACAAAAATCTAACCCTTCAGTCTTACTGGACCATGATAGCTTGAGCACAGTAATGGTATTTTAGGGGCCAGATGCACTGTGTGAGTTAAGGCTGGTTTTCTGTTATAGCAGTGGTTCTCAAACTTGGTGTGAGTCAGAAGCTCGTGGGGAGCTCATCAAGAACACAGGCTTGGGCTCAAGGATGAAGAATAAGGCTTGGGTCTTTGAATTTTAACCAAGCTCCCCAGATGATTCTGATACTGAACAAAGTTTGAGAAGCCCTGTATTAGAGGAACATAAACCTCCATGCTTCGTGGCTATATTTTTCTGGCAGGTATACTTTGTCTGTCTATTTGATTTATCTGTTCTTTTTTCTTCTTCCTTCTGATATATATATGGATTATGGGCTGCTCTACTTACGTATCATCAGTGGAGAATCGGAGGCTTGGATCTTTAGTTTTTTCCACCTTAGATCAACTATTTGTAGGGCATTCATGCAGGGGAAGGACCAAAGTCGTGCCCTTGGTTATTTAGAATATTTTCTTATGACCTAGGGTTTTGTGTGTATGGTCACTTAACCTTCCAGTGTTAATGAAGACAGGCAGTTATTTTGTTCTATTGTTTTATTGCAATGCAAAGCTCTCTTCTCTTGTGCTGCTGCTATACTATAGAGTGCTTCCTGCAAATATGTCTTCTGTGTGCCTGTTGTTTAGCTCTGTGTCTGTGCTTTAAATCGAACTTGATGCAGGGAATTTCCTGCTGCCAGCTTATCCCCACTACACCTCTCAATGACTGCATTTTAGACAGCAGCTTTTATAGGTTTTACACTCCAGTAAGTGCCCCTCAATCTCAGAAAGTGTATTTTTGCTGGCTTTTTTGAAGACCTGAAGAGGAGGTCTCTTTTTTTTTTTTTTTTTTTTTTTTTTTTGGCATTCTCCTGCATATCTGCCTGTTTTTGGAGCCTCCCACCCATTTTGGATCCTGGAGTTTTAGCCATATCCTACTTTTATAATGCAGTACTCACAGTCTTAACATGTTCCACGGGGTGCTGCTGCTTCACCCCTGCTTACCTCTCTAGCCCCATCATGCGCCACCCTCCCACTCACATGCTGTGTGTCAGACACACTGGACTTCTTTATATCCCTCTAATGCTCTGAGGAACATCACGCTTCCTCCCAACACAGGACCTGTGCACTCACTGCCTGGATCAGTCTTTCTTATTCTTGCTCACGATAACTCCTTTCGCTCCTCACGTCTCAGCTTATCTGTGCTTCTTTGCGGGAACATTCCCTGACTTTACTGCCTTGGCCAGATGCTCCAATTATACACTTTTATGTTGTCTTCTGTCTTCATTGAACTTATCAGAGATATCATTTTGCATTCATCTGTGATTATTTATATGTGTGCGTCCCCATTTTGATATAGCCTATGTTGCATACTGATCTATTCCAAGTTATGAGTACCTTGTACATGGTAAGTGCTCAAAACATATTTGTTGAAAGAAGGAAAAAAAATAGAAAAGAAAGGAAGAAAAGAAAGAAAAAGAAGAGAAGGAAGGAAAGGAGAAAGAAAGAATGAAAAAGAAAGATAGACAGACAGACAGATAGGTTAAATGGCTTACCAGTGTCACAGTTAGTAATGGGTGGAGCTGGAACTTGTCCCTGAACCTTCAGCCTCCAGAACTCTTGTTCTTTCCCCTCAATAACAGCTGCTTCCTAATCCCAGTTCTTCAGACCTCTGGCCTAGGCCTCATCTGTCCTCTATTCGATACTGGCTCCCTCCACTGTGGTTCCTCAGATGGCACATGAGACTGTCACTGATCCTATTTATATGGTGCATTTTCTTTTTCAGCATGTTTCTACTGCAAATGACACTTGATTTAATAATTTTAATCAAGAAATTAATTGTATTCTCCCAGGGAATTTTCAAGAAGAGGGTGCAATTTTCTGAGCATCAAGTAAGTGAAGGAAGGGCTAAACTGAATGTTGTACCTGGGAAGGTGGGCTCAATGTCCACACCAGGGACGATGATGTTTCTATTCATTCCTAACTCCACTAGCCTTGGGAGCTTGCGTTCCTGTGTTACTTGAGTTATGATTGAACATGGCGACAGGATTTGATGGCCTCATTCTCTGCCAAAGCATAGCCAACTAGTTATTTGCTACTTCATTCAGTTGTATGCAAAGCACAAAGCAATTTGGATTGGTCTGTGATCCCCTGCTCCAACCCTCTGCCTTGGAGAGGGAAGGTGCTCTACAAAGACTTTGGATTGCTCCAGCTCTGGATCTGCCATCTGCCAGCACTGTGACCTTCAGCAGGTTACTCAGTGGTTTGAACCTCAGTTTCCTCACCTGTAGAGTGGGATTAATAATGACTACTTCTGCCAGGCACGGTGGCTCACACCTGTAATCCCAGCACTTTGGGAGGCCAAGGCAGGCTGATCACCTGAGGTCAGGAGTTTGAGACCAGCCTGGCCAACATGGTGAAACCCTGTTTCTACTAAAAATACAAAAATTAGCTGGGTGGCAGGCGCCTGCAATCCCAGTGACTTGGGAGGTTGAGGCAGGAGAATCGCTTGAACCTGAGAGGCAGAGCTTGCAGTGAGCCGAGATCACGCCACTGCACTCTAGCCTGGGTGACAGAGCGAGACCCCATCTCAAAAAAAGAGAAAAAAATGACTACTTCTTGATTGTGATACTGAAATGAATAACAAAGGTATAGAGTAGCTGCCTCAATATTTGTCCTGAATAATGAGTTTTACACGTTTTCCCTATATCACCATCAAAGAAGATGCACGTAATATGCCACAGCAGATTTTGTCACTCGCCAGCTAGATGACCTGGGCATTTATCATGTATCTGTCTCAGCTTCCTCATCTGCATAATATGCTTAATAATTCCGGTTTTTAGCTAATTCAATGAGTTAATATGAGGTGATCACATCCAGGAATAATGCACATTTAAGAAGTGACTGCTGATTTTCAACAGTACGATGCTGTTGTTTCTATAGATACTGGATCATTTTGGTTACTTACATAAAAGTGTTTTCCAAAGTCCTTTTGAATGGCATCCCTGAGGTAATGAAATTATATATTCTGCTGTAATTCATTCAAGGAACCTTTATGGATTGCATGGTATGTTCCAGCCACATTGGTTTGCTTCATATTCCTTAAAACAAAAATCAATAAATAGCCTTTGGAGCATTTAGTAGGAATTAGACGTGGAGAAATCACATTTCTACTTCATTGAGGACTTCCTGTTGTCCCCACATGCTGCCATTGGGGATCATCACAGTTTGCCTGAACCCTAGAAGGGCGGGAGTGCCTTAGTGGGGCCTTGTGCTCCCAGCATCACTTGGCTGGGCTTGCGTCACAGGTCAGCCCCTCACATTCAACTGCTCACCACCCCCATCACCCCTATGTAAGCAAACACTGCAGTTGTTTCTGAGGGGCCTGGGGGATCTCACAAGTTCTCAAGGACAGTTCCATACATTACTCTGCTCTAGCTGTGGTCTCAGCCCATTGGTTTCCATCGCCAGAGCCTGCTATGAAAATACGATGCCAATGCTCCTGCTGTGGGCAGGATGTTCTGTTGTCTTCCAGGTGCCAAAATGGCATCACCCCTCTTCCAGAACCACAGTGTGGAAGGAACTCACACTGGGCTGGCTCTTTCATGCATCCACAGTCAGCTGGAGGGACGGCGGCTGGGGCTAATGACATGGGGCTGCTTTACATGTGTCGTCCTCTCTAATTCTCACAATTCACAACAGCCCTGCAAGCTGGATATTTTTTATTATTCCTCTTTTACTAATAGGGAAACAAAGACTCAGAGAGGTTCAGCAACTTGCCAACATGCCTCAACAGTCAAGCTGGGATTCCAGCCCAGCTGTCTCCAACTCCTAGTCTTCTGGGTTTAACTTGTATTACACCTACTAGTTTAGCCAAATAAATTCAACCTTTTCCAATGACCCTATAGTTGTCTCCATGCAAAGTGCTCATGTTTGCATGAAACATTCTGGAGTGACTGCCTGGCCCTAAAGTGTGGGCTTCTCCCAGCACTCCTCAGAATCAGGTCTGCGTTATTTCTCCATGTCCCAGATGCACATTCAGGCTGCGGACGGATGGCTGGCTTTGTTTGCTTGGCCTCAGTTGTAAGGCAGTGAGAGGCTCTTCTGGGTCGAGGATGTAATCCTGCCTGATGCCGCTTTATTAAAGCCAGGACTGGTTCCCAACAGTCAGAGCCTGTGATCTGAGGCTAGGGCAGCGAAAGCCTCAGCTGGTTCTGAGTTTGCAACGAACGCATTAAAGCAGAATAGGGGCTCTTTCTGTAAATAGTGCCTTTTGGCTTCTCCCCATTTCCGCTTCTCTGGGGAAAGATTAAATTGATACAGCCTCTGAGTTTTTCGGCACTTGTCTTTTTCAACACAACCAAGGGAACATTTAAATCTGGCCTTTGAAAGTTTACCTCCAGGCTTGGAGGAATCCATTTTTACTTGTCAATTAATTCATTAAATCATTCAGAACTGTAGCAACTGGGTACCTGTACTTGTTGTGATAAGGGAGACAAAGATAAATTAAGTATTGCGATTGTCCTTTCCCTGGATGTCTTTCTGGATCATTTTATTTTAAAAATTATCTGTGAGGGGCCTCAGTCCAGCTCTGTCTGCCTCTGAGAGTCTGAGTAATGGGACCATGGTCACACAGAGAGCAAGCAACACAACTAGGACTGGAATCCAGTTCTTTTCTATCACAAGTCCAAGATCCCCCTGCCTCAAGTTTGAGTGTGTCTTCTTACTATGTCAGACACTTTCTCATTTTTAGATTAAAACGACAGAACTGGTAACCCTTCAGTTTGGAGAAAGGCAGTAGGTATTATCTGTAATTCATCTCCCTCATTGTCCATGCAGCATTTGCTGATTGAGCACTCATGAGGGCCGGGCAAATGCCCGAACCAGATAAGGCTGTGCCCTTGAGGAGCCCACACTGTCCTGCAGACAGAGGCAGGACAGAGCACAGTTACAGGAGCTGAGCAGGAGGCATGCACGGCATCATAAGAGCTTAAAGGAGGGGGACCTACCCCAGCTGGGGCAACCCTGGGCAGGCTGAATGGAGGGCAGACCATCAGCTGAGCTCTGAAGGGAGAGAAGGCAGGTCAGGCTGATTGGGACGAGTTGAGGGGAGGAGTTGCATACAACATATGCAAGGGTGTAGAAATGTGCTAGGTTCAGAAACGAAGGATGATGATATCAATTGGATTCCAACAAAGCCCCCTTGTTGGGAAATGGTGAGAAAGGCTGGAATTGTGAATGGCCTTATATGTCATGGCAGATAATTTAAGCTTGAATCTGCAGGAAAAGAAATTTTAAAGGACTGTAATCAGGATCAGTTATATGTTTTAGAAAAGCTGCACTGGGTGGCAGTAAGGATAATGAAGTGGAGGTGAATGTAGGAGGGCAAGAGTGGGGGAAGTGGGATGAGTAAGTTGGCTCCCAGATAAATGTAGCAGCTTTTGTGTGGCAGGACTGTGAATTCCTTACTGTCATCTTATTATCCTCTAACAAATTGGACTTGGAGAGCATCATCTTAAGACCCTATAGGCACCGGTTGCCTCAAGATTTCCTATAGGAACCCCCTCTCTCTAGTGAGAAAGATAGTCTCATTATTTCAGTACGAGGTGCAGAATGTCTCCTGGACTCTTATAATGCATGAGGGAGGCAGGTGGCAGGCATGGAACTACCTGAGGAAATCAGAATGCTCTCATGAGATGTTTGGGGTGAGCTTTAAAGAACGAGTAGGGTTTGGGATGATGAACCATGGACTGGGAAGGGGATTGTGGAGAAAACTTTGTAGGCAGGAGGATGACCACATGCACATCATAAGGGTCATAAATAAGCTGGGGCATAGCTCATGTTAAATTTATAGACCTTTTCTTTCAATTGGATCTGCATAAATTAATTCATCCTTGATTAATTGAAGTCATTAGTGATTGATATAAGTTCATGTTTATTACGGGCTGCATTTTGTAGAAATGCCAAAAAGCCACGTTCCTTAAGGCTCTTTCTTGGTGCCTTAGTTCTACAGGATGTTAATTAGTGTCATATATCAAAGGGTTCCTAGTTAAATATATTTGGAGGAATGTTGGTATTCCTGACATTGCCAACAGGATTATCTGACAGTGAAACTCATGTTCTGAATCACTGGGATCAAACAGGTTTGAACAGAGGTAAGAGGGAGACTTTGCCAGATAGAAGAGTCACATTCCCAAAACCATATTCCTTCACCCCAATCCCCTGAAGAGGTCACTATGCTCTGTGTCCCAACTAGGCCTGTGAAGACTGACATTATGGCACCAGAATATTGCAAAGCATGCATTTGCTCTCTCCAGTTCCAGATTGGCAACTACTTGAGGACAGGAACAGGCCCCTCTTTATCTCTGACTTTCCAGTGCATAACTGGTTGCCTGGTGCTGCCACTTTGCCCATCTCTGACTATTTCCAAGGTCTGGAGTGTCCCTGACCATAGCATGGCCCTAGGTCATATTGAATTTTCATTCACTGGTATCCCTTTAACACTCTATATGGCCCTTGCTAATGACCATTCCCCTCTGTGTCCACCCCCACCTCTGGCACAATATCTCCTGATCTGTTCCTGCCAACTTCCTGTTCTCTCCTAACTCTGTGGACATAGGATCCAAGGGTCCAGCATGCCTCAGGATCCATCCCACTTTGGTTATGAAATTTGTGGCAGAAACTAAGGTCAAAGGAAGGTCTTTGGGATACAGAAGGAATGAGAACCCAATCCTTTGAGGGCTTCCCAGAGCCCTTTGTGGAAAGTACAAAAGAAAGGGCATGTGAACAAGATTCTGGGTTGAATGTTGTATCCCTAAAATAGCTGCTATAATAACACTGTGCTATGATTATTGAAAGCTTGAGTTAGCAATTGATTTCAGGCTGAGAGATCAATGTGAAAAGAGATTGCAATGTGGATTATGAAGAAGCCATCCATGACCCCCACGCTCATGAAGCAGCCACATCCACCTCTTCCACAGCCCTTATTACCTTATTATAATTGTGTGTCTATTGTCTATTGTGCCACTGTGAACTCCCAGAAGATGGGACCATTCTTGAATTATTTTCAACAGTGACTGGCTTATAGTAGGTGCTTGATTTATAATGCTCACAGCATGACTTAAAGTAAAGAAGCAAAGCAGTTAAATTACTTGGCTACAAAATTAATAAGGTAGCAGAATAGGGCTCTGAACCCAAGTCAGTCTCATTGCAATGCCCACATCTAGAACAGTTAAAGAGAGTCTGTCTGTACATGTGAGTGCTAGCTATATCAATACATTATCAATCAACTCCATAGATCAGTTTTGCCCCAGGATCTGGGCAGCTCTGGTGCCCTCTGGTCCTGGGGGTGTTCTTTGTTATGACCTAAATCCTACCAGGTATCATTGTCCCAGCATAAGATTCTCATAAGATCTTATCCAAATCCTCATACATCTCCATTCCATTGGCTACTGACTTCTTTTGCAGAGCCCTTGCTACAACAAAGCTGTTAGTGTTTTCTGAGCATTACTAGGTCTAGGGGAACATGAAAAGGCAACAGGAAGGCATGGATGGGGGACAGTTGGCCTGCTTCATTTGCACACAGTGACTTGCTTCCATATGCAAGGTACTGTAATTCAAATTTAAGTTTTGGGAAGGTAAATATTGTCTGAGGATTATGAACAGTGAGATTGTTCCTAAATAATTGACACAGACTACCCATGTTGCCTCTGCTGCTCATGAGCTTTTGGACACCCTAACTTTATTAACTACCTTACAAGTGATACAGGAAGAAAGAGGTTAAATCTGAGTGGATACTTGGTGTTAGAGGATCCTGGACCTGAATTCCAGCTACACTCTTTACCCACCATGCTGCTAAATCTCTTGGCATCTCAGTTTCTTCATGTATAAATTGGGCTTCATGGATACTTCCTTTTTCACAATTTCCCTTAAAAATGCTCTCGCTCATTTGATAGAAATAGTTTTCTCACTTGGTTCACAATATAGCTACCGGTAGATGAGCCACGCTTATCTAATTTAACTCACAATTATTAGTGTGTTACATACATAAACTGATTTAATCTCCACAACCCCATGTAGTGGGTACTGTTACTATCTCTATTTTATTTATGAGTAAAAGAGGCATAGAGGTTAAGCAACTTGCTTGAGGTAGTAAAGCAAGAGAAGTGGAGCGAGAATTTGAACCTGAACCAAATACGAACCATTTTGCAGTACACGGTGACACCCTCTGCTTATTCTTTCTTCATTGTTGATTCTCTAGGGCAGCCATCAAACCCAAGCTGACCATTCAGAGTTTTTTCCTCAGGTTTGGAATTGGATTTAAGAAATTATTTGTTTTCCTTAATTTCCACCTCATATCATTTTACTTTTACACTTTTATAGCAACTGCAACAATTCCTCAACTACATTAGGACTTTTAATCCATTGATCATATGAGTCTTACCAAGCTTCCCATGTGAAAGTTAATTACAAAAAGAATGGGATCCTGAAATTTTGAATGGGGACATCTGGTTGAACCCACATGAAACTGACCATATTGAAATCCAAGTCAACTTGATCTTCTCTTGCCAGTAGAAATAGCTTGCCCTCCACTGTCTGAAAAGATTAGTCTTTTGTGGCTTGAAAATCAGCGATAACCTCACCTAGGACAGATGCTAATTCTCCTCAAAACCCACAATGGCAATTACTTATTTCTAGTAGACCGAAAATAATATTAAGTTATGTTTTGGAGGGCAGATGCACTCTATGACTCAGGACAAAATAGCTTATGTACAAAATGAATTAGAAAACATTGCCAATATAGTGAGAGTGGATTCTAAGGATGTTAAATCAAGGAAAACAGAATATAACACTATGTTAGACTGAACTAATAGATATGGGTACGCTTTCTGAAGATTCTGAATTTAATGTATTATTCATGAAGCAGGAAATGGCTCTGACAGCTTACTGATTGGTTGACTGCAACTTAGACTTAATGGTGGGATATATTTAATGACATTGAGATGCCAGAGTTTCCCTGACATGATATGGAAGAGAAAACAAAGGATTAGGAAAAAATAAATATTGGAGTAGAAGTATCATGTGTGGCCTGTGTACTCACCTCCAACTATGTGGCACAGTTGTGGTATGAAG
Organism: Homo sapiens; assembly: GCF_000001405.40. Taxonomy (NCBI): domain Eukaryota; kingdom Metazoa; phylum Chordata; class Mammalia; order Primates; family Hominidae; genus Homo; species Homo sapiens. Next base: position 134,420,496 of record NC_000008.11, on the reverse strand, counting down.
GCATTCCCCTTAACTAAGGTGTTGAGGGGAGCACCTATCTCCTTAAAAATCTCTAATTTTTCTTCTTAGTAGGCCAAGTGTGATAATAGGGGAATCCTATTGAGATGGACTCTTTGATTTCATTTCAGATTATAGGAATCTGGAGTAGTAGAAGTCAAGAGCACTTCCTGGAAAGAAAAATAAGATGGGTGCATTTACCATAAAGGCAACACTGATATTCACAAAGTCTTGGCCTGTAGGTACCACTGGGCATTGTTAATTGATCATCATCTTCCTAAAAATCTAGGAATGAAATAAATGGCCAGGATACTAGAGTACTGCAGGATCTATATAAAAGAAACACACACAAACCCTGAAACTCAAAATTCTAGGTCTGATAGCCAATAACCTAATTTTGAGTTGTCATGGTAGAGAGTTATGGCTTTTCACCGAGGTTCCAGGTTAAGACAGTTCACAGATCTAAAGCATCTTGAATAAAGGGGACACCAGATCATTTTGAGGAAGGATTCTGCAACAATGCCACAGGTACATAATGTGAATCTTCCTCCAAGCCTTCTTCAAAGGAATGTATGCCTATTTATTTACCAGGGTGACTATACACTGAGAAAAAAGACTGCCCAGATCATTTGAGGATTTGAGGCTTTGGCTCTGAATTTACAGTAACTTCTGAGAACCCCAAATGTTACTGTGGCCCACCAGTCACAGTGGGGATTTATAGCAGTCAGATGATGAAGTATTAACTCACATCCAGTTCACAGTGTGTCCAGCTGTTTCATGGATCTACCCTGTGGTCATGTCCCTAATTCTTCAGTGTAATTGGAATAGACATTTGTAGCAACTGGAAGAATCCCTGTATTGGACCTCTGACCCAAGGTGTGAGGGGTTTTCTGGTAAGAAGGGTTAAGTAAAGATCCTAGAAACTTCCAAGCTCTGTTCTATCAAGATTATAAACCAGAGCAATACTTTATTCATGGTGGAAATTTCAGAGTTTAATGTCGCCATTAAAGTCTTGAAAGGCACAGAAGTGCTGATAGCTATCACTGTTCCACATAACTGACCAGTTTAGTCTATCCAAAAGTCAGACAAATATTAGAGAATGCCTGTAGACTATCATAAACTTAACTATATTGGACTCTAATTGCAGTTACTGTTCCAGATGTAGTATCTTCACTAGAGCAAATTAACATGACCCCTTACACTCATTATGGAGCTATTGACCTAGCTTGTTTTTTTTCCATACCAATTTTTAAGACCACGAGAAGCAGCCTGCTTATACATGGCAGGACCAATAGTACTCTGTCACAGATTTGCCCTCCTCCCACTGTCCATCCTCCAAAAGGCCCCAGTGTGTGTTGTTCCCCTCTATATGTCCATGTGTTTTCATCATTTAGCTCTCACTTATGAGTGAGAACGTGCAGTGTTTGATTTTCTATTCCTGTGTTAGTTTGCTAAGGATAATGGCCTCCAGCTCCATCCATGTCCCTGCAAAGGACGTGATCTTGTTCTTTTTTGTGGCTGCATAGTATTCCATGGTGTATATGTACCATCTTTTCTTTATCCAACCTCACTGATGGGCATTTAGGTTGATTCCATGTCTTGTTATTATGAGTAATGCTGCAATAAACCTATGCATGTGTCTTTATAATAGAATGATTTATATTCATTCAATCATTCAATGATTTATATTCCTTAGGTATATACCCAAATGGGATTGCAGGGTTGAATGGTAGTTCTGTCTTTAGGTCTTTGAGGAATCACCACACTGTCTTCTACAATAGCTGAACTAATTTACACTCCCACCAGCAGTGTATAAGCATTCCTTTTACTCCACAATCTTGCCAGCATCTGTTATTTATTGACTTTTATTTATTTATTTGAGACAGAGTCTCCTGTGTCAGCCAGGCTGGAGTGCAGTGGCGTGATCTCAGGCCCACTGCAACCTCCGTCTCCCAGGTTTAAGCGATTCTCTTGCCTCAGCCTCTTGAGTAGCTGGGACTATAGGCACCTGCCACCACATCCGGCTAATTTTTGTGTTTTCAGTAGAGATGACGTTTCACTGTGTTGGCCAGGCTGGTCTCAAACTCCTAACCTCAGGTTATCCACCTGCCTTGGCCTCCCAAAGTGCTGGGATTACAGGCATTAGCCACCACACCTGGCCTATTTTTTTTTTTTTTTAACTTTTTAGCAATAGCTATTCTGACTGGTGTTAGATGGTATCTCATTGTGGTTTTGATTTAGATATCTCTAATGATCAGTGATGTTGAGATTTTTCTCATGTTATTATTGTCCACATGTGTGTCTTCTTTTTAAAAGTGTCTATTTATGTCCTTTGCCCACTTTTTATGTTTTTTTTTTTCATTGTGAATTCATTTAAGTTCCTCACAGATGCTGGATATTAGACCTTTGCCAGAAGCATAGTTTGCAAAAATTTTTTTCTCATTCTGCGGGTCATCTGTTTACCTTGTTGGTCATTTCTTTTCGTTGTGCAGAAGCTCTTTAATTAGATCCCAATTGTCAATTTTTGCTTTTGTTGCAATTACTTTTGGACTCTTCATAATTAAATATTTGCCTCTGCCTATGTCCTGAATGGTATTGCCTAGGTTGTCTTCAAGGTTTTTTTTTTTTTTTTATAGTTTTGGGTTTTACATTTAAGTTTTTAATCCATCTTAATTGTTGTATATGTTATAAGGAAAGAGTCCAGTTTCAATCTTCTGCATATGGCTGGGTAGTTCTCCAAGCACCATTTATTGAATAGGGAATAATTTCCCCATTGAGTAGCAAGCATTTTTGATGCCCTAGAGAGATGTGAGTGAATTAGAGGGTAGAGGATAAGCTTTCTACAAAAACTGAAGTCCTTCTACCTCAGATGAGTTTCTTAAGAATGTTTTTTTTTTTTTCTTTTTTTTTTCTGCTTTTTTTTTTTATTATACTCTAAGTTTTAGGGTACATGTGCACATTGTGCAGGTTAGTTACATATGTATACATGTGCCATGCTGGTGCGCTGCACCCACTAATGTGTCATCTAGCATTAGGTATATCTCCCAATGCTATCCCTCCCCCCTCCCCTGACCCCACCACAGTCCCCAGAGTGTGATATTCCCCTTCCTGTGTCCATGTGATCTCATTGTTCAATTCCCACCTATGAGTGAGAATATGCGGTGTTTGGTTTTTTGTTCTTGCGATAGTTTACTGAGAATGATGGTTTCCAATTTCATCCATGTCCCTACAAAGGATATGAACTCATCATTTTTTATGGCTGCATAGTATTCCATGGTGTATATGTGCCACCTTTTCTTAATCCAGTCTATCATTGTTGGACATTTGGGTTGGTTCCAAGTCTTTGCTATTGTGAATAGTGCCGCAATAAACATACGTGTGCATGTGTCTTTATAGCAGCATGATTTATAGTCCTTTGGGTATATACCCAGTATGGGATGGCTGGGTCAAATGGTATTTCTAGTTCTAGATCCCTGAGGAATCACCACACTGACTTCCACAATGGTTGAACTAGTTTACAGTCCCACCAACAGTGTAAAAGTGTTCCTATTTCTCCACATCCTCTCCAGCACCTGTTGTTTCCTGACTTTTTAATGATTGCCATTCTAACTGGTGTGAGATGGTATCTCATAGTGGTTTTGATTTGCATTTCTCTGATGGCCAGTGAGGATGAGCATTTCTTCATGTGTTTTTTGGCTGCATAAATGTCTTCTTTTGAGAAGTGTCTCTTCATGTCCTTCGCCCACTTTTTGATGGGGTTGTTTGTTTTTTTCTTGTAAATTTGTCTACAGTAACCAAAACAGCATGGTACTGGTACCAAAACAGAGATATAGATCAATGGAACAGAACAGAGCCCTCAGAAATAATGCCGCATATCTACAACTATCTGATCTTTGACAAACCTGAGAAAAACAAGCAATGGGGAAAGGATTCCCTATTTAATAAATGGTGCTGGGAAAACTGGCTAGCCATATGTAGAAAGCTGAAACTGGATCCCTTCCTTACACCTTATACAAAAATCAATTCAAGATGGATTAAAGATTTAAACGTTAGACCTAAAACCATAAAAACCCTAGAAGAAAACCTAGGCATTACCATTCAGGACATAGGCGTGGGCAAGGACTTCATGTCCAAAACACCAAAAGCAATGGCAACAAAAGCCAAAATTGACAAATGGGATCTAATTAAACTAAAGAGCTTCTGCACAGCAAAAGAAACTACCATCAGAGTGAACAGGCAACCTACAACATGGGAGAAAATTTTCGCAACCTACTCATCTGACAAAGGGCTAATATCCAGAATCTACAATGAACTTAAGAATGTTATTCCATGGTCTTGAGAATGCTAAGATATCATCAGCCCTCGACACAAGGATTTGAAAAAAAAATAAAAAGCAGAAGAAAGAGAATGCTGAGATATCACCTCCAAGATGAGAGCCATTTTGCTGTACCACACAATACCTACCTTGGAAAAAAAATTTTTTAAAAGCAAGTTAGGTCTTTTTGGATTTTGGAGGCAACATATAATACAGTTGAGTGTGCGACTTTGACACATCGAGAGTTATTGCAAGGCTGCCATTTTCAACTGGAGACCAGGACAAGAGAAGCCTCTTGCAGTAAGGTAGGCTACAGTGCAACTTTCTCTGTCACTGGGGTCTCATGATCTAGCAGATACAATGATACTTAGAGTGCCAGTGAAAATAGGGAGACTGTATGAAGCCTCTGGACCACAACAACAAAAGAATTGCAGTGCAGACCTCTAGGGCTTTGGAGCAAATCCATTCCCTTTTCTGAAAGTAACTATTTTTCTTTTGAGAGATATATTCTGGCTTGCTCCTGGTCCTTGTGATTGCCTAACCATGAAACACCCGGAGACCATGTGGGCTGAGTTTCACATCATGTATTGAGTGTTTCTGACACACTGTGGGAGTACATAGCGGTGATATATCATCTGGTGAAAATGATATGTATGAGACAGCTTGGCCAGGTTTGGAAGGTACAAATAAGCTGCATGAGCAGATGGCTTTGACTCCTTCTACACTGTTGCATTGCCTCCTTTCCCTCAACTTGTGAGCTCAGCACCATGGACCTGCTATTGCCAAGACTGACCTGGCTAACACTACTGCTAAGTGCCTAGTCTTCCAAATGTGGAAAGCAGCAATAAGCACTGACATTGCACCATTCCCTGGAGGATCAGCCAGCCACCAGGCAGTTTGTTTATTGCGTTGAACCTCTTCCATCATAAAGAGGATAAAGATTTATCTGCGCTGAAATAAACATATTCTGGGTATAGATTTACCTTTCTTGCTCACAGTGTTTGTGCTAACATCACCACCCTCACACTCATAGAATGCCTTGTCCAGTATCATGCCATTCTGCATAGAATTGTTTCTAACCCAGGAACACATTTCCTAGCCAAAAAATGTGCAACAATGCACTTATAACCATGATATGATCAGGTATTACTACCAGCCAGAGGTATTACACTCAGCCAGAAGTCTCTGATCTAATCAAAATGCTAATGGCTTACTAAAGATGTACTTACAGTTAGGAGACAACTATTCCCTGGAGTAATGAGTTAGGAGACAACTGTAAGTACATCTTTAAAATTTGGGATTTTGTATTACAGGATGCAATGTATGTTTGGCCATGTATGTTTTGAATCAGAGACGGTTACATATCTTTTCCATAGCCAGAATACATGGGTTTAGAAATGAAGGGGTGAAATTGAGACTGCAACCTCTATGTTAATAATCCACTTGCAGAGATTTTGCTTTCCATCTCAAGAATTTAGGCATCTGATCGTCTAGAAATCTTAGTCCCCAAAGAGAAGGATGATGTCACTATGGGACACAACAATTGGACACAACAAATTGTGGTGAGAAACAAAATTTCATAATGCAGAACACTCTACAATTGTGTGGGTAGTGTTATCTAATACCCCTAATAGCCCTTTACTATGAATGGCATCAATTGGTGCCTGATACTCTCCAGGGGAAAATAATGTCACAGAAAAAACTAACCACACACCTGAGGGACACAGTCACTATAAAAGAAAGACAAGATAATGAGATTCAGCTATAATATACAAATAAAAATTAATGGTCTAGATAGGTCATAAATTCAAAAGAAGCATAATAAATTTTCCCACAGAGATAAGACAGGATAGGAAGCAGGAGCAAGGAGTTAATAAAACAGAGTCAAATTGAAATGTATGGTGGGAAAAAATATTATGTGAAAATAAAGAACACAATAGATAGGCTACATGGCAGAATGCCTGTGGCCAAAGAACAAATTACCTAGAAAGCCAGTTTGAGGAACTCTCCCAAAGGCATCAAGAAGGAGTAATGAGTTGGAGAAATGTTCATCATCTTATACTGGAAGTCCTGGAAGGAAAGGCAAAAATCAATGGAAGGGAGAGAGTAGTGGAGGAAAAAATGACTTAGAATTATTCAGAATTAAAGAATGATCACAACTCTTGATTATAATTATGTGCAATATGGCATGTTCCTGTTGTTCCAGCTACTCAGGAGGCTGAGGCAGGAGAATCACATGAGCCCAGGAATTCAAGGCCAGCCAGGGCAACATAGTGAAAGCTTGTCTCTAAAGAAAAATTTTAAATTTAAAAAAACCAGCTGGGCGCCTGGAATCCTAGCACTCTGGGAGGCCAAGGCTCATGCCTGTAATCCCAGCACTTTGGGAGGCTGAGGCAGGTGGATCACCTGAATCAGGAGTTCGAGACCAGCCTGAACAACATGGTGAAAACCCTGTTTCTATGAAAAATACAAAAATTAGCCAGGCATGGTGGAATGTGCCTGTAATCCCAGCTACTCGGGAGGCTGAGGCAGGAGAATAGCTTGAACCTGGGAGGCAGAGGTTGCAGTGAACCGAGATCGCACCATTGTACTCCAGCCTGGCCAACAAGAGTGAAACTTCTGTCAAACAACAACAACAAAAACCCTCTCTTGATTGAAAAGCTTTATTGAGTGCAAGACAGGGTGGACAAAGAGAAACAGACACTTTTTACATATTAGAGAAAGATTTAAGTCTATCAAAGAAAAAGAGAAAATCCAAAGATGATAACAGATAACATTTATCCAGTGCTGCTGGCAGTCACTGTCTTAAGCACTTCACATGGGTGAACTTATTTAGCCCTTAGAGCAGTCTTAAGATGTGACCACTCATATTATCCCCATTTTACACATGAGGACATTGAAGGACAGGGAGTCTAAATAACTTGCCCCAGATCTTATAGCCAGGACATGTGGCAGCTGAGACCTGAAGCCAGCAATCTCTTGCTCCAGTGTCTGGGATTTTAACCACCAGGGACTCTTGCTTCTTGAAAAGCTGAGAGAAAGAGAGAGAGAGAGAGAGAGAGAGAGAGAGAGAGAAATTACCCACTAAAGAACACAAATCATCTCGGCATTAGACTTCACAACAGTAACAGTTGAGTCAAGAAGACAGTGGAGTAATAATTTAAAAATGTTACAAGCGGCCCGGTATGGTGTCTCATGCCTGTCATCCCAGCATTTTGGGAGGCCAAGGTGGGCGGATCACTTGAGGCCAGGAGTTTGAAACCAGCCTGGCCAACATGGTGAAACCCTGTCTCTAAAAATATAAAAATTAGCTGGGTATGTTGGTGCATGCATGTAATCCCAGCTACTTAGGAGGCTGAGGCAAGAGAATCGCTTGAACCCAGGAGGCAGAGGTTGCAGTGAGCCAAGATCATGCCACTGCACCCCAGCCTGGGTAACAGAGCATGATTCCATCTCAAAAAAAGAACAAAAACAAAAACAAACAAAAAACAAAACTACAAGAAAAATGTGTAATGTGGAATTAGCTAAACTAGATTTAAACAAGTTAAGTAAATTGCTTGAGGAAATATGTATGATAAGGGATGAGGCATTCTTGGCTGTGGTCCATTAATCTCTTTCCATACTGCCACCATTAAATGTTGGGGAGAATTGTGACTTTGACAGTAATTTTCTCTGAAAGTCCAGTTGACTGCTTGGGAAATAGGGTGGAGGATAAATGATGGTCTAGTTCTAGTCAGGCTCAAACTTTTATCCTTTCTGCTTTTGAGAGCTGCCGAGCTGGGGCCATGGGACCAACAGCTGATGCCATCACTAATGTTAGATAAACTCAGATGCCTCCTCTCCACATAGGCTGGCAGGCAGAGATTAATGCAAGAGCAGATCATACGTGTTTGTGAATTTTATGATGCAATTTGCAGGCTATAAAATGGACAGGATGAATATTCTAGAAATACTGAGATGATTATTAAGTGAATGATTAGGTTTCATTTTTACTCCAGCTAAACATACTCAGCTGGGTTTATGATGAGCAGTCTTGACATCAGACTTGTACAACTTTAGTATTTGCATTAAGGATATGTCATTTAAAAAGTTACTCAAGGGCAAGTTCCCTTTATTCTAATATCCACTAATGGCTCACCATCATGGAACCATGCCACTCTGAAGTTAGGTAAGGTATTTTTTATTAGGGTTCTTAATTTTTTAAATAATAGATGAGGAAACAAAAACTCAGAGAAAACGTGTGATTTTTCCAAAGGTCATCCAAATAATAAAAGCCAGCACTTGAACTCATCCAGTGATTCCATTTATATTTGTTTATTGAGAACATACAGTATTTGTCAGAAAGTATTCTAGGTACTGGGATAGACCAATGAACAAAATAGTCATGGTCTCTGCCATCAAAGAGTTTATATTCTAGAAAAGAGAGTAAGTACAGGTACAAACCAACAAATATGATAAAGATGTGATAGGTGTGCAAATAATAGAAGAGAGTAGTGATGTAGGAAGTGGTGTGGGGAGGGAGGAAGCTACTTTAGACTGAGGAAGAGGGAGGACTCTAAGAGAGGTATTATTTGAATTAAAATTTAGCCATCTGAAAATGTAGAAGCTGATTGTTCCAGTTGAGAGAAAAAAACAATGCAATGTCTCTAAAGAAGAAGCAAACTTGGCAAGTTGGAATGAAAGATTAGTAATAGTTCTAGAAATAAACTGAGGGAGAAGAAATGGCATAAGAGGGGTACACTTGGGCTAGACTGTGTAGGGTCTTATAGACTATGGCAAAATGTTTGCACTTCATTCTGGAGTCAATAGAAAGTTACTGAAGGGTTTTAAACTAAGTAGGGTTACAGTCTGATTTGCATTTCCCAGCAAGATCATTCTGGCTCCTGTGTGGAGAGTGAATGGTGATGGGACAAAAGAAGATTCAGGCAGACCAGTTAGGGGGTAATTTATTCAGCAATAAAGACCATGTAGCTAGCCTCTGTAGTTCTTTTGAATCCTATTATCCCATGATGGCATGAGATTTATCTAAAGAAACTCAGTCAGTATTTTTTTCTTACCTGAACCAAGTTTCAACCATCTTTCATTGTACTGGAAGAAGTGTGTAAAACAAAAAATGTTAATTTTAATTGTTCATCCCCACAATGAATACTGCTTGTGTTTCTAAATGCTTGTATATCTGTGCTATGCCAGACAGTCTTGACAAAGAGAGAAAAGGCATGGTCCTTGCTGCTGCATGTGTTGGGGAAGACAGACTGGTTAATGCTGTGTGCAGAGAAGACACTGAACCTGGCAGCAGCCTGGAATACTGGAAAAGCCAGGAGTACTGACATGGGGATGTGACTGGGAGACAAAACATCACATTTGAGCCTTAGAAATGCTTTTGACTGAGTCCTGCATGTTAAATATGAGTGCACCAGTGCAAGAAAGGAAGGAAACTTTATGTAGGCAGAGAGAGCAACATTTGCAGTGGAAGGTAGATAATAGAATGTAGGGAAGGTTTACATAATTGCCAGTTGTTTGGTATGGCTGGAGCATAGAATAAGGGTGTGCAGGGAAATTATCAGAAGAGGAAGTGGAAGAAGTTAAAATGTATGGTAGTAACTATGCTTTGAATCCTGGATTACAGTCTAGGTGTCCTTGGGTGATGCAGAGTCATGACTCTTTGTTGCAAGAAAAGAGGCTTACCTAAGCAACTTAACCACATGGGGACATTTGTCATCAAGTTTCATGGCCATGTCATGGGTTCCAAAGGAGGAATACAGCTGGACCTCTGGTAGGAGCCCAAATTAGTGTTTGTAGAACTATAAGAGATCGGAAAGGTTTTCCATTTTCTATCTCTTGTTTCTTTCTCTGTGTCTATTGGATAATTCTCACTGCAGGCTGATTTACCTGCTTCTCAGTCGTCAGGACTACAAATGACTCCCTAGCTTACATTGTCTCTCTTTAAGAGACAGGATGAGGCAAGAATAATGGATTCCAATCCAATTTCTTTTTAAAAAAAGCACTATTATTAGATCAATTTGAGTAAGTACTCCAATAATCTTTTTCCAGGAGGGTTGGACAAGTTTTATAACAAGTTCTGGGGACCACCCTTGTGCTCATATGGTTCCTGAGCTAGATTTTATAATATTCTCAGGAGTGTGCCTGAGAATGTGGGATTGTTTCATAAATGTTACTTAGAAGAGGTTAGAGATGTTGGTAGGGCCAGTATGTGAAGGATTGTGTAAAGGTCTATTTATGTTTGAAACAATGCCTAGCACACAGCCTGGCACTGCATAAAGAATCAATAAATGGTATCTGTTGTTATTATTGTGTCAAAACACCCTGCTTATGTTTTTGTCTTCCCCACTATCCTGTTAGTTTCTTGGTTACTAAGACTGAGTTTGATACATGTTTGTATTCTCAGCACCTTGGACAGCTCTTGACCAAGCTCCTGTACTGACACCAATGCTACCAACCACTGGCTAGGGCCCTCTTTTCAAATGAACTCTCCATTGGCTCTTATATCCTCCCCCCACAAGCTTGGAGTTTCTGGAGCACTACAGCCAGGCCCAACTAAGACTTAGTACACTATACCCCTGAATGGTTTGTTTTGGGCCACTGGAACCCACTTCCCTTAGAATCTGAAGCCCTTCATCCCACATCCCTCATCCTTCATTTTTAGCTTTATTCTTCTTCCCACCAACCCAAGTCAGCAAGACTCCAGCATGCTTTGCAGCTGACAGTGCCTGAGTTATCTCACTGCAGAGGCGCATTTGCTAGTTAGCACATTTGCTGCTTTAATTAGACTAGTTTTGACAAGCTCTGAAACTTTGTTTTTGGTTTTGATCTTTGGGATGCTTTAAAGCACCATAAAACTGTGTAGTTGTTGTGGGCAGGTCACATATCCACCAACATCCATCTGCTTCCTCAGAAAACTGATTGTCCCAAGCTTGGAATAGAGCATGGAAAGCACACAATAAAATGAGATTGCCATAGGTTAATGCTATTTCTCATAAAAAGCAGTTTTCCTTTTCTATCTCTTGTGTTCTTGGCACTTTTATTAAGTCACCATTTTGACCTTCCTCTTAATTACAACCAATGCAAAATAATTAACATCTTAATATTGCTGGGTTGTTGCTTTTAGAGAAGGTGAATATGTTTGCATGGTGCCTGAGGGTTTACAAAGAAAACTCTGGTGAATTATCTCACTTAACACAATCCTGTGAAGCAAGGCATGATGGCAATTATAGGTACATTTTACAGATGAGAGACCTAGAGCCTAACAAGGTCAAATGCTTAGAGCAAGAGAAAGTTAGCTTAATAAAATAAGTATTTATTACAATCCACTTTTTGCAGTGGGCAGTGAGACTATGCCAAGTACAATAAAATATCACTTTGAAATTCTCGATTGTCTAGCTTCTTGCAACCAGGGTGTTTCCCTCTCTTCATTCATGTTTTAATTTTAATTTTAATTTTGAAACAGAGTCTCACTCTGTTGGCCATGCTGGAGTACAGTGGAATGATCCTGGCTCATGGCTTACTGCAGCCTCCGTCTCCTGGGCTCAAGTGATCCTCCCATCCCAGCCTCCCATGTAGCTGGGACTATAGGCTCACACCACCATGCCTGGCTAATTTTTTATTTTTTGTAGAGATGAGTGTCTTGCCAAGCTGCTTAGGCTGGTCTCAAACTCCTGGGCTCAAGTGATCCTCCTGGCTTGGCTTCCCAAAGTGCTGGGATTACAGGCATGAGCCACTGTGCCCAACCCATGTTTATTATCACTGGAATTTTGCCTCATTAGAGCATTGCATTATACATATGCAGGCCACGTGGGGGTTTCGCCTCTCAGGGAGGGAAGTTTGGAGTCTGTGAAGTTGGTTCTTTTCTTAGTCACTTGGTTGTTAAACTCTGTTTCCACGGCAGGCACCGAAGAGACCAGCCCTATCCTCTATACAGTTCTGCTTTTCCAACACTTATTTAACCTAAACAGTTCCTAGGATCTACCCTTCCTTTCTCACATGATGAAGAAAAGTATTTATCTGCTCAGGAGTGTTCGTTTTGAACTGTTTGACAAAGAAGAAGCAAGCTTTGGGAGTTGATTGGTAAAGCCTTTGCCCACCCTGATAATGCACTGGCTTGCTGCTTATCTCTCATCCTCAGCTTCTGGACAACATTCTCCTAAGATTGTAATGAGTAATAAATATGATTTCTCATAGACACGATCCCAAACATGTCCAGGCCCCTTCCCTGTTAGTTGATCTGCTGTTTACTGCATCTCCAATTTCTCTCATCCCATTACAAAGCCTTTACTCTTCAGTTCTCCTTTTTGGAATTAGCCACTGAAATTCTTTCTCCCTAGGAGTATTCCAGTGAATATAAATACATTGGGAGGATTATTTCCCTTTCTCTATTGAGTGTAAAGCTTTGGCATCCCTCCTCAGCCCATACGTTCAGTCTGGCACTGATTCACGTATTCTTCCAGCTGGCTCTTCTGGGTTCTGGACACTAACAAACAGCATAGGATGAAAATCGTGACTCTACTGAACTTTCAATGTATGACCAGCCACAACACTATGGAGGGGCACTTATGGAAGGTAAAAACAGGAAATGAAAAATGTCCTCTTGGCTTCTCATTCTTTCATGTACACTTAATGTTTCTGCTACACTGATCTGTCTCTGGGCCTTTCCTCAACCAGTTCCTTTTGCAATGTCGCACCTTCTCCTCACCTCCACCTGTGAAATCCTATTCATGCTTCAACATCTATATCAAATGACAACTGTCCCGTGAAGTGTGATGTGACCTCTCCTTGTTCTGTGCAACCACAACATTAACAGATACTGCTTCATTAGTGTCTCATCCAGGTTCCCCAGAAGCTGAATCTGAGAAGTTCTCACACAGGTGATTTATTAAGGGACCACTCAAAAGAGACCTAGGAGGGAGGAAGGGAAGCAGGATGAGTCAAGAAAAGAAGGTAGGAAAGAAAGCTAGGCTTCTGGGGAAGTTGGCCTTGGGCAGATCCCACTGAAGGCTCAGGAGTGTGAGTTGCGCACAGCAGTTGTCTTACCCAAAGAAAAAGTTACCATATAACCCAGCAGTCTCTCTTCTAGATATATATGCTCAAAGGAAATGAAATGATTATCTCATAAAGATATCTGGACTTTCATGTGCCCATGTTCATTGCAGCATTAATCACAATAGCGAAGAAATGGATAAAGAAGCTGTGAATAGGCCGGGCGCAGTGGCTCATGCCTGTAATCCCAGCACCTTGGGAGGTCGAAGGGGGTGGATCATTTGAGGTCAGGAGTTCCAGACCGGCATGGCTAACATGGTGCAAACCCCATCTCTATTAATAAAAAAAAACACAAAAATTAGCCAAGTATGGTGGTGCATGCATGTAATCCCAGCTACTCGGGAGGCTGAGGCAGTAGAATTACTTGAATCCAGGAGGCGGAGGTTGCACTGAGTCAAGATCGAACCACTGCGCTCCAGCCTGGGCAACAGAGGGGAGACTCCGTCTCAAAAACAACAACAAAAACAAAAATAACACTGTGAATATATATATTTATTTATATATAATATTATTCAGTTTTTAAAAAGGTGGCGATCCTGCCGTTTGACCCATAGATGGACCTGGAGGAGGACACTTTGCTAAGTGAAAAAAGCCAGACACAGAGAGAAAAATATTGCATGATCTCACTTATATGTGGAATACATATATGAAAGATCATATATGCAAAGAGAGAGAGTAGAATGGTATGACCAGGGTCAGGGTGGGAAGGAGAAAATGGGGAGATACTTTTCAAAGGATATACAATGGCAGACATGTAGGATGAACAAATCTAAAGGCCTAATGTACAACAGGAGGACTGTAGGTAATAACAGTGTCATGTAGTCAGGATTCTTGGTAAATGAGTAGATTATAGCTGCTCTTGCCACAGGGAAAAGAAAATGGGTAACTATGTGAGATTATGGCTATGTTAATTTGTCTTACTCTAGTAACTATTTTATTATATATATGTATCTCACATCATGTTGTATGCCTTAAATATATGCAATAAGATTTATTTTTTAAAAAAGTTCACTGCCAATCAGCCATTGCCTATGAGATGTTCTATGCTGTGGCAGAAAGTGTACCCTCCAGGCATTTCCAGGGGAATTGCTATGATGGGTAAGCCAAGGGATAGCCTTCAGAGAAGGGTGCAGCCCGAGCCACTAGCAGCAACACTAACAGCTGGATAAGGGGGCTTTGGGCAGGAAACAATACCATCTGCTCAAAATATTCAATTAGGTAGTTATTACATGTCTCAAGCATCTAATAGACCTCTATTACATCCTAGACACTTTCTGGGCGATTTGAAATCAAAGATGGATGAATTGTGTCTGGGCAAAAATTTATTGAAGGTGAACTTTCAAGCACAGGATTAGTGAGACAGGATCCCGGGACCTGAAACTGGAGTCCGGGTGTTTATAAGAGCAAGGCTAAATTTCAGTTATTGAAACAGGTCCAGGCTGGGATCAGCAATATGTAAAGTGAGGTTATTGGAGATTTTGAATTCTCATTCCCTGATTCCCCTGCTAGCCTAGGGAAGAGCAGGCTCGTTCCTGGGCTACATCAAGGATGAGCCTGAAGATTTGAATCAATAGGGGGAGGTGCTGGTTGAGGGGCAAAGTGCCCAGCACTAACATTAAGTAGGAGGCTGATCAAACCAGGTTAACGAAAAAGGGGGTAGTTTACTCACTGATGGCAAAGAACTGGGGTTAGAGCTAACTTCAGTTAAGGCAGAATCAGAAAATTATGGATCTGTCCTCAGTCCCTCTTGCTCCATCTCTCAGCTCTGCCTCCCTCTGTGTTGTCTTTATTCTTAAGCACCTTCTTTTCTTGTACTGGCTCAGAGAAGCTCCTGGTTATATTTAATCAGTTTAGTGATTTACAGGTAAAAGAGAGCCTCTTTCTCAGTAGTTCCACCAAGTATCAGGATTAACTTCACTGGGTGGATTTGAGTCCTGTGATCAAAACCAAAGCAATTCCTATTGCTGGCAGGTGCAATTTTCAGATTGGATGGGCTAGGCTACATGCCCACTGGGGACCCGCAAGTGAAGCACAGTTGCTGACAGGGCAGAGTGAAGGAAACCCTCTTTCTCCAGGAGAGATATGTGAGGAAGGCAAAACCATCAAACATGTTCTACTGCAGCTCTCCACAATTAGGTTTTTGCATTGCTGGAGTGGAGCCTTATTGAGCTTACACATGGCAAACTGCAGGGCCATGAGGTCATTGCCATCAGCAAGCTCAGGACACAACTGATTTGACAAGTCATATTTAATACTGGGCTTGTAAAGAAGTTTCTCATTTTCATCTGACAGTTTTTATGATGGAAGTCAAGCTCACTAGCTTATAATTGACAGGATTTTTATGCATTTTGGAGAAGTTACAGCATCCAGTGGCCTACAGTTTGCAATCTATACAGACATTTCTGTTAACCTTGCAAAGCTTGAGAACTTGGCTTTTACGTTTTGTCACCGATCTTGTCAATTTCTAGACAGGTGACTTCACCCCAATCTCTTTGGGTTGTTTCTCTCCTTAAATTTAAGTGTTATTTCCTTGGACAAGGCCAGTGCCAGAGGTTTGAATATTGTTGTTTGTTGACTTGTGTAACTTCTTGGAAAATGATTTTCTTGCTGTGATGTGAAATTGACTTTTCATCTTTGGTGACAAAACACTCCTGCTCACATTTCCTGTGTTTGGAGGCACACAAATCTATTAAGGGGATATTCATGGGCTTTGAAAACAAAACTGCTTACTTGTGGGGAATTGGAGAATGAGGACTGATCTCTGAGATAGCTTTAAAAGAATCATTCTAAACATTTTTACTTTTGCTTAATACTTTATGATTTTAGGGTGCTGTAATTTAAAGACTAGGTTTTTGTTTCCTAATACTGGGGAAAATATTTCTCAAATATTCCAAATATTTGAATATTTCTAAATATTCCATTATGTTTCTTGCCGTAGCATCCTACAGACCATCCTGGGAGTATTTACGTGTCCTACTTTCATGCTGGTCTAGATTATGGGTTTCTCAAGGGCATGACTCCTTCACTTCACTATGGATCTTGTGAGCATGTTCAATTTAAGCTTGAGTAACGATAACATGGACGGTAGAATAGTTTTGAGTGGTCCTTTGGGTGTGGAGTAAGGATGTGTGTTAGATTGAGTTCATTCATTCATTTTGAGTTCACTCATTTGAACTCATAAATGAGTTTATTCATTCATTTATTTTTCTTCAGCAAATATTCATTGACCATTACCAGGATTAAGACATCGTTCTGGGCTGAGGATACAGAAGAGAACAAAGACAAAGCCCTTGCCTTCATGGAGCTCACATTCCACTTGGAGAAACAATCAATAGACAGGCACCCAGATGAACAAGTACTGGGTGCAGCGGTGACAAGAACTCCAGGAAACAGCACCCAGGGCAGGAGGAAGAGAGGCTGGAGGAAGGCATGGGGCTGTCTATAGGTTGTTAGAGGGTACTCCTCTAATCAGGAGGAAACAGAAGAGGCCAGGGGATTATCTGGGAAAAGAATATCCTGTGCCTGGTGAACTTTAGGAAAAGCGAAGAGGACAATGTGTTGGGGTGGAGAAGGCAGCGGTGGCGGATTATATCAGAAAGTGACAGGAGGACAGGGTGTGTAGGATGTTGGAGGCTGTTGTTAGAACTGTCTTTTACTCTGAGTTAAATGGGAAGCCATTGGAGGATCTTGAGCAGAGGAATGAACTAAACAAGCATGTTTTGAAAGGATTCTGTGTCAATTAGTTGTTGCCAGTGGCTCAGAACAGCGGTGGTTTATTTTTCTCCCTGTCTTGTGGGTTGACTGGGCAGTTATGTGATGGTTTCATCTGACCACACTCAAGTGGCTGCATCAGCCGAAGGACTGGCTAGGGGCCGAACTCCGTTGCAATTGCCCGGACGTCTGGCCCCCACTCTCCATGTGGACTTTCACCCTCAAGGAGGCTACACCAGGTTGGGATTGCTTCTGTGATGCTGGCAGCATTCCTGGAGAGCAAGCACTCCTTAACCTTCTGTTTGCCTCATATGTGCTAAGTCACAGAGTCAGCCCAGAGTCAGTGTGAGACAACATGTGGGTGTGGATACCAGAAGGCATGGTTCATTGGGGAAAATTAGTGTAGTCAGCTACCACTCTCTAGTTACTCTCTTGAGGGCAGACTTGGGGAACGAGGAATGGCAGAACAATAAGGTCAATTCAGAGGCTATTGTAATCCTTAGTGGTTTCTTGGTGCAGGGTGACAGCAGTACAATGCTAAGAAATGATCCAATTATGATTATATTTTGAAGATAGAGGCTAACGGGCTTATTGATGAGTGATGTGTGAGATGTGAAAGAAAGAGGGGAATTCAGGATGATCTCAAAATTTTTGTCTCCAGCAATTCCAAGGATATAGTTGCTATACACCAAGAAGAAGAGACTATGGTGGGGGGCAGATTTGTTGTCTGTGGGTTGGACAAAGTAAGAGGGTTGTAAGAATCCTGCTTTGGAACTGTTAAGTTTGAGATACCTGTTAGACATCAGCTATAGTATTAAGGATTTAGAGGGATGAGTCTGGAATAGAGAAACAAATTTGGGAATTGCCAGCCTGTAGATGGTGTTTAAAACTCTGGATGAGATTGCCAAGGGAGTGAGTAATTCCAGCTCTGCCATGTATGGAATGTGGGTACTTTGGGAGTATGCAAAATTTGTTTCCTCATTTGTAAAATGTTGGTTAATAATGGCAGGTTCTTCACAGGGCCAGTGTGCTAAATGAGTGAGATAACCCACATAAAATGATTAGCACCATGCCTGGCATGCACCCAGTAAAGTTAGCTATTATTATCAGTGTTCTACATGTGGAAAAAGTTTATTTGATTGACTCATTCTTCACTGGGAGGGACATTGATTGCAAGAATAGGCTAAGAAGGAGAGATTTTTCTGTTTCAGAGACACTTGAGAAGAAAATGGACAAATAACCCATGTAAGGGGTTTATAAATGCCCTTGATTAATGGCAGAAGGTCCATTGACCACAGTTCTTGGTCGTCTAGCATTAGAAAGTAGGTGCTGGAATCCTGAGTCTATCACTTTACTGATAATCTCTCTAAGCCAGTGGTCTCCAACCTTTTTAGCACCAGGGACTGGTTTCGTGGAAGACAATTTTTCCATGGACCATGGAGGGGTTGGGGTATGGTTTCGGGATGAAACTGTTCCACATCAGATCATCAGGCATTAGAATCTCGTAAGGAGTGTGCAACCTAGATCCTTTGCATGGGCAGTTCACAATAGGGTTCACACTTCTTTGAGAATCTAATGCTGCCGGTGATCTGACAGGAGGCAGAGCTCAGGCAGCAATGCTCAATCGCAGCTTACCTTCTGCTGTGAAGCCCAGTTCCTAACAGGCCATGGAAGAGTACCCGGTTTGCAGCCCTGGGGTTGGGGACCCTGGCTCTATGCCTAGATTTTATCCATCTGTAAAGTGGGCATGCAATAGTACTCACCCTGTATGAAATCAATTCTTGTGATAATCTTGAGATTCTAGCATTAAAACCAGCTGTCATTAAATATTCACTGGGATGACGATGATGATGATGTTGATAAGGATCTTGTTAGCATTCGAACATCTCTTTTCTTTGCATCAATATATGTGGAAAGAAAGACACTGCTAGTCATTCATTAAAGTAATTGAACTGTATTGAATCTCTACCTTATGGAGGGTCATGACTTGGACCTGTGTGATCAGGATGCCTATGAGGGGGATGATGCAAAAAGCTCTTCCTTAGCCTGGAAGGATAGTTTTGAAGCTTCTAAAAATGAAACTGTGTGTCTGAACTCCAGTCAAAATTTTACGTTTGGAAGTGAATCTTCCAGGAAAAGGTTGAGGCAACTTGGCAGCCCAGCCTCTAAAAACCTGCTTTGCCATCTTCTTGGTTAAATTTATTTCCTGCCTAAATAGAAATCTTCAATCTTTTATACTTTTTTAGCTTAGCAGTAATAAATTCGGCATCAAGAACATTTATTTGCAAGAGTGCCCCTGGTTTGCTGAGTTTGCAGAATGGCAAAAAAAAAAAAAAAAAAAAAAAAAGAACATTGTTTCTATTTGCCTTTTTTTTTTGCTGTTGTTTTTCATTTCTAAATATGAATAGAGACCCCACCTACTCTTCACTGTTTGTTCCTTCACTTTTGTACATTTTCCACATTTTCTTCCTTGTGCTGGGTCCCTCAAATTTAACATGGCTTCATTAGCCATACATAATGTGTATTTCACATCCTCTCTGTCTGTTAAGGCATTTTCTGTGTGTATTTCACAGGAGATTCTGATTGTAAATTGGTTGTGGAAACCTCATTGACTTCCTGTCTGTGATATTTCTGATGGATGGTCCCTATTTATACAGAACAGCACAGCATGTGCAAAGTTACACGGCTCCTCACCATGCTTAATGGGTTGGAAGGAGAGAGCCAGCAGTCCCACTGTGAAGAGAATCATCCACTTCCTTTTTTGTGCAGCAGTCAGAAAAGTCCAGTGTGGAACACAGGCTGTGAAAGGCTTATGCAGCTGACTCAAGTCCTGGCACTTCTACAAAGCCTTCCTGAAGAACAACTCAGTCCTGGAAATAACACTGTGGATTGCAGGGTTAAGAGCATGGGCGCTGGGGTAGACCCACTGACATGGAGCCCCACCTGGGTCATTTGTGGTGGGTGTCCGTGTTAGTGTCTTCATCTGAATGGGGAGATGGAGGTGACTTGTTCTGTGGGAGTGTCTTAGTCTGTTTGGACTCCTATAATAAAATATCATAGACTGGGTAGTTTATAAATAACAAAATTCTTTCTCACAGTTCTGGAGACTGGGAAGTCCAAGATAAAGTTGCTGGCAGATTCAGTGTCTGGTGAGGTCCTGCTTCCTGGTTCATGGATGGTGTCTTCTCACTGTGTCCTCACATGATGAAGGGGGCAAAGCAGATCTCTGGGGCCTCTTATATAAGGACACTAGTTATATTAATTGTGTGATTAACTCTCATCAGCTAATCACCTCCCAGTGGCCCCACCTCTAATACCATCACATTGGTGATGAGGTTTCAACATATAATTTTTTTGGTGGGGTGATACAAACGGACCATAACAGGGAACTTTTGTGATTTTGGCAGGTCCACTCACCTCTCTACCATTGTCTGGTTGACTAGATTCATGTTACCTTGTTTTCTATCCTCTGACTCTTGAATTGATCCCATCAACAGTATTTGCGTTTGTAACCCCTTAGTACTTTGTCAGAGTTGAGTATGGATATGTTTGCTTTCATGCACTTGGAATAAGCAGAACTTAATAATAGTAATGAGGAATGGGGGTCCCACTCTCCTTCCCCAGCTCCCTTATTGGCAAGGAATGGAGTTCCTTCTTCTCATTATGGGGCAAGAGGAGAACACAGTTGCATACACCTTCTCTTTGGGGAAAGAGTAGAGAGGACCCTCCTGAGATTCCTTGCCTAGAAGGAGACTGCACAGATAAATAAAAGAGGCCATCCACAACCTCCATGAAATTTAGAGCTCTGCAGCACAAGTGCAGCTGAGCTCAGGGGAGCTACTCAATAAAAAGTACTGTGGTGCTCACTTGTGATCTGTCTTGTTTCTGAGTTACAGGAAATCCTCAACTTCCATGTTTTCTTTCTTTTATTTTTCAATAATTTACAATTTTCATATTACATTCTGATGTCCCCAAATAGTTTTCCATGCACTGAATTAGGCCTTTTAGTCACTACCTCCTAATGATGATTTTGAGACTTTAGGGGGTGAGAGCTGCAATGTGCTGCTTGCCAGTGGCCACGTGATGGAGAATCAGGTCTCTGTTGACTCCGTGGCAGTTGGTGGTGCATACCCTTCTTCCACATTAGACAGAGAAACAATAATGGTCCCCATTTCTCTAAACCCATTTCTCTTCAATCCAGGTGACAAAGGGCACCAGTGAATCTCTAGACAACTGAGGTCCTAGAGTCTGTTCTCCTGGACCAAGCTCCTCTCCAAACTCCTTGCCCATCACACCACATTGACTTTACTATGTCCTTCTTCTGTGAAGGAAGGCTGTATGGTGCTATGCGTGGGTGTGGAGACTCACCAATCCATCATGAGGATTTGTTTTGCAATGACAGAGGAAATCTACCATTGTGTATTGGCAAGGGTGGGGCCCTGAAAATTCATCCAGTGGTCTTGGATATCACTTGTTTTTAAATCTTTTTGTTGAAGCATAATATACAAGCAAAAAAATGCACTAATCATATGTGTAGAACCTGATGAATTTTTACAAAGTGAACACACCTGGGTGACCAAAATCACTATCACCAAAAAATTAACCACTATTTTTATTCATTATCAAATATCTTCACCTGTTTTTTATTCTATATAAATGAAATTATACAGTATCTACTATTTTGGGTTTAGCTTCTTTGGTTTAATATTGTGTTTATGGGGTTTATCCATGTTTTTTCATGTAGCAATGGCACCATTTCACTGCTGCATTATTTGCTGCTATATGAGTATGTTACAATTTATATATTTGGCTGCTGTTGAACATTTTTGTCCAATACCAGGCTATAGTGAATAATGTTGTTTTGAACATTCTATTTCATGTCTTGTGGTGCATATATGTGTTAGTTTTTTGGATCTATACCTAAGCATGGCATTTCTGGGTCTTAGAGTACATGTTTGCTTTTGTAAGTACACCCAAACAGTTTTCCAAAGTGATTGTTAAACTCACATCAACAGCCGTGTAAGAGAGTCTCGTTGCTCTACATCCTTGTCAGCCTTTTAAAACTATTCTGGTAGGTGTACAGTGGTACTTTATTTTGCTTTTAATTTGTATTTCGGTGTGACCAATGGTGTGGAGAATCTTTTCACATGTTTGTTGATCATTTTGAGATCCTTTTTATGAAGTGCTTGTTTGAGTCTTTAAATCACAATCAATGGGTTATGTGTGTCTTTCTTACTGATTTTGGAGTTTTTTCAGTATCTTGAATATGAGCTCTTTGTTGGATATATGTACTGCAAATACTTTATCCAGTGGTGACTTTGGAATTTAAAAAAGTTTTACATTTTGAAAAAGTCCAATTTATCAATTGTTTACTTAGTGATTAGTGCTTTTGTGTCTTGTTTAAGAGAAGAGGCCATGTTTATATTGTCACCTAAAAGCTTTATAATTTTTTTTTACATTTAGATCTAGTTTATCTGGAATTGATTTTTGTCTACAGTGTGAGATAGGGGTCAAGATTTCTTATTTTTTTCCCACAGGGATATTCTATAGTCTCAATATCATTTACAAAACAAAACACCTTGTTCCTATGGCTCTGCCTTCGTCTTACATTAAGTGACTATCTGTGTGTGGTCTATTTCTGGATTCCCTATTCTGTTCCATTGGTCAGTTTTCTGTCCTTGTACCAATATCATACCATCTTAATTACTATAAGCTTGATAAGCTGTAATCTAAAATCTTCAACTTTGTTTTTATTCAAGATTTTCTTGTTTATCTTGGCTCCATGCATTTCCATATAAATGGCACAATCAGCTGTCAATTTCCACTGAAAAACCTACTGGGATTTGGAACGGCTTTAAATCTTTAGATCAATTTGGAGATAACTTACTTACATCAGTAAAATCCTGAGTCTTCTGGTCAGTACTTTCAACTGTGTTCCACTTGGCTTTCTAGCTGTTGGCCTTCTGTCTCCATGAATATACTCAATTATTATTTGTCATTTAAAAATAAAATAAAATATAAAAGAAAGGGAGCCTCCTGGGTCTGATGAAGTTGAGAACCACTGGTTAGTGGTGCATTGTATTTCCAGCTTCCTTTAGGGCTTACCTTTTGAAGTAAAAAACAAAAACAAAAAAAAAATAAAAAAATTTTTGCAAAAGCCCTTAAAAGGAAATAATTTTCTTTATGGATTTTCAAGCTTCAGTGTTGACTTCCTTGGCAGTCCCAACCTCAAATTTTAATCTCTCCAGCCTGTGAGATGACAAAAGCTCTTTTGAGAGCTGCTGTTTCTTAGAGTTCACTTTCTCAGTTTCCCCTCCCCATCCATGCCAAGAATCTGCAAACATTCCCACATGAAACAAGTCACGTGTCAATGTTGAGTCCATCTCACGCACTTTTCTTCTCTGTAGCACCTTGGCCACTTGGTATCCTGCCTGTCATGGCAGCTTTCTGATGCCTTCAAATAAGTTTTTTTTTTTTTTTTTAATTATCCAGTGTTTCTAGTTTTTTTGGTCTGCAACAAACTAATTCATCACAGCTGGAAGCCGAACTATCCTAGTGATCTCACTTATTTACCTATCTTTCTTGGTCTGAGGGAAGAGAAATACTTGGATGAACAGTATATAAGGATGTTATAATAGCATTCTAAGGAAGGAAGTGCAGTCCCCAAAGCCTGCAGTTTTACTGTTTGATAATCAGAGATTGGATTTTTAAGATGTAAATTGTTGGGTGTGGAGGCAGAGGGCCACTTGTATGTAAGCCCATGTTTGTCCTGGTCATGAAAACAGCTTGTTAGCTCCCCTTTGCATCTATATTTTATAGGGAGATGGTTAACAAACACTTATTGAATTGAACCGAACTAAAAACAGAAAACTTTGCAGGAGGAGGTAGTTCTGCAAGCAAAATCAGAAAGTGTGACTGAATCTACGATAGACAGTGAAGGTAAGGTGGGTTGTAGAAGGGCTGTGCTCTTGGAACCAGGCTGACCTGTGTTTGAGTTTTGGCTCTCACCTGCCAGCTCTGTAACTCTGGGTAAGTTTAAGGAGTGTGAGGCTTGTTTGAGTTGTGAAGTGCAGTCAGCAGTCAGCTAGATGATTCCTAGGATAGGGATTGATAATTGTGATCTGTGAATTATCAACATGCAGTGTTGAATGAGGCCATTGGGACAAAAGTGGGATTAGAACTCCCATAAGAGTATGCGAGGAAACTGGAAAAGAGGACACTGAGGAATACTGAGGCAGTAGAGGTGTCTTTGAAGAAGATTAGAAAATGGTCAGAGAGGTAGAAAGGTATCTGGAAAGAGTGGAGTCAGCAAAGCTGCGGAGCAGAGAGTTTCAAGGGAAGGAGTGTCTGTCCTCCCCGGCTGAGGATGCACAACACTCCAGCTGTGCTGGGGGTGCTAGCTCCCCGTGTGCTTCCCTGGAGGGTGGTTTTGTGCATTCTTTCTACATCACTCAACTCTGGGGCTGGGTCAGGCCAGGTATCTCATATTCCAGGCTTCCAGGAATGAATCCGTGAAAGACCACAGGACCCCACAATCTTCTCATTCATGCCGCATCTGAAGAAAAGCCTGCCTGGCTTTGCTGCCTGTAGTTCTTCCTGGAGAACACCTGAGTGTCATCTTTCAGAATTCAGAAGTTAAGCTAGTAACAACAATGAAACCTTTAATGTGAATGTGATCTATAGGTAAGTGAATGTGGCACGGGGTTCTGGGAGCTCTGAGGAGTATTTTTGAACATTACCTTCTGTCAGGCATTTTACGTGCACCATCTCTATTATCAAAAATGGTCTTGCTTGGGTGGTATTATTGTTTCCATTTTTAGATCGAAAAAAACTAGGGTATAGGCGTTTACCAGCTCACCCAAAGTCAGACAGTGAATGACAGAGCCGAAACCAAACCCATGGCTAACTATGAAGTCAATGTTCAGGGCACTCCACTATGCCTCGTTACATTTTTACAACAGGGGCCTTTCTTCTTCTATCAGCACCTTGTGTCTGACATCCTGAAAGTAGAAATGTCTCCCTTATTGGCCCTTCCTTCACTGGCATAGTGAACTCTACAAGCTGGCTTTAAGAGAGAAGTTTGAGGGAACAGAATAGGAAGTCTCTCTTAGCATGTGATCATTGGGGTGGTAAGGTATGAGTGGAGGGACAGGTTTTCACTCTATTTCTATTATATAGAATTACAAGACAGACCACTGATGACAAATCCATTTTATGAAACAGTTAGGTAGAAAGGGATTTTCCAATATATACAAAGAAGGCTTAAGTGTGTGTATACCCTTTAAATCAGAGGTTTCAATTCTAGAAGTTTAAGAATATTACCATATGTGTATAAAGAAAATTTTATAAGTATATAATTTGTATTGATGCCCATAGAAATTAAACATTTGGGCCAGGTATGGTGGCTCACGCCTGTAATCCCAGCACCTTGGGAGGCCAAGGCAGGCAGTTCACAAGGTCAGAAGTTCAAGACCAGCTTGGCCAATATGGTGAAACCCCATCTCTACTGAAAATACAAAAATTACCCGGGCGTGGTAGCGCGCACCTGCAGTCCCAGCTGCTTGGAAGGCTGAGGCAGAAGAATTGCTTGAACCCAGAAGGCGGAGGTTGCAGTGAGCCCAGATCGCACCACTGCACTCCAGCCTGGGTAACAGAGAGAGATTCCATTTTAAAAGAAAAAGAAATTAAACATTTGGAAAGATCCAGTGTCCATCATTGGGGATCAGCTGAAGCAGTGAGGGTGCAGCCAGTCAAGACTGCTATTCATGGCTGATTAAAACTGACAAATGGATGAATAACATGTGGTATATTCATACAGTGGAATGTTGTTCAGAATTAGAAATGAAGTTCTGATACATGCTGCAACATGAATGAACTTTAAAAACACTCTGCTAAGTGAAGGAAGCCAGTCACAAAAGACCACATATTGTATGATTTCATTTACATGAAATGAATTGAAGAGGCAAATCCGTACATAGATTCTTTAACATATACATTCCCCCATGATATTTGTTAACAGAAAGTCATGGATTTTTAAATAGTACATATATTATTATCCAGTATTTGGTGAAAATCTTTTGGAGATGTCTTAAAATTGCAGTGCCTCTGCCTAAGCTAGGAGTCAAGTCATCTGCATTGTGTATTTTCCTTTGTCCTCTAAATTTAGACACTGTTGTAGACATTGATCATTCTGTATTTACTTCACTATTAAATGGTGTACGGATTTTCCTGGGTCCTTAGTTACTTTGGTGATGGTGATGTGGAACTAGAGAGATTTTGTGCTGTGTGTCAGCCTAAACCTTTGAGCTGTTGGAAAATGCCAACAGCCTTGTTTGTATAATGTTTGGAAGCATCTTGCATCAGTAAAGTTGCCTAAGATTTTGTGATCCAGGTTGTTCTTTGTCTGTCCTATATTATGCAGTACCTCAAAGATCACAGATTATGAAATGGTGAAGATATAGTATCAGCTATGTATGTATATATAAGTATGTTTATGTGTGTGTGTGTGTAAAACTGATATTGCACTTTATATACTTTTTGATATGTCTAAACCCATAATCTTCTTGAATTATTTTATAATTAGAAAAATTGAGCTAATTTCATTTTGGAGAAAAATCAGCTGATTCTGTTGGTAGAATGGGACAAGGAGAAAATGTATCTGAATTTACGTAGTATTTTATAATTTTCAAGTACCTTCTTTATGCCTTTGTTCCATTTATTTATTCATTTTTTGGATACTTCTGACGATGGCACAGAATATAAAGGCATACGCCAGAGATATCGCGTGTTCAATTCCAGGCCACCTCAGTAAAATGAGTATCACAATAAAATGAGTCAGAAAATTTTTTTGGCTTCCCAGTGCATATGGAAGTTAGGTTTATAATATATTGTAGTCCATAAAGTGTGCAATATCATTGTGTCTAACAATGTACATACCTTAATTTAAAAATGCTGTAGTTATTACTAAAAAATGGTAAGAATCGTCCGAGCCTTCAGTGAGTCAGTCTTTTCACTGGTGTTTCCTCAATGTTGATGGCTATTGACTGATCAGGTTGGTGTTTACTGACGGTTGTGGTGGCCATGGAAATTTCTTAAGACAGCTATGAAGTTTGTCACATCCATTGACTCTCCTTTTTCTGTGGCATGTAATAATGCTGTTTGATTGTATTTTACCCACAGAAGAACTTTAAAACTTGGAGTGAATTTTCTCAAGCCCTGCACTGCTTTCTCAATTAAGTTGATGTAATATTCTAAATCCTTTGTTATCATTTCAACAACATTTATAGCATTGTCACCAGTAGTAGATTTAGTTTAGAACACCACTTTCTTTGCTCATCCATTAGAAGCAACTCCTTATCCCTCAAGTTCTAAGAGATTGCAGCAATTCAGTCATATCTTCTAATTCTAGTTCTTTTGGTATTTCTGCCACATTTGCAGTTACTTCTTCCAAAGAAGTGTTGAACCCCTCAAACTTATCCATGAGGTTTGGAATCAACTTCTTTCAAACACCTGTTAATGTTGCTATTTTAACCTTCTCTCACGAATAACACATATTCTGAATAGCATCTAGAATGGTGAATCATTTGCAGAAGGTTTTCAATTTACTTTGCCCAGATTCATCAGAGAAATCATTATCTGTGGCAGCCGTATAGCCTTAAAAATGCATTTTTTAAATAATGAGGCTTGAAAGTCAAAATTACTTCTTGATCCATAAGCTGTAGAATAGGTACGATGTTAGCAGGCATGAAAGCAGCATTAATCTTCTTGTATATCTCCATCAGAGCTCTTGGATGACCAGGAGCATTGTCAATAATCAGCAATATTCTGAAAGGAATGTTATTTTCTGAGCACTAGGTCTCAGCAGTGGGTTTAAAATATTCAGTAAACCATGCTATAAACAGATGTGCTGTTATCCAGGCTTTGTTGTTCCATTTACAGAGCTAGGCAGAACAGATTTAGCATAGTTCTTAAGGGCCCTAGGATTTCTTTGGAATGGTAAATAAGCATTGGCTTCAACTTAAAGTCACTAGCTGCATTAGCCCCTAACAAGACAGCCAGAAGCCAGGTGTGGTGGCTCATGCCTGTAATCCCAGCAATTTGGGAGGCCGAGGTAGGAGGATCTGAGGTGAAGAGTTTGAGACCAGCCTGGCAATTTAGCAAGCCTTCATCTCTATGAAAATAAAATAAAAATTAAAAAAATTAAGAGAGTCAGGCTGCTCTTTGAAGCTTTGGAGCCAGTCATTGACTTCTCTCTATCTGTGAAAGTTCTTGATGATATCGACTTCCAATAAAATACCGTTTTGTCTTTATTGAAAAATCTGTTGTTTAGTGTAGCCACCTTCATCAGTGATCTGAACTAGGTCTTTTGGATAACTTGCTGCGGCTTCTTCATCAGCACTTTTTGCTTCACCTTGCACTTTTATGTTACAGGGATAGCTTCTTAAAACCTCATGAGCCAACCTCTGCTAGCTTCAATTTTTTTCTTTCACAGCTTTTTTTTTTTTTAATCTCTCTCATGTTTCATAGAATTAAAGAGAGTTAGGACCTTTCTCTGGATTAGGCTTTGGCCAAAGGGAAGGTTGTGGCTGGGTCAATTTTCTGTCCAGACCACTACAGCTTTCTCAATATCAGCAATATGGTTGTTTGACTTTCTTATTTATATGTTTATGAGAATAGCACTTTTAGTTTCCTTCAGGAACTTTTTTTCTGCACTTACAACTTGGCTAACTATTTTGTACAAGAGGCCTAGCTTTTGGCCTGTCTCACCTTTTGACATGCCTTCCTTACTAAACTCAATTATATATAGCCTTTGATTCAAAGTGAGAGACACGTGACTCTTCCTTTCATTTGAATACTTACAGACCATTGTAGCATTATTAATTGGCCCAATTTCAATATTGTTGTATCTCAGGGAATAGGGAGGCCTGAGGATAGGGAAGTAGATGGAGGAAGGGCTGATTATTGGAGTAGTCAGAACATACAACATTTATTGATTAAGTTTGCCATCTTACATGGGTGTGGTTTGTGATGCTCCTCCCTCTCAAATTACAATAGTAACATTAAAGATCACTGATTACAGATTCCCCATAATATAATAAAATGTTTGAAATATAGCAAGAATTACCAAAATGTGACACAGAGACACAAAGTAAGTGCATGCAGTTGGAAAAAATGGTGCAAATAGATTTGCTCAATGCAGGTTTACTACAAACCTTTAATTTGGAAAACTCGTAACATCTGGGAAGCACAATAATGTGAAGTGCAGTAAAATGAGGTATGCCTGCGTTATTATCCCAATAGGCATGGCAGAATTTATTTGCCCATTTTTAAAATTTGTTTTTACTTCTTAAATTGACATATAATAATTATACTTATGTATGGGTTACATAGTGATGTTTCAATACTTATAATATATAGTGACCACATCAGGGTGATTAGAATATTCATCATCTGAAGCATTTCTTCATGTAGGAAATATTCAATATTCTCCTTTTAGCTATTATTTGAAACATATATTATTGTTAACTATGTATTATTGTTCCATTCTACACTGGTATAGAACACTAGAACTTATTCCTGCTATCTAGCTGTAATTTTGTATCCTTAAACACATCTCTCCCTGTTGCCTTCTTCTCCAGGTCCTTCCCTAACTATGAGTGTGGGACCTTTGGGCTGGGCTGGGAATGTGCTGTGGGGGGATGCTGGGGATTTTTACTTAGGTCCTGGGCATGGGCTCATAACTGCTCCACTGGTTGGGGGCAGGTCAACTACTCTGTGGCCTGGGGACCTGTCACGCTCAGGGAAGAGCAGGCCATGGTTTGGCTGGCTCAAGGGCAGATTCTCCCTGGGCAGGACTGGCAGACTGTTCCTCTAGCTATTAATAGATGTGCAGGTGGCAGTGGTTGGTTTTCCTGATCTGCAGGACCAGAGTTACAGCTGATCCTAGGCACAGGCTCCGTGTAGCTGGGGTTGTGGTATTCGGCCACCTGTGTGGGCTTGGTGGTGTGAAGATGGAGCCCCAGTGCTGAAATGGTGCAATGGCTACTGGCCCCAGAGGAGGCCACACTCCTGAGGTGGCTTCAGTCTTAAGATGGCACTGTGCTGCAGCAGCTTGGCTCATTCAGAGGTGAGTGGCAGGTGGGAAATTCACCTAATGTGCTCATAACCTGGAATGCCAGTGCATGAATTCCTGGTAGCTCTACAAACTGGGCACATGGCCTGTGAGGACTGTAGAATCCTCCTGTAGTAAGGACTGTAGGTACATAGTGGCAATTGGAGCTGGTGGGGTTGTTCTTCTGCTCACATTTTTCCCACGAGGGAGAGTCCTTCCTGACTTCAGGCAGATCCAACCTGGGTGGGAGAGATGGTACTGCAGAGGCTTGGCACACCCACCCTGCCCTCCTGAACTTCCAATTACCACAGGTGCCTCTCCACTCCCGTGCTGCACACCAGTGCTTTCCCTTTGACATTCTTCCTACATCTTAGCTGTTTATTCATTGTCTTGGTCCTTTCTTGTGGGAGAAATGAGTGCCAGGTGTCTCCGGTCAGCTGTCTTGCTGATGTCACTCTCTCTCTCCTATAGGCAGGCACTATATACAATAAGCATTGGTGCCACAGAAAGAAAGAGTTCCCGGACTGAGGGCATTTCTGGGAAGGGAGTATGAAGCAAGCAGTGGTGTAAGAGAACTGGAGTGGGGAGAAGAACATGGCAAAAGCAATATGAAAAATAATTTTTATAATTTTGCAATATATTAGCTTTGGCTGTTGTTTTGTTTTTGGCTGTGGGTTATTAAGAAAAATGAGCTACATTTGAGTCTCAGTTCTGTTGTGAACTAATTACATGGTCTCCAGAAATTCAGAGTTCTTCCCTGAGTCTTGATTTCTTCATCTGTAACATGAAAACAATGCCACATTTCTGTGGGTTGTCATAAAGTTCAAAGGTAACAGCAAATTCCCAAGTGCTCTGTAATTAAGAAGGTTATGTATTTGCAGGTTTTATTATGCAGACGACCACATGACATTTTCTCTTAGATACTACTTGAGGTTTCGTCTTATATTTTGTGGTGTGTTCTGTTTAATATCCCATAGATTCTTTCATTTGATTCATGGAAAATGTTGGCCAGACTCAGCTGTGATCCAGGGTCCTGTGATTTGTGGTTTCATGCTATTTCTCTCATATTAAAAGGCTTTTCCTCCAATTTTGTCACTTTCAGAAAATGAAATGAAAACACAAGGCAATCCTCTCCACCTGGAATATGGCACTTCTTCAAGGTTCCTATCTCCTTCGGTAAAAATTAGTTTTCTGAGTCCTGGACCCAGATTTCCCTTGGGGCTCCTGGGGCTGTGTACACTGAGTGGTGCTTGAGGACCTGGAGATGTTAAGCAGAGATTGAGTTGGGCCTGGCTCAGGGCCCAGGACTAGGATGTGTGGAGGACATTTGTCTTTAGCCCCGTCTACCTCTCTTTCTGTGTCCTCTTCGACCTCCTGTAGTATTCTTATAGTGTCCATCACCCACTCTTTGAATAGTATCACCCTCTGAGAGTCCAGAATCACTGTCATCTCCAAAAAGTACCTGAGCTGCATTTTCAACCTGTAGGGTGATATTTCCCAAATTGCATTCTGCAGAACATGGTTCTGTAATCTGCTCCATGGTACAAAGGTTCTAGGGTCAAATATATTTGGCAGACTGTGCTTATGCTGCTCTTTTGAATATTTTGTAGATTTTTAATGCATAGCTTATTAAGCGTTCTGAGAATTTCTGCTTTTTACCTATTGAACCATTTCTCATTTTCTTCTCTTTCTGGGATCTTAGTACACATGTGCTATTATTCCACCAGTCCCTGAGGAGGTCTCTGATACTGTCCCACCTGTCTTTTTTCAACCCCTACCCCAATCTTTTTTTCTCTGCTCCTCAGCTTGGAGAATTTCTGTTGATTTACTTTCAAATTTGTTGACTCATTCTTTTGTATTTTCAATCTGTTATTAAGCCCATTCAATTACTTTATCTCAGTTTCTAATTCCAAAGTTTCCATTTGATCCTGTAATATAGCTTCAATTTCTTTGCTAAGATGCCCTATCTGTTCACTCATTTAGATCACATTTTCCTTTAAGTGAACATGTTTATATTAGCTGCTTCAAAATTTTAATCTGTGAAATACTACATGTGTGCTAGTTCAGGTTTGGTTTTCTATTGATTTTTTTTCTTCACTAAATGTTATATTTTTATATTTTCTATTTCCATGCATGTCTAATACTTTTGAACTTTTACTGAACAAAATAGATAATGTAGATTGAGGTTTTTTTGGAAGTGGTTCAATTAATAGTTGATCACCTTAGATTTATATTGGTTTTGTGCTTTGTAAAGATTGATCTGGAAAAACCTATGGTATTTCTCAAGCCCTATAATTTGGGGGATCCAATCTCTAAACTCTGTCTCTGTTGTAGATCTTATCATAATTTTAGCATCTGTTAGTGTGTGTCTAGTGTAGGGCTTACTCTATGTAGCCTGTGGTCTTTAAACCTAAATCTGGACCCTTCTGTTTCCTCTGTTTGGTGACTAGGTTGTTAGCAAGGTGTTAATGAGGTCTTGGCTTTTCTCTTGCTGGACCATAATTTCAACTTCCTGGGCACTGTCCAGCCTGCAGTGTCTCTGTTCTACTGACTAGGGTAAGCCTCTGGTAGTCTCACCTTTAGCTTGTGCAGCCCACCTCTGAGTCAGTGACTCACAAGTGACTTCTCCTTTCACAATCTGTACAGCTTTGTGTCCTCCAATACCTGATTCCCATATTCCAGCCCCAGTGCACATTCATCACAGTGAGTGTGTTAGTCTGTTCTCAAACTGCTTATAAAGCCATACTTGAGACTGGGTAATTTATAAAGAATAACAGGTTTAAGGGACTTACAGTTTCACATGGATGGGGAGGCCTTCCAATCATGGCAGAAGGCAAAGGAGAAAGAAAGTCACATCTTACATGGCAGCAGGCAAGAGAGAGCTTATGCGGGGGAACTCGTCTTTATAAAACTATCAGATCTCATGAGACTTATTTACTATCACTAGAACGACCTGGGAAAGACCCAACCCTATGATTCCATTACCTCTCACTGGGTCCCTCACACAACATGTGGGAATTGTGGGAACCACAATTCAAGATGAGATTTTGGTGGGGACACAGCCAAACTATATCAGTGAGGTTAGTATGCTATGCCTGGACTCCAGGGCACAGCTGGGAAGTTGTCCCTTGCAGAGAGCTGGGCAATCATGAGGCTCACCTGTGAATTTCTCTTCTCTTGGAATTTCAGTCTTCTGTAGCCTATTGTCACATGCCTGAGAAGAATTGTCTTATTTCCTTTTTTTAGTTTTATAATTATATATGGCAGGAAGACAAGTCTGATACCAGTTGGACCATTATATCTGGAGGTTCAGAGGTGATCCTTTAAGTCATTTTTGTCATTGCATACCATGTAACCTATGTTCAAATGGTAATGTCCTTGTCTCTGCCTTCAAACCCACTAAGCTCAGATAACAAATCTCAAGTCCCCATCTTTAAGTCTTTGTTTACTTCCAAGTTTCAAACAAGTAAAAGTTGAATACAGCAAATATGTATTTTAAGCAGACAGGCATTTAGTATAGGAATTCAGTGCTAACAAAATCATTGAAAGGGATCACTCTCAGATCAGCATAGAATTGATTCACAGGGGAGCTTCTATTTCTGAGGCTGCCCAGGGTGGTTTCTGGCATCAAGGATCTCAGCTCTCATTTCAAATACCTGTTGGGGCATAGACCAAATGCTGGAACATAGACCTTGAAATGTTACTGTAGAAAAACTTCATATTCCTAAGACCTTCCTTACTAGCAGAAACCCAACTCAAAAAGAGAGAAGATAGAGTAGTTTAGCTTATTTATGCCTTTCAACTCATATATATCTAATTGGTAAAATCTAATTTGTGTGCAGATCTTAGCTGCAAGGGAGTCAGCACAATGTGGACTCTAGCATTCCAGTCTCCCCTAGAAGGATGATAGGAAGGAGTTTGAATGAGTTGATACACAAAGCACCAGCATGCATGTTCTCTGCTTAGAATTCCTTCCTCATCCTTCAAGACTTACCTCCAATGCCACCTCTTCCTTAGTGCTTATTTGTTAATCTCATGTCATATAGCACATACACCCATTATAATGTTTTTCCAAATAGTTTTTATAATTTATTATGTTTCTCTTTTCCCCATTAGGGAAAAATGAAGCTCTTTGGGTTAGAGACTATGGCTTGTTCATTCTTCAACCCTGGTGTCTAGTTCAATGGCTGGCATCTATGGCTCTAATACATGTCTACTGAATGAATGAATGAATGAATGAATGAATGAATGAATCATGAGAAATAGTGATGATTTTACATCTTTAAATCATGTCATATAGAAAGATGCCCTTGGAGCTTGGAATGACCTTGAAGACAGGCTGACTTTTGCTTCACTCCTTCTTAGATTCTATGTGAACTAACTAGTAAAGATTGAAAAATTCTGCTCAACCAATTATCTGGAGCTAGAAAGAGGAGATAAATGGCTCTTTGACTGAATTCTACAGATCTTTTAAAATTAATTCAGTCACAGTGGTTTGTGTGTGTGTAACTGCAGTCTTGAGCCCGGGGAGACCATTCTGAGCCTTGGATCCAGGCTTTCAGAGGTACTTAATAAGTCATTCACCACCTGAACATTTCTTATCTGTGAGTTGGAAGAGGAAACTCTCCCTTGGGGGGGTAATGCATGCATGTGCCAAGCAAACGGCTTCCCTTGCAGTGGCTGAGATTAATGATTTGCCTCCTGGAGGCAAACATTTTTCTCCCCAGTGGAGTCCTTCCCACTCCCTGGCCCATCATTAAATCTAGCCCATTAATAACATTGGCCCGAATTCTGCCTCCTAGAACTCAGCAATTGTGCTAGAGCTTGTTTCAGTCCTGGCCCAGCTGGTTGGAATTTGTGACTGGCTCTGCATACAATGGGGAAGCTTATGTTTATGTGCACATATTATGGGCCTCCAAAAGCTCCATCTGTCCTAACACAGAATCTTAGCCCTGAGAGGGACTACTCAGTCCTAAGAGGGACCTGGGAGAACCTGGGTTATTAGGAAGGCATGGGGCTGGGTGACAGAGAACCTGGCTCCTGTTTTTCAGCTCTTCTACTGAAGATGCCCATTGGCAAAGCACATAACTTCTCAGTCAGGACAGCACAGCCACCTAACCTACTTGAAGCTGACTTGGCCTACGTATGCAATAAATGCTAGGGTTTGTCACCGAGGCATTTTGGTAGATTGCTCTGCAGCATTATTGTGGCAATAGATAACTGACACTCCACCCAACAATCGTTTCATTAATAATGATCATATTATTTGATAAATATTTCTTTTTTTTAATTTTGAGATGGAGTCTTGCTCTGTCACCCAGGCTGGAGTGCAGTGGTGTGATCTCGGTTCACAGCAAGCTCCACCTCCTGGGTTCAAGTGGTTGTCCTGCCTCAGCCTCCCGAGTAGCTAGGATTACAGGCATGTGCCACCATGCCCAGCTGATTTTTTTTATTTTTTATTTTTAGTAGAGATGAGGTTTCACTATGTTGGCCAGGCTGGTCTCGAACTCCTGACCTCAGGTGATCTGCCTGCCTCAGCCTCCCAAAGTGTTAAGGATTACAGGCATGAGCCACTCTGCCTGGCTGATAAATATTTCTTGATCACTTATTTCATGCCAGGCACCATCACTCTCTAAATTTTCCAATCATTGGAGGGAAAACTCTACAACTGTAAAGGATGTGCTAGAATTCAGGATTATTTGTAATTGTGCATTTGCTTTTATATGTGGTGGGGAAGGGAGGGAGCATGTTGGTGTGAGTCAGTTCCTGAGAGACTGCTCAGTCCTGGGAGTGAACTCCTCTAAATAAAGTTCCTATACCTGCGGAGGGGAACCAGGCCCTGGATTAGGTGACTCCACCTTGTGCAGCTCACCCACCTTCTACCCCAGCACAGG
Source organism: Homo sapiens (assembly GCF_000001405.40). Lineage (NCBI taxonomy): Eukaryota > Metazoa > Chordata > Mammalia > Primates > Hominidae > Homo > Homo sapiens. The sequence goes on along the minus strand of NC_000008.11, from coordinate 134,384,417 downwards.
AGGTTTGACCTGAGTGAGCCACATTTGTTTCTAACTGTAACCAAACCATAGAGTAAACATATGGGAGAATATAGTTAAGTTCCAATTATGCAGTACGGAGAGGATGTTCTGTGGGAGTAGAGGAAAAGGAAAGGTCAGCAGGTGATAGAGTTTTGAGTTGGCAGGTAATCAATGATGGTCGACTATATTTACATATTATAGTGAGTTATAGTTCACATTATCTTAGGGATGTTTATACAGGTACTGCTACTGCAATTTCTTGGGCTCCAGCCATGTGCCAGTCATGCACTCAACACTTTATGTACATTTTAAAATTTAATCTCAAATAGCCCTTGCAGTAATCGGTAGGTGCTTTTTGTATTCCTATGTACAGATGAGGATACTGAAGTCCAGAGAGGTTAAATGACTTGTCCAAGGTCACACAGCTGAACAGTGGCAGAACCAAGATTCAATCCATGTCTCTTTGCCTCCAGACCATGACCCTGTACCACTTCTGGGTGCACTTGGGCCTTTCCTGATATAATCCTATGGGAAAGAAAATTCACATAAAATCTTTAAATCCTCATTTTGTAAATAAAGAAGCCAACTTTCAGGAAAGCTACAGAATCCTTCCAAGGCCAATTAATGAGACTTACTAATTAGTTAGTAGCACAGCCAGTTTGGTCCATGTTTTTCATATATCTCATTGTAGTTCAGTTTTTAAGGGCCAGAATATACATTCAATGACAGCTTCTTTGGGTGACCACCAGGGTAGGAGGGGAGGTGGCCAAAGGTGATAAACAAGCCCGTTCTTTGGTCATGATTTCTTCTCTTAAATCTGAGAGTGAAGACAGGCGGGCTCAATATTTGTTTTCAACTGAGTGCATTAAAACAAAGCTTGGAAGTCTTTTTTTCTCTTTTGCTGCTGTGGATGAGTGGAGAAAGTGGCTGAAAGAACAGCTTCATGTGTTGGGGCTTTGACTTTTGAGAGGACCTGTCTGGACTCCTCCTCTGCAGCTGGGGCCATTTAGAAGCTCATTTGCTCTGGGCTTGCTCCAGAGCCTGCCCTTCTGGCTGGCTGTGACCAGTGTGTTTCTCCCTTAAATGGAACAAGCACCTTTCAATATCTTTATCTCTTGCTTCCTGAGACATGAACCAAGATGCATACTCCACAGATGGCACAATTAAACCTGGAGAACCCCTGGACACCCTGCTAGACAGCCAAGATAAGAAAGCTAATTTTTTTCAGTGGACTTTTTCTAAATGAACAGAACCTGAGTCTCCCCTCTTGTCTAAAAAAATATTCTTACTGAATTCTAAAAGTAAGAGGGATTTTCAAAGGGAAAATCCAATATCCTTCCAGTGGCTATTTATCTTGTTTTTTACTGATTTATTCAATATGTGTGTGTGTGTGTGTGTGTGTGTTTGTATGTATGTAGATACATAGATACCTGGCTGGCACAATATCAGACACAAGAAGCAAATTTACACGATGTAGCCAATATAGTGAGGGAAACAAACATAAAATAAATTATAGCAAATTAAATATATAACCACAAAGTATGCTTCATGCTATCAAGAACATAAAGGATCTCTGAGATTATGAAGTGGGTTGCCTTCACCTGTTTAGTTAGGGCCAGGAGCTCCTCTGGGAGGAAGTGTTCTTTATGCTGAGATGAGAAGGACTGGTAGGTAGGAGGCTGCTGGGAGAAGAGTGGTGCTGAAGTGGGTGGGGAGCAAGATAAAATTTGGGCAAAGGCCCCACAGGCATTGAGGTTGTGAGTTGGAAGGGAGTGGAGTTTTCCATGTTAGAGAAACATGAGCAAGCTAGCAGGCTGGCAAGTGGCAAGGAGGGAAGAGGGCCGAGAGGCGAGCTGGCAGTTTTAGACAGGAAGCATATTTCACAGGAGCTGTGAGCCACATTATGAGTTTTAGGGATGAAGTTCACAAACAGCACAAAAAACCCCTGGACAGCAGGTTGGAGAGTGGATTGGGGATAAAGTGTTCAGAGAAGCTCTCTAGGAAGAACCAAGGTAAGTGGCAGGTGTTGGCCTGTGGACTTAGAAGACTCATCCTGGAGACAGGACAATGTTTATTAAGACCCACATTTCTTTGAGCAAGTCTGCTGCTCTGGTCTTTAATTTCCTGACTCTGTCAATGCAGAGACTAACACCCACCCTGCCTGCTGCAGAGGAAGGAAGGAAGGAAGGAAGGATGCCTCCCATGAACGAGCTCTGGGAAGCACATGAACCCATGTGAGTTTGGAGTAAAAGTATGATGTGGGCATGCCATGATCCAAGAGACCTAATGCTGTGGGAGCCGAGTGGGAGATGGCACTTCCTGCTGGAGATGGTGGGGACATAGCATGTGAGCTGGGCATTGTATGTCAGAGATGGTTTGAATGAGAGAGGTGGGGATAGGAGGTGTCCTGGCTCAAGGACAGAGACTGGGCCAAGGCAGAGTGGTGGGATTCTACAGGGAACGGGAGCAGGTCAGGGTGGCCCCTGCTGCTGGAACATGTTTCTGGCAGGAGGAGCCCTAAGCTCACAGGGTTTTGTGCACAGCCTGGGCTTGCGTCTTCTGCCTCTGCCTTCTTTAACTGGGTTCCTGTTTTATTCCTCTTCTGGGGACTGGAGAAATCAACATCTTACTGTCTAGAGGATGGCTACTGAAAACAAATATAAGTGCTCACTCTCTTAATTAAAAAAGCAAAATCCCCTCATAAATGAAGGCCAACCTTTTCTACAGCTGCTCATGTTGGTTCCCGGGGGTCCCCAGCTGGTGCACAGTGAATACAGGTGCTGAGGAAGCCTTGCAGCAGTGGGAAGTGGGGTAAAGCACTTCAATTTGGACTTCTTGCCCTCCATGCATGGCCCCACCTGGCCCTGACCTGCTGAGCTCAGCACTGACAGCTCTAGAGATGGCTTTCATCCTGTTCTGCTCCATTTCAGCCTGAAACACAACCACTGAGCCCCCACAGAGCTCTGACCCACTTCCCAGCTTGTGCTGTTGAGAGGGGTAGCATGAGGGTGTGGGAAGAGTGGAGAGCTACAGCACGTGGGATTCCTATTGAATTTCTTCCTGCTACTGAGATCTGTTTCTGCGCTTTTCTAAGAGATGATATCATGCAGCTGTTAGGAGTATGGGTCCCGGATGGCTGCCTGGGTTCAAATCCTGACTGTCACATGCTCACTGTTTACCCTCTCTCTGTTGGTGTTTCTTCATATGTAAAAAGGGATAAGAACACTCATTTTCATTAGGTTGTTGTAAAAATTAAAATGTTTAATGTATGTAAAGATCTTAGAAGAGAACCTGACACAGAGGAAGCACTTTGTTTACTGTTATGGCCCAAATATTATCTTTTTACTTGGGAGAAAGTTTTTCCCTCTTGGTTAGCTCATCAAGTTCAAAATTCCTCCTTTTTTTGAGACAGAGTCTTGCTCTTTCTCCCAGGCTGGAGTGCAGTGGTGCAATCCGCAACTTCCACCTCCTGGATTCAAGCAATTCTCATGCCTCAGCCTCCTGAGTAGCTGGGACTCCAGGCTCCTGCCACCACGCCTGACTAATTTTTTGTATTTCTTTTTTTGTATTTTATTTCACCATGTTGCCCAGGGTGGTCTTGAACTCCTGAGCTCAGGCAATCCACCCACCTCAGCCTCCCAAAGTGCTGGGATTACAGGCGTGAGCCAATGTGCCCAACCCAAAATTCCTCTTTACAGAATTGTGCTCCCTTTTATATTAAACAACACAGTTAAATCAAACACAAAAACAAAAACAAAACCAGAAGAAATCCCACTGCTAGCCAAGGCTTGGTGCTTAAAAGAGATTGCTTTCTTGGGTAAGTGTGGCTGTGCTTCCCCTTTAAGACTCCAGGCCCATCCTTAATCTCCACCTCTTCTCTTCCTGGGCCTGAGCACCATTGAATCGGGGTAGGTTTTTGAGGTAGAGATTAATGAAAACTAGGGGAGCACATGACGCAATAAATAGATGAAAAGCCAGGTGTGATTTCCCAAGGGCAAGGTTCACTCGCATCAGGTCATAGATCATCTGCTCTGAGATTCTTCACTCCCTACCCTATGCTCTTAGGATGTCCAGGCTCTTCCCCTGATGCACTGACACAACTTCCAGGACATCTTGTCCTGGCTCCTGATTCCTCAAAGATCTAGACGGTGAACTAGTTACTTAGGAGCGACCTTCCTTGCTGCACGCAGGTGTAGAAATTTAACCCTGACACCATTCAAATAGTATCAAAACTCAATCACGTAATAGCCATAAAGTGCACATCTTGAGAGTTACATAAATTCAAAGATGGGGATTGTGCCCAAATACTGCAATATTTTCAATTTGATAAGAAAAAAAAGTGGGTGAGGTACTTCACAAAGCACATAACTATAGGGTTGCCCTGAAGGGTCCTCACTCAGCATCTCTGACTGCGTTAGGGCTTATGTTCTTTCTGATGTGAGCTTTGGAGACTACATCACAGGTGAAAGCTTCTTGATTTCTCATGAAAAATCACAGCTAATACAGAATTCTTCATTTTGATTCATTTGATCTTTCAAGCTTGATAGATTCTATTTATTGAGCACTGCCATGTTACAGACATTGAGCTCAGTGCTTTACCTACCTGATGTCATTTAATCTTCACAATGGCCATGCAGGGTAGATATTTTTATCTCCATTGTATAAATAAGGAAAGAGAAATTCATAGACATTAAATAACATATTAAATAATACACAGATTAAAATCACAGGGAAGAGGCAGTGTTACCGACAGTGAGTCCGTTAGAGTCCGCAGTAACCTCAATTCTTGCCTCCTCAGAAGAAAGAGTTTGACTGAGGGGCATAAAGCAGAAGGAGAGACTCAGGCAAGTTTTAGAGCAAGAGTGAAAATTTATTAAAAAGCTGTAGAGTGGGAAAGAAAGTAGGTAAAGTGCACTGCAGTTGGAAGAGGGCCAAGCGGGCTGATTGAGAGATGGAGTGCCCTGTTTGACATTTGACTTGGGATTTTATACATTGGCATACTTCTAGGGCCTGTTTCCCCTCTCCCCAATTCTTCCCTTGGTGAGGGGAGACCCCTTGAAACTATTGCTACGGAATAAAAGGTGGAATGCTCCTGATTATTGTAAATACAAAATTGCATGCAGGATTGTGTAAAGACAATGCCAGGTTGGACTGCCAGAATGAGCCAACAGTGTGTGATGTGCTTCCCCCTGCAGAGAGCCTATGAATGGGCATGCAGTCAGGGAGGTTTCACATCACCAAGATTCCTATCCCAGAAAAGCAGATATTCATAGCTCTGGGAATGGAATGCGAACCTTGTGGAGAGCCTGTAAACGGATGCATGGGGGGCACCTGTCCATATGGATAAGATAGGGCTATAAATGCCCTCATCTTGCCGCAGCTCTTCTAGGCCTCTTTAGGGTGAAGGCATACTCCCTTCTGAGAATTTCTGGTCTAATCGGTTGTCTAGCTTCACGTCCGGTTTCTATGGATTGTTTGTAACCAGCTTTTGCTGCAACTGTTACTCTGATTAATATCTTGCTAATCATAGGTTATGGAAAGACTGTGTTTCTGTTTTAAGGCTCTGTTAGAAATTACTGATGCACACACTGTATTGTAAATTCTTATCTCTGTATACTATACTTCTGCATACAGATGTTATGTTGAAGAATTACTTCATCCTCATGTGACCATCTCACCTCATAATCAAATGACCCTAAATCCCTCACTAACCTACCCCTGCCCTCACTAAATTTAATAATAAATGCTGGTATATCCAGTGCATTGTTGGCACCATGGGACCAGAAGGCGGTGACCCCCCTGGACCCAGCTTTCACTATCTTGTGTGTGTCTATTATTTCTCAACCTGCCGATTCACCTGGGAACAAAGAGAGAGCCCCGTTGCATTGCGGGCTGCTGGCCAGATCCCGCAATACCTTAGAATGGGCTGTCTGCATGCATAGTGGCCTGCTAGCACTCAGGAGAAGCTGTATGTACAGTGTATTTATTGGAATTGTACACATGCTCACTTGAGGCATTTTTCCCTTACCAGTCGAGTGTTCCTGGAGGAAGGTCATATACCAGTTAAATGGCACCATTTTGCCTCTTAATACGCATGCTTGAGTCTACTCGCCCAACTCCTGAGTTCTTACCAGGAAGCTGCTGATCACCAGTTTCAGGTGTTTCTGTTTGTTAGGAGACTGCCTTTCCCTGGTGCTGGCTGAGACCAACTATTATTTTAGAGAGACAGATTATAACCCCCTGACCATCACCTGATGGTCGCCTGACATTCCTGGTGGGACCCTCTCCTGCCCTGCTCATGTCTGACTCGCTACTTACTGTCACAGTAGCAGAGCCTGAGTTTAGAGTAAGACTTCCTGAATCGCAGTGAGGCCTCTCTCTCTTGCTGTCCCCAGGGCAATCCTGAGCAGGGTGAGGTGCAGGTCGTGCAGTTCAATCATGGCACCACATGTTGAAGGGACCTTCACCCCAAGCATCATGATGTCAGGTTGGGGGCATACGGAGAGGGATAAGACATAGTCCTCATCTTCCACCATTTTTCACCATAGCAGTCCATTTTGGGGGCATTCTGGTGTATCCCAGCCTCATCAAATTCAGTTTATATACCCAAAAGTTTCATGCACTTCTTCCCTCAGACAGGAGTTGAGGACCTGCTCTGTGCTGAGGAGACAAAGGTGAATACACCTGGTCTTGACTGCAAGGAGCTCACAGGCTAGAGGGGAGGTGAGATTAGAAAGCATTGAGTTAGACTCAAGTCTGAAGTGGTGTTTGCTGGCAGGGGACCTGTGCTAGGGACAGGGATGCAGGTGGTAGAGGGTGGGAGAATATGAGGCTTGAATGAACAATCTGGGCATGGGGTGAGGGACCCAAGTGTCCGGTTCCTTCATTTATCCGTTATCCCTCAACAATATGAAACCACCAGAGGACTTTCAGTGGGGGAATAAGACAGTTGGCTTTGCACTCTAGAAAGATTCCTGCCGGGAAGTAGGGAGAGATGACACTGAGTCAGGAATCCAAGGCTGGAGGTTACCACAAGAATTGATAGCACACCCTGGATCTCTGTGTCCCTAGGTGGGGGAGAGGCCACACTCGTTTTCAGTGGGAAGTTAGGGTGCATTTGTTAGTCATCAATGGGCTTGACTTTGGTTTTTTCTTTCTCAAGTCCATTTGGCAGAACCCTTGAGAATTCAACCACACTGCTTTGGGGAACTTGAGGCCAGTGCTTGATAAGAAAATGAGGCAGAAATGGGCCTGTCAAGGGGACTGGACTGTGTGCTGTGAGCTGACACCCAGCCAGAGTTAGGAATGTTAGAGACGACCTGCTCTGAACATAATTAATGAAGCCCACATAGAGCAAAGGCAAGGGTGTTCTGAATCGATTCTGGCATTTCCTCAGGTTTCTCAAGATGGCAGTTTCAAACTCCTCGATGGTCTCCTGGTTTCTATCCCACCTCCAATCCCTGACCTGCACTCTGAACAGTGTCTGTGTCCTCTGCCCTCTGCCCAGGACACCCAAACCTGCACAGCAGTTAGATACAGTCACCTTTTGCTTCAAGAACATTGGAGGGAGATGTGGAAGAGCCTTTCTCTGGGGCCTGGATACGGGAGTTTAGGAGGATGCTGGGACTGCTGGGTCCCCTGTGACTGATGCCCCCCTGTGTTCTTTAATAAATCTGTTGCTGCTTACATATGTGGTAGGTGGCTCCACCTAAAGAATGGTGGGATCAAGGAAGAGGACCTCTTTTGCCTTGGTCTAAAGGCAGTACTGCTGTAAAGGTCTACCCTCCAGTTCCAAAAATTTGGTACTTGACAACAAAATGGTCAGTCGGTATATTATAGCCTCTTGAAAAACATGACTTTTTCTGGGTCGGCCCATGACATGACCATTCATATGACCCTGAAGGGTGTGTCTGTTTTCTTGTAGGCAGGAGGACTCTTGATTACCTTTTAATGTTGGGGGGAGGTGCCAGCTCTTAATAAGGAGGGGTAGGTCATTTCTCAAGGTTTGGGGTGTTGCTCTTTTATCCAGGTATCACCCATTCCGTGCATCAGAGGCCCATTATTTTGCAATCAGGACTCTGTCCTTGGCATGGCAGACTTGGCTTCACTGGAAGCTTACCATCTTTGGAGCTTAGCCATTCTGATAATTCAACCTGGGGCCTAGTTCTCAACTCCTTTACCACAGGAGAGGACAATCTCCCTACATGCTACCAAGGAAGCCCTCTAACTCTCACACTTTCCTTTTAATCACTGTTTAATTACTCTCGGCTGTTCATTAATTTGTTCCAGAATCTCCATAAAAACTTAGCAAAGGCACTCAATTCCACTGTCCTTATAGCAATTATATCCCCCATATTTCTCAAATAGGTGATACATCACCTAGCTAAGTATACAGTTTTCCCTTCATTATCCCTTCCTAGTTCACAATTAGTGAAAGTTTTAATAATTGTGATGTCACTCTTCCAGAGACCATGTGTCACCTCCATAAGTAAGGGGGTCCCACTGGACAGCTGGATGGATCTAGCTTCAAATTCCCAAGGTAATATCTGCTTTCTTGGACTACTCCAAGTGCCAAATGTCAGAAGCTGGATTTCCTGGGACCCAGACTCTGACTTGGAGATTTACATGTGGGATTTTTATTAGGGGATGCTTTGGGGATGAATGGCTAAGGAAGGGAAGGGATGGGAAGAGGAAGGGGAGGGGAGGAAAGGGAGAGGAGGGAAGGAAGGGGAGGGGAGGGAAGAAAAGAAAGGAAGAGGAGGTCAGAGGGAGCATGTGAGCTGTGAGGCAGCCCCAATGGAGCCCTTACAACCCCATGGGGAAACTCTGAGTCTGAAATTCCTTTTCAGTTGCTCTGGGTTGGGACCTTTTGTGTGAACCATTCATTGATGTGGGTCACCCTGGAAAACAGGCCAGATCTTGGGTGAGGTTGCTCTCTTCAGCTGAAACAACCCTGATGTGGATATTTTAAGTTAAATTTAGAATAATTAAAATTAAGATTAGAAATTCAGTTGCACTAGCCACATTTCAAGTGCCCAGTAGCCACATAAGGCTTGTGTTATATTCAACAGCATAGATATCAGACATTTCCACGGCTGCAGAACATTGTACTGGATAAGCACAGCCAATCAAAGATGGGCATCAGCATTGTGACAGAAGGCCTGTTTCAGGTGTTCCCCAACTCATAGGGTTCTGTCCTTAGGGGGTCACAACTGAAAACCTGGGGTGCATAACCAAGAAAGCTTATTCTTTGCTCTGAATTCCAGTTTTCCTTCCCCAGCCTCACAAAGCCCACTGGAGTTTTTGCTAAGCATCTTATCCTCTGAGACCCTATGTTCAAATCAGCAAATGAAATAAAGAAAAAGTGGCATATAATGTTGGGCTCACATTTCTGTGCTTTCCTTCCTCTTAGAATCTTGGTTCGTGTGCTCTCACTGAGTAGTTTCCGACAGACTTAAGTTATATTTTAAAAAACACTTTTTTTTTCTGATTTTGCTTTTGATTTGCTTTATTCTTGGCAGGAATATTGATCTGCCATAAACCAGCCTGGCACTGCCTGGATTTGCTATCTATTGCCTACTTAAAAAATTTATATCCCAAGTTGGCTATCATGATGTTTTAGCCTGTTTGGGCTGCTACAACAGAATACCATAGACTAGGGAGCTTATAAACAATAGACATATATTGCTCACAGTTCTGGAGCCTGAGAAGTCCAAGATCAATGGTGCTGGCAGATTTGGTGTCTGGTGAGGACCTGTTCCTCATACAAATACCTTCTTACTGTCTCCTCACCTGGTGAAAGTGGCAAGCCAGCTATCTGGGGTCTCTTTTATAAGGGCAGTAATCCTATTCATGGAGCCTCTAATCTTATGATATCATCACCTCCCAAAGGTCCCACTTCTTAATGCCATCAACTTGGGGATTAAGAGTTCAACATGAATTTCAGGGGCACACAAACATTCAGACAACAGCATGTGACATCCCTCAAATGATTTTCTTCTGCCTCATTGTCTCCGTCGCATTCTCCCTTGCTGGCTTCCATTACTTGAAGTTCTACTCTTGGCCCTCTTCTTTTTATCTTTCAAATTTCCTCTTGCTAAAATGACTTACTCCCATGAATTGACTGGCTATATGCTGAAACCTTCCCCAAATTTATATTTAGACCACAGCAAGTTCAGTCCCCTGCTCCATGTTCCCATGGCATCCCATAATCTTCCAATTATAATGTTTGTCACATATTAGCTACACATAATCAGTAAATGACTTGATGGTACCACCCAGATTTTAGGGTCAGAATTGCTTAAAGTAGGTCAGGATTTAACTAGGGACTCAGTCATGACTGGCACTACTGAGGTTCAAGAAGCTCTTGATAGGAGAGTAGTAACCTAGTAAAGCTGACACTCTGAGAGCCCTGGATTACTTATAAACACATTGGAGAAACAACTGAAGTGGTTCCGCAATGAAGTGCAATGTCTTCAGTGATGAAATGCTATTACTTGTAATCCCACATGCACCAGCTGTGAAAGGCTATTTATACCCTTGGCTCTATGACTTCCTTTGCACAGCTTATGGCCTGGTTGACTTGCTTCATTCCTGGGGATATCATGAGGACAAGCTTAGAAATATTTCTTTGGCAGAATGTGGCTTAAGTTCTCTGTGAATGCTCAAGGTTGGGACTGGTAAATAACTGTCTGAAAGCCATGGTGGTGTTCTGGAAACAGAAGTGAATTAAAAGGCAGGAGACCTGGGTTCAAATCTGGGCTCTGCCACTGAAAGCTTGAATAAGGTTGTTCTTTAATTTCCATGTTTGTATAATTAATTTCTCTCTTAACTCCTTTCCCAGAAGACCATGTCAGTATAAGGTAGAGACCAAAAATGTGGCCTTTGCAAAACCCAGCATCTTATTGACTAGGGAAATGATAGAGTCCTGCTCTCTTGATGAGAGGAGCTTCAAAGTCACATTGCAAGAGAGACAAGTACAGGAACCAAAACCTTTTTTCTTGCAATCCATCAGGGAGGATGGAAAGGTGTGCTCAGGTAAGGCCTCGCTGGGAAGATTACATTTGAATATATGAAGGAAGTGATGGAGTTGTTACTCCTTTATAACTGCAAAGGTGAGGCAGTAGCATGTGTAGTATGCTTGAAATAACAAGAAGATCTGGGAGAGGGAGCAGAAGATAGAGGTGAGAGAAAAGATTGAGGCCTCCTAATAGAGGACTTGTAGGATGCAATGAAGACTTGGATTATGAGAAGCCACTGGAAGGTTTTGAACAGAGGTGTACGATGTTTTGACTTCCTGATAATTTACTCTGGCCACTGAGTTAATAGTAGATTTGGGGGTAGCATAGGTTGAAATAGGGAGATCTACTAGGAGACTTGTTGCAATTGTCCAAGGTGGTAGCTATTGGAAGTGGTGGTAGCTCTTGAGGTTGAGGTAGCTACTGAGAAGTAGTAGGTTTCTGGGTGTGTGTTGATAAGATAGACATTTGCTGACTAGTGGATGTGCATGACAGAACAAGAAATGTCAAGGAAGGATGAAACTTTTTTGTCTTGAATAACTAAAGGGATAATTACCATTAACTGAGATGGGGAAGACTATGGAAGAGCAGGCTGGGCCCTGGTGATGAAGATCAGAAATGTGGTTTTGGACATCCCAAGCCTGAGCTGTCAATGCATATCTAATAGCAACATAAATAGGGTCTCACTCCATGTATTCTTTTGTAACCTGACTTTAACACACAAGATAACGGAATTTCTTTCCCAGCTCTGCTATGTGCATATTGCACATATTGCCCAACATTTACTGTATCATATATCTTCTGTGTCTCCATTTCCTCCTAGAAATATGGCAATATTATGATAGAAATGTTCTATGTGATTCCATTAGTCTTTTAGAGAATCAATAAAATGTGTGTAAAAGAATATTTTACTAATTTATGAAAATGTTGGGTTTGCTACTTTGACATCTGACCCCGAGGTTTCACTAGATACAATGATTTGTACCTTTGCTGAAGTAAGAATCAATCACAGGAGCAGCTAGGTTGGGGTACAGAATGAAATCACTGAACAAATGAGTCTGTTCATTCCTTGGCGTGGCACTTCTATCTCAAACCACCATAATTCTTTATTATTACAGTAATATTTCCTAATAGATTTGCAAAGGTCTCAGGCAAAACCTCTTGAATGGCCAAGATATTTGCAAAAACTCTCCTTGGATCTCGGCAAACAGGAGGCATTGAATCAAGTTAACTGAGCCTGGTTCTGAGCCAGGTGTTGTTGACAACGCAGAAGGAACACTGGGTAGTTATTAAGTGCAGATAACTGTGCCAGTAACTCTTAATTTTTTTTTAAAAAAGTATTGTGTATGCCTTGTAATCATGCAAATATATGGTCCCAGGATAATGCCATATCTGAGATAGGAAACATTGTTATTTATTTTTCAAATTAAAAAATTGTGAACAATGAAAACATAGAAAAATTAGACACTTACCATTACAGACACTTATCTATCCATTTTCTATACTTAACACAGGTTGATATTTTGCCATAGTCTATGTTTTAGTCAACTTCGGCTGCTATAACAAATTAGCATAGACTCCATGGGTCAGACGTTCTTTTCTCACAGTTCTGGAGACTGGAAGTTCAAGATCAGGGTGTCAGCATGCTCAGGTTGTGGTGAGGGTTCTCTTCTAGGTTACAGACTTCCATCTTATTGTATCTTCCCATGGTTGAAAGGAGAAAAGAGTGTTCTTCTCTTGAGTCTTTTACAAGAGCACTAATCTCATTCATGGGGGCTCTACCCTTGTGACCCAATTATCTCCCAAAGACCCTATCTTATACCATCATGTTGGAAGTTTGGATTTCAACACATAAATTTTGGGGGGACATAGCCATTCAGTCCATAACACTGAATGCTCTATTATTCTTTAGCTGCCTCATTAAATTATATTTTACCTAACCTAAAATTCATCCATTTTAAGTAAACGAATTGTAATTCATTTATTTTTAGCAACTGTACCAAGTGGCACAACCATCACCATAAATCAGTTCTGGAACATTTTCATTCTCCCAGCAAGATCACTCATGTTTATTCATAGTTAATCCTTGTTCCCATCCCCATCCCCAGGCAACCACTAATCTACTTTTTGTCTCTACAAATTTGCCTATTCTAGACATTTAATATTGTACATATTTTGGTTTAGAGGTAAATCATTTGGCTGATATTTTCTGTTAATCCATTGATTCTTCCATTGCTTTTACTTTCACTTTTCATTTTTCTATTAATAGGTCATTTTAGCCTTTGCGTTTTTGTATTGCCCTTGATTGTGTTGTATATATTGAACGCTACAAGGAAGTGCTTCTTAGGTTCATGGTGGAGGCATAAATTTCCTAAGCTTTTGGTCCAAGCCGGCCCCACTGACCAATGTTTATAGGTCCATTAGAGCAGTGACCAATGGTTATAGGTTAATTAGACTAGAGAAGAATGAAAGCAGAAGCAATTGGTCAACATTTGCCTTGAGTTCCTCACTAAAACCTTCATAAACACGCTTCTTGTGTGGTCAGATTGTAATATAAAAGTAGTGAGGTTCCTTCGTAAGCTCTGCTTCGTTGAAAAACGCTATTCATAGGCACACGTTTTTGACCAGTTGCATTGGCTTATTTTTCTGTTTGTCATTGGCTCATCTATATCAAAATCAGAGCCTCCGACTGCAGAACCCCTGCTTCCTAAGTGTTCACTCACTACAATCCTCATTCTTACACCTACTGATAAAAGGTCACATTTTCCTAAGGATGATTTAGAATTCAACGGCCATCATGGAGACTTTCGACATGCCAATAAACCATAGGCTTAATGGTAATTCTAGAAGAGGACAGATATACCAACCAGTCAATGGCTAGCTTTCTTTGACTAATATTCTGAGACTTCAGAATGAAATACTTACTTTCAAATAATCTCTCTTAAGGACAAAACCCAAAAACGTAACTGCTTGCCCTGGAACTTTGTGAAACCTTCTCTCTCCCTCTCTCTTTCTCCCATCAGCTTTATTATCGCCACCCACTTACATGCCTTTTATCTTTTTCTCTTTCATCTAACTTCTTTAACAAGCTACCCTCTTCTTAGTTTTCCCCCAACTCAGGTAAAGAAAAAGCACATTATACAGTACACCCTTAAAATTGCTCTGTCAGGGTCCAGAGAGGACTGGAATTAGGTATTTTCCAAAATTTCAGGAAAACAGACAGAAATCTGCTATAAAATGCAATACTGTTAGGTATTTATTATCCCAGACTTTGAGTTTTGTTTCAACTATTTCACTTACTTTGTTTGCCCCTCGGATGGGGAAAATGCTTCAAAGCCATAGGACTAGAGTGTCCAAGAGGATTTGAATAGCCTGGCTGTGCATGATTACAAAAATAAAGGCCTTTAAGAGGCATAAAATGTAGGAAATGTTTTTCATTTCCCCTAAAAGTTGTTTAGACAAAGATTAAAAATTGTAAGTAAAAGAAAAACAGAAATCTATGACATTTAAAAAGCACATGCAATGCTGACCCAACAGCTTAGGTAAAGGGAGCCTTGTCTTGACTTTCTGTAAAATTTTTTGTTTGGCCTCTGACATGAAAGTAGAGATGTAGGGAAAGAAAAAAAAAAACCCAAAAAACAGTTGACTCCAGAATGATGATGAAGTCTCAGTGTAGCCACAGTACCCGTCTCTGCTGCCTCTCAACAGGCCCTGCTCTAGGCAGAGGGTCAGCCTGAGTGGGGTCCTTGGGGTAAAACAGGGCATGTTTCAGGACTTGAAAGAGCACTGGTGTGGTGGGTCCCCAGAGGGAGGTTTGCTGGAGGAGCTGAGGCTGAAGAAAGGCAGCAACGCAGATTGGTTGGACTGTGTTCAGTCGTTTGCTTATCTACTCTTGTTTGCATGTACAGAGCTCTTGTGCAATAAGCAGGTCATCCTAGACCCAGTTCAGTCGGCAGAGCGCTAGCTATCTGGAGATAAAGGGGGATCAGAGAATGAGGGGCATGAGAGAGAGAAGAAGAAAGAAGAAGAAGAAGAAGAAGAGGAAAGAAGAAGAAGAAGAAGAAGAAGAAGAAGAAGAAGAAGAAGAAGAAAAAGAAGAAGAAGAAGAAGAAGGGAGGAAAGAGAGAGAAGAATTAAGAGAAAACAGAGGAGGAAGAGAGAGGTAGGAAGGGAAGAAAGGAAGGACACTGAATGAAACCAGGCCCCAAACAGATTGAAAAGCTAAATCTAATCTTTAGAAGATTGAAATGACAGTTTAAGAACAAGGTGGCCAGGCACAGTGGCTCACACCTGTAATCTCAGCACTTTGGGAGGCCAAGGCAGATGGATCACCTGAGGTCAGGAGTTTGAGGCAAGCCTGGCCAACATGGTGAAATCCCATCTCTACTAAAAATATAAAAATCAGCTGGGCATGGTGGCACACACCTGTAATCTCAGCTACTTGTGAAGCTGAGGCAGGAGAATCACTTGAAACTGAGAGGCAGAGGTTGCAGTGAGCCGAGATGGCGCCATTGCACTCCGGCCTGGTCGACAACAGTGAAACTCTGTCTCCAACAACAACAACAAAAAGATGAACCAGATTAAGTTGCATCTTTCCTGGCTGATTTATCTCTGAGAGAGTAGAAAGGGCCTGGAAATGCCTTGGCAACTTGCTGTAGACATGTCACTTGGTGCAACTTCTCTCTGCAAAGTCCATTTCCTCTTCACATTGTAGACAGGTGTCTCCTGGACACTGGAGCCATCATGGTGGGGCAGGGACTATTCTGCACTGACAGCTCCATCTCAAAATAATCTGTCACAAGCCACCTCCTCCTGACTTTCTGCCTTCAGAATGTAGCCCCTGCTGTGCCCTGCCTTTGACTTGCTCACCTAGCTCTCACTATGGGGGAATGGGAGCCGTTTGCCTGCATCAGAAAGTAGAATTTAACCAGTGGGACTTAATAAACGCACCAGCCACTGCTGCTGATCTGTCTGTTAGAACCTGCAGCCATCCTGCTGTGCTGGGAGCACGTTGCAGGGCCAGCTCCGCCTTTGTAAATGTCTCTCTGGTGGTGTCTTGGAGGAGTGTTCTTACCTGCCTTGGCACCATAATATGGAGACATACTCGTAGGCGAGGAACTGGAATCAGCATGGGAAATTAAGGGATAGGTCCTCGGTTGCTAGGGCAGAATTGAAAGCTGTTGTGCACAATGTCTGGAAAAGTAAATTTTGTATCTACTTTTTATCAACCTTGCTGGAAGGCCATATATTTAAGTGGCTAAGAGCATGAGCTGTGAAGCCAGACTGGGCTAAAAATCTGGCTTCAACATGTACTAATGGAATGGTTTCAGGTAAATTACTTAACATCTCTAAGTCTCAGTTTCCCCTTTTGTAAAATGGGAATGACTATAGTTCCTACTTACAACGTTGTGAGAACTAAATGAGCTAATACTTATAAAGTCCTTAGCATCATGGCTGGAATGTCCTGAACACTCGGTACATGTGGGTTCTTATTGCTATTATTAGTGAGCCCTCTCAAATTATGTCCTGCAGGACAGATGCATGACACAACTCCAGAGGGCGCCATCACATTGTCCTCAATGTGGTCCATGCAAGTTGCACTTTGGAGTTGTGCAATGAGCTCACAGTTTCCTGCTCACCACCAGCCCTGCTTATTCACTGGGGTGTTCTTGGAAACCCACTTGGGAATCCTATGCTCTCCCCATGCAGGGCTGGGGCTTAGAAATCTCCCTCCATCTTTAGTGCCTTATCCCAGCCATAGCCCTGCCCTCTGATGTCACTGCTGCCCCTTTAAGCTCTTCCACCTACACTTCTGATCTCTCTAACTAGCTGGGACTACACTGCTGACTTTCTTAGAATCAAGGACCAAAGCAAGAAAGGGAATAGGTCAGTCACAAAAATCAAGTCAATGTAAAGGAATGGTATCTCTAATTTCATAGCAAAAGTGACATTTAAATTGCACTTTGATCCAACTAATTACCTCTTTCTATGGGAGCCCCGAGTGACAGAGTAGATGGTAGCGTTCAGTTTTCTCCACGGAAAATGCAGATTCTAGGGTCAGAAAATGGCTTCTCATAATAATAAAATAAATGGCTTCTCTGGCCTCTAGAAGCCAAAGCTGCCTCATTGATGGAATCTAAAACACTACCTGGGAGACAGTGAAGGAGAAGACTGTTAAAAAGTTATATGGTACTTCTGTTCCTTCCAGGTGGTCAACAGTCCTCCCCTGGGTCACATCAGACTGGCAGAGATTTGGGGGTTTGGAACCACAGGATATTAGATCCCTGCAGAATTTGCTTTGTCTGTATTTCGTTTGGTCCGATGCCATCAATACTTGGGGTTTAGGAAATGAGGACCAGCCACAGGTTGCTTGCCAATGAGTCAACTGTAGGCCTAGGATAATGATGCTGGTCTTCACAGCATGTTGGCTTATACTTCTGAGGATCTGCAGGGACACGCCTCTTTGTCCCAGTGCCAGGTATGTTTGAACGTCAGGCTGCTCTGCCTTTTCCTTATGGATGTACTTATTAGGGACCTACTGTGGACCAGGAGGTCATGTGGATACTAGAGTAAGTAAACAAAAGACATAGTCTTTGTCCTTCATGGTGCTTCGTGTCTGTGGAGAATACAGATATGTAAATAATCACAAATATTATAACAGCTGATGAACATTTTGATTTGGCTTCCAGGAAGCTCAAGCTGGACACAGTGTCTTACACCTGGAATCTCAGCACATTGGGAGGCTGAGGTGGGAGGATCACTTGAGGCCAGGAGTTTGAAACCAGCCTGGGCAACATAGCAAGACCCTGTCTCTACAAAAAATTTTTAAAAAGTAGCCAGTCGTGGTAGTGTGTGACTGTGGTCCCAGCTACTCAGGAGGCTGAAGTGGGAGAATTGCTTGAGCCTGCAAGGCTGCAGTGAGCCATGATCATATACCACTGCACTCTAGCCTGGGTGACAAAGTGAGACCCTGTCTCAAAAAAAAAACAAAAACCAAAAAACCAAAACCAAACAAACTCAGATCTAAATTTGTGGCAAGTGTGTAAGTCATTAGTGACTGCATATTTAGCTATATTCATGGTACCATGTCATTCCCACCCTGTTATAACTTTCTTCTTTCATTTTAAATTTAAGCTATCTTGTAAGCTGTCTTAAACCTTGTTTGGAATAAAGCAAGATATGCATTTAAAAATAAATATATAGAAACCTGCTGAAAGCCATTTGATGGGAGTGGCCCTAATTTTGCCTGCCTTTTGTCCCATTGGACAGATAAATGAGGCTAGGATGCAATATTTTCTCTGCTGAAAGATAGATGGTATGATTCTTATGCTCCATCCAGCACAATTGGATGGTGGCTCAATACTAATCTGGGAGACAGCATATGTCTGTGCTGTTCATCACTGATTTCTCTGTGTCAAGTATAATCTTGGTATATAATAGCTGCTCCATAGATGTCTGTCGAATGTTCAATGAAGCAGTGGTGTTATTTAGGACATCATAATTTATAATGCACTTTTCTCTCCTTCTTTCCTTTAATCCTAGCAGTTACTCCTATAAAGTCTCTATTAGGATAATGCTAGCTGCTATAACATATAGACCCCAAAACATTTGGTGGCTCAAATACAATAGAAGCTTATCTCTTGTTCCTGGTTGGTGGTTGGCTTTACTTCTTGTGGAGACTTGGAGCCCAGGCTCTATTGTCCTCTAGAGTCTTGCCATCATTTGCATCAAGCTTGTGGATAGGAGAAAGAGAGAGAGCCTATTCTTCTAAGCCTTGGCCTGAGCTCAAACACATTGCTTCTGCTTCTATCCTTTAGTGAGAATTAGCTTCATGGCTACATGTAAGTGCAAGGGGTCATGGGTAGGAGGTTGGGAAATAAAGGGCTGGAATGATAATCTGCTTTCCAGAGACAATGCTCTCTTCCACGAGGATGAATACATTCTAGTGTGGAGTTAGCCATCTCTGCCACAGGCTTAAGGGCCCAAAGTGCCCTTTTTGTACATTAGAAAAATAACTAAACAAGTCTGGAAATCCCCAAATCAGAGGGATGGTTTCCTTCTTCCTCAAAGTGAGGACCAGCAGGACTCTGACACCTAACAGGACAAATCAAGTCCAGATTATAAAGAATTGCCTCATCTCAGCCACAGGAAGATTCTGTCCTGTTGCTTATGCAAAGACTAAAGAAAATAGCACCTGTGGCTGTCTACATGTCCAAGTCATTTGTCTGTAGGACAAACATCCTTGGTGTTTCTCTTCTCTCTGCCTTAATGTTGCTGCTGGAACACCTGCCTGAGCTTTCAAGACTCTGTACGAACATATCCTGCACTTTACTGCTATTACTCCTCATGGATCCCTTCTGTCGAATTGCATCTTCCTCCCTGACATGGTTTGCCCGTGTCCCCATCCACATCTCATCTTGAATTCCCAGGTGTTGTGGGAGGGACCTGGTGGGTGGTAATTGAATCCTGGGGGCAGGTCTTTCCTGTGCTGTTCTTGGAATAGTGAATAAGTCTCATGAGATCTGATGGTTTAAAAAATGGGAGTTTTTCTGCACAAGCTCTCTCTTTGCCTGCTCCCATCCACATAAGATGTGACTTGCTCCTCCTTGCCTCCTGCCATGATTGTGAGGCCTCCCCAGCCATGTGGAACTGTAAGTGCAATAAACCTCTTTGTTTTGTAAAGTGTCCAGTCTTGGCTATGTCTTTATAAGCAGCGTGAAAATGGACTAATACACTCCCTTCCTATTCCTTTGTCACTGTCCACATGTACCTTCTCTAAGAGGCTACTCTGATTTTACAAGTTAGAATAAATTACCCCTAGCCCTTCTTCTTATTCATCTAGCGATTTGACTTAAAGGTCTATTCTTCTGTTGCCCCTAACAGATTGTAAACTTCCTAGGGGTAAGGGGTGGGGAATGTCCCAGTTAAAATACTTTTGGATGGCCCTTCACATACACCATCTGCTTCCCATTTAGGGCTGATTGCCTTGGGCATTGCTCCATTTGAGCTGGTCAGCTCAGCTGTTTACTTGTGGGGCGTAAATTGATCAGGTGTGACTGAATGGATCAGCTGCTTGGCTAAATGGACCCTTCCTTTCCATTCATTAGAGGATTTGATATGATTGTGGACAAATGCAGACTGTGTCCCAGCTCTGTGCTCCTCAAAGTTGATTGTGCTTGCAGATCATGTGGGGATCTCGTTAAGATGCAGACTCCGATGTAGTCGACTCTGGAGCGGGAGCTGCGATTGTGCATTCCTAACAATCTCCCAGGTGTTGCAGATCACCCTTTGTGTAGCAAGGACCTTATGTTTTGTGAAAAATTGGCTTTGAAATAATTCAAAAGTTGCTCTTTGAATGTGACCCACTCTTCTTTCCTGATAGTTTTTAATCTCAGCTGCTTTTGCTAGAGATGCACATATCTGGCTAAAAAGGAGAAAATCCAGTCCATCTTTTTTTTTATTTTATTATCCTTCTGCAGTGCTCACATAATAGACTAGCAACAATAACAATGGTTATACTAATGGACAAGATTTATTAATCACTTATTATGCAGTGAGCATGCGTTCGCTTATACTAGCCTCCTGGCAACACTATTGGTTACTATTCCCACTTTGCACCTAAGGAACCTGAATTTCGGAAGCTTAGGAAAATTTCTGAGGAACACATAGTCAGTGTCAGAGCTGGGATTTGAGTATAATTGTTTGGGATTTGAGGCAACTGAGCACTTATAACTGTTCTTTCCTGCTTCAGTTGTCCCACCTCTTCTGCAGACGTTTGATTTATTCCATTCTGTATGCTCTCTTATGCACACACGCGCGCGCGCACACACACACACACACACACACACACACACACACACGCAGAGCAAACACTTAGATGCCTTGGTCCCTCCAGATGCTTGGTGTCAAGGTAGAATAAATATCTGGATAAATAATTCTTCTCTGCCAGATGCCACGCGTCCTCTTCCTCCCTCTCTGTTTTGATTACAAACTGTGTTTCTCTTGGATGGCTCCCTGCAGACTTTATGGACCTTTTTCACCTTCACTCACCAAGGTTCGGAAACTCATTGGTCATGGTACCCAGAGTTAATTGCCTTGTGGGGAGATTCTCTCCTGCTTGGACATCCCCATGTGCTAAATCGCACTTGGAGTTCCTATTTCATCGGGGATGTTTTTTACCTGGGTTGGTGTCATTCAACATTAAATCACCTCTCCTCAGGAGTAAAGGTTGGTTTTCTCACATTTAATTTATAGTCCCAAGTAGGAAATAAAAGCACCATAATGGGTTTTATTACTTGCCTTGCTAATAATTCTTCAGCTTGTTACAATTTTAAATTAAAATGATGATGACCACAATAAAAATACAACAAATAATCAGTATTACTAGTAAAAAACATCAGCAAACCCCTTATATTTTGTTGTGTGTAATTATTGACTCATTGACAATGTATATTCATATGTGTTGTTATCATTGTTGATGCTATTATTATTACTACTACTGTTTTTTAAGAACCCAGAGAAGTTGGCAGATGTTGATCAGGTAGCTTCCCAGCTGCAAATCTTGGGGAGTGGCAACATTAAGGTCATGCTGTTCAATCTCCATATTGGGCTGGATGAAATACTGTGATCTGGAGGTGAAAGACTCATCATGCAAGCCTGTGTCTGAGTTCCAGTTCTGCCACTTACTGATTGAGAGAGTTTGGGTACAACATTGAACCTCTCTAAACTCAATTTCTGCATCTCTAAAATGGGGAAACACATAAGATTCTTTGCCTGGATGAAATAAATATAGAAAGTATAAGTAAATTGTGTAGAATATAGAAGCAATAAATAACAGCCACCAGCGTGACTGGAAGGTGGCTGTAAACCAGGCATTGCCCCCATCGCCAGTGGATGGGGTGGAGAATCACTGTTTTCCCACTAGACTTGGATATCCACACAAATGCAAAGGTAACTTCAGCATCCCTGCAGTGTCTACTCTGCCCGCTCAGTTCTGAAGACTGTCTTCAGTGTTTGTATTGGAATGAATATCTGTCCTTTCAAACCACAGCCTTTTAAAGGAGATTTTTGAGTCCCATAAATTATTGTCAGCCTTCCAGTATGGGGATGAGGAGTGAGCATCAACGCGTGTGTGTGGCGGGAGCACCTTCAGTGGGCACACAGCTTCTCCACGACTGACGCTGTTCCACCCCTCCAGACTCATCCTGTTGTACTTCCTTTCACTCTTCACTCTGGCTACATTGCTCTGCTTGCCTTTCCTCAGTGGCCCTGGCCACTTACTGCCCCCATGCAGTTACTCATGGTGACTCATGCTTCTCTCCCTGCCTTTTGAAAATCTCTTTAGCTCTTGACGTTCAGATCAAGCGTTTTCTCTTCTGTGAAGTCTTTCTTGGAATCCTCTTTAGAAATGACCCCATTTTTCCTTTGGGCACCTTGTATCATGGCCCCTAGAGAAAGTTTTTGCTTTAATTTGCAAATCTGACAATCTTCTGGGTTAGGTAATGATCTCCCTAAAAGAGACGCTGGGCCTTGTTCATCTCTGTAATCCAGCTTAGCCTGGAAGAGAGTAAGTGACTTGCCACAATTTGTTGAATAAATTGTAATTGATTCCAGCTAATAGCTGTGGATTCGAGTAAGTCATTTAGGGGAGACAGGAGCCATAGGCTTTGCCAGGACACCAGCCCAACAGACTGGGGTTTGGGGTAGAGAGGTGCATTAAAGGCTATTTAGAGTGCTGACCAGGGAGAGTGTGAAAGCAATCAGTCATGTAGGTCAAGCCGGATGGTGGAGGAGGAAGGAGAAACTGCTTCCTTCTGACATACCATGTGGGTAGTGGGTGGGTACCACTCATACCACCATTTTTTTATTCAATATTCAAACCCATGATGAGTAAACATCAATGCCTTGATAACTGGTGGGGATCAAAATATCAAAGTAATAAAGTTACTGTAATTCCAAAAGTACAGGGCTTTGCTATAGACAGGCAGAGAAACACAGTAAACAAGTAGACAGACACATACGCAAAATAAAAACAAACGATAACTACCATGAAGGAAGCAGGGCTTTGAAAAAAAAATCACAGCAATTCACTTTAGATTGGAAAGGCTTTGAAGTCCTCCAAGAATATGATTTAAATTTCAGCCAGAAGATTGGAAGGAGACAAGCATGCGGGTAGTTGCACAGAGTGCTTTACCCCAGGAGTTCCCAACTCCCCAGCCGTGGACTGCTCACAGAGGGAGGTGAGCACCTGGCAAGGCAAGGGAGAGAAGCTTCATCTGTATTTTCAGCTGCTCCCCATCACTTGCATTAGAGCCTGAGCTCTGCCGCCTGTCAGATCAGCGGCGGCATTAGATTCTCATAGAAGCACGAACCCTATTGTGAACTGTGCATGCAAGGGATATAGGCTGTGTGCTCCTTATGATAATCTAATGCCTGATGATCTGTCACTGTCTCCCATCACCCCCAGATGGGACCATCTTGTTGCAGGAAAACAAGCTCTGGGCTCCCACTGAGACTACATTTGGTGAGTTGTATAATTATTTCATTATATATTACAATGTAATAATAGAAATAAAGTGCACAATAAATGTAATGAGCTTGAATAATCCTGAAACCATCCCTCTCTATACCCCCGACCACTATCCATGGAAAAATTGTCTTCGATGAAACCAGTCCCTGGTGCCAAAAAGGTTGGGGACTGCTGCTTCAGAGAAAGGAGACATCATGAACACAGGTCATGAAGCAGTAAAGGGCATGGAATAGTCAAGCAGTGGGCCATTGTACAGAGACTGCAATTAGGCGTACATCATCTGATAGTGTCTTTGCTGTAAATCTGTGTATTCACTTTCTATTGCTGCTATAACAAAT
Source organism: Homo sapiens (assembly GCF_000001405.40). Classification (NCBI taxonomy): domain Eukaryota; kingdom Metazoa; phylum Chordata; class Mammalia; order Primates; family Hominidae; genus Homo; species Homo sapiens. The sequence goes on along the minus strand of NC_000008.11, from coordinate 134,360,532 downwards.
TACCATTGATTTAGTAGCTTAATGCAACACAAAATATATTCCCTTGTCTGTCTGGAGATCAGAACTCTGAAATCAGTTTCACTGGGCTGCAATTAAGCATCAGCAGGGCTGGTTCCTTCTGGAGGTTTTGGTGAGAGAATCAGTTTCCGTGCCTTTTTGAGCTTCTGGTGGCTTCCCGCATTTTTCAGCTTGTGGCCCCCTCCTCCAGCCTCAAAGCTTGCTTCTGTTATCGCCTTACCTTCTTTTCTGTAGTCACGTCTCCCTCTTTCTCTTTCTTATAAGGAAATTCGGGATTATATTTACAGCTCACTCAGGTAATTCAGGATAATCCCCTACCTCAAGATTCTTGATTTGATCACATCTACAAAGTCACTTTTTCCTTATAAACTCACATTCACAGGTTCTAGGGATTAGGGTGTGAATGTCCTCAGAAGACCCTTGTTCAGCCCACCACACTCTGATTCCAGCCATGGCTTCTGTTATACTTCCCGTGGGCTTTAATTTACCTCTTCTTGTGGACAAGGTCTTACCTTAAGGGTCTGTGCCATGTGCCTTTTCTTTCTGTTCGGAAGTTCTCTAATACCACAGCACGGAATTCAGGTGCAGTTCATAAGAGCAGAGGGAGCTAAGAAATTCTTGGGCACCTTTACCAAGGGAGGTGGAAGCTGATGGATACATGCTTCCCTGTGTCCATCTTTGGACAGAAAATTCTGAGAGCCATTCTTTGTGTTGAGCAATCCCGGAGGGACTCAGCCCCAGTTGTCCATAGCAGTGTTGGCTTGGATAATTGACCCTTCTGTTGATCTTTCTTTTTTTCCTGTTTCACTCTCCCCAGTCTCCCTTGCTTGTTCCACGGTAATACTTCCAGAATCATCCACCTACACACAAGTCCTAGGTTGTGACTCTGCTTTTGAGGACACTAGGAATTCCCCTAGAAGTGGGTGCTCTGGGTCACTCATTGGTGATGTTAAGTGGAGTGTGGATAATAACTAGCATTCTGTAATATCGGAATTACTAAAAATTTCAGCTGGAATGAATGAGTACAGGTTGAAAGTAAACCATGATATTCTCATTATGTAGTAACCCTAGTGCATGAATGCCATGGGGAAATGGTGATCATAAGGATTTAGAAGTTGGCGAGATGCTGTTGACTGCTTTGAAAGATTTTAAAAATTAAAATGGTAGGCTCAGATCAGGTATCAATTCATGGCACAATGTAGAGTCAGAATGCTTCTATAGCATAATTTAAAGATACGCTCAATTCCAGCAGCAGCAGGAAAGACTATGTAGAAAGTCAAGCCCAGGATGTACTTGTAAGGGTGGCAAAGCTGCAAATGAGACTTCAGCATGCATCCAATGTCAATGTCAGTGCCCTGATAAGGAAAGGGTGATATCCTGAGAGCTGAGATAGGGCATTTGAATGGAGTGTCTTAGTGTTATGGGTACCTAAATTCCTTTGAGTCTTCCAGGTTGTTAGAAGCAGTTCCTTTCTCTCTGGTAGAGGAAAGAAGCTTGCTCTTGCCTAGAGACCTATGAAGAGACTGGGAGGCAGATGAGTTGGAACATGTTTTCTGTTCCCCTCAAGATCTCCTTGTTATCTTCATACCAATAAAGAGAGTCAGGCCTCAGCAGAGTCTAAACAGGGAATGCAGTGCCTGCTCTTGGAGGAAACCACTTAGTTACTGTGGTTTTGCAGGATCTGGATCATACGCGTGTGCTGGAACCAGAGCAACACAAGCAAGGGTGGTTCTGGAGTGCACATGGCTGGATAGGAGGAAATTTATTAATAAAGGAGCATTCTGCTGTTATTCAAGATTTAATGTCCTGGCAAAGACATCTTGGAGCCAATCCTAATCTTCTATTGGGACGACTTCCTGAGACTTGGAAACAATGATTGCTTAATGAGATGGAAATGCCAGAACAATCTTAGCAGAGAAATAAGGAGGGAGTCAGATGCTTGAAGGGATGGGAATAATAGACTGGATTTGTTATGTGAGTCCAGAAAGCACACTGTATAATTATGTTTCCTGGGAAGGTGCATAGGCCAATAAGGAATCCACCATACACTGCTTAGGGTGGAAGAGAGTCTTTGAAAAGCTCAATGTTATTTATGGGTTCACATTGGATGATGATGCTTTTGAACTGGGCAAAATAGTTTCTAGACTAACTGAAGCCTGGTGTCAGCCCTTAACCAGCAGAGTTAGGAGGACATAATTACTATATGGGCACAGCAAGGCCAGAGGGACAACCAGGGTGCCCTGGACTTTTACAGGATCTAAATTAGTGGCTGATAGACCATGATGTTCCAGGGAACAATAGAGATGTGCAGGTAAACCTATGAAGGCATAACTTGGCTTACATAACTGGAAAAAATCAAAAGCTGATGAAGAGGGGGCTGAAGCTGGTCATTGCAATGTAAAGATGGTGGTCTGTCACCCAGGTTCCAGCTCTGAATTAGTTCTCATACCCTGAGCCCATTGTTTGAAGGGAAGATAGCATTTCTCAAGGAAGAAACCTGCAAAACTGCAGCAAACAAATGTAGTAGCAATTTCTCACAATGTTTCTCCAAGCAAATTGAGGCCATTTACCAGGGGAAACATATGCTGTGGAAACCAGACCTTTCAAATTCCCTACCACTTCCTGACAGAAGAGGCAAGACGTGGCTCACCTATTTAATAGGTGGATGTGAACTAAAAATACTGCTGCCATACTGCAGCCCCACTCATGGGTGGCTCTAAATGGTGTTGGAAGAGCCACCCTCCAAGCAGGCAGAGCTGCAGAGGCACACTTGACCACTGACACTGGGTGGAGGGAGAGGGAGCTGAGGTAAGAAGTAGACTCAGACACATGACTAGATGGTCAGGGACCCAGATGGAGGACGATTAGGAAAACGGGCACCAGGGAATCTGGGGAAGAGGCTTGAGAAGAGTCTCTTGGAGGTGTGTACCAAACGTGAGAATCTTTGTGTTTCTTTTTACTGCGTGCTTGAGGGCATCCACGGCAATGACCTCAACAGCAAGTGGACCGGAGACTTTTCTGTGCATTCCAGTATCTCTTCTCAGCTGCTTCAGTACATTTAACACCAAATAGAGCATGTATTTTGTTTACTGTCTGTCTAGAATATAGGCTATGTAAGGTCAGGCATTTTTGTCTGTTTTGTTGTTGTTATTATTCTTATTAACTAGAACAGACCCAGGCACATAGTAGATGCTTAATAAATATTTGTGAAAAAAATGAATACAATATTCATGCATCATTTTCTTTACATATCTGAAACTTTTCTTAGGATGGATTCCTAGAAGTGTATCTGATAATATATTATTTTAAAGTATAAATTTTATTTTAATAAATTGATGTTAATTGATACATATTTACCTGGGTATTAAAATTTTTGAGAACTTGTTACATATTGCATGATTGCTTCTGTACTGATTTGTACTTCTACCAGAGTTTCTAACTCAACAGCACTGATTTATAAATATTTTCCAGTTGGATAGGTGGAAAAATGCCCCCATATTTTGTTATTATTTGTGAAATTTAACATTCATTAGCAATTTGATTTTCTTCTCTCTGTTAATGTTATTCATTTTCTAATTAAGGATTCATCCATTTCAATGCATTTTTAAAAATAAAAATATTAAACTCTTGTGTGAGGAATTTATGAGGTATGTTTTGTTCAGTTTTATTACTGTCCTTTAAATTTTGTAGGCATTTCTGTTCTATAGATGTTTATTTATGTCTTAAGATAGCATATCCTTCAGTGTTCTAATTTGTGGCTGCTTCCATTGCCTTTATGCCAAGAAAGTCTGTCTTCTTCTGTAGGGCAATAAATATTCTTATGTTTGTACCTACTTTCTTTATACATCCAAATCGTTAATCTAAACAGGATTTATTTTGCTGTCTGGTGGTGAGAATCTAAATTCGATGTACTTTTAAAGAAAAAGCCATTTTTTACACTATGTCTTGAACAATCCATTGATCCTTGATATGGTTTGGCTCTGTGTCCCCACCCAAATTTCATCTTAAATTGTACTCCCATAATTCCCACGTGTTGTGGGAGGGACCCAGTGGGAGATAATTTAATCAAGGGGCAGATCTTTCTCGTGCTGTTCTCGTGATAGTGAATAAGTCTCATGAGACCTGATGGTTTTATAAGGTGGAGTATCCCTCCACAAGCTCTCTTTGCTTGCCGCCATCCATGTAAGAAGTTACTTGTTCCTCCTTGCCTTCCGTCATGACTGTGAGGCTTCCCCAGCCATGTGGAACTGTAAGTCCAATTAAATCTCTTTATTTTGTAAATTGCCCAGCCTCAGATATGTCTTTATCAGCAGTGTGAAGATGGACTAATACAATCCCTATTTAATTGTTATTCATCCTTTATATTAATTCTTGTGTGTGTGTGTGTTTGTGTGTGTGTATCTGTCTGTTTCTGATCTATGTGCTGTTTCATTGATATTGCTGTCTAGCCCAGAGTCATTAGTTGCTACTGACTTAAAAATGGCTTTACTGAGCTATAAGTCATACGCCATAAAATTCATCCTTTTAAAATGTACAATGTAGTTATTTTACTGTGCAACAATCACCACTATCTAATTTTAGAGCATTTTCATCACCCTGAAAAGAAACCCTAACTGCCTATTTTCCCCACCCACTAGATCTTGATGGAGGCACTAATCTGCTTTCCATCTCTGAGAATTTGCCTATTTGGGACATTTTATGTAAATGGAATCATACATTACTTTTTGTGTCAGGCTTCTTTCACTAAACATAATGTTTCAAGGTTCATCCATGTTGTGTCATGTATCTTCCATTCCTTTTTATGGCTGGATAATATTCTATTGGTTGTTTCTTCTTTCTTCTTCTGGAATTAGCACTACTCATAATTTAAAGCTTTGTCTTACACAACAACTTGCTTTCATTTTAATTTCTTATTTTTCTTTCTATTCTGAGATGAAATCTGTAGGTTGTTCTCTACATTGCTTAATTTCTTGCATATCTGTTTTACTCTCTTTCACTACTGATTTTAATAATTATTGTATTTTTAGTCTCATTGCAGTTTTTCCTTAAGGGAGTCAATTGTCAACTTTTCTAGTACTCTTTTTAATGACTTCTTGTTTGTCTTTTAAAAAGTGTTTTGCATATTATTGAGAAACTAAGCAAATGTTTATCAGTTCATTTTTTGTTGCATTGAGAAATAAATGCCACAAAGCTAAGCGTCATGTAACAGCATGATTATTACTTCTTACTCTTTCCGAAGTTTGTTGGATGATTCTTCTGCTCCAGGTTGGCTTGGCTGGGTACAGGTGGTCTAGGATTGCCTCACACAATTGTCTGCCAGTTGACAGGAATGCTATTCTTGGGGGCCTCAGCTGAGACATGTCTTTTATACTAAGGTAAGCTAGCCCAGACTTCTGCATATGGCAATCCCAATGTTCCATAGAGCAGCAAGAGAAGACAAGCACACATACACAAATACTTTGTAAGACTTGGCTTGCATCACATTTGCTAAGGTCTCATTAGTCAAGGCTAAGTCCAAGGCTAACCCAGAATTTAGTATGGAAAAGAACTACCAAAGGGAAAGGATAGAGAGTGCAAAATAATATGGGTTCATGTTTACAAACTTCATGTATTGAATATTTTCTTTATTTCTTAAAATAAATAACTTTCAGAGACATGCTTTTCCTTCAACTCATTGGGTTAATACTTCCATGATATTCTTCTTGAGTGTTCTTTTCATATTGGTTTTGGAATGTTTCGTAGTTTTTTGGTTTGGGTTTTTTTTTTTTTTTTGTAAGGAAGATCTTTCTGAACATAGTGTTTACCTCCATTTCACCTTAGTCTTGTTCACTTTATCATAAAAGGGTGGTATATAGCAGGCATGAAGCATGGTCTTCTCCCCTTCTTTTTTGGTCCCTTGACTGCCTGATAGTGGCTCTACTGCTCTACTCTATATGACAGTACATAAGTCGGTGCCAATTATAATATCGATTAAGTTTCACATGGAATTAATATAAATTCCATAAATCCTCTGTGAATAGTTGACTGCTATCTTTGGCTTTAAAAGGGGCTTTGGTAAATAGTGAAAGCAATCCTAAGCAAAAAGAGCAAAGCTGGAGGCATCACATTACCTGAATTTAAATTATACTAGAAGGCTATAATAACCAAAAGAGCATGGTACTGGTATAAAAATAGGCACATAGATAAATGAAACAGAATGGAAAACCCAGAAATAAAGCCACATACCCACAACCAACTGGTCTTCAACAAAGTCAACAGAAATATACACTGGGGAAAGGACATCCTATTCGCTAAAAGTTTTTCCTTCAATTTGATCTTGGAGAATCTGATGATTATGTGTCTTGGGGTTGATCTTCTTATGGAGTATCTTACTGGGGTTCTCTAGATTTTCTGAATTTGAATGTTGGCCTGTCTTTTTAGTTGGGGAATTTCTCCTGGATGATATCCTGAAGTATGTTTTCCAACTTGGTTCCATTCTCCCCATCTCTTTCAGGTGCCCCAATCAGTTGCAGGTTCAGTCTTTTTAAATAATCCCATAGATTTTGGAGGCTTTCTTCATTCCTTTTCATTCTTTTTCTCTAATCTTGTCTGCCTGTCTTATTTCAGCAAGATAGTCTTCAAGTTCTGGCTAAGCCCCTGGTGGCAGGGGTGGCTGTGGTCTCCAGGGATCAGGAGACTTAGTCTTTCCCTCTGCTGGCTCTGAGGAATCCAGGCAGCCCAGACAAGTGGGATTGTACCCAGCACAGTTCAACCCCGCTCCCAAGAGGGCAGACACACTGCTTTGTTAAGCAGGTCCTGGATCTCAAACTTACTGACTGAGTGAGACCCCCCAACTGGTGTTGCCAGACACCTTATACAGGAGCATTCCTGCTGGCATCAGTTTGGTGTCCCTCTGGGAAGGAGCACGCAGTCACCTTTGCTGTTCTGCAGCCTCCACTGGTGACACCTCCAGGTGCAGGAAGGACCTGGATGAATAGGGTCTGGAGTGGACCCCATGCAAACCACAGCATCACTACGGAAAAGGGGCCTGTCTGTCAAAAAAAACAGAAAGCAACAACAACAGCATCAACAAAAAGGTCCCCACAAAAACCCTATACAAAGGCCAGCAGCCTCAAAGATTGAAGCTAGACAAACTCATAAAGATGAAAAAGAATCAATGAAAAAACACTGAAAACTCAAAAAGCTAGAGTGCCTCTTCTCCTCCAAGTGATTGCAACACCTCTCCAGCAAGAGCACAGAATTGGGCGGAGGCTGAGATGGATGAATTGACAGAAGTAGGTTTCAGAAGATGGGTAATAATGAACTTTGCTGAACTAAAGGGGCATGTTCTAACCCAATGCAAAGAAGCTAACAACCATGATGAAACATTACAGGAGGTGTTAACCAGAATAATCAGTTTAGAGAGTAACATAAACCACCTAATGGAGCTGAAAAACACAACACAAGAACTTCACAATGCAACTACAAGTATCAATGGCTGAATTGACCAAGTGGAGGAAAGAATTTCAGAGCTTGAAGACTATCTTGCTGAAATAAGACAGGCAGACAAGAATAGAGAAAAAGGAATGAAAAGGAATGAACAAAGCCTCTGAGAACTATAGGATTATGTAAAAAGACTGAATCTATGACTGATTGGGGTACCCGAAAGAGATGGGGAGAATGGAACCTAGTTGGAAAACATACTTCAGTATATCATCAGGGAGAAATTCCCCAGCCTAAGAAGATAGGCCAACATTCAAATTCAGGAAATCTAGAGAACCCCAGTAAGATACTCCATGAGAAGATCAACCGCAAGACACATAATCGTCAGATCCTCCAAGGTTGAAATGAAGGAAAAACCCTTTTGTTAAGGGCAGCTAGAGACAAAGGCCAGGTTACCCACAAAGGGAAGCCCATCAGACTAATAGCAGACCACTCAGCAGAAACCCTACAAGCCAGAAAAAGTTGGGGGCTAACATTCAACATTCTTAAAGAAAAGAATTTGCAATCCAGAATTTCATATCTGAACAAACTAAGGTTCATAAATGAAGGAGAAATAACATCCTTTTTAGACAAGCAAATGCTGATGGAATTCATCATCACCAGGCCTGCCTTGTAAGAGCTTCTGAAGGAATCCCTAAATAGGGAAAAGAAAAACTGATACCAGCCACTACAAAAACACACTGAAGTACAAAGACCAATGACACTATGAAGAAATTGCATCAACTAGTATGCAAAATAACCAGCTAGCATCATGATGACAGGGTCAAATTCACATATAACAATATTAATCTTAAATGTAAATGAGCTAAGTGCCCCAATTAAAAGACACAGAATGGCAAGCTGGATAAAGAGTCAAGACCCATTGGTGTGCTGTATTCAAAGGTCCCATCTCACATGCAAAGACATACACAGACTCAAAATAAAGGGATGGAGGAAAATTTACCAAGCAAGTGGAAAGCAGAATAAAGTAGGGGTTGCAATCTTAGTCTCTGACAAAGTAGACATTAAACCAATAAAAATAAAAAAAGACAAAGAAGCACAATACATAATGGTAAAGGGATCAATGCAACAAGAAGAGCTAATGATCCTAAATATATATGCACCCAATAGAGGAGTGCCCAGATTTATAAAACAAGTTCTTTGAGACCTACAAAGAAACTTAGACTCCCACATAATAATAGTGGGAGACTTTAACACCCAACAGTTAATATTAGACAGATTGAGACAGAAAATTAACAGGATATTCAGGACTTGAACTCAGCTCTGGATCAAGTGGACCTGATAGATATCTACAGAACTCTCCAACAAAAACAACAGGATATACATTTTTCTCAGTGCCGTATGGCATTTATTCTAAAATCAATCACATAATTGGAAGTAAAACACTCCTCAGCAAATGCAAAAGAACTGAAATCATAACAAACAGTGTCAGACCACAATCAAATTAGAATTCAAGATTGAAGAACTCACTCAAAACCACACAACTACATGGAAATTGAACAACTTGCTCCTGAATGACTCCTGGGTAAATAATGAAATTAAAGCAGAAATCAAGAAGTTCTTTGAAACCAATGAGAACAAAGAGACAACATACCAGAATTTCTGGGATGCAGCTAAAGCAGTGTTAAGAGGGAAATTTATAGCACTAACTGCCCACATCAAAAAGCTAGAGGGATCTCAAAATCAATACCCTAACATTGCAACTAAAAGAACTAGTGAACCAAAAGCAAACAAACCCCAAAGCTAGCAGAAGGCAGAAATAAGCACGATCAGAGTGAAACTGAAGGAGATAGAGACATGAAAAACCCTTCAAAAAATCAATGATTCCAGAAGCTTGTTTTCTGAAAAAATTAATAAAATAGATAATACCACTAGCTAGACTAATAAAGAAGAAATGAGAGAAAATCAAATAGACACAATAAAAAATGATAAAGGGGTATCACCACTGACCCACAGAAGTACAAACAACCATCAGAGAATATTATAAACACTTCTATTCAAATAAACTAAAAAATCTAGAAGAAATGAATAAATTCCTGGACACACACATCCTCCCAAGATTGAACCAGGAAGAAGCTGAATTCCTGAATAGACCAATAACACATTCTGATATTGAGGCAGTAATAAATAGCCTACCAACCAAAAAAAAGCCCAGGACCAGATGGATTTACAGCTGAATTATATCAGAGCTACAAAGAGAAGCTGGTACCATTTCTTTTGAAATGATTCCAAACAATTGAAAAAGATGGACTTCTCCCTAACTCATTTTATGAGGCCAGCATCATCCTGATATCAAAACCTAGCAGACATACAATAAAAAGAGAAAACTGAGGCCAATATCTTGATGAACATTGATGCAAAAATTCTCAATAAAATACTGGCAAAATGAATCCAGCAGCACATCAAAAAGCTTATTCACCATGATCAAGTTGGCTTCATCTCTGGGATGAAAGGTTGGTTCAACATATGCAAATCAATAAGTGTAACACATCACATAAACAGAATTAAAGAAAAAAACCACATGATTATCTCAATAGATGCAAAAAAAAAAAGCCTTCAATAAAATTAAATATCCCTTCACGTTAAAAGCTCTCAATAAACTACATATTAATGGAACATACTCAAAATAATAGCCATTTATGACAAATCCACAGCCAATATCATACTGAATGGGCAAAAGCTGGAAGCATTCCATTTGAAAACAGGCACAAGACAAGGGTGCCCTCTCTCACCACTCCTATTCAACATATTATTAATAGTTCTAGCCAAAGCATTCAGGCAAGAGAAAGAAATAAAAGATATTCAAATAGGAAGAGAGGAAGTTAAACTGTCTCTGTTTGCAGATGACATGATCCTATATCTAGAACACCCTGTTGTCTCAGCCCAAAAGCTTCTTAAACTGGTAAGCAACTTCAGCAAAGTCTCAGGATACAAAATAAATGTGCAAAAATCACAAGCATTCCTATGCACCAACAGTAGAGGAGCAGAGAGCCAAATCGTGAATGAACTCGCATTCACAACTGCCACAAAGAGAATACAATACCTAAGAATACAGCTAACAAAGGAAGTGAAGGACCTCTTAAAGGAGAACTACAAACCAGTGCTCAAGGAAATGAGAGAAGACACAAACAAATGGAAAAACATTGCATGCTCATAGATAGGAAAAATCAATATCATGAAAATGGCCATACTGCCCAAAGTAATTTATAGATTCAATGCTATTTCCATTAAACTACCACTGAGATTCTTCACAGAATTAAAAAAAAAAAAACTACTTCACAATTCATATGGAATCAAAAAAGAGCCCATATAGTCAAGACAATCCAAAGAAAAAAGAACAAAGCTGGAGGCATCAGGCTACTAACTTCAAACTATACTACAAGGCTACGGTAACCAAAACAGCATGGTACTAGTACAAAAACAGACACATAGACTAGTGGAACAGAATAGAGATGTCAGAAATAAGACTGCACATCTACAACCATCTGATCTTTGACAAACCTGACACAAACAAGCAATGGGGAAAGGATTTCCTATTTAATAAATGGTGCTGGGAAAATGTCTGGTCATATGCAGAACATTGAAACTGGACCCATTCCTTACACCTTACACAAAAATTAACTCAAGATGGATTAAAGACTTAAATGTAAAACCCAAAACTATGAAAACCCTAGAAGAAAACCTAGGCAATACCATTCAGGACATAGGGATGGGCAAAGATTTCATGATGAAAATGTCAAAAGCAATTGCAACAAAAGCAAAGGTTGACAAATGGGACCTAATTAAACTAAAGAACTTCTCCACAGCAAAAGAAACTATCATCAGAGTGAACAGACATCCTACATAATGGGAGAAAATTTTTGCAATCTACCTATCTGACAAAGGTCTAAAATCCAGAATCTACAAGGAACTTCAACAAATTTACAAGAAAAAACAACCCCATTAAAAAGTGGGCAAAGGAAATGAACAGACACTTCTCAAAAGAAGACATTTCTATGGCCAACAAGCATATGAAAAAAAGTTCAACATCACTGATCATTAGAGAAATGCAAATCAAAACCACAATGAGATACCATCTCATGCCAGTCAGAATGGTGATATTAAAAAGTCAAGAAACAACAGATGCTGGCAAGTCTGTGGAGAAATAGGAATGTTTTTACACTGTTGGTAGGAATGTAAATTAGTTTACTCATTGTGGAAGACAGTGTGGTGATTCCTCAAAGACCTAGAACTAGAAATACCATTTGACCCAGCAATCCCATTACTGGATATATATCCAAAGGAATATAAATCATTCAACTATAAAGATACATGCATTTGTAGGTTCATTGCAGCACTATGCACAATAGCAAAGACGGGAATCAACCCAAATGCCCATCAGTGGTAGACTGGATAGAGAAAATGTGGTATATATACACAATGGAGAACTATGCAGCAATAAAAAGGAATGAGATCATGTCCTTTTCAGGGACATGGATGGAACTGGAAGCCATTATCCTCAGCAAGCTAACACAGGAATGGAAAACCAAACACCTCATGTTCTCACTTGTAAGTGGGAGCTGAACAATGATAACACATGGACACAGGGAGGGAAACAACACACACTGGGGCCTTTTGGGGTTGGGTGCAGGGGAAGGGAGAGCATCAGGATAAATACCTAATGCATGCAGGGATTAATACCTAGGTGATGGGTTAATAGGTGCAGCAAACCACCATGGCACATGGTTATGTAACAAACCTGCACATCTGCACATGTATCCTGTGACTTAAAATTAAATTTTAAAAAATTCTGGTAAATTATCTAGCATTTTAGCTGTTTCCTTTATATAAGCCATTTGAATTAACTTTTCCACTGATAAGATATTTCTTGGAGACTAAATCAGGTACTTGTGTGAATATGCTGTTTATTTGGAAGGCATCACAAAATTTTTACTCTGTTCTTTGTTTAATAAAGAAAATGTTGCTAGTTTCCTAGATAAAGCTCTCCTAATATAATTAAGCAATGCACCAAATGCAGCAAGAGTTTAGTTATTCAATAAATATTTATCAAATCCCTACAATCCACCCGGCACCATACCTACTGTTTTCTTGCTTAAAGTATCTTGGGGATATGATGTAATAAAAAACAGTTGTTCTCAATGTTACTGTGTGTAGAATCAGCAGAGTTGCTTGGTAAAAGGCAGATTCTCAAGCTCCTACATGAGATTCTGATTCAGTAAGCCTGGGTGAGGCTAAGGATATGTTTATTACAAATACTCTGGTTGACTCTGATGTAGGTGGGCCATATCAGATCGTGCTGCGAAAAATGCTGGGCTGGAGAAAAGATAATCAGGTGGCTGAATTCTAATCTAGGAATTAGATTACTGTCACTTGCTACTTACTAGTTATATAACTTGTTTTATAATAGGCATCTGACACCTAATATCTGTTCAAGAAATATTTGTTGAATAAATGAGCTTACCTCTGTTTCCTTATCTTCAATATCAAGGTTTGGAAGAAAAACCTGCCATGAATGTTGTGTGTATTAAATTAAGTGGGATACAGCTCACCTTGATATATATTTGTGGCTGAAAAAATGTAACTCTTGGCTGGGCCCAGTGGCTCACGCCTGTAATCTCAGCACTTTGGGAGGCCCATGCGAGCAGATCACTTGAGGCCAGGAGTTCAAGACCAGTCCAGTCAACGTGATGAAACTGTCTCTACTGAAAATACAAAAAGTAGTCAGGTGTGGTGGCACATGACTGTAGTCCTAGCTACAGAATTGCTTGAACCCAGGAGGCAGAGATTGTGGCAACAGAACAAGACTCTGTCTCAAAAAAAAAAAAGTAACTTTTTCTCTGCTTGCTGCAAGTTACTTTCACAGCATATTTTGTTCAGAACAATCAATAATAGATTATTTCTAGAATAAAGCAGTATCAAAAAAGCTGTGCATAGACTTTTGCCTTTTGAGATGATCAAAGGTGACCTTTGTTACACAGACATACCAATAATGTATATTGTAACAAAGTGATTCAAAATGAGATGTCACAATTAAGCTGCAGAAACCACCACCCCAAAGATAACATATGTTGTTTAGTGTGATGATTATTCTTGGTAGAGTTAGGTATAAAAAGTACAATCTTTCCCCCATTATAGTTTGTATTTATTACTGTTAGGCCATGGTTTTATTTCTCTGCAAAATGTCATATATTCTGCAAAATGGAATTTGTAGAGTAACTGATTAGGCAATAAAGCTACCTCCACTGTTAATGGCAACACACATTCTGGAAATATGAGCAAATTCCTGTTGGCTATAGTTTAAGATACAATTTCTACAAATGGCAATTGGAAAATACACAAAAGTGTTAGTAAGGTATATTACCTTGACCTTCTCAGAGTGAGGATATTCTAAAAATGTGAAGTATAAATATTTGAAAATGTTGTTATGATACAAAAAGCCTCTGGCAGAGTCTCTCTGGTATTGCAGAAAGTTGATATATATATATGTATATATACATACACACACATCAACTTTATATATATGATATATATAGATATACATATATCAACTTTATATATATGTATATATATCTCATATATACATATATATATCTCATATAAATGTATATATGAGATATATATCTCATATATAAATATATATATTTATATATAAAAATATATATGTATTTGTGCATTTGCATTTCTCCTTTATTCATGGATCTAGACATTTCTGTTTAGTTATAATCATCTGACATGAGATTTGGAAGGGAATTTATAGATCATCTAACCCAGTGATGACAGACATGAGGCATCATGCCCCCATTCCCCAGTCTGTGCTCATGGCAGATATTGTTAATCAAACTCACATTTCTTTCCAGGCAGATTGTCTGATCATGGATTCCTTCAACACAGGACTCCTGGAAGCCATAATAGAGCAATTAAGTTTGACATGCAATGAAAGTTTGGCCATGCCTTATTTAGATTATGAAAGATCACACAAATGTTAGTGGCAGAATGAGATTTCAATTCTAGGTCTGGCTTTTCCCACTGTGAGCAGCTTTCCTAGGCACATGGACACTGGGAGGGCATGGGCCAGTGAAGAGAACCTGAGGGAGGAGGATCCTTCTTCCACGTTCCTAGCTTTGGCTCTCAATCTAATTCTGCAGTGCGACTTCAGACAAATCACTTCATATTTCTGGGCCTGTAACATTTCATGCCTATGAAGTTAAGGATAATTATCTACCTCCTAGGGCTTTTATGAGCATCAAAGTATGTAATGGATGTGAATGTGTCTTTTATGTTTTAATGTAAGTGAATTTATGTGGTCACAATAAGATGCATCTTCCTAGATCTTCGAGGCAGCCATTTCTTTTCTAGGTGTCTGAGGAATTACGCTTTTAAGTACCAAGTATTTTGCTTTAAACATTTTAGATGAAAGTCTTCCTATAATGGGTTGCAGTTTACTGATCTTTTAGGGAGAACACAATAAACATAATTTGATCTTCTGAATGACTCACTGGCATTAAGAAAATTAACCTTTAAAAGATGATTCCCAGGAATGTACTTTGGCATGTAAGAATGTTGGTCTTCCTACTGACTGGGTCTGAAGAGCTGTGGCTTTTCTGACTTCTTAATGAATTTGTTAAGCTCTGCTTAATGAATTTGTTCAGCCTTCTCTTATATTGTTAACTGGGATTTCTTTTTTTTTCCCCAATCAGATGTCTTCTAGAAGTATCTCTCTCCCCTGAATTGCCTTTTCTACCTTGCTGTGGGTCAATTAAAGAGATAATTAACTTTTTGTAAAAAATTAAATCATGGTCATAATAACAACATTGATATTTCTGTGGTACTTACCATATGCTAGGTCCTCTGCTAAGTGCTTTTGAAGGGTATTTTTTCTTCCTTTTCCCTACAACAACCCTATGAGGCAGGTCAAAATCTTGAAGTCATCCTCAACTCCACTCTTCATCTTACATATAATTATTCCTGTTGGTTCTACTCTCATAATGTATCTGGAATCCAATTTCTTCCTACCATGCTCATAAGCACCACATTGTCCAAACCATCAGTTCTCACATGGCTGCCTACCTGGCCTCCCTGCTTCTGGGCTTCCCCCTTTAGTCTGTTACCAATACAGCAACCAGAGTGATCAGATGAGACACAAATCAGTTCATCTTACTCCCCTGCTCCAGTGCCTGTGAATGTCCTTTCCCCTCTTACCCAGAGCACAGGTCAAAGTACTTACCATGGCCCTCTAAGTCCAGATGTCCTGCTCTCATTTCCTCTTTCACCTCCCCTCTTGTGGTTTCATCAACGTCATCCATATCTGCCTCTTTCTTGTACTTTAAACTCACCCATCTCATTTGGGCCTCAGGGCCTTTGCACATGCTGTGGCCCCTGCTTGGAACATTGTTCCCCCAGGATTCCAATGGCCCACTCACTCCCTGCTATGCTTTAAACGTTTGTGTCCCACACAAATTCATATATTGAACTCTTAACCCTCAAGGTGATGGTACTAGAAGGGAGGTGATTAGGTTGTAAGTGTGGAGCCCCCATGAATGGGGTTAGTGCCCTTATAAAAGAGGCCCATTAGAAATCCTCTGCCCCTTCATGTGAGGACACAGTGAGAAGGCACCATCTATGAGCCAGGAAGCAGCCCTCACCAGACACCAAATCTGCCAGTGCCTTGATCTTAGCTGTCCAGCCTCTAAAACTGTCAGAAATAAATTTGCTATATATAAGGCACATAGTCTAAATTATTTTGTTATAGCAGCCAGAATAGACTAAGATGCTGTGCTTTTCAGGTCTCTGCTCAAAAGCCTGCCTTGGCTATCCATACTCCCTATCCACCTTCCTTGCAGTGTTTCTCTCAATGCATCCACCATCTAACACACAATATATTACTGATCTATTTTATTCATTGCCTCTCTTCCTCTATTTGAACATTGTCTGTTTTGTTCACTACGAAATCTCTGAGGACTAGAACAGTGTTTGGCACTTATTTGAAGCTTCAAATGAATGAATGTATGCATGTACCATTGTTATAAACACACAGAACAGGAAAGTGTGGCTTTGGCAGTAAACTGAAGAGGCAGAGTTGGGATTTGAAAGTGACACCTATAGACTCTAAGATATGTTTGAATTTTTTCCAGAGGGACAGTACATGGGCTGTGGATTGAGGTTCCTTTCTGGAGTCAAATGAATGGGCCACAGGAATGGGAGTATTTGGTTAGTTCTATATTTTCTGTGCATTCAGATTTTTTTCTCCCTTTTGATTTTTAGAATTTCAGGTAAGTGAGATGGCTAGATGCAGTCATTTGTTCTCCCATCAATTTATCAAACCAGTTGTTTCTCAGCAAAGAGACACTGGTGCTTCCTGTGTGCCAGGCGTACGGGAGGTTCCTGCTCTCCTCTTGCTGATGGCCTTACCATGTACTGTGACAAGTTCTCAGCCAGGGTGAACTCAAGATCCTGTGAGGGTTTGTAGACATCTGGTTCCTCCCAGGGAAGCCTGTGGAGGCTCTGAGAATGGGGAAGCCTTGGTCAGTTCCTAAAGATTCCAGCAAAGTCTGACCCTGAGGGTTGCTTGAGGTCAACAGTGCAATACAACAGAAGGCTTGGCATTTCTGGTGTTGGAGAGCTACAGGTAGGTGTGTAAGGCTGGATGTTAGTCAGAGGCTGCAGTGAGGGATGTGGCAGGAAGTGAGGCTGGGCTGGGTCAGAATGTGCCTTGGCTATTATGATTATTATTTGTGAATAACAGAGAGCAGTATTTTAAAAAATATAAAGATAAGTCTTTGTTTTACAAAGCATTGTTTTTTCTTGATAAATGCCTTCAATGTAGGAAGTACAGGGTCAACTCCAATATCACAGTCTCCAGGAAGCCTTCCTTTAGGCTAAGGGATGTTCCCCTCCTCTGGGCTCCCACAATACTTTCTGCTCAAAATTGCCAGTGAACTTGTCTCTCTCCTCCCGTGCTGAGTCTCTGAGGCCTGGTGCAGAGTCTTAGGCATATCTTTAGCCCCAGCACAGAGTCTCAATGGCCCAAACATTTTTGGAAAGAAATTTTCTAAGTGCATTTCATATGCATTTTGACTTGACAATGCTGCTGTACTCCTTTTCAGGAACGAAGCAAAACAAGGTGCATTGATGTGACCAATTAGACCCAAGGGTATTTGTGTGATACTCATATCAGATTACTTTAGTGAAAGACATGTTGTGACTTCAGGGGAAATGCATGCTTTGTAAGTAGCTTTTCCTCAGCTGCTTCCTGGTGGAAACTGGAATGCCAAAAGCTTGTCCTGGGCCCTCCTTTGGGACCTGTGAGGCTCAGCGTCTTCTCTGAAGTTAGGCCTGTGAATGGCTGCTGATTGGTGTCCCCAGGGAACTCGGGCAGGGCACCTTCCCCTGCTGATTAGAGGAGTGAAAGTAGCTTATAGATGGCACTCTCCTCCCTACCTCCCCTGAAAAGACACTGTCTTCAGATGTGGCATCTGAGAGGTATACAAGGCACAGGAGAGGCCCTCTGGGTGTTTCCTCATATGCATGGGCCTTTTGTTTCCCGCAGGAAAGATCCTTGTAATTAACATACAGACTTAGGTGTTATGCTGCCTCAGAAAGTGTTTGTGTGTTGAGTTCCAGGGAAAGGCATTTGCCACTTTGCCACTCATGAAATAGCAAACTACTTGGGGCAACTCAATCATTAGTTCATCCATGGGTTGCTTGATTTATTCAGCAAGTCCTTTTTCAATACTAAGGGCGTCTGAACCAGCACTGTGGGTGCAGCAATACATAGGGCATACTGTTCATGCTCCAGGGAGCTTCATTCATTCATTCATCCATTTATTCATTCACATAGTGGTGAAGGGCACGGTCTTAGAAGCCAGACTGCCTGGATTTGAACCTCAGCTCCATCCCATATTAGCAGAATAACTTGACAAGTCATTTAACGTCTGTGTGTTTCATCATAAAATGGTGATGATAATGGTACCTAGTTCATATGGTTCTTATGAGGGATGCTTGCCACATGGCAAGTGCTGTATCGTGGAAAATACTCAATGAAATCTACCACGTGTCAGTTCAGTACTAAACACAGGCAACACAGTGGGGAATCATACAGATTTAAGCCCCATTTTTATGAACCATCTAGTCTAGAGGGAGACAGTCATTACTCAAATGAGCACAGATCACATCTACATATATGTCATTACATGTGCAATAAGGACCATGGTAAAACAGTACAGGGCACCATGCAAGCAAAAGAACAATGTTCCCTGGTTGGTTGAAATGTTGTCAGTGTATCCTAAGAGGCTAGAAGAGTACACGGCATTAGTGGGCACTTAGGAAATACCCCTTGAATGAATACAAATTCCTTGGAGCTGAGGCCCAAGGATGAACAGGAATTAAGTAGATATAGAGAGAAAGAAGTGAAGAATTCCAAGAAAAAGAAGCATCATGTGCGAAGGCTCTGGGTGGGAGGGAATGTGACACCTTCCAGGAATGAAAAGGGCACTGTGATGGCAACACAGGCAAGACAGGCAGAGTGGGATGAGATGGGGCTGGAGAGGGATACTGGGACGAGAGCCATGAAAGCCATGATCAAGCCCTGATGTTTATTCTGAGAGCAATGAAAACCACTGAAAACTTTTAAATAGGGGAGTAATCGAATCAGGTTTGTATTTTTAAAACATCACCTTTGGTGCAGTGGGAGAGTGGATGTGAGCCGAGTGCATGGGGATGGGACCATTTAGAGGCATAGTAATTGGCTTTCTCTAGAATAAGATGCAGAAACAATCTCCCCAATGTCTTGGTGGCACCCACAGCAAAGCTTTATTTCTTGCTCATACTGTATGGCATTGGCCCTGTTCCAAGTCTCCTCTTCATTCTGGGATCCAGTGTGAAGGTGCAGATTTTATTTGGGATATTCTGTTCTCACAGCAGAGGATAAAGGGCTATGGCTGACCACAGGAGGGTTCAAGTACCTCTGCAACATTCTTGTGGTGATAGCAAGTATGTCAATATAAGCATGAGTCTGGAGTGAGGAGGATGCATCTCTGTTGGAGACAGTATTATGAAACTCATTGACATTTAGAATGCAATCAGCATATTGTCTAATGGAAGGAGGGAGAAAGTTACAAACAGTTGAGACAGAAGGAAAATTTGCTTTAAAGGTAAGGACCCAAACCAGTGCAAGCAAAGAGGAGACATGGTGACTAGTCAGGGGAGGGAGGGAGTGGAGGATGGGGATCAGGGAAGGCTTCCAACAAGTGGTGGCTGCTGGTCAGGAGAGGGGGATTGGAAGAGTGTTCCAGATCATAAAAGCTGGGGTAGGTTGGGGAGGTGAGGAGAGGATACCTGACATCTTCATTTGTGTGCGAAAAGAAAGGATGGAATATTTTCTTCTGTAAAGGTTCTTAATGAGCTAGAAGACAAATACACAAAGCATGGAAACATAAGATTAACTTTTTAAATAGGAAAACCCTGATCACACCCATTGCCATGAGTACACGTAAGAGAGTCCTGGAGGGCATGTTAATGTCCCCACACTGTATGTGAAACATGCACAGCTGGTTCTGTCGTGGAAGCTTCGGTGCTAAGGAGTTGGTGATAACAACAGTGGTTGTGTGTACTCAATGCTTGCTGTGTGTGCCAGGCCCCTTCAAAGGGCTTTATGTGCACGATCTAATTCTCAAACAATCTGATGGGGTCACTATTGTTATTATTCTCATTTTACAGCTGAGGAGACAGAGACACTGACAGGCTAACTTAACAGCTTGCTTATGCCAGAGGGAGCCACTCAATCCAAGAGCCTGGCTCCAGACTCAGTGTTCTTAACCATAGTTACTGAGTTTTTTTTTTTTTTTTTTTTCCATTGGCTTATCTGAGGCTGCCTGTTACAGTGGAAAGAGCTCAGATTCTGGTGTCAGACCCAGCTTGGGTTGAACCATGGCTCTGCAGTTTCTTAATACTGTGAGATCTGCAAAGTAACTTAGCCTTGTTGAACTCACTTCTCTTTCTGAGAGGCAGCAATGCCTAGCTGGTGGGATTGCTGGGTGAGTCAAATAGCACAGCCTGCACAGGGAATCAGGCCCAGGAAGGTGTTAAATAAATATTAGCTGGAGTGAAATGAGGGGTCATGGCATATTGCTTTTCCTTCAACCCCACTTAAAAAATATTAAGTGAGAGGATTTTTACTTTTTAAAATAAAACTGTTAAGCCCATTAATGGCCCATGAAATGATATTTTCTTACAGCAATGACCATATATAAGTGGCATTAAGTGAAAGATTCTTGGGTGATTACAGCAAGGACCCTAATTATTGAGAGCTATGTTAAAGAAACAGTCCAAAGTAGGAGGGTTGTGGAAGGAATCACGGTGCATCCATGCAATGGAAATAAATACTCTAAATGGTTACAGTGATAACTGCTCTTCTCTCTGGGGTGAATAATAGCAGGTGATATTTACTTTAATCATCCTTTTAAAAAAACATTATGAATGTATTACTTTTCCTGCAGGAAAAATTTTTTAAAAAGCGAGAAAAACAAAGAATGAGATCAGCTTTGGAAAACTGTTATTTTGGATACACAGAAACCAGCCTCCCAAGAGGCTCTTGTTTTGCCTAATTGATTACTGACAAATCTTGATAATATGGGTGTTAAGTGCCAGGTGCTTATCTGTGCTAGCTGAGGCAGTTTCCCTTGCAGGTTCTACTCGGATTATATTATGAGCATCCACTCTGGAGGGGAGGGAACCTTCAGAGGGAGCAGGCTGGGAGACAGAGATGTGGTGGCCTCAGGTTTGACCTGAGCTGGTATCAGCATTTAAGAGGATTGGGTCTGAGGGGCAAAGCAAACTAGCAAGAGGGGCTGGTGAAGGTCAATGGTCAATGGTGAAGACCAGGAGGGGAAAAGGCAAGGCATGTTTCCGGAAATGAAAATCTGCAGTAAAACCCAGGATTTGGAGAGCAGGGCAGGATCCATTAGGGAAGGAGGCTGGCTGTGTGGCCTGTGTGGTGTAATAAAAAGATCTATTTGGTCTTTGTTTCAGGTTCCTGGCACAGAGCAACAAAAATCCTTGGAATTTCCTTAAAGAGATAAATGTCTTTTCTTAAATTCATAATGAAACCCTTTTGGCCACACCTGAGTTTGTGGTAATGAGGCAACTCCTTGAGGGCCCTAGATAGCTTCAGGATGGGGGCTGGTTGCCAGAAAAACCAACTCAGTGATTTCATGGTGAGAGTTTTCAGCTCCAACCCCCAGTGCCCAGGGAGAGAAGAGAGGCTGGAGGTTGAGTTCAATCACCAATAGCCAATGCCTTAATTAATCATGCCTACATAATGATACCCCAATAGAAACCGTTAACAGACAGGGTGTGGGAGCTTCTGGGTGGGTGTGCACATCCATGTGCGGGGAGGGTGATTTGCCTAATCAATTAGGGGAACTCTGCGCTTTCCCTCACCCTCATACCTTGCCTTATGCATCTCTTCCATTGGATTGTCCCTGGGTTCCATCCTTTATAATAAACTGAAAACGTTAGGAAAGCATTTTCCTGAGTTCTGTGAGTTCTTACAAATTATCAAACCTGAGGAGGGGGTCGTGGGAACCTCCAAATTTATAGTTGGCCGGGAAGAAATGTGGGTAGTCTGGAAACTCCATTTGTGGCTGGAGTTGGAAGTGGGACAGTCTTGTAGGACTGAGCCTTTACCTGTGGCTTCTGCTAACTCTGGGTAGTTAGTGTTGGAACTGAATTGAATTGTTGGGCACCAATTGGTGTGGAGGAACTGGATAATCAATTATTAGTGTGGAAAATAAGAAGTATTTGGTGTCAAGAGGAAAAACACACAGAATGGGTCAAACAGGTTGAGTTATAGTCCCGGTTGAGAAGCTGGGTGTACAAAAGGCACCAAATCAGAATCCTGGGTGGGGAGCCAGGGCAAGCAGACTGTGTTTGGGGAACATTGTATGATGAAGTACAGAAATAATCACACTTCGGAAACAAGACTTTCAGCACTACTGGTGAGGTGGTGATAGGATGAAACCCAGAATTAAGGGTGAGGTGCTCTGTGCATGGCCCCCAAATGGTCTGATGTCATGGCAGCATTTTGGTTCTCTTTCAGCCCAACCACGAGTGGCATGCTGCATCAACTCACATTTTAGATAGCCCAGAGCAGCTTTGCCAGCAACCAAGGTGGAAAGGCTTACCATGGGAATGCATGCTCAAAAATAATGAATTTTATATAGTAAGTAAAACCTGATCAAACTCTAATTTCCAATTCCCCAGACTTTTGGGTTTTGTCAAAATACCAAATAATTCTTTCTTTCTTTTTCTTTTTCTTTTTTTTTTTTTTAGAGACAGAGTCTTGCTCTGTCACCCAGGCTGGAGCACAGTGGCTCAATCATAGCTTACTGTAACCTTGAACTCCTGGCCTCAAGAGATCCTTCTGCCTCAGCCTCCTAAAGTGTTGAGATCACAGGCATGAGCCTTCATGCCCGGCCATTTCTTTTAGGTATTATATATCTTTTAAAAGACATTTGGAAGCCATGTTTGGACTTGGTATAAATCTTGCACATCCATCTGAACTCTTCTTGATTCTTTATTTTTCACAAATTTGAACTTTTCCTTGTTTTCAGAGCTTATCAGAACTTTTATCTCTCCTGGTCTTTTGTGTTTGTGTGAGCATGTGCAAGCATGTGTGTGCATGTGTGTATGTATGCATGTGTGTGTGTGTGTATATGTAGTGTGAGGTGAGGAGAGAAGCATATTTAGACCTCTGATCTTTTTCCTGTGCTTCTCTTTCTCACTTAAATCTTTTAGTCTTTGATTATTACATTATACTGGTATAAGAGGGTATTAAAAAAGGACTAGTTGTCTCAGTTTTGGCTGAGAAACCAAAGGCTAATGCAGTTGATGTCCAGGTCATCCACACCCTAACGTGGGATGTTGGGTCACTTACGCAGAGATGCTAAGAGATGGGAACTCTGCTCATCATCACTGGAAGCCATCCGTCCACCGTCTGAAGAGGTGGCATGAACCATTGGAAGGGATTTATCTGCAGGAAGCGTTGGTGTGTGCACCCCTACTGATTTCTCTTTTCCTCTGCACTTGGTCCTTACCTCAGGCTGAGTCAGGGGGGCTTCATGGAGGAAAATCAGAGAGCTGGCCTAGTGTCTCCTGGAATTCAGGAATCATAAGGCCTGGTGTGTGAATCCCATCTGGGGAGACACAAGGAGCAAGGGTGTGGCAGGTGGCCTATTTGGGAGTAGGGAAGGAGAGGTGCTGCAATGTTGGGAGTTGCCCTTTACCCTAAAATGGGACCCAAATACACTAGTGTTTCTGCAAACCAAGAAGAGTTACGTGGGGTCCAACTCCAGAGGACAGCAGTGGGAGCTCAGTGGAGAGCTGGGACACTAGAGCCCAGGTTGCAAGTAGGCTGAGAGATGAGCAGCTATTTCTGCAACAAAAGCTGTAGTTGGAGGTACCCCCTGGGGAAGGGGCTCTCCAGAGTCTGCATAGAAGCACCCATGACAGAAAGAGCCTCCAATGTGCATCTGCTACCACCAGGGGGAACAGATTCTGGGTTTTGTCTCCTCCACACTGTCCTGTGCCCTTGCCCCTCATCACCTTGTCTTCTCCATTTCCTGCTGGTATTAGAAAGAGCTGCTAAGAAATTGGAGAGTGGGTGAGTGAGGGACAGAGAAAAATATCCCACTCACATTCCCCTCTCCTATGACAGGCCTGGGGTTTGCAGTGTCGGGGGAAGCGTGACATAGGACAAGACATGGTTTTGATTATGACACTGGGTGCGTTTAAATTGTTAAAAACCAGGACCATTCCTATGACAAAGTGACCGGAGGATGTTTTATTGTTTAGCGGTGACCACAGTGATTGGAACCTGCCTGAGGTCCATCTGCAGGCAGGGAAAGAGGATTCAAGACAGCAAGTTTAGTGGAGGACACGGGTTAAGGCATTGTTTGCTTGTATCCTGTCATCCCTAGCCTGTTTAGTGAAATGGTTACAAACAAGCACGTCTTTTGGTAAAAAGTGATAACTTTGCAGAGAAAGCTAGAGTCCCCCCTGGACAGCACTCAGCAGTCTCTAGAGACCTCATCTCTAGCTGCGCTGGCCATTTGATGTGTGTTCCTCTTGATGGTTTCTTGGAAAGGGTATGATTTTACATATACAAAAACCCCTCTATCTTTTTTTCTGTCTCTCAATCTCTTTCTCTCTCTCTCTGAGTGTGTATATATACACACATACATACACACACACATATCTATCTGTATATAAAGCATTTTTATTGTGTTCATGTATAGGATTTATTTACATGATGTTATCTTCCATGCACTGTCCTGAAGTTTGTTTTTTTCACTTAACAATGTGTCCTGAAAATATTTCTTTGTCGTTTTATACAAGTTAATTTAATTCTTTTTTAACTCATGCATGGTATTCCACAGTTTAGTCATTCTGTGTATTTTTTAAACAAATCTCTTATTGATGGATGTTTAGAGAGCTTCCAAATGCTTACTCTCACAGATAGTATTGCCAACACCATACATACTGTTTCCTTTGCCTGAAATGAATTCTTTCTGTCCTTCCAATTGGCCTAATTCCATTGGTCTCACAAGTTTTAAATCTAATGTTCCCTCCCTTGCCTGGCCATTCTTGACTTCCCCAGGCCAATGGATGCCCCCTTCCCTATGCTGTTACTGCTAATTATGCGGTATATATGCTCTGTTTGGTAGACTAGATTATGGTTCAGCACGTACTCACTCTCTCTCACCAGCCTCCAAAGAATATGCTTTCTTGGCCCTTTGATGTTGAACTTAGTCACGTGATTTTCTTTGGCCAAAAGAATGTGGGCAGAAGTGACAGTGTGCCCCTCTGAGCAAGGGCTTGTAAGAGGCACAGAAGGTTTCCCTATGCAGATGTTGCCTCTTCTACCTGAGTCCTGGAATGTAGAGATGTGGAGCAGATCTGACCCCAACCTGAAGCCTGGAATTAACCAGGCTCAGGCAAATCCACCCAAGATCAGCCAAATACAGTCTCTCTGCAGACCTGTGAAAATAGATGAATGTCTGTTGTTAGGACACTGGGATCTGAGGATTGTTCATTGTCTGGTGATGCCACAGTAAAAAGTTGACTAATAATGTACTCTGTCAAAGCATTAACCATTCTGAGTCGTAACTGTTTGCAGTACTGGTTCCTCCGGAAACCAAGGTCTTTCAGAACAGGATTTCCAGAGCCAAGAGCTCTGGAAGGCATTGCAGGAAGCACACTGCAGGCATTTCATAACACTCAGAAGCATGAAGAATATCTTCCTTGACTGGTTTTCATAAACGGATGCTCTAGGAGCATGTTTAGAGCTCCTGGAGACCCTGCAGCATCATATATAGCGTATGTGGTGCTCCTCAAAAATACCCACAGAAATCATGAGCTGCCAATATAAGGGAACAATGCTAACCAACATTAACGTTCATCCTAAGAAAATATTGCTGTCAAAGGGGCATTTTCTTTATCTGAGGCATTTCCTCAGATAAAATAACATGTGGAGGACTAGAAAATTTGGAAATTGCATCAGTTGAGGTAATGCTACTCTTTTGATAGATAAACCCTCAAATCTCAGTGGATTAACACAATAAAAGTTTGCTCACCATTTGTCCATTTGGCAGCAAGCGGAGGGAGGATAAACTGAATTGCCTAGTTATTCAGAGACCCTAAACCTTTGTTTGGCTCTCTGGCTTCTGAGGTCATGCTGGGCATTCACCTCCCATTAGAAGATAGGGGAGTAGCCTGGAAATGACATATATCACATGTGCATATTTCATTGGCCAGAACTCAGTCACATGATCACCCCTAACTGCATGGCAGGCTGGGACATGTAGTCCATCTGCATGGAAAAAAGTGTGATGAACAGCTAACCTGTCTCATACACATGAGGAAAAGATATTCCCTTAGAAAATAGCTCAGAAGCTGTAATCCTACCCAGCAAAGAAGAGCAGTAAGGAGAAATGACTCTATTTAAACTGTCAGCATCCTAGTTTTCCCATCATCAAAATGAAGCTGGTAATTCCCATCCTTTGACCTGACAGGGTGATGTTGAAGAAAAAGATAGTTAAAAAATCAGGATATAAAAGTGAAGTGTGAGTTGAGAAGGGTGGGAGGCCTCTTACTCCTACCATAGTTCACCAATCCCTGAGTCCTATTAGTTGACTTCCTGTATAGCTCTCAACTCTGGAAGCTTCTCTCAATTCCACATCATTGTAATTGTGCAGGCCAACATCATCTCTAACATCCTGACTGATTTTGTTTCAAGTCATGTTCTTATTCTCCACATATCTGTCAAAATGACCATCCTAATGTGCAGATATGGTTTGTATTAGTCTGTTTTTATGCTGCTGATAAATACTGGGAAGTAAAAGAGGTTTAATTGGACTTACAGTTCCACATGGCTGGAGAGGCCTCAGAATCATGGCAGGAGGTGAAAGGCACTTCTTACATGGTGGTAGCAAGAGAAAAATGAGGAAGAGGCAAAAGCAGAAACCCCTGATAAACCCATCTGATCTCATGGGACTTATTTACTATCAGGAGAATAGCATGGGAAAGACCAGACCTCATAATTCGATTACCTCCCCCTGGGTCCCTCCTACAACACGTGGGAATTCTGGGAGATACAATTCAAGTTGAGATTTAGGTGGCGACACAGCAAAACTATATCAGTTTATACCACTTGTCTGCTTGAGATACTTCAAAGGCTTCCCATTGCTCTGAGGTTAACCTCTTTAACATGCCTCAAAAGACCCTGCCTAAACTGACCTACTTCTGCAGGGTTCTCGCTTATGCCTGGGCCCCTTGACTTTGTGGTGCCACCGCACTGAACTTTCGTTTTCTTGGACACACCACCTTTCCGTTTGCCTTTTGTCCTTGGTACAGGCTCCTTCCTGACTCTTCATCTGCATAACTGCTCTTTGTCCTTCAGGAATTAATATAAACAACGCTTTCAGAAACAGCCTCTCTGACATTTCACTTTAGATCCCTTGTTCTGTGCTTACAGAGTCCCCTGTGCACTTCCTAGCATGACCCAGGACTCCATTTAGAGTCATTTCTAGTTTCACATCTGTCTTTCTCACTGGATGGTGGGGGCCCTCTGACAGCAGGACCCTTGTTTGTGTATTCTCTGCCAAAACCTCAACATCCAGTACAGCACCTAATGAATATGGGGCAATCATACAATGCTTACTAAATGGGTGGATGGGTGGATGGGTGGATGTGTGGGTGGGCAGATGGGTAGATGTGTGGGTGGATAGGTAGATGGGTGGGTGGATAGGTAGATGGGTTGGTGAATGGATGGGTGGATGGGTGGGGGGGTGGATGGGTAGATGGGTGGGTAGATGGGTAGATGGGTGGGTGGGTAGATGGGTGGGTGGGTGGATGGATGAATGGATGGTATGTAATGAGTATTTGGAGAAACAGAGACTGAGGGCATAGTGAGTCTTTGCAGAGTGTTGCTTCATTGACAGATATATAACCTAATTCTCATCCTGCTTTTCTGCATGCATCTCAATGTAGTCATCTGTTATTTACCCAGACTACTGCTGAAAATCCTTCAAAATCTGTCTACTTGCCAGTTGGTGTTTTCCTGCATGCCACTTTCAATCTCCTTCCAGAAGATGTTCATGCCCATGGTGAGAACCCATCAGCACCTCGACCTCAGGAGCCTTCTTACCCAGTGGCCTTTACCACCCTTTGCAGTGCCCCTCTCTAAGCCCTGTTCTTAGCCAATATTGTCTCCTCAAACTGAAGTGCTCTGTAATGGGCTGTTCCTTCTAGCCCATCACTTCCTCTCCTGAATAACATTGTACCACCTGAGTCTTCTTTTTACTTTGGCAGTGGAAAGTGGGTGGATCTGTTCTGACCCCCATTCAATTACTTGTCCATGTTTCCTCTCAGCCTCAGTTTTGTTACCTGTAAAAAAGAACATTATCACCTTACTGCTTTGTTCTGAGTAGGGAATAAATTAGGGTGCATGTAACTGAAATATAGAAAGTTCTCAAAACATACTAGTTCTCTTCTCATCTAATGGTGCATTCAAGTCCTTCCCTCATATGTAAAGATACAAATAAATATATTAATGACTTATGGTATACATACTATCTGCCAGATGCTGTGCTAAATTACTTTGCATTTCTTATATTTTGTCTTCACTCCAATGCTGTGATGTGGGTATTATTTTAAAGATAATAAAAATGATACTCCAAAAGATTAGGTAGGTGACACCTATCTTCCTTCCTAATCTTTCCAGTGGAGCAGCCTCCACAGAGGATTTTGCTCCATCACTCTCCTCTGACTCACTCATCCCCATGTAAGAGGGAGTGGCTTGCCTGAAGGCTGGATTTGGGAGAATTAACTATGCTTCTTGCCTCAATTCCTTCTTTTCTCCTCCAGTTGGGATCTATCTCTGTACAGCAGAGCAATCTAATCTCCCCTCTTTGCCACACAACCCAGTGGGACAGGCTTCCTCTCCAAGTGGGAGGCATGTGTTTTGGGATGGGGTGTGCAAATTAGCAACTTCATTGCCACATGTAAGCCCTGGTATTCCAATGATTTTAGCAACAATAAAAACATTTTAAAAAACCTCAATCTCTCTGACTTTATCTCTCTCTTTTTGAAAAAGCATGTGTCTTTTAAAGGTTTCTAAAGTCCTAACATAGAATCTAGGAACCCAAATCCATGTTCTTAGCCATAGGCAGGCACTGAGCCCTCTGCTGAGACAATGGGTCCCTCCCAGTCTCACAATTCCCAGCCAAGTGGAACCTCATGGCCACCAGTTGAAGCTGTGGAACTTCTCTCTGCCGTCCCAGAGACCCCTTCTCCATGTGCCATTCTGTGGGCCCGAGGAGTACGTTAGCCACATTGGCATCATTTCATTCAGAGTAGATCTTGATGGAAAACATACTGGGGGTTTCACAGTGGCATGGTAGAAAACCACTGAAGAATGCTACAGTGGGCATCCCAGGGCAGTAATATTTCTATGCTGAGATCCCTACTGTTAACCATAACCCGAGAATAAAACTGTGACAGCCCATCGGTGTCCATTTGAAGAGGTTCTTCTCCACACCAAAGTGCTCAGTCCATTATTATCCAGTTGTTCAAATTACTGAGCTTCCTCCCTTTTTTTCCCCCTTCTTCTGGGCTTAGTGCTTGCACTTAGACTTTAGAAGTTAGTTTATTCAAATCTCTCTCTTCTGTGCTTAGCATAAACTAGAGGTTCATGGCTTTGCCTTTGGGAATGGCATAGAATAATAGGAAGAGCTAATCTTTCCTTATAGGATGATGTGCCAGGGCTAAAGTAGGTGCTTTCCTTGTGGTTAACTGCTCCATTCTCACAACAATCCTGTAAATTAGGTCCTATCATTCTCCCCATGATGGTACAGACAAGTGCATTTGGTTGCCCCAAATCAAGCAGCTAGTTCATGTCATAGTCAAGATGAGAACCCATTTGCTCTCCCTGCAGAGTTTATGCTCTCAACCCCTGTATCATTCGCCTCTTCCAAGAGGGAGCTGGAGCTGTTAATGAGACCCCTTGCAGTGGTAGGCAGAGGGAAGAACTTGGTGGCTAAGTCTGAGCTCCAGATCTGTCATTTCCTCACTGGGTGGCTTGGGGCAGCTTTGAGCTATAGTTTCTGCATATTCAAAGTATATGTTCAATTAACAACCTTCCATGGAGCCCTGTGATGTGCTGGGCACTCTTCTAGGCTCTTGAGATTGGGTGGTGAACAAGACACACAATGTCTCTGTCCTTACGAAACGCAATCTAGTGAGGGGAGAGAACCAAAAAGCAAGAGAACACAGAGAGGGGAACAATACACACCAGGGCCTGTCAAGGGGTGGGGATTGAGGGGAGGGAACTTAAAGGACAAGTCAATAGGTGCAGCAAACCACCATGGCACACATATACCAATGTAACAAACCTGCACCTTGTGTACATGTATCCCGTTTTTTTTTTTAGACTAAAAAAAAATGCACAAACAGGACCGTTCCAGGTGAGAAACTAAATAGGCTGGATGACAAAAGGTGGCTTGGGGGAGGAGGCAGGTCCTTTGATTTTTGGTCAGTTGGGGCCTATCTAGATGGCACCATTTGAATGGAGACCTGAGTAAGAAGGAGCAGCCAGCCGTGGGAAACCTACCCGAGGAATTCAGCAGGAGGTTCCTGTGGCTGCTGTAACAAGTTACCACAAATTTAGTGGCTTGGAGGAACACAGACTTATTCTCTTACAGTTCTGGAGGCCGGAAATCCAAAATTCGTGTCACTAGGCTGAAATCCAGGTGTTAGCAGGGCAGTGCTGCCCTCCAGAAGCTCTAGAGGGGATTGACTCCCTTGTCACTCCAGCTTTCAAGTCGCATTCCTTGGTTTATGTCTCATTCCTCCACCTTCGAAGCCAGTAGCAGAGCACTGTCAAATTTCTCTCTACTTTTTTCATGTTGCCTCCTTTTCTCTGTGTCAAATCTCCATCTACCTCCCCCTTATTAGGGGTACTTGTGATTGTATTTAGGACTCACTGGATAATCCAGGATAATCTTCCCATTGCAAGATGTTAAACATATTAGCAAAGTTCCTTTTGCCATGGAAAGTAACAGCCACAGGTTCCAGGGCTTATGGCCTGGATATCTTTGGGGGTCATTTTTCAGCCCATCACCTTCTAGAGAGAGGGTATAGCCCACCCAAAGACTATGATAGTGATGCCTGCCCAGTTGGCTGTGGTGAGGATTATGTGAGATGGTTTTGAGCCTAGAAGGTTGGTGGTTATAGAGTAAGTCCTCCAAAATGTTAGGTCTTCTAATTAGTACTTGGAGGGAAACTCAGAAGGTAGGAGGGGCCGTGGTAGCTGCTGGAGGAGGGGTAGGAAGGCTGAGGGTCAGAGGAAGAAAGGAGGGCCTGGGGGTGTGAGCAGTGGCCCAAGGCATGGTGATATGGTTTGGCTGTGTCCTCACCCAAATTTCATCTTGAATTGTAACTCCTACAATTCCCATGGGAGGAACCCAGTGGGAGGTAATTAAATCATGGGGGTGGGTCCTTCCCATGCTGTTCTCATGATAGTAAATAAGTCTCATGAAAGCTGATGGTTTTAAAAATGGGAGTTTCCCCGCACAAGGTCTCTCTCTTTGCCTGCCACCACCCATGTAAGATGTGACTTGCTCCTCCTTGCCTTCTGCCATGATTGTGAGGCCTCCCCAGCCATGTGGAACTGTGAGTCCATTAAACCTGCACAAGTTCTCTCTCTTTGCCTGCTGCCACCCAGGCAAGATGTGACCTGCTCCTCCTTGCCTTCTGCCATGATTGTGAGGCCTTCCCAGCCATGTGGAACTGTAAGTCCATTAAACCTCTTTTTCTTCCCAGTCTTGGGTATGTCTTTATCAGCAGCATGAAAACAGATTCATACACATGAGGTTCCTTCATGGAGCTCCAGAAAGAGTCAAAGGCATTAGCACTTGTCCCATAACCTCCATCAGGCAGTCAGTACTTCAGGAAAATGGCTGGCTCACCAGGAACACAGGTTCCTCTGCTTGGCTTGGGTGCTAACTGCTTCCTGGAGAGGTGACAAAAGTAGACATCAGGCTTGAGAGGGGGAGACTGACATTGGTTTTGGCTGTGGCTGTGGCTTTAGGAAGTAAAAGAAACCTTTTTGGGGTTTCTGTGTTCAGTATTCCAGCTTATAAGTGAGGAAACAGATGCAGACATGGTGTAAGTCCAGGGTTGAAATAGAGAGGGTGTATTTCACCACCCCTTGCCTAAGCTGCTTGACTATGGTCCTGAGCACCCTTGTAGGTGATGAGATGGTAGGTATGAGTTGGTCAAAGTGAAAGGATCCCTTTTCGTGTCTGTCCTTGGTTTGGCTCTCTGGTCTTCATCTGTGAACACAAACCAGAAAGCCAAGCCAAGGAGAGGCTGAGTGGAGACTCTGAGCCGAGCAGGTCTGTGGAATCAAATCCTAGAGACTTTCTGTGTCACCTTGGGGT
Organism: Homo sapiens; assembly: GCF_000001405.40. Taxonomy (NCBI): domain Eukaryota; kingdom Metazoa; phylum Chordata; class Mammalia; order Primates; family Hominidae; genus Homo; species Homo sapiens. The sequence goes on along the minus strand of NC_000008.11, from coordinate 134,328,037 downwards.
CTCACCTCAAGCCTGCTCAGGGAGGGCAGCCAAACAGGGAAGCAACTGCCTCAGCCCCATGGCCCCAGGCAAAGGCTGTCCAAGATGGCGGAGCTGTGGGGAATTCAAACGGATGACTCACTGTGAAGGACATGACTGAAGAGTTAACCTTAGATAAGTATGCTTTAGTTTTTAAAAAATGGAACCCAATGAGAGGTTCCATGGAGATTGCACCCCACATGTTGAGGGAAAAACAGAAGCAACAAGGCTCTAACCAAAATTCTGACTTTTCAAGGGCCAGGGGCATGGTGGGGAGAAAATGGTTTGCATGGAACCTACTGAGCTGTGTGGTTAGGGCTTGGCTCTTGAAATCCAATGGACTTGAATTTGAATCTTGGCTCTATTGCTGTTGGCTATGGAGCCATGGGGCAGTGATGGAACGTCTTCATGCCCCAATTTCATCCCATGTAAAATGGGATAATGTTGCTTAAGGGTGGCTGTGAGGATTTAGCGAGGTAATACATACACTGCCCTAGGCATATATTAATAGTAAGTGTATACGTTGCCTGTGGCTGCCATATCAAATTGCTACAAACTGAGTGGCTCAAAAATAGCAGAAATGTATTCTCTCACAGTTCTGGAGGCTGGAAGTGTGAAATCAGGGCTCTAAGGAAGAATCCTTTCTTGCCTCTTCCTAGCTCTCAAGGGCTGCTTGGCAGTCCTTATTGCAGCTGTGTCATTTGGATTCCTGCCTCTGTCACCACACGGCCTCCTTCCCTGTGTGTTTGTGTCTCAAAATCTCTCTCTCCTAAAGACACCACCCTAATCTAATGTGACCTCATCTTAACTTAATTGCATATGCAAAGATCCTATATCCAAAGAAGGAAATATTCACAGGAACTGGGAGCTAGAATGTCAATATCCCTTTTTGGAGGACACTATTAACCGACAGCAGTAAGTGCTCAGTAAAGTGTAGTTTTTACTAGTATAATAATGGTATTTTTCCACATGAGCCAGATAGAAGGTGTCAACTTTTATAGGGGAAACTGCTGTAATTCCATATTAAAATCACAGGGGAAAACCTACTCTATTTGTTTCTTTTATGTCAATTGCACAGTTCAAGCTGAATTCATCTGAAAAGGTCGCCTACCAATCACGCATAGCACAAAGCAATTCTGAAGTCTTGGAGAGATTCTGTGAGCTCTGAAAGGAGCAAGCTCAGGTCAGGGTGTTGGCAGCTTCTTCTTGGTAACATTCTAGCCTAAGCCAATATATCTCCAAGTTGTCACCTCTACATCTCACTCTCTGTTCTGAATCATCATGGATCTGCTAATTACCTCAATTTGTTAAACATTCTTTGGGTGCCTACTAATGCAGCAGCAAAAGTGAGTGTCTCTTAGGCCAAAGTTTTTCAACCTTAGGACTAATGGTATTTTGGACTGGGGAATTTTTTGTTGTAAGGGGCTGTCCTGTGCATTGAGTCAGTTTAACAGCATCCCTGGTCTCTACCCACTAGATGCTACTAGTAAACCCCAACTCTGACAACCAAAAATGTCTTCATGCACTGCCAAATATTATCTGGGTTGCAAAATCACTCCCAGCAGAGAACCACTGGATTAGAGGAAGCAAACAAGTTACTAGGTGCTGATAATAATAGGTGGGGATTGTTGAGATGGGATAAGCAGCAAGATGTTAGGGATACCCTTTTGCTATTCCTCAAATTGAACATCACACTTTTGAAGGAAGACACAACCAACCCCTCTCACTAGATACTACATTCTTTGCTATGAAGAACTGTAATTCGTAGTATATTTAAGAAATTTTATCCATTCATTCTCCTCATCCTTTATCCAATTCACATTCATTGGGTACCATCAATGTGCCAGGCACTGTATTTTGGTACCTGGAAGTATCTGGAGGTATCATATCTCCAGGTGTTGGAAATATGGATACACTGATTGTGCCGGGCACGATGGCTCACTCCTGTAATTCCAGCACTTTGGGAGGTCGAGGTGGGCGGATCACCTAAGGTCCGGAGTTTGAGACCAGCCTGGCCAACATGGCAAAACCCTGTCTCTAACAAAAATACAAAACAATTAGCCAGGTGTGGTGGCACACACCTGTAGTCCTAGCTACTTGGGAGGCTGAGGCACGAGAATCGCTTAAACTTGGGAGGCAGAAGTTGCAGTGAGCTGAGATTGCACCACTGCACTGCAGCCTGGGTTACAGAGCGAGACTCCATCTCAAAGAGAAAAAAAAAAAAAAGAAAATCAATACACTGATTGTACAGTACAAGGTTCCGAGATCCAGGAATTGTCTGGTAGAAGAAACCAAAATGCCCCAAGAAGCCATATGACATGTTAAAAACAGCTGATGATGTGTGTGGAAGAGACAAGCATTATAGAGAAAGAATTACAGACTCGGATTGATGGGGTGGGAGGAGAAGGGACATTTTCACAGCTAATACCTCACTGAGGAAGGTTTTAAGAAGTAATAAGCCAGTTTGAGGAGATAGAAGGAAAATTCTAGATTAAAGGAACAGTCAAAAAGAAAGCAGGGAATTCTGAAGCATCACGATGTATTAGCAGAACCACAGGCAAATAAAATGTTTTCATCTGATTACCAGAAGCTACAGACCAACTAAAGCAGGCCTCAGTCAGGCTGAAGATGTGCTCCTTTTGGACTTAAGAGTGATTTATTTACTTATTTATTTATTTTACTGACAACATTCAAAAATCTGAAAATTGTATATAAAGATTAAGATTTTCCAAGTATTGTAAAGAAAAGAAAGATCTGATTAATGAGTGGCATTATTGATAGGAAAGAGAACTCTTAGTGGGAATTTTTTATGTCGGAGGAGAGCAAGATATTAAAGTGACTTAACTTAGTTAAATTAGCAAGTTCTTCAAGAAAGAGAGAAGCAAAAGAGGGAGAAAAACTGACAAAAAGAGAGAAATGATTTGGCTTGTTTTGACCACAGTGAAGAGAAATTGGCTAGGTGCAAGGTTTTAGTTTCAATGAAAGATGAAACTGCTAAACCTCATTCTTAGCAGTTCTGACAATGGGTACACAAGTATGACAGTGTCATGAAGAAGCTGCCTACAAATGAAGGAAGTGGCAACTAGACACAGAGCCTGTCTCGCCAGCTCCTCTTTGGAGAATATCTAGGTGGGGGTCTCAGCAGGATTTATGCCACAGCTAAAGAATGAGGTCAAAAAGCAAGTAATTTGATTTGTCAATAGGCATGCATGTGAACTTGAGCCTCCCCACTTGAGAGAGAATTTTGGACTGTATGCTTGTTTCTCTCACTGACTTATTTATGATAGTGTAGATAATAAATAATTTAGTTGCACATCCAACTTGTGGTTTCTATTTTACTCACCAGCAACACATTCTGGAAGCAACATGTTCTGGTAAATTCAGCTCACTCACCTCGTGCCCTGTGAAAATTAGTTTGATATCAGCACCTTTGTAGTTGTCTGCTCCTTAATCTCCATGCCCTCGCCATCAACTAGAGAATGGAAAGGTGAACAGAACAGAGTATCAGCTATTTGGTCCAGTGAGCAGGTAGATAAGATGGTTCCGTAGGGATCCCTGTAATCGAGCTCAACTGACCCACACTGAGGGGCATGTGACTGAACAGGACTGAGCCAGTATGAACTGTGAGTCTGTTAGCATGGGATTGAGTTTCTCAAAGGGATGCTGTTTCCGGGTCAGTATTCAATTTATTACAGGGTCAGGTTGACAAATGGGTATGACCCTTCCATATCCCTGGAGGAAGCTGGATATGAGTTCTGATTGGTGGAGTAGGAAGTGAAATGCACAGGGGAAGAGAACAGTGATGATTTCTGTTGGGTTTCCTTAGATGCAGAGCCTGAGGCAAGATTTCAATTGCAAGTAGTTTACTTGGGAAGTGATCCCAAGAAATTCCTGTAGGGAAGATGAAAAGTGAGACTAGCAGAGAAGGAAGCCAATTCAGCATGCATGAATGATCAGGTTACTTCTACATATAACCGGGGCTCAATCCCACTGGGACCTCTGAGAGACAGTGTAGAACATGCTGTTCTTATTCAAGAAGTGTATTTAGGCTGGATACTGTGGATCATGCCTGTAATCCCAGCACTTTGGGAGGCAGAGGCAGGCAGATCACTTGAGGTCAGGAGTTCAAGACCAGCCTAGTCAGCATGGTGAAATCCTATGTCTACTAAAAATTAGCTGGGCATGGTGGCGGGCGCCTGTAATCCTGGCTCCACGGGAGGCTGAGGCAGGAGAATCGCTTAAACTTGGGAGGCGGAGGTTGCAGTAAGTCAAGATCGCACCACTGCACTCCAGCCTGGGCAACAGAGTGAGATTGCATCTTTAAAAAAAAAAAAAAAAGAACTGTATTTATACCCCTACTTTCATCCATTATAACCTAAGCTTCTGAAGGCTTTGATTCCCTAGCACTTCTGGACTGCCCTACATGCAGGCGGAAGACATTCTTGTAGCCCCAGAAAGGAAAGAGTCACAGGTGCTTAGATAGGTGAGTCATGGAGCAACGAGGGAGGGGTGACCGTGTCCACTCTTGTGTTGTGATCAGGAGCCTAGGACAAGACAGCTCTTGTGATGGGGGTTGGACATGGTATTAGTGGAAGCATTAGAGAAGTGTGGTGGAGCAAGGATGCTTGTAAATATCCCTCCAGTCCGTGATAGCAGTGGAAAAGAAGGGGTAACAATTAATCTAGTTAAAGTCAGACCTGTACTAAGTCTGCAAAGGCTTCTAGGAAGAAGGAAACCAAAATAGCCTCTCTTGCCTGGAAAAGTGATGGGCTTCATTACTAGGAAGGTGGCTTGTAAGTGGAATGGTTGGCATTCCCTGCAGATGCCTGAGTCCTGATGCTGGATCTCTGGCTACTACTCTCTTATTGAGGAGGCTCAGGAGGCAGGGAAGGTGAAGAAGACAAAAGAGAAGCTACGAAAATGTCAAAGAGAAAGAAATCTTTGCGAATGATTATAAATGTGCTATAAAATTTGTAGAGAAGACAACTTGAGCATCAAAAATGAAAACAATGACAGTCACCTGGAAAAGCTTAGTCTGTGAGAAGGGCCATGGATCCATGATAAGTTCTGAAGAGGCGAGGTAAGTGTGCTGAAAGATGGTTGAGATGCACTTGTGTTTTCAGAATCTTATGGCAAATTAACTTTATTAACCTGAACTATGTGAGTTCTACAATGGAGAGTTTACCAATCATCTACAGCCTATAAAATAGAAAGGCAGCCTTTTTATTCTTTAATAAGGAGGTTAATATTTACAAATCCAGTTAGTGTCTTGGCACTTGGCTTGTTCTCTGTAACTTCTGCCTTGGTTACTCAGGCTACAAAAGTGTGAGAGCAGCCAGGTGCCAGGACTCACACCTGTAATCCCAGCACTATGGGAGGCCAGGGTGAGGGGATTGCCTGAGGCCAGGAGTTTGAGACCAGCCTGGGCAACATAGTGAGGCCCCACTTCAACAAAAAATTAAAAAATAAAAATGAGCCAGGCATGGTGGTGCATGCCTGTAGTCCTGCTACTCAGGAAGCCAAGATGGAAGAATCACTTGAGCCCAGGACTTCGAGGTTACAGTGAGCTCTGATGGTGCCACTGCATTCCAGCCTGGGCAACAGAGGGAGACCCTGTCTCAAAAAAAAAGGGCGTGGTATCCCCATCTGGGAAAGAGGTTTTCTACTCTTTGGGTTGTCACATGGGTCTGTGCTGGGTTGTGTGAAGCTCAACAACATCTGGGATGGAATCTAGTTGGTAAAACCACACAAGAGCCGCCCAGTCAGCTTGGGAACATAAGGGAGTAGGGAGACACTTCGGACAATGAGGCCAAGTGGTGGAGCAAAGTTATTGACAGTGGGTTGAAGTATTAACATGTGGGATTCATATTTCCACGTGGGCACATGTATGTAGCTGGTGCCTCTAGATGGTCATTTGTTCTTTAGTTTATCACAGTCCTCACTGGGCCAGCTTCACTTATTTTTTGTGGCTGGCCTTCCCCTTCTAAACACTTGAATTTGTAACCCAGATTGTGTGTGTGTGTGTGTGTGTGTGTGTGTGTGTGTGTGTGTGTGTGTGTGTATGCTTGTATTAGTAACTTTATGCATTCTAGATCTTTTGATATACATATGTTAAACTTTATGGATTAACTCATTCCAAGGGCTGATCTATAGAAGTGAGATTTGGTGCAGTCTTTCACAAGTATCAACTTGGCCAAAGAGTGTGAAGTATAAAAGCAATAATTTTGCTTTATGAACTTTTCATGATATGCCTAAGAGAGAAATTGTGGTAATCAGAATAGCAAATATGATTGATTCTGGAATGTCAGTTTTAAAAGGAACAGCTTGGTGTTTCCCTGAGCTGGACCCTGGAGGAAATTTCCCTGACAATATAACTCCAAAGCTCTCAAACATGAAAAAAGACCCCCTTAGAGAAAATTTCTGACACCATAGGTTTCTCTGGGTGTTTTCTGCTCCTTTGGTTAAAATAGTAGGCATCGTGCAGCATCTTCTAGGAAGCCTGATGGGGTGAGGGAGTAGAAGTACCTCATATGTCCATTGAGAAGTGGAAAAATTTAATGACTCAACTTAGGTATTTGCGTGCAGGACAACAAGCAGTGGAGCATGAATTATCTTTCTTTTTTAAAATTTCAACTGAGTTGGCCTTTATATGACTTTTCCAGATACAACACTTGCAGCAGCCAGTGACAGAGATTCTAATCTGAAAGAAATCTTTTTTTTAAGGTTTTATTTTACAAAAACAAGTAATGGGGAAAAAGCTCCCTATTCAATAAATAGTATTGGAATAAGTGGCTAGCCATATGCAGAAGATTGAAACTGGACCCCTTATACCATATACAAAAAATCAGCACATGATGGATTAAATATAAAACCCAAAACTATGAAAACCCTGGAAGACAACATAGGCAATACCATTTTGGCCATAGGAATGGACAAAGATTTCATGACAAAGACACCAAAAGCAATTGCAACAAAAGGAAATCTTACTTTCTTTATCCTTGGGATCATGTTTGGGGAGTAAGTCAGTACAGCGAAAACAGCATAGGTTTGCGGGTCAAGCTAGACCTGGAGCTGAATCTGGCTCCACTGTGTACAAGTTACTTATACCCACTAAGCCTCTACTTTTTCACTTTCATCATAAAAATGTTAAACTTACTGCATAGTTTGTTGAGAGGTGCATTTAATAAGTTAGCGAGAGCAAAGCACCTGGTATGTAACAGATGGCAAATCCTCCTCCTCAAATCATGTCACCAGAACTCATAACTTCCAATTGGAAGTCTTCATTTGTCTCTCTCTCTCTTTTTCATTCAAGAAATGTTGCTTTGAGACTCACCGTGGTCTAGAAACTCCTTTAGGTGCCAAGATGTCACAGACAACAGACATGATCGTTCCTGGAGCCTCCGTGAAGGCAAGCTATGTTAGTGTTAAGACCAAAATGCTCTGAGAGCCCAGGTACAGGAACAACTAATTCTGCCAGAGAGGGTAGGAGGGGGTGGGGAGACAGAGGATGCAATTTGTACTGAGCCTCAAAGAAGTAGGACAAGTTTGCTGAGTGACAAAGTAGGGAAAGGACGCACTTCAGGCAGGATTAACATCATGGGCAACTCCAGGAGGTGTGAGAGCACACAATTTTGCCGCTGTTGGATGTCACACACGGTAGGTCTTGCTCTCAGTGCGTTGCTGCATCTTCTGTGTGGGAGGGAGTGTTTCAGCAGGAAGTGGAGCTGCCTCCTTGTTTGAGTGGCAGTTGTTTCTCTTTGTTTCTATTTTGCCTCAGAACCTCAGAAGCTTTGATATTCTTTGGCATTTGTAATAAACAGTCTTCGTCATCTGGGTCAGTAGATTGTTCACCATGATCTGGATGATTGACTTTTCCATGATATGGTGATGAATGGATCCTCATTTGGGGAAGTAAAGGCTCTTCTCTGGGTTACAAATGCTCTTATATAGCCTGAGACCAGCACACTGATAGACCTCCAGTTATAAATAGATAAATAAGTAAATAAAATAAATGATACTTATCTTGGTCTTTTTATTTTCTCTGTGGCTTCTAAGATGTAGTTGACATCACAAATTCCTGGTCTGAAAATGAAACAGCCATTTGACAAGGACAGATCTTTGGAAGGTGTTGACTTTTTTTTTTTTTTTGAACGGAACATTTTACTAAGTGTGATTAAAGCTAGGGAGAGTGGAATGAACACTGAATGAGGGTTTGGGGGATGGAAGTTTGAGCCCTGTCTCCCTGAGCCTGGCTGTGTGATCCTAGGAAGCCACGACACCTCTCCAGGCACTGGGTTCCTCATTGGCCCCTCACACCCTCTCCCTGGATTGACCCCTCACACCCTCTCCCTGGGCTGCTGTGGGTTGATATAACAGACAGCTTCCAAGTGTGACATGCATGCAACTATGGAGTTGTAAGCCTTAGCCTCTATAAGCTTCATGCCAGAATCTTCAAACTGAAGATTCTGGCTGAGGATCCCCTCTCCAGGATCCGTGACCCCTGTTGAGGGCATGAGAAGGAGAAATTTGGGGAAGGAGGAGATGCTAAGAGAGAATCAGGAATTTAGGGAAATGGGGAGCAGTTGCATCTGCATGTGCTGTTCTCAGAGAGACCAAGGGGACCCACTGAGGGTGAGGAATTGAGATGGGCTGGTAGGGTGGAGAAGAGGACAAAAATTTGAGCATGTGAAAGCCAAGTGGCTCCAGAAATCCCATCACCAGATAGGGCAGGACTCAGTTCTAGGAAAATGAGTGTTTTCCAAGAGCAAGAGGAAAGCAGCCTCTGAACAACTGCCAGGGCTATATACCATACTGTCCTGTCTTCCAGGGACTGCTGGTATGAGCCAGGACCACAGGGCACCTGGTAGACCCTGGCAGAGCTTACAGGACAGTTAACCTTGTTGCCCTCCAGGGAAATTAAGGAATCTGCCACTGAGCATGGGTGCCAAGTTTTTAGACTCTGCATGATGGGACCTCCACTTACCTCTCCATTGTCATTTTTTCACCGCTGCCCCTCCCCTACAAGCTCCATGGGCCAATCTGATGATGTTCCTGGAACATGTAGGCTCTCTGTTACCCTTGCCTTGCTGTCACATATTGTTTCTCCCTCTTGCCTGAGCAGCTCACATTTATTCTTTGGGCCTCAGTTTCACTTCCTCTGGGAAGATTTTTCTGAGCAGTTGAGACTGGGTTGGGTGCCCTTCTTCTGTTTCGCCAGCATGCTTCACTCTCCTATGTGACAGCACACATATTCAATGGTAATGGTTTTTTCCAAATGCCCTTCTCTTTGACCCAGCTGTGAGATCTCTGGGGGCAGGGATGATGCTTTGCTTCTGGCTATATCTCCAGTGCCCAGCACAGTGCCAAGAATACAGTTGGTACACAATATATACTTATGAAATGAATGAATGCATGCATGCACATGCGAAAGCACTCAGGGCTTCCACTTTCAGGCAAAGAATCACAAGGATTACTTTTGGACCATTCTGATAATATGGGCAAGAGCTCTTGGTAAAGCTGGTCTTTCATTCCTTCCAGAAGAGCTGGCCCCTGCATATAATTGTACCCTTATTCCAAATAACTTGCATGGAGCAGGATAGAAAGCAAAAGCTGAGAGATGTTGGGTCTCCAGTTTACAAGGCCTCCTTAGAAACATTGAGAAGGCATTATTACTTATTTCCAGTGAGAAACAATAAGGAACCCATGATCTGAGAATTTGTATAAAAGTGTGACAGCCTGGTCTAAGAACTTTGGGCAGAGGATGTGACCACACGAGGTGCTTCTCTCTCCAGCCTGGGCTGCTCTCCTTCTCCAGACCCTACTCTCTTTTCTCCTCACTTTTATAGAAACAATAAGGCTTGTCTTTTAAATTTACTTTCTACCACAGCAGCTAATTTAATATTTGGAGAGAACAACAGCCAAGGCCATCTCTAGATGGTTGTTATTTATAAGATCATAAAAAAAGACAGATCCAGCTCCTGAAGTTACTAAATTGTCTTCAGGAAAAGAGCTATGAGGAGATGGGCCTTTGCTGTGGCAGGGATACAAATAAAATTACCTAAAAGTCACCCCTAATGATGGGGCCTGGGAGCCTGCCATCTGCTTCTGTTTCAGTCGTGGACTCTTGCCACCCCAGACACTTTCACTAAATGTGGCTTCCTCTGAGGGTGCAGAAGATGCTTTGCTCCTTTGAGGCTGTCTCTCCGCAGTCTGAGCTAGGAATAGATTCGTTTTTATTGTTATGATCGAGCTGTATAATAACCCCAAAGAGGCAAGGACAGTAATTGTGGTATGGCAGGTGCTGTCTTTCTTTGTCCGAGGGATAGGGAAGTTCAAGATTGCTTTCCTTAATTGTCACCTGCTGGATGTACTTTCCTGTCTGACTGGCCTCCTCCTGCCCTGGCTGCCAGAGATGGGCCAAAGGGATGAGGGTGTGGGGGTGACAAATTCTTATTTTTGTCCCTCTGGTGATGGGATGTCTGAGGCAGAAAGAGAAAACGCCCCACTGAGAAGATATGCTCCAGATCTTCCTGCAAGGCCTCCTTAGAAACATGGAGAAGGCATTATTATTCAGAGCCTGCCTACACAACCTCATCCCAGGCGACAAAGTACAGTCGGTTCTCATTATTCACAGTAGTCCTATTTCATAAATTCATTGCGAACACAGAATTAGCAGATGCTGAGCCATTACTCCTCGGGGGACATAGGGGGTTAGTTTCCTATGAGCCCCTGGTCATGTGTTTTGTCGACTAATCAATGCATAGACTTGTTTACATGTGTTTCTGTTTGAAAGCATTTTATTTAATATAGATTGTGGATTTGTTAACATTAAACACACAGCCAACAACTCATGCCTGAACGAAGGTTATCTACCGCATAAGGCACATCACAGCCTAGCACTTGGGAACACAGGACAGCACTTCAGCACTGTGCTGGGGCTCTATATATCTATATCTATCTATCTATCTATATCTATATATCTATATATTTAAATAAATAAATATATAAATATTTAAATGTTTAAATAAATGTATAAATTTTTAAATAAATATATAAATATAAATAAATATATTTCCATATATATAATATAGATATATATATGGAAATATATTTAAACAGCAAAATAAATGACAAAAACCCTCAAATATGAAAGACGTGCCACTAAATAGGCTGTCAAAGGGGCACTTGTTTACAGTAAGAGAGCTGAAACAAGGAGACAGGGTGTTGCCTTGACCCATCTTAAGGTGACATGCACATTGGAACATGCACATTGAGTGATTCACACTTTTTACGGCTCTGTACCTGCTTGTAAATGATCACAAAAGCTCCATTAAGTATTCGTTTGGGGGATACAAATAAATTTTAACAAGTAGATGAATTCCAAATGAGTGGTCCATGAATGATGAGGATCAACTGTAATTAAATGCACAATTCAGAAATGTAGCCTTCTCTGGTGCACTTCTATCTCTGCTCCAGCTCTAAAGGATGCCACACACACTCCTGTCCTCATGGTCCTGAGGCCAACCTTTGCCATTGGTTCTATGCCTGGGTTTTGCTTGGTTACCAAGAGCCAACTGTCTCTGGTTTCGGAAACCTGCCAATTCTCTTATTACATGAGCCTACACTCCTGTGGAGATCAGCTGCCTTGGAAGTGTTAGTCCACTGAGGATGCTGGCCTTATTTGAACCAGTCTTCCTTAGGTCTTGGAGTTCTGGCCTGAGACACAGCAGCCTTCTGCAGTCTTCACTGACTGATGGTGCCTTTCTTATAGTCAACTGTCATGGAGTGTCTGCACATGTCTGCTGGGCACCATGGCAGGAAGATATGGCCTCTTCCCTCAAGGTGTTGACAGCCCAGAGAAGAAGGAGCTGGCCCATAGATGGCTAAAATGCAGCTGGTAAATGTTACCATCAAAGTCACCAAGATGCTCTGCAAGCTGCATTTTTTTTGGGTCCAAATCCCCCTGTGGGCCGTCCCCAAAAACACTTCCACCAGCACAAATCAAATGTATTATTTTCTCTCAAAACATGTTCTTTTCTCCTCATTCTTTTGCCATGCTTCTTGGCAGACCCACAATCACCTAAACGTGAATGGATCCCTGCTCCATTTCCCACCAATTACTGCATCCTTACTCTGACTCTGTAATGCACTGCTTACTCACCCTGTACACCCACCTCCACCACCTCCATATGCCTTCCTGAGTTACAGCAGCAACGTCCACCCTGCTTACACAGAAAGACGTAAATGCAAACATTTCCAAATCCATAATCAATAGAACTTCATATGGAATATTCTAAGGGTTGAAAATCTCAATGGACAAAGAGATTTATTAATGTTATTCTCCCCTAGATGAATATTTAGATTCCTTAATGAATCCTAGATGTTTTATGTGACACTACTGTGACCTTTTAAATATGTGTCTTCATTTTCAATGTGGACATTTCTATAGGTAACTTTAATTGCTGTATATTTCATAATAGCAAATAGTCTATTCTTCAAAATAGACTAGAATGTGCTAATATTTCTTCATAATAGTCTATTCTTCAAAATAGACTGGAATGTGCTAATATTTCTCTCTATGGAAATATATTTACCTGACCTTTTATTATAATTTACATTTTTGAAAGATTGCTAAAATATTTTTAAGGTCTGAGTGTATGTAACAGATGTAGAAAGCCATATTTTTAGGCACTATGCATATTCTTTCATTGAATTCTTACAACTCAAGAGGTTTATAGATGAGTCAATAGACGGCCAGAGAAGTTAAGTTACTAGTACGTGATTACATAGCTGCTTGAAGTTGGAATCTAATCCATGCTTGTATAGTTCTCAGAAAAAACAAGAATTCCAGGATTCCTTTGAGAATGACAACTTGAATTTGAACACTGAAGTCCTGTAGAGCTGCCCCTTATTCAGTGGGAATGAGGTTCAACTTCAAAGTTTTGTGTAGTGTGCTAGCATTGTATTATTTAGGATTCAACAGGAGAAGCAGAACTAGCAGGATATACACACAAGTACACACCAAAACCAAACACACACACAAACACAGTCACACACACAAATTTGTATATACAAACATACATTGTATGAGAACAAAAGAGAGAGAGAGAGAGATTTATTACACATGTAATATTTCACTATGCGATTGTGGGGACTGGCTAACCAAGTCCCAAATCTGTAGTGCAGAAGGTCAGAAAAAGACCCTGGGTAGGGTTGAACCCACAAGCATGGGGCTGAACATCTCATGCACAAGCAGAATTTCTTCTCTTGCCTAGGAAAATCTCAGACCTACTTTTGAGGCCTTCTAATTCATTCAGTGTCCAGCCCCCAAGACAATCTCACTTAAAGACAACTGATTAGGGGCTTTAATTACATCTATGCAATATCTGCCCAGAACACCTAGATTCACCTTTGATTGAATGACTGGTACTGTTATTCAATTAAACAGTCCTAGCCAAGCTGGCATAAGAAAAAATCCATCACAAGCCTTCAGCTATGACATTACCGGGGCAGCAGTGATAAGTGTAACTGACTGGCAGGAGGCCTTGGTCTTGTGGAGATTGCTAACTTTGGCTGCAAGGGCCACCCCTGGCTGATGGCTATAGCAAATTTTCATCTAAACCAGTGGTTCTCTGCCAGGGCTAGATTTGCCCCCTCTCAGGGGACATTGGCAACACTTGGAATATTTTTGGTTGTCACTACTGGTGTTTGATATCATCTGGTGGGTAGAAGCCAAGGATGTTTCTTACCATTCTCCAATGCACACAATAACCCTCATGACAAAGAAATACCCAGCTTTCAATGTCAATAGTGTGTAGGCTGAGAAACTCACTTTAACCAAGAGAGCCAATATGAAATGTGCTCTAAGTGCATGGGATTAATTAATCCTTGTACGAGTGTAAGGATAATTCATTTTTAAACATTGTTTCATTTTAAACAGATGAGGAAATAAAGGTTAAGGCATTGTTATTGCCACAGTTTTGATACTTGCTTCTAAGTGGAGGGGCAGGGATTTGAACCCTAGTTTCTTTGAACTCCAAGTCTATTCTTCTTCTACTATACCCACTGTGTTACGGAAGCTTCCCTTTAGACTTTCTTCTGCGCCTGAGGAGGCCTTGGTCTTACCTCTGGCCATTCACAGGCTGTCTCGTACTGTCGCAGTTTATATCTCAGTTCAGGTGGCACAGGTGAGCTGAAGCCTTCCTCCACCTTAACATATCAATGGCAGCCAGCATTCAGCACAGTGGTTCAGGTTGTCAGTTATGCGGACAAGTCCTGGGTGCAGCTCCCACCCTGAGGCTGGGCAAGCTTATAGATCTACCTGAACACTGGCTTCCTCAAATACAAAATGAAGAACTAACTGGACTTCCTCCTAGTGAGATTTAAACAAGAAAAGGCATGGGAAGCATCTAACACAGGGTTCTATTATGTTTTGATGAAAGTAATTTTGCAGTGTCTAGCAGTTCTGACCACTCACTTTCTAAGAAGGATTCAATGACCCAGGTTTATCATTTTCAAACATATCCAAAGCCTGGGCCAAGTGTCAACCCTGGGGTTACCTTCCATTCCCTTCTCTGAGGTCTCTTGGCACTGTGGACCCCAGTCAGAAAAACTCCCAAACAAAATTGTTTCTCAGTATTATTTCTGAATATTCTAAAAGTTATGCAGTGTGATTGAGGGTGGTGGGAAATACAGAAAATGTTAACTCCTTTAAAAGTTGCCTTAAATCTTTTTGGATTTAGGAATATAAATAAAAACAAAAGCTACATCTAAATATACAAATGAAATAAACCCCAAAACCTCTTTATTTTAAGGAAAACAATCCTGCTAATAAGGAAGAAAAACCCTGCTCATAATTGCTGATTAGAAATAGCACTTTAACAGTGTCTGACATTTTTTATGTTAGAAATGGCTTTGGGTAAAATTTCTTTTATCTCATTAGTCATTATGAAGTAGTACATTTAGTTTATATAATTATTTTCAGGTTACCAAATGTTCTGCATCTGTCATATCATTTGATTCTAACAATGCAGTGAATTAGGATAATTTGTAGGCATTTATTCAGCGTGTCATATATACCAGTTCTGTGTGTAGTGTAGGGAATTCAGGTGTGAATCGGTTCCAGTCCTGCCCTTAAGGAGCTCAGATTCTAGTCGCATCAGTGGGTATCATATAGTGTGGTGCCTTCTGAGAGAGGACCCTGCAGGCTGCTGGGGGACTAATAGGGTTTGAATTTGTGTCCCCACCCAAATCTCATGTCAAATTGTAATTCCCAATGTTGGAAGGGGGGCCTGGTGGGAGGTGATTGGGTCATGGAGGTGAACTTCCCCCGTGCTGTTCTCCTGATAGTGAGTGAGTTCTCACAAGATCTGGTTGTTTAAAAGTGTGTAGTCCCTCCCCCTTCACGTTCCTTCTTCTTCAGCCGAGTAAGATGTGCCTGCCTCCCCTTCGCCTTCCACCATGATTACAAGTTTTCTGAGGTCTCCTCAGCCATGCTTCCTATACAGCCTGTGTGACTGTAATTAAACCTCTTTGCTTTATAAATAACCCAGTCTCAGGTAGTTCTTTATAGCATTGTCAGAACAGGCATCCAGAGGAGGGACTCAGAACTCTAAAATCCGGGAGGGGTGTGTGTGTGTGTGTGTGTGTGTGTGTGTGTGTGTATGTGTGTGTGTATACTCAGGGGAGAGATGACTAAGTGGAATCTTGAAGTGTAGAGATTTGGGAAATGTCCAGCGGAGGAAGAGATGTCACAGGCAGAGGCCACAGCTGGGATACTGGTGTGGAGGCTGCACACGCCCTGCTGGGGAAGCCCAAGTAGCTTAGCATGCTTGGGGTGTAGCAGGTGAGGGAGGGGTGGGCTGACCACCCCTCTTTCAACCATACTGAAGAGTTTTGACTTTTTCTGAGGTCAATGGAGAGGCCTTGAGGGGTTTGTGCAGAGGCGTGACCTGAGGGGCTGTGAGGAGGCATGATTTAGGGGGGATGGAGGTGAAGTTTGTGGGGTGGGGTGCATGGGAGACAAGAGCCTCTAATGTCGTGTGGCACTGGTGCATCCATCCCTTTGAGTCTGTGCCTCTGCACTTCTGGCCTCTGCTGGGCTTCTTTCTTCTTACCTCTGAGATGCTCCCTTTCCTCTGCAGAGATATAAGCACTTTTTCTACCTCATTGAGGTCACTAAAGACCCCTGAGCTGAGAGGCCTCCCTGAAGGTGGGATGTTTTTCCACTGCAAAGAGAAACTGCTGATGGGGCACAAACAACATAAAAGGCAACGCAATCTGGCCCCTGCAGAGATGCCGGGGGAGGCCAGCTGCTCCTAAGCTTCCTTCTCCTGTGAATCTGGAAGAAACTCACACCAGTAGCAAAGCCTGCAGAACTGTAGGCTTGTGGCCCAGCCCTGCCTTTCCAGACAACCCACTTCCTCTTCCTCTGCAGTTTCCCACCTCCAGGGGGGCTGGGTCCCGCAGAACCAGAGAGGCAACTCCTGACTGTGACAGCGGCTCTGTCTCCCTTTGATGCCAGCGAGGGCCTGGTAGGTAGCACACGAGAAGACACCATGGGGGAGAAGAGTCCATGATTAGAAGTCTGTGTGTGCGTCCATGCACCTCCACGTTTGCATGTCTCTGAAGCAGTATCTAGAGTATCTAGAGTGGTTGAAGCATAGGCTTCAACCTTCAGTGGTGTCAGACTCCCTGAGTTCAAATTTTGGCTCTGCCACTTAGTCTTAAGATCAAAAGAGACAAAGAAGGCTGTTACATAAAGGTAAAGGGATCAATTCAACAAGAAGAGCTAACTATCCTAAATATATATGCACCCAATACAGGAGCACCCAGATTCATAAAGCAAGTCCTGAGTGACATAGAAAGAGACTTAGACTCCCACACAATAATAATGGGAGACTTTAACACCACACTGTCAACATTAGACAGATCAACAAGACAGAAAGTTAACAAGGATATCCAGGAATTGAACTCAGCTCTGCACCAAGTGGACCTAATAGACATCTACAGAACTCTCCACCCCAAATCAACAGAATATACATTCTTCTCAGCACCACACCACACTTATTCCAAAATTGACCACATAGTTGGAAGTAAAGCACTCCTCAGCAAATGTAAAAGAACAGAAATTATAACAAACTGTCTCTCAGACCACAGTGCAATCAAACTAGAACTCAGGATTAAGAAACTCACTCAAAACCACTCAACTACATGGAAACTGAACAACCTGCTCCTGAATGAATACTGGGTAGATAATGAAAGGAAGGCAGAAATAAAGATGTTCTTTGAAACCAACAAGAACAAAGACACAACATACCAGAATCTCTGGGACACATTCAAAGCAATGTGTAGAGGGAAATTTATAGCACTTAAATGCCCACAAGAGAAAGCAGGAAAGATCTAAAATTGACACCCTAACATCACAATTAAAAGAACTAGAGAAGCAAGAGCAAACACATTCAAAAGCTAGCAGAAGGCAAGAAATAACTAAAATCAGAGCAGAACTGAAGGATATAGAGACACAAAAAACCCTTCAAAAAATCAATGAATCCAGGAGCTGGTTTATTGAAAAGATCAACAAAATTGATAGACAGCTAGCAAGACTAATAAAGAAGAAAAGAGAGAAGAATCAAATAGATGCAATAAAAAATGATAAAGGGGATATCACCACCGATCCCACAGAAATACAGACTACCATCAGAGAATATTATAAACACCTCTATGCAAATAAACTAGAAAATCTAGAAGAAATGGATAAATTCCTTGACACATACACCCTCCCAAGACTAAATCAGGAAGAAGTTGAATCTCTGAATAGACCAACAACAGGCTCTGAAATTGAGGCATTAATTAATAGCTTACCAACCAAAAAGAGTCCAGGACCAGATGGATTCACAGCCGAATTCTACCAGAGGTACAAGGAGGAGCTGGTAGCATTCCTTCTGAAACTATTCCAATCAATAGAAAAAGAGGGAATCCTCCCTAACTCATTTTATGAGGCCAACATCATCCTGATACCAAAGCCTGGCAGAGACGCAATAAAAAAAGAGAATTTTAGACCAATATCCCTGATGAACATCAATGCAAAAATCCTCAATAAAATACTGGCAAACAGAATCCAGCAGCACATCAAAAAGTTTATCCACCATGATCAAGTGGGCTTCATTCCTGGGATGCAAGGCTGGTTCAACATATGCAAATCAATAAACGTAATCCAGCATATACACAGAACCAGTGACAAAAACCATATGATTACCTCAATAGATGCAGAAAAGTCCTTTGACAAAATTCAACAACCCTTCATGCTAAAAATTCTCAATAAATTAGGTATTGATGGGATGTATCTCAAAATAATAAGAGCTATCTATGACAAACCCACAGCCAATATCATACTGAATGGACAAAAACTGGCAGCATTCCCTTTGAAAACTGGCACAAGACAGGGATGCCCTCTCTCACCACTCCTATTCAACATAGTGTTGGAAGTTCTGGCCAGGGCAGTCAGGCAGGAGAAGGAAATAAAGGGTATTCAATTAGGAAAAGAGGAAGTCAAATTGTCCCTGTTTGCAGATGACATGATTGTATATCTAGAAAACCCCATTGTCTCGGCCCCAAATCTCCTTAAGCTGATAGGCAACTTCAGCAAAGTCTCAGGATACAAAATCAATGTGCAAAGATCACAAGCATTCTTATACACCAATAACAGACAAACAGCCAAATCATGAGTGAACTCCCATTCACAATTGCTTCAAAGAGAATAAAATACCTAGGAATCCAACTTACAAGGGACATGAAGGACCTCTTCAAGGAGAACTACAAACCACTGCTCAATGAAATAAGAGGATACAAACAAATGGAAGAACATTCCATGCTCATGGGTAGGAAGAATCAATATCGTGAAAATGGCCATACTGCCCAAGGTAATTTATGGATTCAATGACATCCCCATCAATATACCAATGACTTTCTTCACAGAATTGGAAAAAACTACTTTAAAGTTCAAATGAAACCAAAAAAGAGCCTGAATTGCCAAGTCAATCCTAAGCCAGAAGAACAAAGCTTGAGGCATCAAGCTACCTGACTTCAAACTATACTACAAGGCTACAGTAACCAAAACAGCATGGTACTGGTACCAAAACAGAGATACACACCAATGGAACAGAACAGAGCCCTCAGAAATAATGCCACATATCTACAACCATCTGATCTTTGACAAACCTGACAAAAACAAGAAATGGGGAAAGGATTCCCTATTTAATAAATGGTGCTGGGAAAACTGGCTAGCCATATGTAGAAAGCTGAAACTGGATCCCTTCCTTACACCTTATACAAAAATTAATTCAAGATGGATTAAAGACTTAAATGTTAGACCTAAAACCAGAAAAACCCTAGAAGAAAACCTAGGCATTACCATTCAGGACATAGGCATGGGCAAGGACTTCATGTCTAAAACACCAAAAGCAATGGCAACAAAAGCCAAAATTGACAAATGGGATCTAATAAAACTAAAGAGCTTCTGCACAGCAAAAGAAACTACCATCGGAGTGAACAGGCAACCCACAGAATGGGAGAAAATTTTTGCAGTCTACTAATCTGACAAAGGTCTAATATCCAGAATCTACGATGAACTCAAACAAATTTACAAGAAAAAAACAACCCCATCAACAAGTGGGCGAAGGATATGAACAGACACTGTTCAAAAGAAGACATTTATGCAGCCAAAAGACACATGAAAAAATGCTCACCATCACTGGCGGTCAGAGAAATGCAAATCAAAACCACAATGAGATACCATCTCACACCAGTTAGAATGGCGATCATTAAAAAATCAGGAAACAACAGGTGCTGGAGAGAATGTGGAGAAATATGAACACTTTTACACTGTTGATGGGACTGTAAACTAGTTCAACCATTGTGGAAGTCAGTGTAGCGATTCCTCAGGAATCTAGAACTAGAAATACCATTTGACCCAGCCATCCCATTACTGGGTATATACCCAAAGGATTACAAAACATGCTGCTGCCATAAAGACACATACACACGTAGGTTTATTGTGGCACTATTCACAATAGCAAAGACTTGGAACCAAGCCAAATGTCCAACAATGATAGATTGGATTAAGAAAATGTGGCACATATACACCTTTGAATACTATACAGCCATAAAAAATGATGAGTTCATGTCCTTTGTAGGGACACAGATGAAGCTGGAAACCATCAGTCTCAGCAAACTATCATAAGGACAAAACACCAAACACCGCATGTTCTCCCTCACAGGTGGGAATTGAACAATGAGAACACATGGACACAGGAAGGGGAACATCACTCACCAGGGCCTGTTGTGGGATGGGGGGAGTGGGGAGGGATAGCATTTGGAGATATACCTAATGTTAAATGATGAGTTACTGGGTGCAGCACACCAACATGGCACATGTATACATATGTAACTAACCTGCACATTGTGCACATGTACCCTAAAACTTAAAGTATAATAATAACAAAAAAGGATTGCAATAAGCCCTTGAACCTTACCAGTCCTCTGTTTTCTCATCTGTAAAATAGGGATTATAATAGCACCTTATAAAGGTCAATAGCAACAGCGTGCCTGCATGTACTCAGAAAGGGTTAACCATTACTGCTGCGATTCTGAATGAAGCTCTGTGCCCTGCCCTTACAAGTCCACAGTGCATGTATCTGGGGGTCTGTCTGTCCTAAAACACACTGTCTTTAGAGTCGGAGAGATGTGCTTATGAATTCTGGCTTTTCTGTGGACAATTCCGGTGGCTTTGGATAAGTTACTTCACCCCTTTAAGCCTCGTCTTCCCCGTTTAAAAACTCAGGCTGATAACAGAACTACTTCATACAGTTGTTATGAGGATTAAATGTGATAATGCAAGTGAAGTGTTTAGAATATTGCCCAGCTGAACAAAATTTGTAGTATCATTGTCATCATTATTGCCATGGTTGACATTTGGCTATGTTACCCTGTTTAAAATGTTGCTCATTCATTCAAGAAGCACCTTTTTTGTTTTATGCTTTCTAAGCTCTACCCACTGGGTTAGTGCTTGAGAGGAACTTGTCCTTCTCCTCAATTAACTCCCCTCATGGTACTGAAATGCCATGGCAGAAGTCTGTGGGGGAAATTCATTTCTTAGTTTACCAAAATAGACTTTGAGGCCAAGAATGTTGAAGCCTTCTAACTAATTGGAAATGGAACCTGGATTCAAACCTAAGACTTCTGAATGTGGGTTTTTTTCTTTGAAGCCATCTTTAGACTCATCCTAATGGGTTGCAATTATAAGGTGTTTTAAATTTTACAAGACAGTTAAATATCTATGATCTTACTTTTGAGTCTTTGTCAAGAATCTTGGTGAAATGATTATGGCATGTACTACAAATTCCTTCCTACAAGTGAGGATACTGAGGCCACCAGGAGATGTGAGTTGCCCAGGTGTCATAGCTGGTAGATAATGGAACCCGGAGACCACCCAGCGTTCCGTACTGGGATCTCCTGTGCTGCTTCAATTACTAGGTGCCTTGCACAATGGTGTCTTCCTGAACTTTGGAACCCCTTCCTGAGTTAGACCCATATCTCCTTGCTGATACCCTGACTGCAGCTCCCTCATTGTGCTAGGAAGAGGGGTGGGAGAGAGCAAGCTCCTTCTTCTCCTCTGCAGACTCTCACTGTGTCCATGCTGATTCATTCCTGAGGGCCTGCTTCTTCTTGTCCATGGTGGGGAGCCAGAAAAAGCCAATTCTACCAGCCGCTGTGCATGGGCCCATTCAGTGTCAACGGACCCAGGGATACTACCTCCATCATGAACCTGCCAAAGAGATTGACATTAACTTGGCTGTCATGGCCTCAGCAAGCCCTCTGGGCCAAGGCCTGGGCATCATTCTCCTGCATTCCTTTCCAGCCTATTAAATCAAAGGCAGGAAATGAAATGAGCCTGAAAATGTGCTGTTTGGAAGCCCCCCAGGGTTCTGGAAAGTCAGTAATGCCTGGGTAAAAACTGTTCTCCCTTATAGAGTAGGGTTCTGTAGGGCAGCTGATAAGAAAAACAGATAATGTGACAGGGAGGAAATTGCTTCTGGACTGAGGATCATCTCCCTGGCTTTGGGCACCATCAGCCAGCAATGCTACTGCTTTATTCCAGAGGCACACTATGGTATCTACTAGGGAAGTGCCAGAAGAATCAGCACGAATGAACTCTTTTTTGATGAGCCATCAGTTGGATTTGGCAAGAACATGTCAGCATGTGCAATCAGGCAGAAAAAGGGTTTCAAAAAAAAATTTTTTTTTAAATGAGTTCTATTTTGTTGTGAAATAAACACATTTCATTCAACATGTGAATATAATTTGAGGGTAGGGAATTAACAATTTTGAGCACCTATAATGTGCTAAAAGATGTATTAATAATGTCAATATTTTATAAAATATTTTGTCATCAGAGTAATACATGTGCATTGTTAAGAAAAATTAAGGTTAGGGTTACCCCATTTGGCAAGTAGCCTAGTTTGGCAAAAGTGTTGGCTGAGGATGAGAGAAAGCTAGAATGGATGGAGAGGAGGGAGATGGTAAATATGAACTATGGTGTCCTGGGTTTAGCTGTAGTAGTAGAGACTGTAGCTTGTCCAACATTCCACTAATGTTCTTTTTGTGAGACATTTTAGTTACTCTTGTGAGTAATTAGTTTTAAGAAGGAGTCAACTTCATGTGAGGCACTGCTGGATGTGAGCGGTGCAGGGGTGGACTGTCCTAGATGCTGGCAGTACTCTCCAAAATTTCCTGGGATCCTTTCGCCATTTCCATGTGGGCCAGCCTAACTTCCAGTGGCCAGCATCTATTGTATTTGTCATTTATTCAAGAAGCACCTTTTTTGGTTTGTTTGTTTTATATGTTCAAAGCTCTACCCACTAGAGTTGGTGTTTGGGACACAGGTAAGTAAGAACTTGTCCTTTTCCTCAAGTAACTCACTCATAGTCACTGAAACTCTGCAGCAGAAGTCTGCAGGGGAATACATTTTTTTAGTTTTCCAAAGTAGACTTTGAGGCCAAACATGTTGAAGCCAGAGGTTAAACTTCCCAGTCTGTCTGAGGATTTGGAACTACAGTTCATGGGGCAAATCCATTCTGTTGTCTGTGTTTTTGTAAATAAAGTTTTATTGGAATACATGCATGCCAAGTCCTTTATGTATTGTCTGTGGCTGCTATTGCACTCCAGTGATAGAGTGGATTGAGTAGCTGTAACAGAGACTGTATGGCCTGGGAAGGTGAAACGATTTGCTATTAGGCTCTTTACAGAAAATTTTTGCTGACTATTGGCTTAAAGTATGCTTGTGAGGGGGCCCAGATAGAAACACTGTCATCTCTAGGCCATGATAAATAAACAAAGTTGAGTGGTTTGGTTACTGAAACTTGGAAAGGGTAGAGGTTTACAGAGAAGAGTCCTTTTGAGGAGCAGAGATCTGTAGTGGAGGGAAAGGAGGTCACCATTAGAGGAGATACCTGGGGATATACTTACCTCAACCTTCTTCCTTTACTCTAACTCTCATGAGAATTGCTTGTTTACCCGTGTGATTCAACCACTAGACTGTGAGCTTCTTGAGGACGGGGATCAGGCCTTGTTATCTTTGCTAAGTCTACTTAGTTGGGAGCGAATAATGTTCCCAAATAGCGGCTCAACCAAAGATTTTTGAATTGAGTGAACCAGCAACCCCCCACCCCCACTTCTGCCAGTTTTCTTCTTGGCAACCAACGCCGTATGTACATAAAGCCAACAGGGCTGGAGGAGATCCAGAGGCTGTGGTCTCATAGCTTCCTACCACCCTCCCCAAGCTAGTTGGCTCAGATGCACGTGAACTTGACCCTATAACTTTGGATTCATTATCTCTCTGTGCCAGCATTCTGAGACAATAAATTTTAGGCAGATGGCTTTTCAAAGCCAGTGACTCTGGGATTTGGAGCAGCCATCGCCCAGATTGTAAACTTCCTTCCAGCCGATTCTTATCCCTGTCCTGGCCTATCAGTGAGAATGAGGCAGTCCTGGCAACTCCCTAAAAGGCTTCCTCATCTCCAGTAGGCCAGGCTGCCAGGATTTTCCCAAACCTAAACGATAATCTGAAGGTTTAAGTACACGCTTCCAAAAGAGCAACTTTTCAAATTTATCATGAATGTCTCTGAAATGTGTTAATGCATTCAGTTTCTGCTGATGGATGAAATGCTAATGCCATTATCATAATGTAGTGCCTAATTTTTTTGGATGAAAATTATATTGGGTTTTTGACATGAGGAGCAAAGTGGCAAATTGCAATAAACTGCAAGATAAATCAGTTATAATTCAGTAGTCATAGAGGCCCCTTGAGGGAATAATAACAGTAATAATAATAAAAACAGCCCCCTACAAAGTTTCTCATCAGGTCTTAAGACTCCGAATGGGCAATGTTTTGCTTACACATGCTGAGCCCGCACATCGTATCTTGGCTGTACTGATGGGCAAACATCAATCATGTTGGCATATCTGATGGAGCCCAATAGCACATCAATTTGATGGTTGCTTCATAAAATTTATCATCCCTCAAAGCACAGTCACACATTCTAGACACTGCCACCACTAGGACCAATGCACTGGGTTATGGATGGGTTTCAAACCCAAAGTTTGCCCATTTGTTGTGCAAATGTCCACACTCTGGATGCTGTGGGCATCAGTCACTTTTGCCAGAGAGCACCTGGCAGTGGTGCCTTGGAAATGAGTCTCAGAGTTGCTTTAATGCCCAGGTGTATGAATCTGGGCCAAATAGTGGGCCATTTCAGAATTATTCTGCTAATTGGACTTCTTTCAAACATAAATATGCATTTCATCCCACATAGCCCAAGTGGGAAGAGGAAAAATAATAGGATTCCAACTGCCAGGCTTTTAGGTCTATCTTCCAGACCTTAGCTTACTGCTAAGAGAGGAGAAGAGTGTGTGGGGAGTAGCGACTAGGATCTAGAGACAATACACATACACAATACACAATTTGCACATACACATATATACATACATATAATACACACTTCACACAAAGCACACATGCACACATGTACATATACATATATACAATACATAGATACACACGCAAAGTATCCACACACACAATACACATACCACAGTACACACATATCCACATATATATGCACACACAATACACACATATAATACACATATACAAACAAACATGCATATATGCACATGCACACACATATACATGTTTATATAGTTAAGTGAGATTTTATCTGGGCATCATTTTAAAAACTGAACAGATCAAATTCTGCTAGATCAGTTGTAGAAAAAACACACTGCCTCATCACTCCCCCTCCACATATGAAAATCTGGCCATGGTTTTTCTTTTTCCTTGAGATTTTATACCCTGCTCCCTGCAAGACAATATATTCTTATCCTTCCAAACCCTCAGACACTTGGTTTCCTCCAATGTTGTAAGGCTGTGCATGAAGATGCCCTCTATTTCTTGATATTTGTGGTTCCTATTTTCCCAGTTTGGTTCGGGGGAATTTACTTCTGTCCCAGGTCCCTTTGACCTCCCGATTCCCACGATCAGTTTAACACATTCTTTAGCAGAGCCTGCCTAGCCATGAGATTGTGTTAATATGTCATTAATAGCTGCACTAGGCCCTGTCCAAACCCATTCCCAATACTTCCTTTTGGAAACCTATCAGCTACACTGAAGGGAAAGAGAAGTCAAGAGCACTGCCTATACTTTTTGATATTTTTAGCTGCATTAGGTACCAGGTCTCTCAGATGGTCTATTAACATTTCCAAGCTTGTCAGAAAATGTCTAGTTCAATAAAAGGGGAAGAACATGATTTTTAAAAAATAAAGAAAAATCGAGCCTGGGAATACCAGCAAATCTTCCCAGGAGAGTAAGAACTGGTTATCTAATGGCTCTGTGCTTGCCTCTTCTGCTAATTAGCTTGCTGCCCCAACCAAGGCATCCTTCTCCCCTGGGCCTCAGTTTCCTCATCTGTAAAAATTAGCAGGTTAGATTGCTAAGGTTTCTCTGAGTTCTATCAAATAATAAAATTCATTGAATCTCCAGGGATTCAAATTCAAAATCAGATTAATTTTTCTTGGCCATGGTTTTGACTCATGGTGAGCTTGCAATCCACCAAGACATTTGGACAATTCATGAAGAGAGCTTTGCAGCTACCACGTGAATGCTTCCTTTCCTTAAGAAGGAGGAGAGCATAGAAATTCACAATAGCCATGCACACTGGAGCATTTCCTATCATCTACTTATCCCTTCGTCTAAGGACATAGGGCTGCCTCATGAAGTCCACAGAGTGGCTCATGCAGGTCTATGCTGACTATGTTATAATTACCTGCATTGATGTCACAGCTTAGGTTGACCAAAGATTAGACATGGGCTAGCAACATCTCTATATCTTTATTGAGAATTGGGGTATGGCATTGGAGTAGGAAAAAGAGTGAAGGATTTGATACAGACAAATCAAGTTTTGAATTGTGGCTCTGCCATGTTTTAGCTGTGAGATATTGGGCAAATTGCCTGGTCTTTCTGAGCCTAAAGAAATAGCACCTTCACATGTTGAAGCAAAGTGGGAATTCTGTGAAATTCATAGCAGCTCACATCAATGCAAAAACTATAAACCCTAGTCACATGGACATTACCATTAAGGGGGAGAATGTATATACATCATCTGGCAACATCAAAAATGTTCATTTCCTTTATGAGTTACCTTAATAATCCACTATAAGACTTACATTTTCACATTGATAAAATTTGAGAAATACTTAACATATCTTCAGCATTTTCCACCTCTTTCCAGTATTAGACATTTGTGATCTGCTAGAAAGCTCATAGCTATATTTAAAAATAAACTGTTTCAGCTGTAGATCCTTTTCTTTTTGGTACATATATCTTGCCTCCTAATTTCTGTTACATTTACAATATATTTTTAAAATTTTTAGTATTATTTTGTAACTTTTTAAGATAATTTTAAAAGATCAGGAAAATTGCAAGAAGAAAACAATTAACACCCACATAATATTCACTAATAGTCACTAATTGTTAATATAAGGTGACTTTAAAAAGTTCATGGAAAAATGGAACTAAAAGATAAAAATAAAAAATATAAACTTTCTCAAAATAGGCTCCATCAAGTACAAGGTACTTTTCTAAGCAATGATACCATCCATGTATTTAGTCCATCCCTAAAGACCTGAGTGAGGGTCCTGGAAATTTAACCCTTACATTTTTTAAATTAGGAAGTAAAATGAAGTCAGAGGGAGCCAAATCATGACTCTAGGATGGATGTCTAATGATTTCCCATCAAAACTCTTACAAGATTGCCCTTGTTTGATGAGAGAAATGGTAAGGAGCCTTGTCATGGTGGAAAAGGACTCCCTGATGAAGGTTTCCCAAGAGTTTTTCTGCTAAAGCCTCAGCTAACTTTCTCAAAACACTCTCATAATAAGCAGATGTTATTGTTCTTTGGCCCTCCAGAGAGTCAACAAGAAAAATTCCTTGAACATTCAAAAAACTGTTGCCATGGCCTTTGTTTTTGACTGATTTCCTATTGCTCTGACTGGACCACTTCCACCTCTTGGTAGCCATTGCTTTGATTGTGCCTTGTCTGTAGAGTAATACTGTTAAAGTCATGTTTCATCTCTTACTACAGTTCTTCAGGGAAATGCTTCAGGATCTTGATCCCACTTGTTTAACATTTCTGTTGAAAGCTTTTCTCTTGTCTGCAGCTGATCTGGGCATAATGGTTATGGCACCCATTAAGTGGAAAGTTTGCTCAACTTTAATTTTTCAGTTAGAATTGTGTAAGTTGAATCAGTTGAGATGTCTGTGGTGTTGGCTATTATTTGTGCTGTTAATCATTGGTTCTGTTCAATTGGGGCATGAACAAGATTAATTTTTTTCCTCACAAATTGATGTGGATGGTCTGTCACTGAGGGCTTTATCTTCAACATTGTCTTGTCCCTTCTTAAAATGAGTTATCTATTTGCAAACTGCTGCTTTATTTGGAGCATTGTCTTCATAAACTTTTCATAAAGCATCAATGATTTCACCATTCTGGTAGGAGCTCTTTTCAAACTGATGTCTTATCCCAATAAGTGATCTCTTGGCTAAGGTGGTGTCTGCCAGATTTCTTCACCATAAATACATCTATTTTCCCTTACTCATAAATAGATAATCTATGAGAAATACTTTGAGACTGAGTAAATATCCTCTTCCCTAGTAAACTCTTAGGCAACGGTACATGACAGTTTATAAAATATGACCCTGAAACTCTTTGAGTTTCCTCCTGTGAAGAGGTCTACTTTTTCTCCGATCAAATCTGGATGAGGCTGTGATGGCTTTGTCTACTGGAGTAAAGGGGAAGTGAGGCTGTGTGATCTTTGAGGCTGCCTTACTAAAGGTCATGCAGCTTGTGTTTTGTCCTCTTGGGCTGCTGGCCTTGGGAAGAACTAGGCAGCAAATGAGAAGTCCAACCACCCTGAGATTGCCATGCTAGAGAGGCCATGAATGGATGCTGTGGTCAACAGCCCAGCTGTGCTGCCAGCCAATGGCCAGCACCAACTGCCACCATACAAGTGACCAACCTTAAATGCTGCAGCCCAGCTGAACCTTAAAGATGGCTGATGCTCCATCTGACATCTGTAACCACATGAATGACTGCAAGCAAGAATTGCCCAGACAATGTCTTAAATTCTTGATCCACAAAATCATGTATCAAATAAAATGGTTGCTTTAGCGCTAGAGATTTGGGATAATTGCTATGCTGTAGTAGTAACTGAAAAGCATTCATTGATGATTCTTCCCTGAGTCAATTATTATATTAGTGGTTGCTAAAATGCAATTTTTAAATTCCATCAGCCTCATTTTATTATGTGAATACTATTGGTTATTCTTTCTGGATATGTCTGCCTTACTCCTGGCTTCCTCAAATTCTTTTAGGATTTGCTTCTGCTTATTATATTATTTCTCCAGGAAAAAAGACCTCTGAGCTGGGACCAAAACAAGAAAGAAATGAGAATCTATTTCTTTTTTTTTTTTTCTTTTTTTTTTTCAAGCATTAAACATTTAACACCTTATTTTTATTCATACATATTTTGCCCTAATTTCTTTTTTTCTTTTTTTTTTTAATTATACTTTAAGTTTTAGGGTACATGTGCACACACCTATTTCTTATTAATCTCTAACAAATAGTCCAGGGGCTACAATGTCAGTTTCTTATAATAAGATGACATTTTTGTCCTTCCTTTTGCTAAACACTAATTGTAGCTCTGCATCAGAAAACATAGACAATGCTAGAAGTGCATTCATTGTTTTCTAATCACAACATACTTACTTTGTTATATGACATTTATGTCATTTTATCAATTGAAATATGCTCCTCTAAAATGGCACTTTCAAAGTCCAACTACCATAAACAGAGCTCACCAGCCTCATTTCTCCCCTGCTCTCCTGCGGCCCCACAATGTGTCTGCTGACCTAAGACACTGAGGCTGCCAGCCTCAGCCTGACTGTGTTGTTTTTGTAATGTGCAGTTGATTATCTTTAGATGGGCCCGGCACAGGAATGTGACCCCAAATTATTCTCCTTTTGTGTATTAGGTGGGAGGATGTGTGAAGGTAATAAAAGAGAAGGATAGGACTCTTAAAATCTTTTAGGGACATGAACGAAAATAATAAATCTGGGTCTTAAAATAGCCAGTGGGCTAGAATCACTAAAAAAATCTCAAGGGGAGAAATATTCATCAGCTAGAAGAGGAACATGCATACTATTTGCAGCAAACTAATATCAGCTTTATCTTTAGAGCTGTTTGTGTGCAAAATCCAGGCTTCTGCATAGAGGGGAATTTTGCATCTTAAACTCAGGAAGCAGATTTAAGGACCTACTATGCACTCAGTCTCATGGTAGGAGCCAGGGAGGGGCAATTAGGAATGTAAAACATAATTCTCAGCCATGGGAACTTTCCACTTAATTGAGGGAGTCAAGACATACACAAATATGCTGCACTTTTCCTCCATTCTTTTTCATCTCCTTCAGTTATGTGCCTCCAACCACCTGCCACCCCCACCTCCCACAGTGATTAAGAAATAAAGCTTAGAAGCTTGATACGTTTATCTAATATGATTGGATTGTAATATTCTCAAACAAAAGTGTAGAGTCTTTTTCCTGATTGTAATTTTGGGATCCTTCATAGCAGGTGGCTTTTCTAGCACTGCGGACATGTGTGTTGAACTGAGCATGACAGGCTTGCATAAGCATTGATCACATCAATGGAACTTAACAAACTCACACTCTGCTTAGCATGGCAACCTAGGCCCTCCCACCCCACTCAGCAATCTCTTCTTGTAGCTTTTTTTATGTTTTCTGCTCACAGGGCCTTATTTGTGCCTTCAGATAGAGTTTCCTGGCGTTATAGAATAGCATGAATTCTCTTCCATTTCCCCTTTTCCCCAGAACCCTGTGAGTTCTGTGCCCATGACTCTTCATCCAAGAATTTCAGAAGTCCAGTCCAAATATTCCACCAGCACTGTGTTGGCACCAGCACTGTCCAATCAGAAAGGCCTTGGGCTTTCACCAGCTGCTTCTGCTGCCGTGGTGTGTTTCAGGTAAATATGAGATGACAAGCAACCAGGATCCCTTCCTAACCCATCTCCATGCTCATTCCGGGCTCACAGGGGACCCACCCTGTTCTGTTGTTACAGGGTCCCACTTGGTAGGACAAACACTTGGATGTGGACATCCTACAGCTCAGCCCACAAACCAAGGCTCACATCAAAGCCTTTCCAGACTACTTCAAGCCAGTTTATTCCTTGCTTTGTGCTTGCCCTCCCACTGTCCTCTGCAGACGTTGATAATAACCCAACGAGGCTTGTATTCCTGCGATGGGACCATGAGCCTCTAGAGGGCAAGAGACACATCTACCTGTGTTTGGCTCTCATCCACCCTTAATGATTGTTGGTTGAATGAATAACTAAATACATACATACCAGTTTTCCAGATACCAGAAACAAAGCACTGCCTTTGTTGTCCACATTCTTTATAATAGCAATGATAACTAACAATGTCATGGCATAACGTAAGTGCTTTAAATGCATTAGCTCATTTAAACATCATAGCAATCTTAGAAAGAATGCCTCTTATAAACCCCATTTTAAAGATGAGAAAACTGGAGCAAAGAAGAGTTAAGTTGATTCCTTAGCGTCACATAGTTGATGGATTGCTGAGCTGGACTTTGAACCATGGTAGTCTGTTTCTGGAATATCAGCTCTTAACTACTAAACTAAATTTCCTGTCTAGAATAGCCACCAGAGGTCCTTTAAATTTTCATCCTGATGAACCCAACTACTGGGCACAATTCTCTGTCCTTCCAAACTGCCCTGCAATTCCTCCCTTCGAGTCTTTTGCTTGTCTGGTTTGCAGCTGTAGAGTCAATGATGCTTTCTCTACCTTCTCTCCTGTTGCTGTGCTCCTGTGGTCTTCAGGCTTAGCCTGACTGTTATCTGCTTCACCAGACTCCTCGGACATCCCAGCAGAGCTTGAGGTGTTCTCTTCTGGCCTCCCACAGCACCATGCTTATAATAGACAGTTCAGTATGTATCTGTAGCTAGGTAATTATTTCTTTCCCCAGCACACTTGGATGTCTGAGTGATGAGCTTTCTATGCCCCTGGAGTATGTGCTTCTTATGTGTAGGGTCATGGATTTCTCATTTTCATTTCTTCAGTTCCTGACACCTAGTAAAATGCTCTGAGGATGTGTACTGAACGGGGTTACTGGGAACCAGCATTGCTCTTATGAATGGATGCAGTTGGCTGATGTCTTATGATTTCTAGAGACCTGGACAGATTATTTTGTCCTTGGCTATCTTTCCTGTCTGGAATCATGATGCCTGAAATGCTCCCATTATTGAACTGTTCTTGCAAAATAAGTATTTCATCCTCTAGTGTTCTCGGTAAAACAAAATATATTTGTGGGAAGAGCAGTGACTTAAATCTCTGAAACATGTGTGTGACTTGGAGGCGTGTGTGTAGGCTGTGTCCAGGATTCTGGGCACTCACGGGAGGCAGGGAGGGGAGGCATGTGTTGCTGAAGCGAGCTTCCCCTCATTTCCAATTTTGTCGGGAGCCAGCCTCCTTATATATCCCTTTTAGCACTTCTAAGTAGCAACACAAGTCTTCCAGATGGCTGTGGAATTACTTGTAAGGCAGCCTGCAGATGATTCTTGAAAAAAGAAAGTTCTCATTAAAAGTGAATGAAAGCGTGAATTTTTAACATGTCTGTTTGAAACTCTCAGAATTTTTAAGTGAAATTAGACTTATGTGGAATGAAGCACACCCAAAGCCCTTTAAAGCTTTGGAAGCCTATCTCAGTCAGCAAACTACACACAGACAGGGTGTTTCCCTTCTGTGTGGGCACTGCTGTGGGTGCCGGGGAGGCAGTGAGGAACGAGACAGGGTCCCTGTGCCCCAGGAGATTGCAATGTTTCCACAGACCATTAGCGAGTCTTTGTAGGCAATGGTTGGAATCCACTAGTAATTTTCAGTATTTTAAAATCCTAACCAACATCTTCTTATATTTAACCATAATAGCATTGTGCAGGAGAATGGAAACATCATTTCTTTGCTGTTGCCTGGAATCATAGTACCTCTGTGTGTTTTACCACTGCATGCCTCATTGGAAGACACATACTTTATTCCATAAGACAGGATGGTTGAAGAAACCAATAGAGAGCACTATATTTTGCCCAACTTGAGGCTCATGAACAGGAGAGAATGGCAGATTTTCTTGGTGGGGACAATATTGCAGGGCTCAGATACAAGATGCATGTATGTGGTTCTATAAGAGCTGCTCTGGTGAAGCGTCTTGTAGGATAACTGTTGGTGGACACCCTCTGCTTCCCTGAGGTCATCTGCAGACCCTTCTTTCCCAGTCTGTGGCATCATGAGTCCCTTGGCCCATAGGAGGATGCTTTGTCCATGTGCAGGACAGGTTGGAAGAGAGGAAGGTTAAAGCCCTGAAGCAGTTCTCAGCCCATGAGGGAGGAGAGGAGCTAGGTAAGGACTCCAGTTTCCTTGCCTTTGGAGAGTCCACTTCTGAACTGTGCTTTGCAATCTCTCAGAGGGTCCCCTGTGGGACTGAGTCCCAGTGGCTCACAGTGGTGACCTTCTCATTACCCTAGCCTTATTAGCTTTCCTTTCATCACTGTCTCTCCTCACCACTCATGCACCATGCTTGCTGGAATCATCTCCCAAATAGGACTCCTGTACCAAATTTCTCCCAAATAAGGCACCTGTACCAAATTTCTATCTTAGGGTCTGCTTCAGAGGGAGTGCAAACTAAAGACAATACATCAAAATACTGAGGAAGTAGAGAAGTACCTATGATAGAGGAGATCTGGAAAGACTACCACCGGAAGGTGGCTTTAAAGGTGATGGAGATAGGGTATTTTTCATTAGAACACCGCCATGGTGCTATAGCCACTGGTGGACTTGGGGTAATGAACCTGGCACCTGTAGGCTGGGCTGCTCCAGGCAGGGGCCCTTGGTATTGCCTGAAAGAACCTCAACTTCTCCCCCAGCACCTCTCATCTGGACCACATGGGGGCACTCTGCAGGCCGGGTGGTCAACTCTCCTAACCCTCGAAGTTGCTGGCCTTGCCACTCTCTCTCCTGTCTCCTCCACTCCTTACTTGATATGACCTGTAAGACTGTAAACTTGAGGGTCTGGTCTTTTTCTACTTCCTCAGCATATTGCATAGTTCCTGGAACATAGTAAATGCTCAATAAATATTTGTTGCTAAATAAGGTGTTTATCCTTTCCTCATCACTGCGGCCTTGAGCACCCCTCAGAAGACATCTCCCATGCCCCTCTCTGGCCACCTCCAACACATAGTGTTAGTCAGAGGTGCAGGAGGACATTACACTATTTACACACCTTTCTGCCAGCCCAGGGCTTCTCAAAATTTAGGATATGTAAGATTCAGCTAGAGAGCTTGTTAAAACATCTATTTCTGAGCACCAAGATGAAAGATTCTGGTGTGAGCTCTGAGAGTTTGAATTTCTAATAAGCTCCTGCGTGATGCTGGGACCATGCTTCAAGTATTGCTGCTCTAGGGTCCTGTCCTGACCCTCAGCTGTCAATTCTAAGCTGAGTGGTTACAAAGGTGAAATTCATTGGTCAGTACTATTTAGGGTTTTGGGACCAGCCACCAGTACCTTTTTGCACCCCAATGCTGATGTTTGATTCTAATAGAAGAATTGGGTGGATTTTTGATGGGCAGAGATGTACTTTGATTGGTTTCAGAGCCTAATTGCTTTGTAATTATAGTAGTTTGCTGGGGCTGCCATAACAAAGTACCACACATGGGTGGTTTAAACAACAGACATTTATTTTCTAACAATTCTGGAGGGCAGAGGTCTGAAATCAAGGTTTTGACATTGATTGATTTCTTCCAAGTCCTCTTTCCTTGGTTTGTAGATGGCTGTCTTCTCCTTGTGTCTTCACGTCATCACATTGTCTTCCTTCTTTCTGTGTCTGTCTTAGTAATAATGACAACAGTCAGATTGGATTACGGCCCACTGTAATGACCTCATTTTAACTTAATTACCTCTTTAATGACCCCATCTCCAAATATGGCCACAATCTGAGATACTGGAAGTTAAGACTTTGACAGATAATTTTTTTTGGTGGTAAGGGAGGCATAATTCACCCTGCAAAATAATATTCATAAGGAAACTTAAATCTTTTTGAGACTCAGTTTTCTCATGTGCAAGATATAGATAATACTTACTCCAAAGTGGTGTCATAAGGATAAAGTCAGCTGATGCTTACGATGGCCCTTTGCTAGTACTAAAGTTTAAAACAGAAAAAATGCCAGCTATTCTATTACATTTCAACTTTTCTGAAGTTCCGTTCTTATACCATGTTAGGATCAGGTGTCAGGTAAAAAGTTCCTTTCCCTTTTCAATGATCTTACCTCATTTTGGTCTATTAATTCTGCATAGCCATAAGCATGGTTGCTTTGAGTAAAGAAGTTGCAATAGTAAGGAGGCAACACAATTTAGTGAATGGCTAAGATCATGAAGCCATCCTCTCAGCTGCATGTCCTCCTGGAATGGAGGCACTTGGTGCATCTTCACCTTCGAAGATACCATTTACTTGCCTCTGGTTCTCTCCAAAGTGAACTGCTTCATTGAGGGGGCATTTAGATGTAGTGTCCTGATGCCAAGACTCCTGTCTGGGCTGAATTTCAAAGAGGATGATTCTCTTATTGTGGTCTTAAAGAGTGTCAAATTTTCTCAGCATGAGGCTTTTAGAATTTGGTACCCAAATGGCCTAAGAAATTCCCTTGTCCCATATAGGTGTTCAGTGGATCCTCTGTTGTTGGTATTGATGAAGGTCAGGCTGCTGCTCCAAGTAGCTGCTGACAGCAGTAAGGTCTACAACTCTGGGTGAAGCTGATGCAGTGACTCCCATTGTGTTTAAACTCAATGCTCCCTCCCTTCCCCTTTTTCCATATATCAAGTTGGATCTAATGTCCTGCTGAATCTACCTCCAATATCTCTTCTGTAACTTCCCCTATTCTTCCTCCCTTCCCTTTGTCGCTGCCTTAATTTAGGTCACCATCATGTCTTGCCTTGAAATAGCCTCTTAGCCAATCTCTCCTCCTTATCTTCCTCTAATCTACTCTGTGCCCTGATGACAAAACTGACTTTATAAAACATAGATCAATTTTTTATCATTCCTATGCTTAAACCCTTCAAAGTTTCTGTGCTATTTATAGATTGCTGTGTCACAAATCATTACAAATTAGTGACTTAAAACAGCTCATGTTCATCATCTCACCGTTATGTGAGGCAGGAACCTGGACACTGCTTTTCTAGAGACCCCTGTGTCAGGGTCTCTCACAAGTCTTCAGTCAAGTTGTCCAGGGCTGGGTCTCCACTAAAAAGTTGACGGGGGAGGGGCCTACTTCCAAGTTCACTCAAATTGTTGGCAACATTCGGCTTTCGGAGAGCTGTTTGAGAGATTATGTTCATTGTTGTTAAGTGGAAACTGCCCTCAGTTCTTTGCCTCATGGGGCTTTCCAACATGGTCTCTTACTTCATCACAGTCAACAAGGAAGAGCCTACTAGCAAGAGGGACATCACAGTTTTCTATTATGAAATTGATATTTCATTGCTTTTTCTGTAATCCGTCAGTTAGAGAAAGGTCATTAGGCCAACCTATATTCAAGAGAGATGATTACATAGGAGGAATTACATAGGCAACTACCAAGAGGTGGGGGTCATGGGGTCCCCCTATAGTCTATCCAACACAGGCCCTCACTGACCATGCAATAAATCCCAGACCCTCAGCTGGGGCAGGAGAACTCATTGGTTAGGAGTAGCAGAGACTGTGGCATCAGACAGAACTGAGTTAGAGTCCTGAATTGGTCATCTGTTGTGCTTAAACCCTCTAGGCCTCTGTTGGTTCATCTGAAAGATGGAAATAGTCATGGCACCTACCTCATAGGATTGTGGTAATGATATAAATGAGAATGTAAGAATTTGTGGAATACCTAATCAGGAACAAAAGCTCAATGATGTTAAGGATTATTTTAATTAGTGTTACCAACAAATTCTCAATAATCAATGTGATTGTTTCCCTTCTAGTTTTATATTTATCCTGCCTGCCTCCTCCCCTCATGCTCCCTTGGACTCCAGCCCTGATGAGTCGCAGCACATTTCCCCAGATGTGCTGGCCTTGTTGACGTGGTGGTATCTTTCCCCATGCTCTTTCCACTAATTAGACTGTCCTTCCTGTCTCCGTCCCTCTTATCCAAGAGTGAATGGAAATATCACGTCTTTTGAAGCCTTTTATGCCCTGAGGATGGATGGGTGCCCCACCCCACAACATGCCCACTGCGGTCTCACAGTGTCCTATACTTTTATCATCTGTGTGTCTGTCTTCTCTAATGATACAGATCCTGTGTCTTTCCTTTTCGGGTCCTAAATACCTATCAGAAGGTCTGGTACCTAGTAAGTGCTCAGTTTGTGTTTTAGGAAAAAATAGAATTATGGTAGAAAAATGTTATATACTTGATATTGGGGAGGTGGATAGGGCTGTTAACATAATTAAAACTGAGAGAAATTAAGCGTTTTATCCAAGGTCACATGGTTAATAAACGGCAGAAGTAGATGCAAACCCAGCTTTGCTGACTGCATATAGGATGCTGTTTTGGGAACAAGTAAGTACTGGGGCCAAAGGGGAATGACGTAGAATACTTCTCTAAAGGTCTTTGTGGGAATAAGAAATTTTGTGAAACAAGAGAACTCTTAGAAATCTCAAGGCGTGTTGCTTAATTGTCAATGAGGTGCCTGGTTATTTGGAATAACAAGTGGATGACCTTGGGCCTGAGAACCTTCCATCTGTACTGTTCTGGGAAGTTCTAATGGAGTTCATCTGACGGGACACACGTAATTCATAAAAATAATCATCAGTGTTTCCTATGAATAGCCCTATTGTTTCACTGTTCTGCTGTTGAATGGGAATCAGTAATAAACATGGGAGGCAAGTAAAAGGAAACCAGCCAAGTAGTCTGTTGTATGGATCTCAAGCAGTAAAGCAGAAATTCATGAGATTTTTAAGAAAAAGTAACTAAAAAACTCTGTAGTCAAGTTAACGAAGCTGTGATCTCATGAATGCTTAGGTTAACAAAAGTAATTTCAGTTTTTAGAACACGGCAAAGTTTTTCCTGCTATCATTGGCTTTTAAATGTAATTTCATTGAATTTTTTCTTCGTTACTTTTTCTTATTTCATAAGTAACCTTGTGGCTAACATAAAAACAAACAAAAAATGGAAAAAACATATCTCATCATGCCAGGTAAATAAAACTGTTTGTATTTGTTAATGTTCCCCTTTTGTCTCTACGTTGGTATGCGTCCATCTTTTTGCATTCTTTTAATTCCAATATTGGCATAATTTTTTACTGAGATTTTTAAAGTTAGAATTTTGGTCTTTGAGGATGCATTTGGTGATAGATACAGCTATTCTCACACAAACATATTTAGTGATTTAATATATTATACCTAGTATCCTTAACCAGTGTTCATGGTTCTTATCTCTAGGATGGGAAATGATGGATATAGAAGCCAGTGAGAGCTCAGAATGCAAATGCAGTAAGTAACAGTGCCAAACATAGCCTTCACATTGATGCCACTTGTTGAGTTAGGAGTTAAGTATCTTACATGAATTATTTTATTTAATCCTCATAACAACTTATTAAAGTGGTACTAGCATTGTTGGTGTTCTTACAGATGAGGAAACTGAGGTTCACCAATGCTAAGTAACTTTTCCTAGGTTATTTGTTTAATAAGTGGTAAGATCAGGACTTTGAGGAGGTAGGTCTGACCCAAAGTCCCATTAATTGTCTAATAATTTGCCATAACCCAAGGCAACAAAATTCATGTTCTGTCAATTTCACTCATCCACTTAAATCATTCAATATGGAACTATTGATCACGTGCTACGTGCCAGGCAGTTCCTTTCTGCCTGGAGCTGTCATTTGTCACTTTCTTAGAGAAAGTGTTGCTTTACCTTTGTATTACACGTTACCTTTGTCACTTTCTTAGAGAAAGTGGTTGTTATACCTTTGTATAACAGGTTACTATCTCCTGCCCTCACCATAGGCGAAAGGGCTTGGAGAAGGAAAGGGGACACTTTGAAGATTGGGAAGTTGAAGGGCTATGGATTCTGACACAATATCAATTTAAAGCTATTCTCAGTTTAAAGGAAAAAACAATGAAACAAACAAATAATAGCAACAACCCAGACTGAGAAGCTGAAGACCTTCTTGTGCCCAGGGGTTGTAGATGCACATTTAATAGCTGTGTAACCTTGGACCTCAACCTCTTTGTCCTCTGGGACTTCAATTTTCTTGTCTTTAAAATGGAGATAATACTCTATTGCGGGATCTGGCCAGAGATATTGTGGGATCTGGCCGGCAGCCTGCAATGCAACGGGGCTCTCTCTTTGTTCCCAGGCAGATCGGCAGGTTGAGAAATAATAGACACACACAAGATAGTGAAAGCTGGGTCCGGCGGGGGGTCACCGCCTTCTGGTCCCGCGGTGCCAACAATGCACTGGATATACCAGCATTTATTATTAAGTTTAGTGAGGGCAGGGGTAGGTTAGTGAGGGATTTAGGGTCATTTGATTATGAGGTGAGATGGTCACATGGGGATGAAGTAATTCTTTAACATAACATTTGTATGTGGAAGTACAGTACATTTGTATGTAGAAGTACAGTATACAGAGATAAGAATTTACAATATTGTATGCCCATCAGTAATTTCTAACAGAGCCTTAGAACAGAAACACAGTCTTTCCATAACCTATGATTAGCAAGATATTAATCAGCAGTAACAATTGCAACAAAAGCTGGTTACAAATAATCCATGGAAACAGGACGTGCAGCTAGACAACTGGTCAGACCAGAAATTCTCAGAAGGGAGTATGCATTAACCCTAAAGAGGCCTAGAAGAGCCGCGGCAAAATGAGGGCGTTTATAGCCCTATCTTATCCATATGGACAGGCTCCCTCCATGCGTCCACTTATAGGCTCTCCACAAGGGTCGCATTCCATTCCCAGAGCTATGAACATCTGCTTTTCTGGGATAGGAATCTTGGTGATGCGAAACTTTCCTGACTGCACGTCCAGTCATAGGCTCTCTGCAGGGGGAAGCACATCACGTGCTGTTGGCTCGTTCTGGCAGTCCAACCTGGCGTTATCTTTACACAATCCTGCATGCAATTTTGTATTTACAATAATCAGGAGCATTTCATCTTTTATTCCATAGCAATAGTTTCAGGGGGTCTCCCTACAATACTCAACCTCCTTTAAAACATTAACATGAGGATTAAATTGTATTCTTAATGTAGAGTGGTAAAAAAACACCATCTACCTTCCCATTGTTTCAGAGGTTAGCAAATCAGTGGGCCAAATTTATCCTGCCTCCTATTGTAAATACAGTTGTATTGTAACAGAATTGTATCCATTCATTATGTTTTGTCTATGGCTGCATTCTACGGTGGCAGAGTTAAGAAGTCACGACAGAGATTGTATGGCCTACAAAGCCAAAAATATTTACTATCTGGTTCCTCACAGAAGAAGTTTACTGATCTTTGTTTGCTTTATATGTCCATATTTTGTTAACCAATTTACAGAGGGTTGATTTATTATAGAGGCAATGATGCAAACAGAGTCACATCTTTTGAGATCACCTATTCTGAGCCATTTTAATCCTGGTCAGTTGGGTTAACAGAGTTGTAACCGAAGACCTAATGCTTTACTCAGCACTGGTGCTTTGGTTCGCAGGGACCCTGAAGACAGGATGCTCTAAGGGCAGACAAAGGCTGTTGAGGTAGATAGATCTGAGTTTAAAAATCCAGGCTCTACCCTACTTGCTGTGTGACTGGGCAATCACATTCCTCTCTTAGTCTTTGTTTTGCCACCTGGAAACATGGGCAGTGATGCCTAAATTTCAGTGTTTTGTAAGCTTAGGGATTTATGTAGGAAGGATCCAGAGAAGTGCCTGGTATAGAGTAGGGATCTGATAAGTGGTGACTATGATTATTACGAGTATCCTACCTACCTTGGATTGAGTGGAGGCTTTTGAGAAGTTATATGAAAACATTTGGATCTCATGGAAAGCTTCTAAGAAGTGAGAAACACTTGATCATAGACAACGGAGAAGAGATGAAGATTTCAAGCAATGAAGATGAAGAGACCTTTTTCTTGAACAGTAAGACCTTGCAGGGCTTGGATTGAGCAAAATAAGAGTCCTCAGTGAGCTCACCTGGCTGTACAGGGTTCATGAAAGGGGATAATCTGGAAGCAGGAGCACCTGTTCATGTCAGTGTAGATAAAAGGAAGGGAGGATGCTTTACATTTAAACCCATTTTGACTTTTGTATTAATAATATCCATACCTTTAACAAAATGTTTGCTTCTGTGAGCTGGGTGGTGAGCTGTAAGATCACAGTGAAACTGTTACCTGATGATTCTGGTTTTGCTCATTCATTCCTTCAACATACATTTAGTGAGAGTCTTTTATGAAATGTGCAATTTGCTAGGCACAAGGCAAATGGCAGCAGACAAGGAATCCACGATCTTTATATTCCTAGAGTGGTCACTTCTGTGGGTAAGACACACATAAAAGAGCCACTTCAAGTGAGGAGTTCCCTTATGGAAAAGGACACAAATGACGTGGGGTCCTGATCTTACTCAGGGATCCCAGGAAAGACTCACAGCTCGAGGAAGAAAATGTGAAGGTGAGAGGCCCAGCAGGAGTGAGGTTCAGAGAATGCCACCAATATCCTCTGCAGACTGGAGAGCATATACAACGTTGAAGACAAGCCTTCAAGACGTTGGATTGAAAGAACCCTCACCAAGAAGGACTGTATATATGAAAGCACAAAACGATGCACTTGCATTCAAGATTTGGAAAGAGAGATATATTTTCAGTTTAAAAGACATCATTTCACCAGCCTGAAATATTTCAGTTTGTCCAATTTACATAACAAGGCATGTTACACAATACACGCAAAACATATATTAGTTGAAAAGGTTAATGTTGAAAAGGATTAATTTCTTCTCTAGCAACACAGACCTAATTAAATCTTTCCAGAAGCAGATGGACAATTCCACCCTCTAAATCGAGATATTTATGTAAATATCACTGAGCTAATTGATACTCAGCTGAATCAAAGGAAGGTAAACAATGTGCTTTCATGGTGTCAACAGTTGTGAGTTTGATTTACTGCATTAATGACTTCCTGGAACGAGCTATTATCCAAAGTGAGAGAGATTCTGGGATCTAATTTATTTTCTTGATTATTAGAGTCACACTGAAAATGAGTCCTGTTTACAGGAAGTATCCAGAGTAGGAGACAGGAGCTTTTCACAGGTCCTGTTTGTCCAGAGGTAAGAGTCTCCACCAAGGAGCTGTGGCTTGCATGGGCATCCCATGACTTATTGAAGGCAAGGATTAAAATGTGGGACCTGTGTCATCAAATTATGACCCCAGTGAGTCAAGGCAACAAGACTTGGGGAAGAGTAAGGACTGAAATTTTAGAGACCCAAGTCAACTGCCTGGCATCTCCACCATTATGTTTTGGGTAAGTCACATTTTACAGCCCTCAGTTGTCTCATATGAATGGATACATTAGCCTTGGCTTTATCATTTACAGGAGTGTGGACTGGGAACTGAAAAAGTAAATAGGAAATGCATTGTGAAACAGAAAGGACTGCATAAGTGGGAGTTGCCATTGTTATTAGAGGGACATTGTTAGTATTTCATTGCATTCTTTTCTTCTCTAGGTTATACCAGCCTGTAGGTAAAATGGCCACTCCCTGTTGCCAGCCATGTTGGCAATCCTGAAATGCATCTTTCCCACCTGAAGGCCTCCTGGAATTCTCTTTCCCCTGAGGTTTTCATGATGGCTGCTTTTCAGTGTTTCATAATTAATCTAAAATGTCGCCTTTTGGATAGATCCTCTCCATTCAGTCTAAGTAGACACCCCTTCTTCTTTATTCTCCATTACCACATCTTGCACATCTTGGTTAATTTTTCTGTAACTTGACATCATCTATTTGTGATTAGTTGCTCATTTCTTTGTTTTTTTTTTTTTTTTTTTTTTTTTTTTTGGTTAGTGTCTGTCTTTCCCACTGGTCTGTACATTAATGAAGGAAAGGGTTGTGTCTCTTTCATCCACCAACATGTTCCCAGTGCTCAGCATAGTGTCTGGCACTGGTGGATGCTCAATGAGCATTTGTTGAATAAGTAAATGGATGAGAATATTCTTCTTCATTATTAAATAATATTAATAAATAACAATAATTACTCATATTCTGGCTGTCACTCACACCAGAAGGATTTTTAGAACTCTGTGTCCTCACCTCCTGGGTTATTCAGAATACCCAAAGGAAGGACTAAGTCCTCAAATACCACTGGTATTGCCAGTTTCTCTCCTCTGGCCACACCTACTGCTGGGCCCTCCAGTGTCCACTGAGCCCAGCGAGCTTCTCACTGATGGCAGTGGCAGGCCATCTGGAGCAACCACTGCCATTACTTCAGCTGCAGCAGAGAGACACAGTCAGAGCTGCATGCTCCATGGAGCCGGTGGGAGCTGGCAGAAGCTGGTGATAAGCGGGAGCCCCACCCTTCTGAGTTGGGGAGGGAACTCCCTGGGTGTTGCTGCCGCTGCCCAAGCCATGGCTGCAGACCTGGGCATCCTTGTGCTCTTGGGGCCTGGGAGCAGGCAGGAACCCCACCCTCCTGGGTATAGTTGCAGCTGCCCAAACCACAGCTGCAGACTTGGGCCTCCTGCTCCATAGAGCAGGCAGAAGCCCTGCCCCACTGGCACAGCTGCAGCCATCCAGACTGTGGCTAAAGACTCAGGCATCTCTGCACTCTTGGGGGCCCTGGAAGGCACCCCCACTCTTGCAGGCTTAGAAGTACCTGCTCCTGCTGTCTGGCTTCTCCCTGCTATTGGCACTGGCTCTGACCTTGGAGCAAAGTGGGGGCCACGCCTGGGCACTGTCATGGCCCGGCTGGGTACATACATGCTCAGGGCAATGCTGACATGCCAGCACCCTGCCACCTTGGCCCCCTCTGGACTTTGGGCACCAAAAAGCATAGGAGGGAACCCTAGGGGGAGCTGATGGCAGTTCAGCACCAGCCCACAGGCATCCCTTGGCACCTACAGCCTGGGCACCATAAATAGCAGCAGAAGGCAGACAGGTTCCTGGGCAGAAGTGGGAGGTTTCCTGGTGAAGCCCAACCTTCAGGCCAGGGAGGACCTGAAAGCTGGGGGCCATGCTGCCAGTCCCACAGATCAAAGTAGGAACTTGAGGTGTCTTTTCTGGGCCCACT
The DNA here is from genome assembly GCF_000001405.40 of Homo sapiens. Lineage (NCBI taxonomy): Eukaryota > Metazoa > Chordata > Mammalia > Primates > Hominidae > Homo > Homo sapiens. Next base: position 134,284,063 of record NC_000008.11, on the reverse strand, counting down.
CATAGCCAACCATGGACAAATGGATGTGCTCTTCCTCCCCTCTGAGGCCCATAAAAGCCCCGGGCTCAGCCAGAGCTGAGCAGAAGTCAGAATGATCAACTGCAGAGAGGAGCAACCCACTCCAGGGCCTCCTCTCTGCTGAGAGTTGTGCAGACAATGGGATGATCAGCTTCAGAGAGGAGCAGCTACCCTATCTGCTGATAGCTGGACACCTGTTGGGACAAATTGCCTAGCAGAGAGGAGATAACCTCTCTTCTAGGAGCTAAACACTCATTGGCATGCCCTGGCTGTGGAAAGGAGCTTCCCCTGAGGGTGTCCTCTGAGCTTTTCTATTGTTCAATAAAGCTCCTCATTGTCTTGCTCTCCCTTAATTTGTCTGCATACGTCATTCTTCCTGGCCACAGGACAAGAACTTGGGATTCACCAAATGGTGAGGTTAAAAGAGCTGTGTCACAAACAGGGCTGAGACATGCCCCTTGCTCACCACATTGTGGGTGAAGATAAGGAAAAAAAAAAACTGTGCCCCTCCAAGACCTGGGAGCTCCTGGATCCAGGGCTGTGACTCCCTCTTTGAGGGCCTGTGGTTCCTGGCATCTGCAAGCTTCCAGGCACCACTTGTTCCAGTCATGGAAGCTGCTTGTGGTGCACCTGGTCCAGCTGCAGCCTCACAGAGCCGGCATCCATGCTGGCACCTGGAGCTGCCTGCCCTGCTGCAGCAGCTGGCATGTCTGACTGTGCACAGTGGCTGGGCCCCATGCTCACTCACATTCCCCACGCCATTCCATGCTTGACTTTCTCTTGGGAGGCATGAGACCCAGGCCAGTAGCATGAGCCAAGCACAGCCTGCCAAGCCAAGTGGTCAAAACAAGCCCAAATGGGCCTGAGCAAAACTTGGGCAAAGATGCCTCTGGCCATGGGTTTCTGGCCAGAAAAACAATACCCCAAAGATCCTATAACATCACCATGGTGCCTGCTGCCAGTTGGTGCTCCTGGTGCTCCTGGAGGGCTGCTGTCTCTGCTGCACCCTTGCTGGCTGCTGGCATTGCTTAGTCCCTGCTGGTGTGCCTGCTACTGTCCCTAGAGATGCTGGGCTGGTGCTTGGCTTTTGTCCTTTTTTTCCCCTAATAATGCTAGTTTCTTGGTGCCTCCCTGAGTATATTTCAGATTGTTCTGGATGTTCCACTGTCCTGAAGCCACACTTCGTTCTGTGTGGGAGCAGAGGAGACTCCTCCCACTTTCTAGTAGTCCTGGTGCATGGACATACACAGCACCCTCCCAATGCCGCACATCGGTTTTACTTTCAGTCATCTCTGTAATTGGGGCACTCTGAATCTGGAGCCTGAAGGAGTAGTTGAAGTTTAACATTCAGAGAGGAAGTGGAGGTGCCAGCTGTTCCCCAAATCGTACTTCGTCACTGTGACCCAGGTGTTTGCAGATCAAGGTCAAGAGTTTTTCCTTCAGAATTGTTTTTTTTTTTTCCAGAAGGTTTCTTACAGCCTGATCTATCTGGGCACCAGGGAGGGACACAGATTAGACTTGGTTGTGGGTGTCCATGATGTGGCCATTTGGACTGAACTGCTGTGGTCAGAAGAGATAAACTGGAGTTTCTCAAATAGAGATATAAAATGTGGCACCTGCTGAGCCTTTATTCTGTCATTTAGAAAAGAAAGCATCACTTCTAAGACAGCCAGAGGCTAAGGCAATTCCCTCACAGAGGTGTCAGGCTCCATGGGTTACCATATATCAGGCAATTTTGTGCTTTGTCTATGCAGGTGTCTCTGTCTGGAAAACCCTTCACCCTTTTCTTCTCTGATCAATGTCAATTTTTCTTTGAAAGCCCAGATTAAATTCTACTTCCTTCATGAAGGCTTTCCAGTGAAAATTAGACAACAGTACATTGTAATATTGGTCTATTATCAGTGATACATCCATGCAACCATGCACACACACACACACACACACACACACAAGCACAAGATTTCTTGTAGAGAACTTCATTAATAGCAACAGCAAACATTCATTAACAAAAGTTATTACTTTCCACTTATTGAGTGCCCCCCTAAGTATCTAGTGTACACTATGTGATTTAATCCCTGCAACAGCACCCACTATTATTAATCTTATTTTGGAGTAGACAAAACTGAAGCTTCAAAAGTTTAAATAACTCAGCTAAAATCATACAACTGGGGACTTATTCCAGCCTTTTGTATTTGGACAATTCTAGGGCTTCCAGAGTTAGCCTCTAGAGTCCATACCAGTGTTGAAAAAGAAAGTCACATGGGTAGAGACAGCTCATGAACACAGTGGTGGCCAAGAGCTGCCTCCTCTGCACTTCCTGGTCTGGCTCCCAAGGGGTGCCAAGGTTTGCTCCTTCCCATGTTACTAAACATCTCCTCCGATATGTCATGCATGCAGCTGCCCTGACTCAAACGTAATGAGCGCTCCACCTCATGATAGTCTTGCTATATACAGGTTGTCTGTTAGAAGGTACAGGGAACACCATCTTGTAGAATCTGTTGATTTCCTGATATTTAGATTTTCTTCACTTTTTGGTCTTCATCTGATGAAGGCACCACAAAATCTTTGTAGGCACAAATAGTCTGCATAACAAACACACTGAATAATGTATTTAACAGCATCAGCAGTCTGTTTCCTTTCTGAGTTCCCTCTCCCATTAAATCCCAGATCCAGCAGAAGTGAGCCCAGTCCTATGCAGGCTGCAGGGCCCACTCCCACAACCAACTGTACACAACTGGTCAGAGTGCCGGAAACTCTTGGCAGGATGGATTGGAGTTGCTCTCAGGGCTGTTCTACTGATGCTGGAAACTTTAAACTTCATGGCAGCCCCTGGGGCTTCTGCAGAATTACTAGAGTCTCTGCTCACTTTTATCCCTGATTCTACCCACATCTGCGGTTTTATGTTCGAGAGGGAAAGCCTAGCTTGGAATCCTCCAACAGCTGACTTAAATCCTGTTCATCTCTTTGTTCTTCCTGTGGGCTAGACTTGAAGTTGAGTCGAATAGTGATTAAGAGCACACACTTGGGAGGAAGATTCCCTGGGTCCAAATATTCCTCTGCCTTATTTCCCTAATGTATAGAGAATAGAAATAAAAATAACATCTTCTTTACTGGAGTGTATTCTGAATAACCCAGGAGGCGAGGACACAGAGTTCTAAAAATCCTTCTGGTGTGAGTGACAGCCAGAATATGTAGTGTAACCATGCTTAGAATATTCCAGGCATGTGATAAGCAATCAATAAAAGTCTCTTATTGCATCTCTGTTTAAGGACAGTACTTGGGATGACATGGATCCACATCCAAGTCATGCTTCTTATCTGTGGAGCCAACCACGCTATACTCCTATCTCATTTTCCCACACTTCAGCCAGCTGCCTTCTGCTTTTTAAAACTACCTAGACCTATATTAGTTTGCTGCACCCCTCTGTGACTCATTTTAAAGTTGAATTGATGATCTCCTTAGGCAGCAGGTGTATTTGTTAAACAGGCTAGAGCTAACATCCAATTGAGATGAAATTGCCGTGTGTCTGTGAACCCAGTTTGCTACATCTGTTCCTCTTTGTTAGAAACACTTAACACTCAATTTCTCTATCCTTTTTTTTGTGTTTGTGACCAACTCTCAGAATATTTTATAATTGGCCTTTCCTGCCTCTGATCCCCCCAAAGATGCTGCAAAAAGACCGGCAACCTCATTGTCCACTATTAATGTTCAGAAGGAACTGGGGAGAATTCTGGTAAGAACCATTCTTGATCTTGTGTCTCTGTGGCCTTACTAGCATTGAGGAGGCCCACCTGAGACCACTAGACTGGTATTGCTGCAGGGGTAATGTGCATGCTGACCATCAACTATGATTATTGCCATTCCTGGGTTGCAGATGAGGAGCCTGGGGTAAGGTAATTGCCTTTTCAAAGTCAGGCAGCTAGTAACTGAGATGAGAACCAGCACAGCAGAAGGCTTAGACCAATAATTTCCTACAGTTTCTGTCCATAGGCACTGACCATGTGATCTGGGGATAGTGACTTAGCCCCTCAAACTTCAGTGTTCTTAGCTGTTGAATTCATGACTGATAATACCCTCCTTCAAAGTGCTGGCATGAGGTCTTTGTGAGATGATGCTTGTCTATGTTTTGCACAGTGCCGGCAGCTTGTGCAAACAGTACCACTTGTCCTGACTCTTTCCCAAGTCTTACAGGGACTGGTCCCTCCTTACATCTGCTGCTCCACATCCAGCCATTCTTTCACCTGCCTTGTCAAATTCTTGAGCCCTGCACAAATCAGAATGGCTCCCTCAGTCTATACTCCCACGGACCTTTCCTAGTACCTTGGTGTCAGCATCTCATTCTCTTTGCTCAATTTTCTGCCTGTCTCATCCGTGGACTATGGGTCCCTGTAGGGCATGACTAAGTCATTTGCAAGCTGAGTTTCTAATAGTGCACTTGACCCTTCACAGGTGCTGAGTGGGGGAAGCATATTCTCTGACATGGGTTCAGGGATGCCGACGTTTTGCCAGGTGACCTTAGGAGAGCCATGTCACCTCTTTGGAACTTTCATCTCCTCTTTCATAAAATAGAACTTGTATTAGTTTCCCAGGGCTGCTGTAATAAAATACCACAAAGTAGGTGCCTTAAAATGACAGAGATGTATTCCCTTACAGTTCTGGAGTCTGGATGTCTGAAATCAAGGTGCTGGCAGGGTTGGAGCCTCCTGAAGGCTCTGAGGGAGAATCCATTCCACGTCTCTCTCCTAGCTTCTATTGGTTGCTGGCAATCTTTGGCATTCCGTGCTTGAGGCAACATGCCTCCATCTTCACATGGCATTCTCCCTGTCTTTCCCTGTGTCCAAATTTCCCTTTTCTTTTTTTTTCTTTTTTTTTTTTTTGAGATGGAGTCTCGCTCTGTTGCCCAGGCTGGAGTGCAGTGGCACAATCTCAGCTCACTGCAACCTCTGCCTCCCGGGTTCACACCATTCTCCTGCCTCAGCCTCCCAAGTAGTTGAGACTACAGGCATCCGCCACCATGCCCGGCTAATTTTTTGTATTTTTAGTAGATGGGGTTTCACCAAGTTAGCCAGGATGGTCTCGATCTCCTGACCTCGTGATCTGCCCGCCTCAGCCTCCCAAAGTGCTGGGATTACAAGTGTGAGCCACCTTGCCCTTCCCAAATTTCCCTCTTCTTTTAAGGACAGCAGTCATTGGATTAGGAGTCACTCATATCCAGTATGGCTTCATCTTAATTTGATTGCCTCTGCAAAGACCATATTTCCCTAAGTTCACCTTCACAGGTGCTGGCAGTTAGGAATAGAACACATCTTTTTATGGGACACAATTAAGCCACAACAGAATGAACATAAAGAATGATAATGATAATGCCTATTATTTGGTAATTGTTTATATGTGCTGTAATTTGATGTCTACATACATTACCTCTTTACTCTTCATAAAGGTTGTATTACTATTTCCAGTTTACAGATGAGGAAACAAAGACCTGTAGTGGTTAAATAACTTGCTCAAGGTCACACAGACAGAAAGTAGCAGAACTGGGGTACAAATGCGGTAGACTGCAGTGCTCTCACTCTGAAGCCCTCCATCATTCAGGAAATCACACCTCCCTTGTGGTGTGGGTGAAATGAGATAATGCACTTGAGAGTTAAAGTCTGATGCCTGACACGTGGCAGATGCTCAGCAATATGAGTTGCGTTTCAATCTGTGCAATGAATGCCTCTATGCCACCCTGCACTTCTGTTTCCATGTCCTCACCTGGCTGCCTCCTTCTCTCCGCCTTTCATAAGCACGTTTGGCATCCTCCCTTGGATGTCTGATTGGCATCTCAAACATAACATGTTAGAAACAGACCTATTGATTTTCCTTTCCAAATCTGCTCCCCACTCCCAAGACTTCCCTACCTTAAAGATGGTGCTGCCATCCACAAAGTTGCTCACGCCACAAACCTCAGAGTTAGCTTTGTTCTGTCTTTCACACATAACCCATTCTCTTCCATTAGGAAGTCCTGGCCCCTTTACTGCAAAATACATCCCAATTCAATCACTTCTTACCATATTCCCTGCAACAACCCCCGTTCCAGCTACCTTATTTCTCATCTTGACAAATGAAATAGTTCTAACTGGTTTCCCTCCAGCCTTGTTCCTCTGCAGCCCATTCTCCACGAGGGGGGTTGACTAAATGATCTGTTTAAAAAGTAATACACGTGATGGCAGCGCTTCTCTTAAAACTCTTCAATGTCTTCTCATCACATGTAGAGTAAGATCCAAGGCTTGCCATGGCCACTGCCATCCCTTAGATTCTGTCCGCAACCCCCACCTCCACTCCCGCTGCTCACTCACACCACTCCACCTTTTCTCTGTGCCTTGAATGTGTCAGACTCATTTCTGTCCTGGAGCCTTTTGCAAGAGCCATTCTTTTCTGCGTGGAAAGCTGTTTTTCCAAATGTGGTTGTCAAACGTCACCTTCTGAGTCTTTCAGAGCATGTCCTTGGTTTAATCAATGCTTCATCCCCAGGACTTAGCATAGTGCTTGGTATACAGTAGGTGTACAAGACATATTTGTTGACTTGATGGAATGGAAGAGTCATAAATTCAGAGATTATTTTGAATTCATAGTCCACTGTGTCTGGCTTGTAGTAAGCTCATGTTAACTATGTTTAAATGAGTGAATAATGTGTATTTGTTAGATCTGGGATTGCAGACTAGGGACTCAGCTAAGGAGGCCAGGGTGCTTCCTTCACGTTCTGCACTCAGCTTTCATGGCATAGCCTCTATCTTAGAGAAGACAAATTACCTCATCATTTTCTTTCTTTTTTTTTTTTTTTTTTTTTGAGATGAAGTCTTACTCTGTCACCCAGGCTGGAGTGCAATGGCGAGATCTTGGCTCACTGCAACCTCCACCTCCCAAGTTCAAGTGATTCTCCTGCCTTAGCCTCCCGAGTAGCTGGGATTACAGGTGCCTGCCAACATACCTGGCTAATTTACGTATTTGTAGTAGAGATGGGGTTTTACCATGTTGGCCAGGCTGGTCTCGAACTCCTGACCTCAGGTGATCCACCCACCTCAGCCTCCCAAAGTGCTGGGATTATAGGCGTGAGCCACTGCACCCGGCCCCTCATCATTTTCTAACTTTCTGTTAAAGGATGATTTTTCTAATTCCTGCTCTATGTCTGCTAGGCTGCATTTCAGCAGCAAGCAGGGGCAGGAAAACTGAAAACGGGACTGCCCTTCTCTCTTGGGAGAAGTTAGCATTTAGACTGCCTAATGCCTCCATTCCTGGCCACAGCTCTGTAATTCAGCCCTCAGCCAAACAGATGGACAATGGTACTGATGAAATGAAGATATTCATGTAAATATCATGGCACAAATTGATGCTCAGCTGAACTAAAAGAAGGGAAACAAGTCGGGTACATGATATTAACAGCCGGCAAGATAATGTATCACATTAACGACTTCTCCTGGCAAGCTGCTATTGGAAGGACAGAGATCCAGGATCGAATTCATTTTCTTGATCAGTGAAGCTGAATGCAGAGGTGACACCTGGTACATGGAGCCTGATAAATCATACAACTCGTAAATCACCCGGCCCTGATAGGAGAATCTCAGGGGACTTACACTGGATGCACTTATCTTGGAGAGCAGGCTTCCAGCAGGATTTAAATAGTTTTGTTGTTCTCATTTATCACTAGTTTTTAAGTCCTACTATGTGCCACTTTCCTGGGTGCTGCAACTATAAAGATAAATATGATGCAGACACTCTTCTGTGACTGTAGTCTAGAGAGACAGAAGCATAATATGTATAGTCCAGGATTGTAGAGAAACCCCATGTTCACAGCGTGTGTATAAAGGAGAAGGTGGTCAGTTCTTGCACTGGGTTAGGAATTCTGTAGGCTTCATAAAGAAGGTAACACTTAGGGACATGAGTAAGGGGTTCAACAAAGATAAAGTCAATCTGGACAGAAGGAATAACAATCACAGTAGAGTGAAGTTTGAAGAGCTGTGAGTAGCAGGATAATAATGAGATTCAGAAATTTAAAGGACACACTCAGAGAAAGACTGGAGAAGTGTAAAGGGTTTGGATGTCAAAGGACTCAACAGGCAAAGGAAGTCGGACTTACTCCTGGAAGTCTTAGAGAGTCACTGCATAATCAGGTTTGTATTTGAGAAAATAATCTCTGGACTGCATTTGGAGGATGGATTTGGGGAAAAAAGAAGAGAAGGAGCTAGGCACAGTGGCTCACGCCTGTAATCCCAGCACTTTCGGAGGCCGAGGTGTGAAGATAACCTGAGGTCAGGAGTTTGAGACCAGACTGGTCAAAATGGTGAAACTCTGTCTCTACTAAAAATACAAAAATTAACTGGGCATGGTGGTGGGTGCCTGTAATCCCAGCTACTTGGGACACTGAGGCAGGAGAATTACTTGAACCCAGGAGGCGGAGGTTGCAGTAAGCTGAGATTGCGCCACTGCACTCCAGCCTGGGTGATAGAGCAAGACTCTGTCTCAAAGAAGAAGAAAGAGAAGACTAGAGGTAGGGAATAAAAATTAGGAGGCCGAATCAGTAGTGAGAACTGGAACTGGGGCAATAGCTAGGGAACTAAAGTGGAGAAGAGCCAAGTAAGAAATGTTAAGGGAGAAAAACAGACAGAATGATGCTACAACAAGCAGATAGAGTTGGAATGGGAGTCATGTTACACAAGTGGACAAGACAGTCAATTGAATAAAATGACATTTGTCAAGGCTTAATTAAAACACATTAGCCCTCGGATTGAAGGACAGGCAGGAGAAACATCTGTTTCCTGAGTTACACGGCACACGTACTGAAGAGTGTACATTTTTCTCTCCAAAGTACTCTGCAGGTGTCTCAGGTTGTACACTGTGCCTGGGATGGGCTCCCTCTCCTGTGGACATTTGGGACCCTCCAGTCTGCCCCTTCTTCCTGGCCCACAGACCAGCACTTTTTCCTGTCAGACTCCTTTAGTTGGAAAACTCTTAGATATTCATATACACTGTGTCCAACACTGAAAAAAGTACAGAGCTTTGGGTTCACCTTGACCCCCCCCGCCATGTTTCCTAAATCCCATTTTCAGTCTTCTCTGAGCCCTAAAGTTTCTATTCCCTAACCATAGTTTGTTTTTCCCCCTATCCCACTCTCTACTACAATTTGCTTTTATATTAATTTTCTAGGGCTGCTATAATAATATAAACTACATGGCCTAAAACAACAGAAATTTATTCTTGGCCAGGCGCAGTGGCTCATGCCTGTAATCCCACCATTTTGGGAGGCCGAGGCAGGTGGATCACGAGGTCAAGAGATTGAGACCATCCTGGCCAACATGGTGAAACCCCGTCTCTACTAAAAATACAAAAAATTACCCAGACATGGTGGCAGGTGCCTGTAGTCCCAGCTACTTGGGAGGCTGAGGCAGGAGAATCACTTGAACCCAGGAGGCGAAGGTTGCAGTGAGCTGAGATCATGCCACTGCACTCCAGCCTGGTGACAGAGTGAGACTCTGTCTCAACAAAACAAAACAAAACCAAAAACAGTAATTTATTCTCTTACTGTTCTAATCTGAAACTGAGATGTGGCCAGGACCCCGCTCTCTCAGAAGGCTCTTCCTTCTCTCTTCATAGCTTCTGGTAGTTGCTGGTAATTATTCTGGGTGTTCTTTAGCCTGCAGACACATCACTCCAATCTCTACCACCACTGTCACATGATCTTCTCCCTCTGTATGTCTTTGTGTCCAAATTTTCCTCTTCTTCTAAGGACTCCAGGGACTGGAGCACACCATTGTTAGTTATGACCTCATCTTAACTTGATTACATCTGCAAAGACCCTATTTCCAAATAAGATTGTGTTCACATATACTGGTTAGGAGGTGAACTTATCTTCTCGGGAGAGATTGTTCAATCTACAACACCTTGGTTGCAACCTTCACTATCTCTTGATGGGACAAATGTAATGGCTTACCAACTACTCTCCTTGGGTCCAGTGTCATTTTGCCTCCCAGTTCACTTTCTACTCTGTCACCAGAAGGAATTTTCTACAATATAAGTCTTGTCCTGTCATTATCTTAATAAAAACCCTTCAGTGTTTTATCAAGTCAAATACCCTTTCGAGATAAGGCATTTTGTTATCTCGCTGGCCCTTACTAACATTTCCATACTTATTTTTCAAATTCTGTGTTCCAGAAAAGACAAAATACTTATAACTCCATTGACCCCAGCCTCTTTATGCCTCCGGAACTTTGCTCCTTCTGTCTTCTGTGATGTTTATCTTACCTCATCTTCTTAGTAATATCTAATCTTACCTAATCTTACAAATCTCAGCTCAAGCATCAAGTCCATTATGCACAAAGTGGTACTCCCTCCCTCTCCAGGTAGAACAGACCACTCTGTTTTTCATGTTCCTACCATTCCCAATAGACTCATCACAGCCCTTGTGACACATCATTACACTGATCAGTTTACATAGCTATCTCCTCTGCTAGACAGCGAATGCATAGCATTTTATCCCTAGTGCCCAGCTCAATATAATTCTCCAATAAATATTTGTCAAATGAATGCACAAATAAATGTATGAATGAATACAAAATGTTCCGTCTTTCTGTTTTCTCCAACCCAGGCAACCCAGAAGGGGTTGGCTTGAAAATCATTCTGGATAACCCTATAATATAGAGCATATTATAAATATAAATATATTATAAATACATGTTATATGTTATTATTAGAGGATTACCAGAGTAATATTATATATTACACATTATAGGGTTACTCATAGTAATATAACATAAGTCAGGGTTCTTGGTCCAGTCTAGAGCAATGATTGAAGGCTCATGGTGTGCTGGGTTTTATATAGTTCTGTGCTAAGAGGCTTTGTAGTATTTGTTGTTGACTCCCCAGAAAACTTTCTGATCAAGGAAGGTTAAGCTTATTAAGATGATTTTTTATTTTATTTTATTTTGTTTTATTATTATTATACTTTAAGTTTTAGAGTACATGTGCACAATGTGCAGGTTAGTTGCCTATGTATACATGTGCCATGCTGGTGTGCTGCACCCATTAACTCGTCATTTAGCATTAGGTGTATCTCCCCTCTCCCCCCACCCCACAACAGTCCCCAGAGTGTGATGTTCCCCTTCCTGTGTCCATGTGTTCTCATTGTTCAATCCCCACCTATGAGTGAGAATATGCGGTGTTTGGTTTTTTGTTCTTGCGACGTCACCTCAACAGTCTCATAGTATCTTCAAAATAAGAAATGAAGAGAGTGGATTAGTAGTATTTCAAAGTAGGTGACTTCTACTGTGGTTTCAGTCTTCACTATCTCTTGAGTGGTAGGGAACTGGTTGCAAGGTGGGGAACTAGTTAAGATTGAGCAGAGTTTATAATGTGAACACTTGATTTCTGTGCATGGCAAAGCAGGTGAGGGTGTTGATGTGCGTATTGATGCTGTTAGCCCTGATACGTAAGCTGATCAATTAAGACATAGCCTTATTTTTTAAGAGAAGATATTTTTTGGAAATGAAGACAAATTATTTTTGTTTGATCTCAATATTGCCTGGCACAAAACAGGAAAATATGCTTTGTCCCAGAATTATTTAGCACAGAAACAGAAAAATATGTCGGTTCAATCCCCAGTAGGTTACGACAGACAGGGGCAGTACCTTACAACATGCTGCAGTGAAGCCCATTGTACTTGATATTCATTCTTTTATTCATTCATCTACTTCACCTTCTTTATTTTATACACTTATTTTCCTTCATTAAGCAAATGTTTATTGAGAATTATAGATTAAAATAATTGTGTCCTGAGATTCTAGGCAAGGAGCTGATCATTAAGAAGTAAGAGAATGAGAAATGGGGTCCTACCATAATGACAGAAAGGAGTGAGCAGACTGCAAATGAATGACTGCAATGCTGCAAAAGACATTCTTATTTTTCAAAGTGACGTCCATGGACCACCTGCAGGAATATCACCTAGGCTGCATTTTTAGCATTTAGATTCCTGAGTGCCAGTCCACATGTGCTGAGTCAGAATTTCTGGGGATGGGGCTCAGGAATATACATGTGCATAGTCTTTCCCAGTATCCTCATGCTCACTTACCTTTGAGAACTACTGGTCAACACGATGAGAAATTCTCTGCCTGTCGAGATCATAATAAATTCAAACATATCCCCAGTGAGATGCAAACAATTACCACAGGAGTTAACAAGTATTACTAAATAGGAGAAGTGTAAGGATGAAAGGGCATTTCAGAGCTCAGAGTGCATCTTGGTTTGCCATGTCCTTGGAATATCAGAATATTAGAGGTTTATTTTCTTCCTCTTGTTCACATTGAGATGAGACTTTGTTTTATAATTATTTCCATAGACCATATAATTCTCACAGAAATCCACCATGGGACAGGATGTCCTGACACTCCCGGATGCCTAATCAAATGTGCATGGGAAATGTGACATTTCTCACTGAGGTTAAAATTAACTGGAACAGCCTGTAAGATCTCTTTTTAATCTAACTTCAAGAAAATCTTTTTTACATGGAATAATTTAAAATTTTTAAATGTGCATGTTTTAAGCTTCTGTTGAGCATTTCATTTTCTTCTCCAAATTACATAATTCTAGAGCCCTTTTCAAGTTATTATCGACTGGGCCATTGTCTAAAGACTGAGCTTGAAATGCAGCTAAACTACTGCACGGCAGAACACCGAAAGTCCCAGACTAGAAACATGTAGCTCTGAATTCTGGTCTCACTGTCTCACTAACCAGCAGGGGGGTCTTGGGTAAGTTTCTTTACATATCAAACTTACTTTTTCCTCACTTTTCTTTAGCAAAGATCATGACTCCTCCCTCAGGATTGTGGTAGGTTGTTTTCTTTTCCCCCCCTTTGAGACGGAGTTTTGCTCTTGTTGCCAAGGCTGGAATGCAATGGCACAATCTCGGCTCACTTCAGTCTCCGCCTCCCAGGTTCAAGTGATTCTCCTGCCTCAGCCTCCCAAGTAACTGGGATTACAGGCACCCACCACCACACCCGGCTAATTTTTTGTATTTTTAGTAGAAATGGGGTTTCAACATGTTGGCCAGGCTGGTCTCGAACTCCTGGCCTCAGGTGATCTGCCTACCTCAGCCTCCCAAAGTGCTGAGATTACAGGCCTGAGCCACTGTGCCCGGCCAGGATTATGGTAGTCCTTAAATGAGATAATGTGTGTGATGTTTCTGGTTTTGTATTTGACACTAAATACATGATTAATAAATATTGATGCTCTTGCAAGATAGGTGCCTTTCTTTATGTATCCACATAATTTTGAGTTGGGAGTTCATGGCCATAGAAAACTTACTGATTAAAATTCTTTGCTGTTTTGATGGGTTTGGCAGTTTTGATGGTCACTAGATGGGTGAGTGGTCTGGTGCAATATTTCTCAAAACAAGATGACCTAGGGATCTTACTGAAATGCACAGCCCTAAGCTAGGGCCTGAGCTTCTGTAGTTCTGAAAAGGCCCCAGGTGCTGCCAGGGCTGCTAATCATGGAGCACACTTTGGGGACCTAAGGTCAAAGGAAGAGCCTGGCTAAGCCTGTGACAGATAATGGGAAGATGCTCAGCCACCCCATTCTGCTCTGGATAGTCAGGGGCACTAGGATCTTTTGCCATACGGACCATGTGGCTGCTATCTGCTCAATGGGATACAGGAGACAGTGGTGGATGCCTGACTGTCATAAGATGTCCTATGATTCTCCTCCTTCTGTCTCTTGGCTTATCAGCAGGCTGTATATAAATCAAACAATGGAGGATTCTCAGGAGAGTGTAGAGGATGGGAGAGCCACAGATAGAAGGAGCTGTGATCCCGGAACCACTATTTAGAAAACCACTTGCTACTTGGAATGCCTAGTTAGACAATGACCCAAATAAGAAATAAACCTTGCTTGTGTTAATCCACTGAGATTTTGGTTGTTACAACAGCTGGCATAAATTGACTAATACCATAACGGTGCTAAGCTATTCCTTTAGTCCTTGGGGTGGGATACCTGGGAACTTCAGCGTGTATCTTGTCCAGTTTCAGGGAGTCCCATCTATTAATTCCATTGTGCCAGACAAATGTTAACATTTTTTGTGTGTGCCATAACTTGACAAAGTTGAGAAGCATTCTAAATGAAAAGAGTCCAGACTCAAGTGTTAGGAAAATCTGGCATTCCATTTTGAGCACTGTTGCTGTTTCATACATCACCTCTCTCAATTTCCATTGCCTCCATTTTCTCAAGTGTCCTGCTACACTTGGTGTGAATATTTCATAAGCCAAATGCTGGAAAACTTCAGTAGCTTGGTAGTGTTAAGGGAGAGTAGATTGGGGATGATTTTTTTGGTGGAGCAGAAGAACTTCAGCCATAGGCAGAGCATAGTGGATGGCAGCGGCCAAAGAACAACCAAAAGACTCATTGCTGGTTTCACAAATGAGGGCTGGAACTCATTCTGATAAATCAACTGGGTGTCATGGAATATTTATGCGTGCCTGCTCCTTGCCATCACTTCATTCAGCTAATGCGCCTCCACTTACAACCCAGCTCCCTGGGCCTGCACACACTTCTGTCTCTGTCTTCTTACCATGACAAGCAAGGTTGTGGGCTACATTTGGTATGAAATTTTTCAATTCTCCTTGAATGTTCTGGGATAATGGATTTTCTTCTTGACCATCAGATACCCCAGCATTTAGCTGAGTTTTCGATGCTGTCCTTGAGGGTAGAATCATTCTGGGACTGTGTTTCAAAGGCAGAAGCATATTTCACAGAAATCATAACATCATAGACTCACAGCACGGGAAGCTTCAGGCCTCTGTGTTTGACCTCTTCATTTTTACAGATGAGACGCCAGGAGGGAAAGACTCCTTCCCAAATTAGTTTTATAATTGGGACTAGGCCATCTCTCGGTTAATCACAGAATGTGGTAATCATTACAGTTTGACCTCTTTATATAGAGAACAATGGCCACCAATTATAGGCTGACACTCAGAAACTGTATCTTTTATAACCCCCTCTGTGTCTTGCCAAAAAGGTGCTCAATAAATGCAGTTGAAATTAAAATCACTTCCTTTATTTCTTTAAATGGTTATATGGCAGGTTCTGTCTAGCAGGTGTCATGAAATATGTAGAGGGCTGTAGGAAAAAGTTCTGCTATATAACATTTTGTAGAGGAAGGGGCACAGCTACTCACTCAATTTTCAAGACCTAGTTTTTTAAACATCAGCTCCTTGGCAAGACCTTTGTATATATCAGGACAACAGCCAAACAGCCTTCCTGAATGGGTGTGTCCTAGAGTACTGCAATCATTATTCACATATAACAGAATCTCATATTTGAAGTCAAGGACTGCATCTTAGTTATCTTGGATCCCAGCACTGAGCACAGGAACTGGTACACGGTATGTTCTCAACACATTTTTGTAGAGTAGACACATAAAAGACAACTCTGACTTCTCTGGCCCAGAATCAACATATTGGACTTAAATAGGATTGCTTATTTATCTAAATCCAATAAACCTCAAAGGAGAACCAGGTGAGTCTTTTTAGAAAGTCTCCTTATTCTTTCAATGGTATGCCTTTGCTCTGAGGGTGACCCGAGCCCAAATGTTAGGAGCTTTCTTTGGCTTCTCATTGTCCACATGCTGCTTGGTCAGACACCAGGCCTCACAGGTCATTTCTGTATTCTGGGGACCCAGGGGGAAAAGTGACCCTCACCAAGCAGTTCTGAATTTCCCTGTCTGGCTATTTATTATTTCTTCAGACTTTAATAATGATCTCAGCTTGAGATGGGAAAGAATAATGAACCATTCATTCACATTCAAGACACTAATTAAAAAGGCACTGTTATGTTTTCATGAGTTGTGCTGATGACTTAATTATAGCAAGACTGTGTAAAAACAACTTCTCATTTTTAGACTTAAAACTGACTGTACCTTAAAAGCACAGTGTCTGCCATAGGCAAGAGGGAGGATAGGGAAGGAGCAGGTAGAAAGAAGATACGGTAGGAAGTGGGAGTGGGGTTGGCTTCTAGCTCCAGTTCTTCTTGCAACTGGCTGAATGACCTTCATGACCTCAGAAGTACATGGAGAGGGTCACTTTTCCCCCCATGGATCCCTAGGGTACAGGAATGACCTGAGAGGCCTAGCCCTCTGCTGACCAAGCATCATGTGGACAATGAGAAGCCATACTTCATTCCTAAAGCCCTGTTTCTCCCTAAAGAAATACAGATGAAGCCTGTCAGGCTCACTTCACTTATTTGCTGTGGAGTCATATTTGCCTTCTATGATGTCATCACCAAAGGATCATGAACTACGCCGTATTACTGACATTTGAAGGAACCTGGTCCATTGTGTTTGGAGTAAATCATAAATGGTGACAGTATGGTTGTACTTAATAGAGCGGCTATCATTTGGAAAAGCGAGAGAACATATTCACTGTTGGATAGTAAGCTTGAACCAGAGCAAATGGGCGCAAATTTAGGGGGAATGACATACATTCAGCTTCGTCCTTAAACCAGGAACTTCCTGATTATCTTATATAAGCTTTTCATTATGGCAGGCATTACTTCCCCCATTGTATAGATACAGAATCTCAGGCTCTGAGAGTCAAAGTAACTTATCTATAGGCACTCACCTGATAAATAAAGAACTGAGATTAGAATCCAGGCTAGAGTGACCCTACAGTGAGTGTTCTTTCCACCACAGCAGATGGTTAAGTGTTACTCCTATGGCCAAATCTCTATAGGGTCCACAAGACTTCCATCCAACGAGAATCAGGTCCAGGAAATATTTTTACCTGAGGACAGAAACAAAGGGCTTTGGGTAGCAGCTCATTCTGCCTCTGTTGTCTCCCTCCTCATGTTTCTCTGTTCTTATAGATAGAAACAAAATAAGTTAGCAAATAAGTATGACTTCTAAGCAAATAGAGATTTTCCCCCTAAGTTTAGAATATATATGAATTAAAAATTGTAGTAATAATATGGTTACCCATGAATCTTCAAAACAACACACAATTAGAATATTCCTGGCCATGTTGGAATTTTCCATAGGTTAATAATGGAAAAAGGGAACTTTCTAATAATTCCAAGTATACAAAAGCAAATTGGAGTATCTCATATAATGATATATTCAATGCCTTTTGGTGTATTCAACTGCAAGTAGGGTCCCCTTCCTTAATCCTTATGGGGAACATCATGAAGTGAGGTGGGTGAGACACTATTCTCTTCCCAAGCCTGGGATAGACTATTTGTATCTTCCATCAAACTTAAGGAAATGATTTCTTTTTAAAGATCCATTCTTTGCTTATTAATTCACAAATTTATTTAATATTTATTGGGTGGAAATTTCAGGAACTTTGTGCTCTAGAGACCTGAAATATGAAGGTGAACAATACAGTCATTATTCTCAAGGAGCTGGCAAGACCATAGGCTTTGAAGGGACACCAGGCGACATTATATTTAACTACTTTCGTCTCTCCATATGTTGTTGCTGAGTAGTCTTATCAGCAACTAAGTCTTTCTTTACAAATCGCAACACAATGACTCCCAAGGTTCTGTTTTTATTTTTAAGCTCTATGCAAATACAGTGGCAAAAAAAATACAGAAATAGGAAATAACTGGTTAACCTCCAAATTATGGAGATAGTGAATGTTTCTTCTTCTAATAGAAACGCTTACATTTTAAAAAATGAAACTGAGAAAAGGAAGAAGGTATGCAAACTGTTGTAATCAGCATGAAAAGGATGCTGTTAAACAGGAAATGATGCTCAAGACAAAGGTGAAGACAGCATGATAGAGCAGTAAGAGAATGAGGGTCGAAAGTACTATGATGGGGAGACTAGAGTTTATGCCTATCCCATGATTAGAAGAGAGTCTGTTGTCTGTATATAATGAAAGCCTTGAATAAATACATATTTTCATATGTATACTTACACATACATATATGTCATATATGTATAGTAAATATTAATATAATTACAATAGCAACAAACATGTATTAAATGCACTTATGATTCCAGTTATTGCTTTAAGTGCATTAGTCTTAGGATCTGTCATATTGGAGTTTGCTTTTCTCTCTATGCCAGGCCGTACTCTGATTTTTTTTTTTAAATGTCAGTGCAATGCAAATCTCATCACATCAAAGGGAGGGTTTTAAATGCCGTTTTTTGCAACGAACAGAGTGTGAAACAGTGTCCAGATATTATTTGCACTGTTTCCAGCCTTCATCCTAAAAGTTACATTCTGCAAAGTCCTAAACTTCCAGGTCACAGATCCTTCTATCCTTCCTTTAGTGACTGGGGGTAGCTGACAGAAGGTTCTCTACGGTGACATCTCTGCAGGGTCCACAAGGCTGCCATCCAATGGGAATCAGGTCTAGAGGATATTTTTACCTGAGGACAGAAACAAAGGGCTCTGGGCAGCAGCTCATCCAAACTCTATTGTCTTCCTCTTCATGTTTCTCCCTACTTAAAGATAGAAACATAACAAGTTAGCAAATAAGCATGACTTCTAAGCAAATAGAGACTTTCCTCCTAAGTTTAGAATATATATGAGTTAAACGTTATAGTAATAATATGGTTACCCATGAACCTTCATAACAACTCATAACTAGAGTATTCCTGGTTGTGTTGGAATTTCCCATAGGTTCTCTCCTTTTTGTGTTTATCATCCTCTTATGCACTTTAAAATAATTTTAGAAACCACTAATACATCCCTTACACAAATTGATTTAGAATTGTTTAGGTTTTAAGTTTTATTTAAAAATAATATATTTGAAGATGCTCTTTGGCGATTCACTTTTCTTCCGCTCAACATCTGTTACAAGACTCACCTTTTTCACTGTCTATGATTATAGTTCATTCATTTTGCTGTTATAAAACATTCCACTTGGCGAATAAGCCTTTCTTTCTTTCTTTCTTTCTTTCTTTCTTTCTTTCTTTCATTTTATTTTATTTTTATTTTTATTTTATTTATTTATTTTTTGAGATAGAGTCTTGCTCTATTGCCCAGGCTGGAGTGCAATGGCGCCATCTCGACTCACTGCAACCTCCGCCTCCCAGGTTCCAGCAATTCTCCTGCCTCAGCCTCCCGAGTAGCTGGGATTACAGGTGTGTGCCACCACTCCTGGCTAATTTTTTGTATTTTTAGTAGAGATGGGGTTTCACCATGTTAACCAGGCTGGATCAAACTCCTGACCTCAGGTGATCACCATTCTCAGCCTCCCAAAGTGCTGGGATTACAGGCGTGAGCCACTGTGCCCAGCTATTTCTTTACTTGTTGATTTGGATTGTTGCTAAGTTTTTATGGGTGGGTATTTGGACTTTTCAGGGTCTTTTGGGTTGTTTCCAGGTTTTGCTATTAGGAACAATGCTTTCATCAACATACTTGTATGTTTGTATGTGCAAGAATCCCTCTGGGGTCTCCGAGTAGTAACTCCAACATATCCAAAAGAGCATTTCCCAGTATGTATGGTGTATTTATGCTCAACTTTACAAGATATGCCAGTGACCTTCCAGGTGCTCACAAATCTCAATTTTTTTGGTTACACAAGAAGACTACATTCTCCAGCCTTGTCTGCAAATAGCATAGGATCATGTGACTGAGCTTTGGTTAGTGTAATGTGAGTGGAAGTAATTTAACTCAAGGCATATCTGGCCCTATAACCTTTCACGTGATCTTTCAAACTAGAAGCACAATTTTCTGAGATAGCAGAACCATTTGATGGACAGAGCCTGGAACTCTAGGTCCACCAGTTGGAGGAGAGCCATTTAATTAGGAGCACTCACATGAAAGACTAGAAACTTCTTATGTTAGACTTTTATTGTGTTAAGTCACTTAGATTTAGGAGCTGGTTTTTATAGTTATTAGCATAGCCAATCTAATGCACACAATAATGCCAAATTGTTTTCTAAATTATGCTCTCACTTTGCTGTTTATAAGAATTTTGCCAAATTATATCCTCAATAACGCTTGTTATATTAAGGCTTCTTAGTTTTGCTCAATGAATGGTATAAAATATTATCTCATTCTGTTCTTGATTTGCACTTTCTTGATTGCCAGTGAAGTGAGTATACTCATCATTTATGTTTTCTCTTACGTGAAAGGCTCATTCTTGCCTCTTGTCTTTTTTTTCTATTGAGTTTCTTAAGAATTTGTAGGAATTCTCTCCAAATTATGGATACTAATATTTTATTGATTATATACACGGCAAAGGAGCAGGGAGGGAGGTGTAGAATCATAGGTATGGGTGATTTATTGCTTCTTGTTTGACTTTCACCCAATCTTCCTGCTTTTAGCTCCACTGCTTAGAGGCTGCCTTCAGAACTATTTGGCATTTCTAATTCCTGAGCCTTTCCAGGATTCTGCATCTCAAAAACGCTTAATTCTTGTTGTGTTCCAACCTACAAAAATCCAGATTTTTTTTTCTGTAATCTGCTAGTTTAGTAGTGAACCACAGTTTTGATTTACATATTTGAAACTGTGTTTGCTTTTTAAAAATGTGTGCTATCTCCTTTTCATTCTCTGTATCTGGGTGGATTTATATATTTGTATTTCTTTGCTGATAATTAGTAACTTAGCAGGGGCTTTATGAGGAAATGGAATAAAAGCACATGTTTGTTCTGCATAGTTTCGCCAGAAGTTGGCTATTTTTTATCTAAAAGAAAAACAGAATCAAGTTTTTTTTTGATATTTAAGAAATGGATTGATACTGTTATCTTCAAGTAAGGTCTATTTTCATACATGTTTCACAAAATATATAACACATTGGTATTTAATTTACATAGATATATAGCTTAGAATATGCATGTATAAACATTAGTCTATAAATATAAGTATTTAGTTAATAAACAAGTGTATATTGCGGTACATGCTAAATAATTTTTTACTGATAGGAGGCATGAGCAGAGTAGTTTGGAGACCACTTCACTTTTTCTAAGAGTTTGCCTCATTTTTTAGTTCCACCTAGTTCCAGGTCTTCTCAAGGTTAGGGCAGCAATTTTTGGACTATACTTATCTCTTTATTTGTGTGGAATAAATCAAGAACACAGGGATACATACCAGCTCCATGTGCACTGACCTGTCCCATTTATATGGAGAAATAAAAATTGTATCACCATTCACTGGCATTAGATACAATATTCTAGAAGCTGACCAATCCATAGCAACCCTGTGTCACTTAGAAGTCAAAAATATAATGCCAAGAAGATCAATTTTGAGTCAAAAATTGCAGCGTGGTGAGTACTGTCATTAAGGTAATATGAGTGCACGGGAGTAGAGGCTCTCATTTGGTGTATGAGTCCGTTTTCATAGTGCTGATAAAGACATACCTGAGACTGGGCAATTTACAAAAGAAAGAGGTTTAATTGGACTCACAATTCTATGTGGCTGGGGATGCCTCACAATCATAGAGGAAGTCAAGGAGGAGCAATTCACATCTTAAGTGGATGGCAGCAGGCAAAAAGAGCTTGTGCAGGCAACTCCTGTTTTTACAACCATCAGACCTCATGAGACTCATTCACTGTCATGAGAACAGCTCAGAAAAGACCTGACCCCATAATTCAATCACCTCCCACCAGGTTCCTCCCATGACATGTGGGAATTGTTAGAGTTACCACTTAAGATGAGATTTGGGTGGGGACACAGCCAAACCATATCATTCCATTGCTGGCCCCTCCTAAGTCTCATGTCCTCACATTTCAAATCCAATCATGCCTTTCCAACAGTCCCCCAAAGTCTTAACTAATTTCAGCATTAACCCAAAAGTCCACAGTCCAATGTTTCATCTGAGACAAGGCAAGTGCCTTCTGCCTATGAGCCTGTAAAATCAAAAACAAGTTAGTTACTTCCCAGATACAATGGGGGTATAGGCACTAAGTAAATACAGCCATTCCAAGTGGGAGAAATTGGCCAAAACAAAGGGGCTACAGGCCCCATGCAAGTCCAATATCCAGCAGGGCAGTCAAATCTTAAAGCTCCAAAATGACCTCCTTTGACTCCATGTCTCACATCTGGGTCACGCTGATGCAAAAGGTGGGTTCCCATGGTCTTGGGCAGCTCCACCCCAGTGGCTCTGCACGGTACAGCCTCACTCCTAGCAGCTTTCACAGGCTAGTGTTGATTGTCTGTAGCTTTTCTAGGCACATGTTGCAAGTTGTCAGTGGATCTACCATTCTGGAGTCTGGAGGACAGTGGCCCTTTTCTCACAGCTCCACTAGGTGGTGCCCTAGTAGGGACTCTGTGTGGGAGCTCTGACCCCACACTTTCTTTCTGCACTGTCCTAGGAGAGGTTCTCCATGAAGGTCCCACCCCTGCAGCAAACTTCTGCCTGGGCATCCAGGCATTTCCATTAACTTTCTGAAATCTAGGTGGAAGTTCCCAAACCCCAATTCTTGACTTCTGTGCACTCACAGGCTCAACACCATGTGGAAGCTGCCAAGGCTTGGGGCTTGCACTCTTTGAGGCCCCAGCTGGAGCTGTACATTGACCCCTTTCAGCCATGGCTGGAGTGGCTGGGACACAGGGCACCAAGTCCCTAGGCTGCAAACAGCACAGGGACCCTGAGCCTGACCCATGAAACCATGTTTTCCTCCTAGGCCTCTGGGCCTATGATGGGAGGGGCTGCCTTGACCTCTAACATGCCCTGGAAATATTTTCCCCATTGTCTTAGGCATTAACATTCGGTTGTTACTTAGGAAAATTTCTGCAGCCAGCTTGAATTTCTCCTCAGAAAATGGGATTTTCTTTTCTACAGCATTGTCAGGCTGCAAATTTTCTGATCTTTTATGCTCTGCTTCCCTTATAAAACTGACTGTCTTTAATAGCACCCAGGTCACTTCTTGAACGCTTTGCTGCTTAGAAATTTCTTCTGCCAAATACCCTAAATCATCTCTCTCAAGTTCAAAGTTCCACAAATCCCTAGGGCAGGGGCAAAATGCCACCAGTCTCTTTGCTAAAACATAACAAGAGTCACTTTGCTCCAGTTCCCAACAAGTTCCTCATCTCCATCTGAGACCACCTCAGCCTGCACTTTATTTCATATTGCTATCAGCATTTTGGGCAAAGCCATTCAGCAAGTTTCTAGGAAGTTCCAAACATTCCCACATTTTCCTGTCTTCTTCTGAGCCCTCCAAACTGTTATAACCTCTGCCTGTTACCCAGTTCAAAGTCACTTCCACATTTTTGGGTATCTTTTCAGCAACGCCCCACTCTACTGGTACCAATTTACAGTGTTAGTCAGTTTCCATGCTTCTGATAAAGACATACCTAAGAGTAGGCCATTTACAAAAGAAAGATATTTAATTGGACTCACAGTTCCTCGTGGCTGGGGAGGCCTCACAATCATGGCAGAAGGCAAGGAGGAGCAAGTCATGTCTTATGTGGATGGCGGGCAGGCAAAAAGAGCTTGTGCAGGGAACTCTCATTTTTAAAACCATCAGATCTCATGAGACTCATTCACTATCATGAGAACAGCACAAGAAAGGCCTGCCCCCATGATTCAATCGGCCCCCACCAGGTTCTTCCCATGACATGTGAGAATTGTGGGAGTTACAATTCAAGATGAGATTTGAGTAGGGATGCAGCCAAACCATATCACTTGGAGAAGCCTTCAGATGGGGAAAATCCAGGGAGGCCCTGGGAGAGGAGGAGCTTTCCAAAGGAAAAACATATGCTCAGGTATGGAAACAGGATGGATCAGAGTGAGAAGGTGCAGCATGGCTGCAGGGCACAGTCACAAAATTTCAGGGATCACGGATGAACAGAGAGGGACCAACTGGCATGGTTCTACTGAGTTTAGATTTTCTCCCAAAGGCCAAGCTGACCACTTAAAATACTTTATCAGGGAAGACACATGGTTACATGGTAATTTACTTACTCATTTAAAAAAAATTATCTATTCTACAAGTACTTGTTGACTACTGTACTTAATAATTCACACAGAGCTAACACATATATTATTTCACTTTTCCACCCAACAGTCTCATGAGCTGGTTAGTTAGGTTCTATAAGTTTCATTTGGCAGGTGAGCTGACTGGGAGTCAGAAAAATTCAGACTTGTTCAATATCATATTGTCAGTTAGTCACAAAGATTTTCCCAAAATTCAGATCCCTTGTTAAAATCTATTGCACCACGATGTCTCTATTTGTGTGCAGAATTGAGGATGTTTGCTACATAAAACTGTTAGAATGAGCAGAATTAAAGTAGAAACAAGGTTCTGACCTTTATACAGCAAATGAAAAGAAAAGAAAGCTACAAATATATGACTAGGAGAATTCATGAAATCATTTAGTAAAGATAAATTATTAAGCAAAACTGTAGGACCCCAACTGCAACTGTGTATTGCTACATTGATGGTCATCATTATGGCAGCTCTTAGCTTTGCAGGTTCTAAAGGTAAACAAGCTTAAACTGCCCTGTCCTTTGGCTTCCACACATGGCTTACTTCACATGAGTTCCTAATTTAACTATTGAATGGGTTATTTAAGAAAGTGTTAAAAAAGAGTTCTAAAAATAAACATTTTCTCTTGAACAGGAATGTGGACATTCAGACAGTGAGTAGGTAAACCCTTGGGAGGGGATTGGGGAAAGAATGATCACTTATTAAGTACTACTATATTCTGCATATATTGTCTTGATTAACCTTTATAATCATCTTGAGACCTGGCTGTTAAAGTTCATTGTTTCAGAGGATAAACCAGAAACTTAGAAATCTATGCAATATTGCTCAGTTGGTGAGCCGCAACTCAAGACTGAAGCTATGTCCGTGTCTGTCTGCCTCCTCTGTTTATGCTCATTCCCTTACATCATAGTGCTGGATAAATTCAGGGACAGCATCCCCAAACAATCAAGAGGTTTTTAGGAATGTGGGGGAAGGGGTTGCTCTTAGAGGTGTCAGAGCAAAAGTATGGAACTACTTCTGTCTGAAAAAAAACAAGGTTCATGGTTGGTATGGCTCACATATATAAACCATAAATGGAGTGAAGAAGATTGACAAAGTGAAACAAGTAAATGGGGCCTTCAGTCATACCAGGATTCAAGGAGTTTTATTTACTTATTCATAAAGCACCCACTATGGGTCAGGATCTTGTAGATATTGGGGGCAGACCAGAAAGCAAGGCAAGCAAATTTCCCACACTTGGAGAGTTTTCCTAAACTCTCCAAAGGAGAGGGGGCATGGAGAGATCATAAGTCAATTAATGGATGAAATAATTTCAGGTAATCAAAACTTTTATGACATAATTAAAACATGGTATTATTACAGAGTTGATGGGCACTGGCAAATTTAGATTAGGTGGTCAGAGAAGGTCTCTCTGTGGCTTTGAATTTGAAAGGTGAGAGTGGAGTAAAAAGAACAGCAATCTACGCAAAAATCTTGAGGTGAAGCATGAGTTCTAATGGTTCTCAATTGGAGCAGGGACTTTGGGAAATGTATGGAAGCATTTTTTCATAGTCACAATGATTAGTGACATTACTGGCATTGGGTGGATTTGGGGCTAAAGATACCATATATCCCAAAATGAATTAGGCAGTTACTTACAATAAAAAATTGTTCCACCCTGTATTAGTCTGTTCTCATGCTGCTCATAAAGGCATGCCTGAGACTGGGTAATTTATAAAGGAAAGAGGTTTAATTGACTCACAGTTCCACGTGGTTGGGGAGGCTTCACAATCATGGCAGAAGGCAAGGAGGAGCAAAGCCACATTTTACATGGTGGTAGGCAAAAGAGAGCATGTGCAGGGGACCTCCCTTTTATAAAACCATCAGATCTCATGAGACTTATTCATTATAATGAGAACAGTGTGGGAAAGACCCACCCCCATGATTCAATTACCTCCCACTGGGTCCCTCCCATGACATGTGGGAATTATAGGAGTTACAATTCAAGAAGAGATTTGGGTGAGGACAGAGCCAAACCATATCAAACCCCCAAATGCCAACTGAGCCCCACTGAAAACCACAGTGGAAACTTATCATTGGAAAGATGCCATTGCTGCTCCAAGTTTGATATTTTTGAAGCAATGTGTTGTGGATGGTATGGGACAAATTGCAGAAGCTGTAATACACTAGTGCGTCAAGTGAGTCAACACCTGCATTAACAATAAAAACATAAAAGAATAGAAAGAAATTGATGAATAAAAAGAATAGATTTAAATAGAACCAAATTAAATATATCAGAGTGCTTCATACTTAGTAAGATTAAATACTTAGAAAGGTATTAGTTCATTGAACTTTTCTTTCTGGTGTGTGTGTGTGTCATTTGTGTGTGTGTACAACACTATATCCAGTACACACATGTATGGACTAATTCATGATGCAAAATTTCTTTCTCACTGTGGGTCTTCGTCAAAATGTTTGAGAGCCACTGGCTTAAAATGTAGGAACCAGGTAGAAACTGACATGAAAGATATGGAGATGGAGGCTCAGCTCTTGGAGCCTCAGCCACGGTAAGGAGTTTAGATTTCATTTTAGATGCTTCAGAGCTTTCAGGAGAGAACTGGTGTTGTGACTTATTCAGCTTCTGTTTAGAAAATAGATTGTAAAGAGGTATCACAGAATGCAGGGAGACCAGTTATTACCATCATTCGGGAGAGAGATGGTGCCTGACCAGTGTCGAGATGGAAAGAGGAGGACAGAGGCAGAGACTTTTCTATGGATTCTGAGAGAAGGACAGCCTACTAGGCTGGATAAAGTCTCTGTAGGGTCACACAATAGGTAGTTTTTGGCTGTGGATAGTCTGGTACAATCATTGGTATTTCAGTAAGATCCAACTCAGGATGTGGTGGAAGTGGGTAGAGAATGGCAGCTGCTAATTCAGGAACAGATGGCAAACAGGCAGCCAGACTATTATTAGTGGCCAGTCAGCATCTGGGATATCTCTCAGCAGGTAGCAAGGACATAGCCAAGAAAATGGAAATCATAGCAGAAATCCTGTTCCTCAGAAGAGAGCAGCATGATGGAAAACACATAGATGTTGGCCCCTAGAGAGTGTGTAGCTCCTTCTCTAGCTTTTATAAGAAGGAGGCAGGGTCAGGGGCCAAACTCCCCAGAAACCAGAAGCAGGAGTCTGATTAGGTTAGATCAATGCCTGTGGAACTGACGTGGCTACATTTTCGTGGTAAATCTTCAAAAACAAATAGAGACCAAGTTCAACAGACACTCTCCTCCATCAACTCCTTCCATGCAGATCAGATGCTGGAGGGCAGGAGAGCAAGGTCAGCTAGGTCTCATATGGTGTGCCTGTCTGTTTCATGCTGTATCAGGAAGCTTGCTCTTCTTCCAATGTGGCACCCAATCGTGCAATCCTGCATCTCTAGATGATAGGCCAGGAGCTAATGCCTGGGGACTTTCCATGCAAGATACATTTTCACTCTCTAAAGAGCTTTGTGTCTTCTCTTCAGTGTAGCTGAGTATACATTTTTGACTTTGCTTTGCAATGCAATGGTGAGGTAAGGAATAAGCCTTGGCTTTTGGGAAATTACATCACATGATCCCGCCTGGTTTATTAGTGTGTTGTCTTAGAGGCTGGGGACAAAATCACAACTAATGAAATGTGCTTTGCTCTGCCAGGTAGGCTCTGTGCACCTATCTTCCTAGGGAACCTTGCAGGGTATGGCGATATGTCCTGGCAGAATTAGCAAATTCCTGGGCACTCTGAATAAAATATCATTTAATAGTACTTCTGTTTATCTCAACTTGTAACAGCAGCCTAAAGTCAGGCAACCACAGTTTCAACTCCAGGCTCTGGCCCTTACTAAGCTTGGCATCCAGTTTTAACTGTGCCTTTTCTAGGTTACTATACTTTTCAGGGTTTCAGTTTACTTATCTGTAAAACGAGCATCAAGATGCCTAATCAGGTGATGTTTTTTGTTATTATTATATTCTGCACATGAGAAAACGTACGGGCAAATGCTCTCTAAACCCCAAAATACTACACTCATGTATAGAAGAACAAAACTTCACACTATGTTTTAGAGTTGGAAAAAATTAGAGGTATACGATTATTTAAATCAAATCTTTTTTGTGAACTACTGAATAAATAATGCAGAAAATTACAACAGTTTAAAAGGCCAGATGTATACTGAACTATACGTTATTTTTAATACTAGTGTGTTAATCACCAGTGTCAGTATAAGATGGAAAAGCAGAACAAAATACATTTATTTTAAGTTCAATTATATTTAACAAAAGGAGTGATTTATAGAAAATTATATCTTCTCTGAGAATTATGTTTTATAATTGTATATAATTATCTAAAACATGTTTCACCAACTTTAACATTTGTACAAGCATACAGGTTTATATTTCAGATGGGCAAAGACAGCTCTGTAATAAAACAATTTGACAGTAAGGGAGATCTTATCTTTTCTACACTGCATGGTAGAAAATACAGCACAGAAAATCTATATGAGTGATAGAAGAGCCCTGTCATAATTCTTCTTTCCAAGAACTTTGCTTCTTCCTCTTCAGTTAGAAAATAAGTTATTTTTTTTTAGGTCCTGCTGTCAAAATATCTAGGTCCTTACTCTACTTCATTATTAAGAGAATGCAACTATAGGCCAGGCATGGTGGCTCACGCCTGTAATACCAACACTTTGGGAGGCTGAGGTGGGAAGATTGAGCCCAGGAGTTCGAGACCAGACTGGGCACCATAGTGAGACACTGAATCTAAAAAAAAAAAAAAAAAAAAAAAATTAAAAAAATTAGCCAGGCATGGTGGCATGCACCTTTGGCCTAGCTACTCAGGAGGCTGAGTCAGGAGGATGGCTTGGGCCTGGAAGATTGAGGCTACAGTGAGCCGCAGTTGTACCACTGCCCTTCAGTCTGGGAAAGAGAGTGAGAACCTGTCTCAAAAAACAAAACAAAACAAATCAAAAACCACAATGCAACTATAAAACCAGAATCTAAATAAGTAATCTTATTTTAGTGCTAAGTGAGTTACCTTGTGGTTTATCTTTTATTAAGGCTGTCATTTTCTTAAAGGGCAAATCCCATGTCTGATTGTACATTTTCTCTTCCTAGGGGATGAGAGGTGGAATCACCACCATAGTCATTAACAATAATAATCACCATCTGTATCAATTATCTACTGTTGGATAATAATCTACCTCAGAATTTAGTGGCTTAAAACAACAAATGTTCATTATTACTTACAATTTCTATGAGACAGTCATTTGGAAAGTACTTAGCTAGGTAGATATGGCTTAGAGTCTTTCAAGAGATTGAGCTACATCGTGAGCTGGGGTTACAGTCTTTGAAAGACTTGACTAGGGCTGCAGGATCCATTTCTACAGTGGTTCACTGGCATGGCAGAAAGTTGGTATGGGCTGGTTGGTGTGTGGCCTCAGTTCAATGCCATGTTGATCTCTCCACAGAGTTGAGGGTCTTTTGACATATTGGTTCTCTTGACAGCTTTTTATAGACTGAGCAATCCAGGAGAGCATGATGGTCCCTAAAATAACTTTCATGCCCTAACTTTGGAAGTCACATGCCATCCTTTTGTTTATATCCTATTGGCTATATGAGTCACTTCTATACAAGGGCATGAAAGCTAGGAAGCATGGATTATTGGAAGCCATCTTAGAAGCTGTCTATCACATCATCATCATCATCATCATCATCATCATCATCATCATCATCAACTTTTGAATGAATGACTTAAGCAATGAGAAATATACAAACATTAAGAAACGTGCTCTCTAGATAAAATTTCTTTAAAGGGAAAACTATATTTTAGATGTGCTTTCTTCACTCCTGACATGACATTCTTTACTTTTTAGTTGGAAGTGGGCAACAATAATTTCTACCTAAACTTAATGCCAATTAACACAGTAATTACAAGACAGTAGCTAGTCTTACATGATAATTGATGATAATTGCTTCCTGCTTTAATTGCCTTATAAACAAGACTGCAATAGCAATCCAAACATTTCCTCAAAAGAAAAAAAACAAACAAGAAAATTTGTCAAAGTCATTTGCAAGTTGATAAGGAGCTAACAAATCCAGCCTACATGTCTGCAAGTCATGAAAGCAGCTGCTGGCAATGCATGGCACTTCCTTGGAGGATTTCAGTGGTGGTGAGAGCTTCAGGCTGGGTGGTGTCAGCTCCTGGATGCTGCAGAGACGTGTGCTGAAGCCTAACTGTTGGCAGCAGTTGTACCAGTGTGCTGAAGTGCTTAATGAAACTTTGCCAGTGTGGGAACCACCGCAGGTTCATCAGTGAATGGTGGGGCAATGTCTCTCCCTTGTTGCTGCCTGTGCCCTCTGGAAAGATGGGTTCAAAGCAAAATGAGGAGAGGATGAAGATTAGTGTCGTTTTTGTTGAGAAAAGCTCTAGAAGTCTGTATATTATACTATCCAAAAGCGAAGGGGAAACAAAACAAAGAAAGGCACTTCATTCTGGTAAATGAGCTAGCTTAGGTGTGTTAGAGAGAGAAAGGGAACCACATATGAGGCAGGTTAAACTCTTAAAAACTCAGCTGAGTCTAAGTAGGTGAACAACAGATGGAAATGAATGAGTGGTAGTATGTCCAAATAGACAAGAAATAAAAGGAGAGATGGAAGAAAGAAAGGTTGTCCAAGAAAGGAACTTTAAAAACCTGAGGCAGCATCTTAAGGGCACGTTGCAGAGGTATTTGTCCTCCCTCTTTCCCTAGGACATGTGCCTCAGAAACATCAATAATGGTTGCTGTTCAGTAACCCATTAAAGATGATTCCCCAGTGAGAAAAAATGTGGAAACTAGAGGAAAAAAATACCCTATGAAATTGATATCTTGAATGTAAGCAATTCCAACTAGGAAGCAGAGTAGACAACCACTGGGACACAGGAGCAGAGACATGCTCCCAGGAGACTGTGGGGCTTATTCCAATAAGTTGGAATGCTTGTTAAATTTAAAAGTAGGGGTGCCAGACCCTTAAGACTCAGAGGGAAATGGAAATTGAGATGTTGGAAGATGCAGGATGGAAATTAAAAACATCTTGAGTAAGAACTGATGACTGAGAGTGTCACCATCGTAACATTTGAAACTGTGCTAATTTGGCAACTCTCAAATGCTACTCTCTGGAAAATGAAAAAGCATGCATGGGTGGATTTCCCTACTCAATATGGCAAACCAGTGTCGTAACATGGTTTTATGACACTCCATCTGGTAGAGAGTGCCGTGTTTAGTCTCACAAGTCACGAGCCCTGGACAATCATCGTTAGAATGAGCAGTGACTTGGTCATGATGATGTTGAGAAAGATCACTTTCCCCTACCCTCCCCTTCTCTCAGTTTCATTTTTGGTGGCTATCCATTCTTACGTTCTGGGAACATCATTTTGCTTGGTAAAATTGCCCTAGGAACTGAGGATTTACTTTTCCAATGTCATGAGTGTGGGCCCAGGGCTGTGATAATCTTATGCATTCTGTTAACAGTTTAGACTCTTAAAATCATGAAGCTCAAAAGAACATTTTTTGTTGTAGTCCTAAATAAATGGATGTCTAAACGAACAGCCCAGACGGGACTCCTGAAGGAACCTCAGTCTTATCTCTACCTCAGCTATACCTCTGAATGAAAGTCTAGGCTGAGGTTGAGCATAATAAAACCAAAATTAGGGATGTTGAATTTTTGACTTTTTAAGACTTTCTGTTGATTACGTTAATGCTAGTTGCCATAACAAGCAAACCCTGGACTTTTGACATAAAATTCTGTCTTTTGTGGTGATAGAGTGTTTGCCCTATGCAGTCCTATGAAAACTCATTCTGATGAAGACTTTGGTAACATGGTTGCGTGATCTGTAGGGTTATTCTTGTTGTAGATATTCATCAGGTGGAGGGGACAAATGAGAGAGAATGGAGGAACATATCCAGGCTTTTATGAACCTGGTCTGGACCTGGGGGAACATACCACTTCTGCCCCCATCTCATTGGCAGAACTCAACTATTTGGCCACACTTAGATGAAAGGGAGTCTGCAATGTGGGATTGGCAGCCAATTCCAAATAACAATTCTATATCATGAAAGAGGACCTTGAATCTTTATTTTTGTCTGTTTTGTGATGGAGTCTCACTTCTTCACCCAGGCTGGAGTGCAATGGTGCAATCTCAGCTCACTGCAACCTCCACCTCCCGGATTCAAGCAATTCTCCTGCCTCAGCCTCCCCAGCAGCTGGGATTACAAGCATGTGCTACCACGCCTGGCTAATTTTTGTATTTTTAGTAGCTACAGAGTTCCATCATGTTGACCAGGCTGGTCTTGAACTCCTGACCTCAAATGATCCACCTGACTTGGCCTCCCAAAGTGCTGGGATTATAGGCATGAGTCACCGTGCCTAGCCAGGACCTTGAATCTTAGTGAAAAGCTCTGCCATAGGCCACAGACTTTTAGCTGACAAAGGCAAGAGAATTTATTTGGGCCTTTACTTCCTTTACACAACAAATGCTTCATATTTTATCTTGCAAAAGGACTTGAATCTCTGGAGTTTAATTTCTTTCTGCAAATACAATAATGAGGCTGGTTTTTATTCAACTTCAGGGCATTTCCATGTAATTGACTTCAAGTTATCAAGGTATCTTTCTGTCATTCTTAAAACTTATCACAGAATCTCCCATGAGTAGTATTAGACAATTTGTCTCAACATAACTGGAGGTGGGAAAAAGAACTAGTAGTACATTTTCAGCTTGTATGTAGAGGTTTCTGAAGTTCATGTAATGAATTGATTATTCAGATAATTTTAGAAACTTTTACAGGCAAAATCTAAATTACCCATCCACAGTTTCAGGGTGACACTGGAAGAGCGGTTGGTATTGAATGTGAGGTCCTCCCCTGAAAAGCATAGCCTCACTCCTGTTTTGGGTTAGATTAAAAATCAAACCCCAATGAACTAAGAGGGCCAAGGTCAAAGAAATGTTAGGGTGGATTGTTTGTTTCTTGCTCCTTCGTTTTGCTTTAAAAGACTTCCTAACACAGTACTCCTGGCCCCTTGTGCCCAATGGACACACTGGGTTTGAGGGGCCCTGACTTGTGGCCTCCTCTCTTTTTGGGGTGAACCTGCAAATGGAAAGCATTCTAATCTGGGCTCTTTGTAAAGTACACTGGGCCACAGGGACCTGCATTTTGGAGGAAGGGCCACCTTAATTCCCAGGAACATTATAAGCTTGTTTGGTTGCCCAGCTTAGCCATGTCCTGTTTCCTAATTTATTTTCACTGGTCATGAAGCTGGCATTAGAATTTCCGTCTGTCTGATTTCATATCACCATATGTCAGTTGATTGGAACTCGGCGGGTGTTCTATTTGGACCCATCAAACCACAATTACAGACTGAGTTGGATTCCTGGCTCTCCTGTTTACTATCTATATAGTACTGAGAATTTTGCTTAGTCTTTTTGAGCTTTAGTTTCTTGCTCATTAGGTAGGGGTAATACCTCTTCACAGTATTGTTGTGAGAATTAGATGTATTAATGACCGTAAAATGCTTTGTATAGGCTGGGTGCGGTGGTTCATGCCTGTAAGCCCAGCACTTTGGGAGGTGAGGTGGGCAGATCATGAGGTCAGGAGATGGAGACCATCCTGGATAACACGGTGAAACCCCGTCTCTACTAAAAATAAAAAAAATTACCCTGGAGTGGTGGTGGGCACCTGTAGTCCCAGCTACTCGGGAGGCTGAGGCAGGAGAATCGCTCAAACCCAGGAGGTGGAGGTTGCAGTGAGCTGAGATTGTACCACTGCACTCCAGACTGGGCAACAGAGTGAGACTCCATTTCAAAAAAAAAAATCCTCTGTATAATACCTAGAACATAGTAAGGACTCAATAAATTATATTATTTATTGTTATGACACAATTTTTTCAGGGTAATCTTGTGTCATGTGTGTTGTATTGGAAAATAATCAACTTTTACCTTATCTTTTGGTTATTTACAGTGACATATTGTCATAGTTTTGTTTGTACTCCTACAACAAAGTACCACAGCCTAGGTAATTTATGAACAATAGATATTTATTTCTCACAGACCTGGAGGCCGGGAAGTCCAAAATCAAGGCAGGTTTGGCATCAGGTTAGGTCTCTTTCCTCATAGGTGGCACTGTCTAGGTGTCCTGATGTGGCCAAAGGGATGGAAAGGACAAGACGGGACAAATAATATGTCCTCATATGGTAGAAGAGCATGAGAACAAAAAGGGCCTAGGCTAGTTCCTGTCTACCCTTTTAAAAGACACGCATCCATTCACTGAAGCAGAGTCTTCATCACTTTATCACTTCCCAAAAGGTCCCACCTCTTAGTACCACCACAGTTAAACTTAGTACCACCAACACTTAAACTGTGGGAGCCATTCAGACCATAGCCCATGGAATGACCAGTGCCTGTGTTATCTGCAAGTACTAGGAATGACAAATTCAGCAGGGGCAGCAGCAACAGGGTCAGAAAGAGGAGAGGGCTGGGGAAGGATTTCCAATATTTTAAGATGCATTTAGTCTGGGCAATTTTCCAACTATACCCCACCCAGCCCAATTAGATAAAACAAGTATACTCACACAGATAGTCCCCACATGCCCACTTTTGTGTTTTTTGTTTTGCTCCCTCACTTTCTGTCCTTTCCACTTACAGGTTCCTTTGCTCTAGTCAACTCTGATCTCAATTAGGACCAAATTTATCTTGTAGACTTTGAACTCTGGGTGCTAGAAAGTAGCACTTAGGGCATGATTGGCTCTCAGTAAGTGTCGAGCTGTAATGGAGGCATGCTTCATCCTCTCATAACACTCCTGTAATTCAGAGGTCCTCAGTTTTTGCTTCCCTGTCCCAATATACCTGAGAGATAGGATAAACCTCGATCCACTCCTGGTGATTATTATGGGAGTGGTACTTTCCTAATGGAAAGTATGTAAAAACCTGTGGCTGAGGAGTGGGAGAAAGAGGGTGGTTGTAGTAATTAAAAAAATTTAACTTTTATGCGTACATAGTAGATGTGTATATTTATGAGGTATGTGAGATATTTTGATACAGGTATACAATGTATAATAATCATATGGTGTATTCATCACCCCAAGCATTTATCATTTCCTTGTGTAAACATTCCAATTATACTTTTAGTTATTTTAAAATGTATGATAAATTATTGCCAACTGTAGTCACCCTGTTGTGCTATGAAATACTAGGTCTTATTCATTCTATCTAACTGTATCCCTGTACCCATTAATCATGTCCACTTCCCCCACTTCTTCCTCACTACCCTTCCCAGCCTCTGGTAGCCATCCTTCTACTCTTTACCTCCATGAGTTCAATTATTTACCTTTTTAGCTCCCACAAATGAGGGAAAGCATACAAAGTTTTTCTTTCAGTGCCTCGCTTATTTCACTTAATTTAATGTCCTCCAGTCTCATCCAGGTTGTTGCAAATGACAGGATCTCATTCTTTTTTATGGCTGAATAGTACGCCATTGTGAATATGTGCCATGTTTTCTTTATCCATTCATCTCTTAACGAACACTTAGGTTGCTTCGAATCTTGGCTATTGTGAATAGTGCCCCAGTAAAAATGGTAGTGCAGATTTATCTTCAATAAATGGATTTACTTTCTTTTGGGTACATACCTAGCAGTGGGAGTGCTGAATCCTGTGGTAGTTCTACTTCCAGTTTTTAAAGGACCCTCCATACTGTTCTCCATAATGTTTGTATTTAATACTAATTTACATTCCCACCAACAGTATATGAGTGTTGCCTTTTTTCCATATCCTTGCCAGCATTCATTATTGCTTGTCTTTAGGACAAAAGCCATTTTAACTGATGGGATGAAATGATACCTTATTGTAGTTCTGATTTGTATTTTTCTGATAATCAATAATGTTGAGCATCTTTTCATAATCCTGTTTGCCATTTGTATGTGTTCTTTTGAGAAGTGTCTATTTAGATATTTTGCCCATTTTGTAATAAGATGATTATATATTTTCTGATTATTTTAGCTCCTTACATATTCTGGCTATTAATCTTTTGTTGGAATGGATAATTTACAAATATTTTCCCCCATTCTGTAGGTTGTCTCTTGACTTTGTTGAGCATTTTGTTTACCCTGTAGAAGCTTTTTAACTTGATATGATCCCATTTGTCCATCTTTGCTTTGGTTGCTTGTACTTTTAGGGTATTATTCAAGAAATCTTTGCCCATAACAATGTCCTGGAGAGTTTCCCCAATATTTTCTTTTAGTAGTTTCATAGTTTGAGGTTTTAAATTTAAATCTTCAATCCATTTTGATTTGATTTTTGTATATGGAGAGAGATAGAGGGATAGGGGTCTAGTTTCATTATTCTACATATGGAGAGCCAGTTTTCACACACTATTTATTGAAGAGACTGTCTTTTTCTCAGTGGATATTCTTGGCACTTTTGTCAAAAATGAGTTCACTGTAGATGTATGAATTTATCTGTGGATTGTCTATTCTGTTCCATTGGTCTATATGGCTGTTTTTATGCCAGTACCATGCCTTTTTGATTACTATAGTTCTAGTTTAATTTGAAATCAGATAATGTGATTCTTCCAGTTCTGTTCTTTTTGCTCAGCATGACTTTAGCTATTCTGGTTCTTTTCTGGTTCCATGTAAGTTTTAGGATTTTGTTTTCTATTCTGTAAAGAATGTTGCTATTATTTTGATAGAGATTGCATTGGATGTATAGATCACTTTGAGTAGTATGGACATTTTAATAATATTGAGTCTTACAGTACATGAACATGGAATATATTTCCCTTTTTTTGGTGTCCTCTTCAATTGCTTGAATCATTGTTTTACAGTTTTCATTGTAGAGGTCTTTCACTTCTTTGGTTAAGTTTATTCTTAGGTGTTTAATTTTATTTGTAGCTATTGTAATGGGGTTACTTTCCTGATTTTTCAATTTTTTGCTGTTGACATATAAAAATGCTACTGATTTTTGTATGTTGATTTTGTATCCTGCAACTTTACTAAATTTGTTTATAAGTTCTAATAGTTTTTTACATCTTTAGGTGTAGCCTTTATGTTTTTTTTCAAATATAAGATCATATCATCTGCAACAAGGATAATTTGACTTCTTCCTTTCCATTTTTTAAAAATTTCTTTCTCTTGTCTGATTGCTCTAGCTAGAACTTCCAGTACTGTGTTGAATAACAGTGGTGAAAGTGGGCATCCTTGTCTTGCTCCAGATCTTAGAGGAAAGGCTTTCAGTTTTTCCCTATTCAGTGTGACATTAGCTGGGTTCTGTCGTATATGGTTTTTCTTGTGTTGAGTTATTTTCCTTCTCTACCCAGTTTCCTGAGAGATTTATCATGAAAGAATGTTGAATTTTATAAAATGCCTTTCATTATCAATTGAAATCATCATATGTTTTTTGTTCTTTTATTCTATTGATATATCACATTGATTGATTTGCATATGTTGAACCATCCTTGCATCCCTGGGATGAGTCTGATGGGGAGGTGATAATTTTAACCAAAACCTCTTAAATGGTTTGAATTTGCTCTTCAATGCCCAGTTCCGAATTTCAGTATGTCATTTGTTCAAATTTGGGTCCCTGGAGCCAGAACATATCTGCAATATATACTTATTAAAGAAATAAATGTTTTCCAAATACTGAAGAAAAATGAAGGCATAGAGGGTGTCTGGTTGGTAGAGGTAAGACTAATGAAAAGCCATATATTGATCATTGACACAGAAAGGCTATTATATTAGTCAGCTTCATGCTCCTCCTTGGTATTCCCCAGACATTTTGTATAGATCCGTGACTCTGGGCATTTCCTTTTTTTCTATTTTTTTCTTTTGTCCATCTTTATTTTATTCCCTGCCTCTGCATGGAAATGAAACTTTAGTGCCTTATGCAGCTTCTATGTGTAAGAGCTAATCTTATAAACTTAGAGGTTAATTTCAAATAATTGTTTGTATCAGATTGTACTAGGTATTGTGGTGAAAAACACAAAAATGAGTAAGATGTGGGTCCTTCCTTCTGAATATTCATAATGTTGCTGGAGAGTGCACAGATAGGTACCTCTACGCCAGGCAGGCACAATGCTAGAGATCTGGGAAATAATGGAAAGAAAAATTAGATATAGTCCCTTCTTTAATGGAACATTAGAATAGGGAGAAGATGGCCAGTTGGAAAATTACAACCATGATAGGCACCTGTAGGGTAGACATGTGGTGTATGGAAGTGAGTAATGGGACTTGATCCAGAATTAGGGAGTCAATGGAAACAGTCTCTGAAGAAATCATGATTAAATTGAGATCAAGAGAATGAGTAGGTGGTGATTAGGTATCAAAGTATTTGAGACAAACGAAAATTATTGGTAAATTCTTTACGTTGGGGCAGGGAGCCTGGCACAGCCCAGGAAGTAGAAAAAAGAGACTGAGGACAAGTTCTGGGTGGAATGAGGCCGGGAACTTAGATAAGGGGTGATTTAGGTAGGGCCATGGTGTTAAGGATTGTGGTCTTCATTTGAAGAAAAATGGGAAGCATTTACAATGGAGGGAGTAATGTATGTGTCATAATAACATTTGTGTTTTATTAAGTTCATGCTACCTGCCAGGTGAAAACTGGGTTGGAAGGTGGTACCAGCAAGGGTGCAAGTAGAACATTTGGGCTGCTTTACAGGTAGTCTTTGTAAAATTACTACTATTTATAGATAGTATAATTATACACCTAGAAAACATGAGAATCAATGGAAAAGACAATACAAACAGAAAATTCAATTAAGGATGAAATTAATACAGAGACATCATATTTTTTCACATATACATAATGACCAGTTAGCTCATTGAATAGAGGAAACAATATCATTTGCAATAGGAACATGAAAGATAAAATGCCTAGAAACTTTCAAGTAATTTGAAAGAGATCTGTAAAGAAAGCTAAAAATACTTCCATAGGGATATAAAAAACTACTCCAGAACTAGAAATATCTGATATGTTCTTGAATAGGAAGACTCAATATTATAAATATATCTATTCTCTCTTGTAAAAATTATGCGTTTAATATTATTTCATCAACCTCAGTGTCCACCAAGAGTGGATTGGATAAAGAAAATGTACATATACACCATGGAATACTACATAGCCACAAAAAGAATGAAATCATGTGCTTTGCAGCAACATAGATTTAGTTGGAGGCCATCCTAAGTGAATTAACACAGAAAGAGAAAATCAAATATCACATGTTCTCACTTATAAGTGTGAGCTACACATGGGCATAAAGACAGAAACAACAGAAACTAGAGACTCTGAAAGAGAGGAGGGAGGGAAGGGGGAAGGTCTGAAAAACTACCAATTGGGTACCATGTTCACTGTTTGGGCGGTGGGTTCAATAGAAGCCTAGACCCCAGCATTAATGCAATATACTCATGTAATCTGCACATGTTCTCTCTGAATCTAAACTGTTATTCCAATGACATTACAAAGAGTCATTTTCCTATAGTTTTAGACAGGCTGATTGTGAGCATCATGCAGAAAAAATACACAGGTAAGAATACCCAGGAAAATTATGAAAAAGAATACTAAGAATCAACTACCCTTATCAGGTATTAAACACATTAATTAAAAGCCCCAATAATGAAAATGGTATGGTACTGTCACATAAATTAAAATATAGTTCAAGAGAATAAAATAAAAAGTATAGGAATAGACCTGAAGGCACAGAGAAATTCAACAATATCAGTTAAGCTTCATGTGGGCAGGAGTTTTTTCTGTTTTGTTCTACTGCTGTGTTTCTCCCCGCTAGATCCATGCCTGCTGCATAGCAATGTCCAAATATTTGTTGAATGAATGAATAAGTAGGAAAAAATGAATTATTCATTTAATGCTGTGAGGACAACTGGATAACAATCTCAATTAAAGTGGGATCCTTACCTTCTACTTTATAAAGAATGAATTTTAAAAAGATTAAAGTTTTAAAATAAATCCATTAAAGTTGAATAAGAAACTATAGTATAATAATTTTATATGGAGTTGAGGAGGCCTTTTTAACTATGACACAACTCTGAAGATTTGTGGACAACTATACCTAGGCTATGTTGGCTTGGATATTCAGTTTCTGTCTTTCTTCCTTCCTGGCTTCCTTCCCTTCCTGCTTCCCTTTCCCTCTTCCCTTTCCCCCTCCCTTCTCCCTTCCGCCTCCCTTCTTCCCTTCCCTCTCCTCCCCTTCTCCTTCCCTCCCCTTCCCCTTCTCTTCTCCTTCCCTTCCTCTCTTACTTTTCTTTTCTCTTCTCTCTTCTCTCTTCTCTCTTTTCTTCTTCTTCTCCTCCTCCTTCCTCCTCCTTCTCCTCCTTCTCCTTCTCCTTCTCCTCCTTCTCCTTCTCCTTCTCCTTCTCCTCCTTCTCCTTCTCCTTCTCCTCCTTCTCCTTCCCCTTCCCCTTCTCCTTCTCCTCCTCCTCCTCCTTCTCCTCCTCCTTCTCCTTCTCCTTCCCCTTCCCCTTCTCCTTCTCCTCCTCCTTCTCCTCCTCCTTCTCCTCCTCCTCCTTCTCCTCCTCCTTCTCCTTCTCCTTCTCCTTCTCCTTCTCCTTCTCCTCCTCCTTCTCCTCCTCCTTCTCCTCCTCCTCCTTCTCCTCCTCCTCCTTCTCCTCCTCCTCCTCCTCCTCCTTCTCCTCCTCCTTCTCCTCTTCCTCCTTCTCCTCCTCCTCCTTCTCCTCCTCCTCCTTTTCCTCCTCCTCCTTTTCCTCCTCCTCCTCCTTTTCCTCCTCCTCCTCCTTCTCCTCCTCCTCCTTCTCCTCCTCCTCCTTCTCCTCCTTCTCCTTCTCCTCCTCCTCCTTCTCCTCCTTCTCCTTCTCCTCCTCCTCCTTCTCCTCCTCCTTCTCCTCTTTCTCCTCCTCCTTCTCCTTCTCCTCCTCCTTCTCCTTCTCCTCCTCCTCCTTTTCCTCCTCCTCTTCCTCCTTCTTTTCCTCCTCCTCCTCCTCCTTCTCCTCCTCCTTTTCCTCCTCCTCCTCCTTCTCCTTTAATATGGAGCAAGACCTAGAAAACAATGGGAATGTAAATTTCTTATAGTTTGCAAATCTTCTAAGCTTTTCTATTACATCCACATTAAATTGATTTTTTTGTGTATGTGACCTGCCATCACTTTTCCAAGCACTCTATTATTATTATTATTTCATTATAAATAATCCATGAAAGCAGGGACTTTGTCTCTTACTTCCTGGTGTACCCTAGTGCCTAGGACTGAGGTTGATATATGGTTGGGACTTGGTAATTATGGTTTAATTAATACATGGTTGAAAAAAAAACAAAGAGGGAGGGGACATAATTATATCTAGTCAAATACTTATTGGAGATAACTTGGGACCTTTTCATAAATGAGATAAACTTTTCCAGTGGGATACAAATATCTGAGAATGAGGGAGAAGGCACAGATAGCAGAAAATTAGGCAGATAAAAAGTTTAGGCTATTACTGTCCTTATCTAAGCTGGGCTGCTAACATGCTCTATGATCTGAGCTGGGTGATTTAACTTCTTTGCCACAATCTCTCCCACCTCCATGCCCCATATGCCCCACCATCATTTTATATGAAGGCCCTGTTTCTCTGAGAAGCAAAATGTATTTGATGAATTGACATTTCTTTTCTATTTCCTTTATAGGGCCATAAATGCATAATGTATATTGACTTGCCTCTAATATGTCAATAGTAGAAAGAAATGTGTGCAACATAAGATTTATAATAAATTTAAGAAGTGAGAAGAGAGGACAAGGAATAAATCTGACCAGAGAAATTCCAACAGTAAGACTGAAGGACATCTTAAAGTATTTTGCGATGGGTACCATAGAGACTAGAAGGATAGCTCTAAACTTCAGCATCTAAACAGAGGACTGCAAATTCTTTGTATTCCACAAATTGAGGGGTGGCATCTAATTCCTCTCTGCTTGAATTAAGGTTGGCCCTAGTGACATGCTTGGCCAATAGAAGCTTCTGGTATTCTGAGGCCAGATGACAGTAGGATGTGGCAACTTACATCCAGGCTTTTTGTAACGCTTACTCTGGGAAAAGAGAGCCATAGTGTAAAATAGCTGACTATGCTGACACCACCATGCTGTGAGGAAGCCCCAGCTAGCCACATGGAGAGGCGACGCGGAAAGAGACAGATGCCTAGGTAGCTTCCAGATATTCCAGATATTCTAGATAACCCAGTCATAAACCCAGACATAAGGGTGAAGAAAGAGTCACTTCAGTCCCTCCAGACACAATGGGTAAAGGACCAAGGAACCCAGTTGGAAGCAAGAATTCAGGCTACAGACATAAGACCTGACTGAGCCATTGCAGCCATCTACAGTCATTTGCATCACCCCAGATGAGGCCCAGTCATTGTGAAATAGAGGTAAACTATCTCTACTATGTCTGTCCAAATTCCAATCCACAAAATTGTGAGCACAATAAAATGATAGTTATTTTACTAAATGTTGTTACACAGTAATTGGAGCACTGCATGAGGAGGCTGTTGCTTCCTTTCTTCAGATACATTTGCTGAGCACCTACTAGTGCCAAACCCTTAGTGATGTTTTATAAATACTATATTTTCTAATCTTCCACATAATTCTAGACATTCTTATATCCAACTTATACATAAAGAAACAAATGATCATTGAATTTTGGAGACTTGTCCAAGATCACACTGATCATCTGCGCTGGGACTCACACTCACATTCTGCCAAAAGAAATGAAAAGGCATGGCAAAGTCAAGTCACTGCCTTGAAAACTGTAAGTTTACAGTTGAGTTGGAAAAGAAAAGTGCTTGATGATGCCAGCTATTGTGGATGCCCCCCAGGGATTTGGAGAGGAGCAGATGAATTTCAAGTGTGCTGATGATTCTGAAAGGGATTAAGTGGCAGATTGCACCACAGATGCCACTCTTAAGAGGTTCTTTTGTAAGATTTGCTTTTGGACAAGCAGGGAAGAAAGAAAGTGGAAAATGGTTTTCATAGAGAATTTTAGCAGTGATTGCCTCTGAGGAAAAAATCTCTTTAATTCAAAATTTATTAGACCCATGTCTAGTTTTTGTTCTGTGACTAGGAAGTACAAGGTGAGAGTGTGACTAGCAAACATAGCCCTTAAGCAGATGGGATTTCCCTTCCATGGTATCATCTCAGATACCCATGGTATCATATTTTCTCCCAGTTGTTAAGCCCTCCTCAGGAGCCACTTGACTCCACTAGCTCCAACATGCTATGTTTCCTGACTGGGAAAGCTAACAGCTAGCACTGAATCATCCATCCCCACGGTCTTCCCATCTCACCAGTATCCACCCTCCTGGTACACTTAGCTTTAAACCCTTATTGCAGACTGAATTTCCAGATTTATGTATAAGACCTCAGTAATTTCAAACAGCATGAAGTTCCCTGTGCAAGCTGTGATGTATTATAGTGCCATGTGATTTTCCCTGAGGAGGATGTGTGGCTCACTTGTACTAATCTTTTAACACAGCTTAAGTGTCTTTAGGGCCCTCAGAAGTGCCAATCACATATTTTTCCCTAATCATTTAAAAAAAAAAAAAGGAAACCCAGAATTCAGAGAGGGAGTAACATATCAGCTTCATGGTTACTGTAGATCATTCTCTTCTTAGAGGTCTTAATTCTTGTCAGGTGTGAAGAAGTTGGAGCTTCTCCAGGTGTGTGGTCTTCTCTTGAGATCTGATTCTCTCCTTCTGTTCATTCCAAGGTTCAGAGTGATTTTGACTATAGATTCAAGCTGAGTTACACAATGTAGTTTTACCAAAACAAGCAACCACTTCTTTTGCTTCTATTCTTTGTAATATCCATGTCTATTTCTCAATTAGTTAAAATTTGAAGGTAAATGTGTATGAATCTTGCCTTGGAGACCACATCAAAAAATAGCCTGAACTTTAAGACGATGTCAAGTCATCGCTTTCCCAAAGTTGCATCTTTCCCCAAAGATTCCTCTAACTTGGCACTTGCAGTCACATTGGCTCATCTGTTTCCCATTAGGCTGGGAGACTCCTTGGAAATCTGGGACACTGCCTCACACATCTTTGTTTTCTCCAGGGTCTCACACAATGCCATTACATAAGGCAGGTAATCAATAAGCATTTGCTTAATGGAACAGAACAGCACTATTGATTCTTATGACTTTGCCTCTGGAGTGATCCTTCTACCTTATAAAGCAACTTTTGCTAAGGCTATTGACATAAAATCTATCATGCCTTGGTTCCAAATCACTGCCTCTCCTGGTCATGCCTAAACTTCTATAAGAAACTGAGTTATGCCCAGAAAATACCAGAGCAGTAACCCACTTAA
The DNA here is from genome assembly GCF_000001405.40 of Homo sapiens. Classification (NCBI taxonomy): domain Eukaryota; kingdom Metazoa; phylum Chordata; class Mammalia; order Primates; family Hominidae; genus Homo; species Homo sapiens. Next base: position 134,239,823 of record NC_000008.11, on the reverse strand, counting down.
GAAACATCTTCTCACTTTTTCCTGCTTCATCCTTCAGCAATCAAAACTTACCTGTTCTGTTTTCTGCACCTATGGGTCAATGTTCCTTAAGCCAACTCATACATACCCAAATAAGATTAAAGTATTCATAATTAATCAGTGACTTCCAGTCCTGCATTACATGTTGAATGCACATGGATTTGGAAGCCAGAGAGACCTGGGTATTATATTTGATGGTGATAAACTTTATGAGAAAACTTTCTTTACCCTTTAATTTAAAAATGAGGAACCTAAAATTTAATTATTCACGACTTCAAGTCTCATAAGAAATAAATTTGTGTAACCACAACCACAATAATGACAGAGAACTCTTACTATCACCACAAAGATCTTCCTCATGGAACTCCTTTATAATCACACTGACTCTCACTTGCTACCATCCCTGACCCCTGGTAACCACTAATCTGTTTTCCATCTTTACATTTTATTCTTTCAAAAATTGTTATGTAAATGAAATCATACTGTATATGACCTTTTGGGATTTTTTTCCACTCAGCATAATGCTCTTAAGATCCATCCAACTTGTGTGTATTAATAGTTCATTGATGGGTAGAATTCCATATAATTCTATTATATGGATGTAACATAGTTTGTTTAAGCATTTACTTATTGAGGGTTGTCTTGGGAGTTTCTAAGTGGAGGTTTATTTATTTATTGTCTTCCAGACTATTTTTTGAAAACACTGTCTTTCTTCCATAGAATTGCTTTTGCAGCTTTATCAAAAATCAGTTGGCCATACTTGTGTGTGCCTATCTCTGGGTTATCTCTTCTGTTCCATTGGCTATTATAAGTGAAGCTGCTAAAAACAGCTAAAAATAGGAATTGTATTAAACATGCATATCAACTTGAAGTGAATTGATGCATTTACTACATGGAATCTTCCAATCCATGAATATGGTATGTATCTCCATAAATTTACTTCTTTTTTAAATTTCTCTTATCAATGTGCTGTAGTTTTCAACATAAATATTCTATACATGTTTTGTGAGATTGACACCAAAGAATTTTATTTTCTGAGCAACTGTAAATGGTATTGTATTTTTAATTATGGTGTCCACATTTCATTGCTAGTATATAGAAATACTATTGACTTTTGTATATTGATCTTGCATTCTATGAACTTAACGAATTCATTATTTGTTCCAGCAGACTATAGATTCCTCAGCATAATTATATTATAGAGACAATTATGCCATTGGCAAATAGAAACAATTTATTTTCTGATCTGTATGCTTTTCACTTTGTTTTATTACTTTGTTGCACAAGCTGAAACTTTCAGCACTATGTTGAATAGACTGGTGTGAGTGAATGTTCTTGCCTTATTCCCAATCTTAAAGGAAAAACATTCATTCTTAAGCCATTAAGTATGGTGTTAGTTGTACATTTTTGTAGATATCCTTTATCAAGCTTGAGAAACTTTTTTCTTATTTTTTGGGAATTTTTTAAATATCATGAATTGGTGTCGAAATATATGAAAGCTTTTCTGCATCAATTGATGTGATCAGTAAATTCTTCTATAGCCTGTTAATATGATGAACTGCATCAATTTATATGTATATATTGGACTGTACTTCCATCCTTGAAACAAATTTCCCTTGGTCATGGTATATAATTTCTTTTATATATTGCTAGATTCAATGATTAGCATTTTATTAAGAATTTTTTATCTATATCATACAGTGTATTGGTTTGTAGTTTTCTATTCCTATGATATTGTTGTTTGATTTTGGTATGAATGTAATAATGCAATACTGACTTTACAGAACAAGTTGTGACATGTTCTCTTTTCCTCCATTTTTCTGGAAGAGACTGTGCATAATTCATGTTAATTCTTCTTGTAATATCTGGTAGAATTCTCTAGTTAAACTGACTGGATATGAAGATTTATTTTCAGTAGTCCTTGATTACAAGTTAAATTCCTTTAAGAGGCATAGGACTCTTCAAATTATCTACTTCACACCAAATAAGCTTTGTTGGCTTGTTTCCAGGGAATTGGCTCATTTCACCTAAGTTATCAAATCTTTTGTATAGGCTTTTTCATAATATTCCCTTATTATCCTTTTGTTGTCTTCAGGGTATGCAGTGATATCCTTGTTTTGGTAAATTGTGTCCTCTCTCTCTTTTTTTCTTTGTTAATCTTGCTAAAATTTTGCCAGTCTTATTGATCTTTTAAAAAAAATCTTGTTTATTTTCTTATGTTTTTGTTTTCAATTTTATGTTTTTCTGCTCTTTATTATTTCTTTCCTTCTGCTAACTTTGATTTTGTTCTTGTTTTTCTAATTTCTTGGGTTGGGAGATTATATTATAGATCTGAGACTTTTCCTCCTCGAATATCATGTAGTGCTATAAGTTTCCCTCTCAGTACTGCTCTGGGATCCATATGTTATAGTTTAACATGTTGTATTTTCACTTTTATTCAGTCCAATGTATTTTTTATTCCCTTGAGACTTCCTCTTTGATCCATGGATAATTTAGAAGCATATCATTTAGATACCAAGTGTTTAAAACATTTTCTATTATTTTTCTTTTGTTGATTTCTAGTTTGATTCTATTTTGGTTACAGAACATATTTTACATGATTTCAATTCTTTTACATTTGTTGAGGTTTGTTTTGTTGGCATGATGTCATCTATCTTGGTATATGTTCTGTGGGCACATGAGACGATAATGTATTCTGCTGTTGTTGGGTGGAATGTTTTACAAGTGTGATTATATCCTGTTAGTATGGTTGACTTTTTCTATTTTCTTGGTAATTTCTCTAGTTGTTCTTTTGATTGTTGTGAGAGAAGTGTTGAAGTCTTCAACTATGATTTTAGGTTTGTGTATTTCTCTGTTCATTTCTATCAGTTTTTGCTTTACATTTTTTTTTAAACTCTATGGTTTGGTGCATATACATTTAGGGCTGCTCTGTCTTCTTAGCTAATTGGCTCTTTTATCATTGCATAAGCATGCCTCTCTGTCTCTGGTAATTTGCTTCTAAAGTCTACTTTATGCAGTATTAATATAGCTACTTCTGCTTTTTTCATTAATGTTTGATATGATTTGGCTCTGTGTCCCTACCCAAATCTCACTTTGAATTGTTATAATCCCCATGTGTCAAGGTCAGGACTAGGTGGAGATAATTTTATCATGGGGGCGGTTCCTCCATGCTGTTCTTGTGAGAGTGAGTTATCATGAGATCTCATGGTTTTATAAGGAGCTTTCCACCTTCACTCAGCACTCATTCTCTCCCCTGCCACCACATGAAGAAGTGCCTTCTGCCATGATTATAAGTTTACTGAGGCATCCCCAGCCATGTGGAACTAAGAGTCAATTAAACCTCTTTTCTTATAAATTAACCAGTCTCAGGTATTTTTTAATAGCAGCATGATAATGGACTAACACAGTAAATTGGTACTGGGAGTAGGCCGCTTCTATAAAGATACCCCAAAATATGGAAGTTACTTTGGAACTGGGTAACAGGCAGAGGTTGGAACAGCTTGGAAGGCTCAGAGGAAGATGGGAAAATGTGGGAAAGTTTTGAACTTCCTAGAGACTTATTTGAATAGCTTTGACCAAAATGCTGATAGTCATATGGACAATGAAGTCCAGGCTGACGTGGTCTCAGATGAAGAGGGGAAACTTGTTGGGAACTGGAGTAAAGGTCACTTTTGCTGTGCAAAGAGACAGGCAGCATTTTGCTCCTGCCAAAGAGATCTGTGGAACTCTGAACTTGAGAGAGATGATTTAGGGTATTTAGTGGAAGAAATTTTTAAGCAGCAAAGCATTCAAGAGGAAGCAGAGAATAAAAGTTCAGAAAATTCCCAGGCTGATGATGTAATAGAAAATAAAATCCCATTTTCTGGGGGAAAAAATCAAGCCTGCTGCAGAAATCTGAATAAGTAATGAGGAGCTGAATGTTAATCACCAAGACAATCGGGAAAATGTCTCCAAGCCATGTCAGAGACCTTCACGGCAGCCCCTTTCATCGCATGCCTGGAGGCCTAGGAGGGAAAAATGATTTCATGGACTGGGCCCAGGGCCCCCCTGCTCTATGTAATCTCAGGACATGGTACCCTGCATCCGAGCTGCTTCAGCTCCAGCCATGGCTAAAAGGGGTCAAAGTATGGCTCAGGCCATTGCTTCAGAGGGTGCAAGCCCCAAGCCTTGACAACTTCTATGTGGTGTTGGGCCTGGGGATGCACAGAAGACAAGAATTGAGTTTTGGGAACCTCCACCTAGATTTCAGCAGATGTATGGCAATGCCTGGATGTCCAGACAGAAGTCTGCTGCAGGGGTGGAGTCCTCATGGAGAACCTCTGCTAGAGCAGTGTGGAAGGGAAATGTGGGGTTGGAACCCCCACACAGAGTCCCCAGGGGGGCACTGCCTAGGGGCACTGTGAGAAGAGGGCCATCATTCTTCAGACCCCAGAATTGTAGATCCACAGACAGCTTGCACCATGCACCTGGAAAAGCCACAGATAATCAATGCCAGCCCATGAAAGCAGCCTGGAGGGAGGCTGTACCCTGCAGAGCCACAGGGGCAGAGCTGCCCAAAGCCCTGGGGGCCCACCTCTTGCATCAGTGTGCTCTGGATGTGAGACATGGAGTCAAAGAAAATTATTTTGGAACTTTAAGGTTTAAATGACTGCCCTATTGGATTTCAAACTTGCATGGGCTCTGTATCTCCTTTGTTTTGGCCAATTTCTCCCACTTGGAATGGGTGTATTTACGCAATGACTATAACCCCATTGTATCTAGGAAGTGACTAACTTGGTTTCGATTTTATAGGCTTATAGGCAGAAGCAACGTTGGACTCTTGACTTTTGGGTTAATGCTGAAATAAGACTTTGGGGGGGCTGTTGGAAGGGCATGATTGTGCTTTGAAATGTGAGGACATGAGGTACGGGAGAGGCCGGGGTGGAATGATATGGTTTGGCTCTGTGTCCCCACCCAAAACTCACCTTTCATTGTAATAATCCCCGCATGTCAAGGGCAGGACCCAGTGGAGATAATTAAATCATGGGGGTGGTTTCCCCATGCTGTTCTCATGATAGTGAGTGAGTTCTCATGAGATCTGATGGTTTTATAAGGGGCTTCCCCATTCACTCAGCACTCATTCTCTCTCCTGCCGCCTTGTGAAGAAGTGCCTTCCACTATGATTGTAAGTTTTCTGAGTCTTCCCTAGCCATGTGGAACTGTGAGTCACTTAAACCTCTTTTCTTATAAATTACCCTGTCTCAGGTATTTCTTCATAGAAGTGTGAGAACAGACTAATATAGTTTCTGTATTATACCTTTTTCCATTTTTTTAATTTCAACCTATGTGTATCATTATATTTGAAATGATTTCCTGTAGACAGCATAAGTTTAGTCATGTTTTTTTCTTATCTGCTCTTCCAGTTTTTATGTATTAATTGGAGTAATTCAACATTTTACATTTTATGTAATCATAATATGTTAAGGCTTAAGTCTGCTCCCCATGCCCCATTTGTTCTGTTTTTCGCTTCTCTGTTTTCTTTTTTTATGCCTATCTATGTGAGTTACTTGAATGCTTTTGGTAATTCCATTTTCATTTATCTATTTTTTAACTGAAATAGATTTATTCATTTATTTTTAACTGTTATTTTAAGCTCGGGGTACAAGTGCAGGTTTGTTAAATAGGTAAACTTGTTTCATGGGGTTTGTTGAACAGATTGCTTCATCACCCAGGTATTAAGCCTAGTACCATTAGTTGTTTTTTTTCTGATCCTCTCCTTTCTCCCACCCTCCCCACCTCCAAAAGGCCCCAGTGTTGTTCCCCACTATGTATCCATATGTTCTCATCATTTAGCTCCCACTTATAAGTGAGAACATGCAGTATTTGGTTTTCTGTTCTTGTTTTAGTTTCCTAAGCATAATAGCCACTAGCTCCATCCGTGTCCCTGCAAAGGACAAGATCTCATTTTTATGGCTGCATAGTATTCCATGGTATATATGTATCACATTTTCTTTAACCATCAATGGGCATGTAGGTTGATTCCATGTCTTTGCTATTGTGAATATCTATATATTTTATTAGCTGTTTTTAGTGGTTGTTCTAGGTATAACACTGCATATATACAATTTTTCACAACCTACTGGTATGAACACTTCACTAGTTTAAATGAACTGCAGAAAGATATTACCTCCCTGTATGTCTCTTTACCTTCCTTCACTTATGCTATAATCCATATACACTGAGAACCAAATCAGACAGTGTTAAAATTTTTGCTTAAATCATCAAACGTAATTGAGACAACTCAAGAAGAGAAAGACAGTCTATTGTATTTACTCATATTTTTCCTGTTTGTTCTTTCTTCCTGATCTTCCAAGGTTCCTTCTTTTATCATTTTATTTCTGCTTAGAGAACTTCCTTTATTCCTTATTTATTTATCAGTTCTAATATTTCTGTTTGGTTCCTCTTTATGTCTTCTGTTTGTGTGCTGAACCTTTTTATTATACGCTAAAGCTTTCCATTTTAACATTTGTTTCAAATGTGTTCATAATTGCTCATTATAATGGTTCTTGTCAGATAATCCTAACATCATTGTCATCTCAGTGTTCATCTCTATTTTTGCCCAGTTTGAGATCTTCTTCATTCTTGGTATGATGAGTCATTTTCAGTTGAAACCAGGACAATTCGGGTATTATGTTATGACTCTTATACGGATGTTATTTATTGCTTCTATTTTAGCAGGCACATCCTGAAACTAGTCTGATGGGTTAAGTGTGGAGCCACCTAATTACTTCCAGGTGGGGTTGAATTACAACTTCTCCGTTCAGACTCCATTGACATTTGTGGGTGGAAAGTGCTCTTTGTAACTGCTGGGTAGGTGTGGGAGTTCTGTCTCCCATCAGGGAACTTTCTTACCACTCCCCACATGGCCCCTCCTGACTCTGTCAGTGGAGTGCTTGCCTCAGCACCCATGAGTAGTATTAAAGTTCTCCCATCTCATGAGGTCTTCTCTGACACCATGATGGTAGACAGGGGGAGAAGCTTCTTGTTATCTAGTGGGGATGGAAGTCCAGCCTCCCCATGTGGACCCCACTGATACCTCAGAGGAGGAGAGAGAAGGTGAGGGAGAATGGAGAGAGGCCTCCTTATTGCTGAGTAGTGATGAAAGGCTTGATTCCTGACTCAACCATCTCTGAATGTACCCCAACAAGGGAGTTGGGCATCTTGTTATAGCCCAGCAACGGTGAGGTCTATGTTCTCCACTTTACCTTTCTTTGCTGGTGGGGTTACCAGAAAAGTGGTGTTTGGCTAGAGTGGAGAAATTATTGTCTAAAAGCCTTCTACCTTGCCAGGCTGCCCATTTTTTGATCATTTGGCTAGAAAGAGCAAGCTTTCCTTGTGGCTTTTTTTTTTCTTTTTGCCTGAGTCAGTGGTATTTCTGAGTTGCTGGCTTCTCCAGTATACAGTCTGAGATATAAGAGGAAAAACTAACCAACCAACCAAACGAGCACGAAATAGAGAACTCATCATGGCATCGTTCTCAGGTCCCGAGGCTACTAGCTTGTCGGCCTTCCTCTCTCCACTTTTTAGTCTTCTTTTTTTTATATCTGCCATATCCAGGATTTCTGTTTGTACTTAGGGAAGAATAGGATAGAATACATCTACTTCATCTTTCTGAAAGCAGAAGTTCTGTCCTTGATATGGTTTGGCTGTGTCACCACCCAAATCTCACCTTGAATTGTAATAATCCCCTCAAGTCAAGGGTAGGGCCAGGTGGAGATAATTGAATCATGGGGGCAGTTTCCCCCATACTGCTCTCATGGTAATGAATAAGTCCCATGAGATCTGATGGTTTTATAAAGGCAGTTCACACACACATGCTCTCTTGCCTGCCACCATGTAAATTGAGCCTTTTCTTCTCCTTTGTCTTCTGCCATAATTATGAGGCCTCCCCAGCCATGTGGAACTGTGAGTCAATTAAACTTCTTTCCTTTATAAATTACCCAGTCTTGGGTATGTCTTTATTAGCAGTGTGGGAACCGACTAATACATTCTCTTTTTAATTATTAAAAGTGTGCTCTAGGTTAAAGCTTTAATCCGAAGTATATTTTTAAACTTCGTGTTGAGTGACCTGAAATGGGAAGAGATGTGTGATCATGAGATCTGCACTGTCATTTCTCCTCCATTTTGGAGTTGAGAGAGAGGGGGGCGGGGTGAGATGATCATAATCTGCTTTGTCCCCAAATGAGACACACACACATCTCCTTTCTCCTCCTTATCTTAGTCCAGCTTCTCTGGAGCTAGAGAAGGCAGGGACTCTATTTTGCAACTGACCATGTGATAACAGTGAAGAGACATTCCTTGTTACTCTCGGTTTGGTGTGGTTTGACCTGTTCTTGGCAATTTTCTCAAAGATAGTGGCCTCTGAGGAGTGCAGGTGGTGTCCTCTGAGGGGTGCTCAGTGTTATTCTGGCCATCTCAGAGGGGACAGAGTTCACTCTTATCACAAACACTGCTCTTCCTACTAAGGTTGCCAGATTTAGCAAATAAAAATATAGGACAACCAGGTGAATGGAAATTTCCAATAATCAAGTAATAAGTTTTTAGTATAATTATGTCCTATGCAGTATTTGGAACATACTTATAGTAAGAAAAGTTATTCCTGTTGATCTGAAATTTAAATTTAACTGTGTGCCTTGTATTTTATCTAGTAACTGCATCTGCAAGGCCAATTATTCTTGCCCTTTCATTTTTCCTCTCTCTTATACCATGATAAGAAGGGGTGGGATGTTTGAAGGCTCTTATAGGGAAGATTCTTATATTTCTTAGTAATCCCTGGGAGAGAAGTCCAGGCCTAATTGCTTACAGCCCTCCTTAGAATGTGGGGGTAATTAGTGCTTCCTTGTTCTTGACTCTAAGCTTTAATTCTTAGGAAATAGGAAAACTCTTATTCATCATGCTATTGTAGAGAAAAGGATTAGACACTCTATAATCAAATGCTACACCAAATGCAATCATTTTCCAGAGTATATATTTTGGGTAATGAATGTTGTGGACACTGAGAAGGGGAAACACCAGTCAGGGTTGGATTTGTTTCCCAGTGCCTCTGGGTCTCTGTTTCCTCATTGGAAGATGATGTGATTGAACTGGGGGACATCTGAATGAAACATGGTATTTAATGGGTTATTTCCTGCTGCTTCAGAGTTTTGGCTGAGGATCCATAGCTGGGGACAATAAGAAAAATAATAGCCAATATTTATAATTATGGATGAGAAACTGCTGTTAGAGCTTTGAATATATTTCCTCACTTAATCCTTAAAACACCCTCTGTGATGGGTACTATTATTATCATGCCCATTTCATCAACAAAGAAACTAGGAGACTGAGAGGCAAATTGGCCAAGATCACCATGGATGACAGGTGCCCCATGCAGTCTGAGACTTGTCTCCACAGTTTCACCATGAATGTCCATGCAGATCCAGTGAACATCAACCCTGCTTTGCAGAAAAGGCTGGAGAGCCATTGCAAAGGCATCTTTGAAGACAATTATGAGAAACACAGGACATGGCAATTGTTTTACTTCTGTGAGTGTGTGTGTGTGTGTGTGTGTGTATGCACACGTGCCAAAGAGAGGAGGGAGGTGTGGTCCCATAGTCTAAGCTGATGATGAGGAACCCTAAGTAGGAGTTGACTCAGTGCCTGGGGAACTTGCTCTGTGGTGTGGGCTGAGGATGTTCAAAGCCCCACAAAGACCCCCACAGGAAAGAGCTAGCCTTGCATGCCTGCCATCACAAGGCATTTGATAGTCCAGAGAGGGCTTCAAATACTTAAGCTAAGTAAAAACACCTTTTGTATATTTTCTCTTATCTTTCACTCTTCTCTTGTCTGGACACTGGAGGAGTCCAAAGGAGCAGGTGTAGTGGAGGGAGATATGGAGCAAGGAAGGAGGTGGAACCAGTCATGCCCCCCACCCCTGCTCCCCGCTGGTTCCAGAGCTGAGAAATAGGAGAGGGGGAGCTTCCAAAGGACACTGAGATGAAAGGGTTGATATAGCAAGATTATATTTTCTGATACCTGAACATGGAACTGTTCTTATAGGTGAAAATGGCTAAACATCTTTAGTATCTGCTTGAGATGCTGTTAAGGGGAAGACCAGGGAGATGCAACAGAACAGATTGAGGTAGTGCCAAAACAGTAAAAACAACAAAACACAAAGAAAGAAAACCTTGTTACTGTTCCTTATCAAATGTACCTGGTTCAGTAAGCCAGCAGTAATGAATTGGTTGCCAGGTTGCCCTGGAAACCAGGTTGCCCAGTGCCTCTGGGTCTTCCTCCATTTCTTCATTGCCAGATTGAGGTGGTTGCATCTGGTGATTTCTGTGCTTCCTATTTCATGTTTGAAAAGTAACGGAAATCAATACAGTGTAGCTCAGGAATCCACCTCCCAGGGGCTTATGTTATCTTCTGGGAATATTTTTAAGATTTAAATACAATTATCTGAGTCCCCATGTAGTATGTCCCTTCCACAAGATTTCTGAGATCCTGGAGTTGGGAGTGTTTGGGGGATTCCAAATCTATGCTCCCCTCTCACTTCGTTTTTGCACAGGAGTGATGGGAATCACTGTCTTCCAATCCAAAAGGTAGATTCCACCCCTCCCTGCCATGTCGTTTGGGTCTCTCATTCTATCACACTCTCCACTTTTCTTTGTCTCTTTCTCATTTTTTCTCTTCTTCTCTCTCCCAAATGCCATTCATTTCCCTCCATTTCTTAATTTATGAGGCTCCAAACTCTTTTTCTCTGCTTTTGCCCCTTTGTAATTCAAAATTTATTTCCCCTTAGGATTTTGAGCAAGTCCTCTCTCTCTTTGCCTCCCCTTTCTCATCTGGGCTCAGCCCAGGGGCCTCACTTTTCTCCTACAAAAGGACACATCAAGATGATTCATAAATAATTGTGCCTTATATTCTCTTGAATTATGCCACTACCTTGGAGGAAAAAAGCAGCTTCTGTCAGTTTATGTTCTAAAGAGTGTCTACCTTCCCTCTGCTCTAGCATAATATGTGAGTCTGGTAGGAGTTGATGATGATGATGATGATAATGATAATAATAATAATAATAATAATAATAATAATAATAATAGCAACAATATCCCAAGAGCCACAAAATCCATAAATGGAAGCACTTAAAACTTCTGATGTTTTGTAAATTGACTCCGTCAGAAGACAGTTCATTGTGTATTTCACAACAGACACAGATGACATCAATTCCCTTGAGATTTGGGTTCTTTTTAACTAGTGTGCCTACAAACAAGGTGGTACTTCTCATTAACGCTTACCATAATATTCTTACATGCAGAGACCTTTTTATAGTGCATTCCTGTTTTTGAAGCACTTTCATGAGTATTCTCTTGCTTACTTCTCAGTGCAATGCTATCAGATGCATCTCATTATCAACACCCATTTTATATATAAACCAACTGAGGCATTAAATGACATATTCTGTAAGTGACAGGTCCAGTTTGGAAGGCTGGATCATCTGTCTTCAAATCTCATGCCATTTCTGGGGTAAATATTCAAACAAATCTCTCTTATATATGGGGTAAGATAGGAGCAGACAGGTTCTATAGGACTTTGGGTAATCTGCAAAAATCTTTTTGGAGGAGAGAACATTTGGTAAGGGCCTTAAGGGAGGGTTATATAGCACATCAATGATCTTGCATGGGAACACATGTTATATACAATTTGGGAAACCCATTCTTTAGTAGTAGGATTTGTAAAACATTATTTTATTGTTTGTTGGTGTGCCATGGAACAGAGTCAAAATGCTCTTCTAACACATTTCAACTGGAATTGGGGAGAGGCACTGTTTATTGAGTGCCAACCCACGTGCCAAGTAACCTATATGCATTTTCTTACTTAAGCCATACAATTATTAATGACTTTTTAAAACAAGAAAGCTTAGAGAATAGGAGTTTATGTGACTTGTAGAAGTGAAGTATCCATTAATAATTGCAATAGCAAACATTTATTGAGCATGTAATATGTTCCAGACACTTTACACCTTTATTATCTCAGTCATCATCCCCAAGATTGTATATGGGAGACATCATTATTGCTGGAGTTTGAGGGGACCAATGAGTATATAAAGCAGAGAGGCAGACAGAAGTAAATGGATCAGCTAAGATATTGATGAAAACCGAATTAGAGAACAAGGCTTAGACAAGTGGTAATGTTGTACTTTCTAATGCTCTTGTATGCAAATTTGACCTTGGAAAAGCCCATTCAATGGATATTGAGGTCTACAGAGCAGACATATGCATGATGATGCCCTTTCACTTATCCAGGTGAGGTAGGGTCCAAAGAGAGAAACTTCTGTGCTTTGGACTTTGATAAATAAGCTCCACCCACATACAAGAAATGTGTATCAACAGCTGCCATTCACCAATGAGGTAACTCAATCCATCTCTGACTGGGGGAGATGATGGGGCCAAGTAGCCAGGAGTGTTTAGGGACAATCTCTTTCTTGGAAACCAGAGATGAAGAGAAAGGCATCTTCTTTGTACCCCTAACCATTTTCCCCATTTTGTTGAGTAAGAATTGGAGGGAAAGAGCAGCTAAGTAAATTGCCCAGGTTATATAACTCTTCTGTGGCAGAGCCAGGGAGTCTGACTCTAGAGCTAATCAACCATGCTGGGCTGCTGAGCTCACACCCAGAGCTGCCTGGCTTGGGTTCTTCCACCATAGCATTGTTAAAACCTTAGACACACTAAATTTAACAGAGTTTAACTGAGCAAAGAATGATTTGTGAATCAGGCAGCCCCCAAACCAGAATAGGTTCAGAGAGGTTCCAGTGCTACTGTGTGATTGAAGATATATGGGCAGAAAAAGGAAAATGGCATACAGAAAATAGAAATAAGGTACAGAAACAGCCAGATTGGTTACAGCTGAATGTTTATTTTATTTGAACCTGGTTTGAAGAGTTGGCTGCCGTTGATTGGCCAAAACTCAATGACTGGTACAAAAGTAGGTTACAGTCTGTTTACACATCCAGTTAGGCTACAGTTCACTAGGTACAGAGAAATCTTTAGGCCAAACTTAAAATATGTAAAGAGGTAGCTTTGGGCTAAACTTAATTTAATAGCATATTATACGGCATGGAGAGATATGACCATGAAGTTGGAAATACATTAGCTGCTCAGTTTTCAAAAAGATTCTGGTGCAACTCTGGGTCCAGGGAACTAGGTATATAACTAACGCTTGCCTGCTTAACTTGTATGCTTGTATGTTCCTCTATTTTCACTGGCTGTAACTGCAACTGTCGGCAATGACCCAAGCCATACTTCACATTTCTTTGCCACTACCTTCACTCACTTCCTCCATCTCAGCTACTCAGGGCTTTCCAAACTTCCTGTCAGTCCAGTGTTTCATACTATCCTTCCAGGTGCCATTGTCAGCTCATGGCAGTCCCACCTGTAGACAACACCCAGATAGCAAAAAGTAAAGATTTTTGGTTCAAGTTCAACCTGATAACACTCTCCATATCTAGATATAATAATAATGCCAATATGTTAAGTGCTAACTACATCAATGTTTTGCAGGAATCAGCTCACTAATGCAACAGCCATATGTTCTTATTACACCACTCTTTTTCTCTGCACTGGGATGATATTTCAATCTGTTAACTTATGTGGTTCTTTCCTTTGGATTTTCTGCTACACTGAAATTCTTCCTCCTTGCTACAGGGACACCTTGCCTATCTCTTACCTCAGAGAAGGGGTGATTCTGGAGGAACAGCAAAAATACACTGAGATGTCTGATGTGTCTAATCTTGAGACTCCAAAAGATTTCTCAGGAGTTAGTTAGGGAGGATATTAAAGGGAAGAAGAGAGTAAGCATTGGGGCTCCCTTGGAAAAAAGGAGCCTTTTGCTCTATACTGCTCTACTCTGCATAGACCAAGCAAGAAGGATGGTGGATAAACCCTCTTTGCTTTGTGAGATCCAAGGAAAGAGGTGACTTTTCCCAGTTGTGCCTGGAGAGGTGACAATATGTCAGAGAAGGTGTGGCTTTGTGGTGGGTCTAGGAAGAGAGGGACTTCGAGGGCCTCAGGGTATCCTCCACTCAGTGGTGTGGGGTAGAACTGTGGCCGTAGGGCTGCAAATGGTCTTTTGTACTCAAAGAGGCATGGGTGTAGCTGAGAAAGGGTCCAGGCTCAAGAGGCCTTGATGCTGGAGATAAGGAAATAGAGCAGCATCCTTCGTGGGCCAGTAGCTAAGAACCAGGCAGGGCAGGGATCGTTCTGCAGAGATCAGATGTATAGGCAGCAACTGAGAACACCTCCCACCATCTCACAAAATGCGAGCCATGTATCCCAACCTGATCTAAATGTTATAGAGAACCCCAGGTAAACAGAGTGGGAAGAGCCCTGATGATGGGCTGAGATGAAGTTTCTGATACTACATGGAATGGGAGTTTGAAGAAATTAGGTCAAGTTAAAAATAACAAATTAATTAACCTCTGATGACAGAAAACAAAATAATTTCCTGGAGGGGTGGGAACTGGCTGGGATGGGGTTCAAGTAACTTTCTGGGCATGATAAATATGTTCTATATCTTGAGGGGGGTGTACATTACATGGGTGCCAGTATTGATCAAAACTTATCAAACTGTACACTTAAGATCTGAGTATTTAATTGAATATAAATTATGCTCCCATTAAAAGTTAAAGTGATAAAAATATTAAGGTTACATTTCTTGCATGCCTGAGTTTGCAACATTCATGATTATAAAGGTTACGCAGACAGGACCCATTTTGTTTGACCCTAGAGTCCGTGTTCTCCTGATTGAGACGCAGTGGGGCTTTATAATTGGAACCTCCTCCTGCCATTTGCAGCTGTGTGGCCTTGGAGGAGCCGTGAAAAAAGTCAAGGCATCAGTTTCCCTGTCAGCCATATGTGGATAGTTAACAGCTCTTACTTCAGAGGGTGGCTGTGTTTTATTGCATGTAAAGTCTTGGAAACAGTGCTGACACCGGTCTGAGCAGGTAGCTGTTCCTTGACAATAAGCGAAAAAACCTCAAACTGCAGCAGGTAGGGGGAAAGCAGAGGCCCCAAATTAATGTGCTTAGTCAGCCACAGGTCCCAGGCAAGCTAGAGTTAACACACGAACTTTTGGCCACTCAGCTCAATGGGAACTGCAACTGCAAATGCTTTGAAGACTGTTTACCAGGCAGGGGAATTTGATATTATGAAACTTCTAGAAAGATATTTGGCACTAGTAGAAGCACATAAACTTTAAAAGCCTGAATAAAGCCCACAGAAGAAGTTAAGAAAGTTTCTCAGGGAAAATGGAAAAGAAATGCTACAGTGATTTCAGGGGTTTCTAAGTTAGCTCAGTAATTCTGAGAGGCTTTCAGGGGCCTTTTCTTTCAGCTTTCTCTCAAGAGATAAACTATGAAGATGGCAGATATGAATTCCCCTGTGGAGAATAAATGCAGATAACATTTAAGTAATGTTAAATTAATACTCCTTCAACACAATTATTGAGGACTTATTGTTTCCCAGACATAGCTGTGGGAGCTGAGGAGGATGTATATGGAATAGAAATGTTTTGGAGAATTTCAAGTATGAAAGGGGAGGCAGACATGCACAAATCAGTGGAACATTGGGGAATAAAATGTAGGCTGTACTGGAGGTGTGAGCAAAGTGCTGTGGGAGGCTAGCTGGGAGCAGGGAATTCTGAATAGGGGTTGAGTGAGGGTTCATTGGATTGGCATTTGAGTGCAGGCTGGAAGGGTCACACTGGAGGTAAAGGGTGATGGTGTTATAGACACAGGGCCCAGGAGAGACTGAATCCCACCCTGTCAATCATCCCACTCTGTCAATCATCCCAGTAGTTTCCTTTGCATCTCTGAGAGAGGAACATACAAGGAACAAGAATATAACTGTTTTGTTAAGAGCTACCCAGTGTGCAATACCTTAACATGGAGCTTGCTCCTAAAGGTTGAGTTAGAGCATGAAACTAAGGCTCAAAGCAATGCCAGTGCTTCTCATTCTGCCCTCTTCTCCATCCTCACTGCCCTTACCACCAGATTTGATTCTTGGCATGCTTTGGTTATTTGTGGAGAATGAGAGACTGATCATATTCAAGTGGACTCTTGGGTTTAATTATCTACCTAACCACATGAAAGCTGGAAGAGGGAGGAAAGAAGGCAGCCGTCTGCCCTGAGATACTAGGGCCTGCCAAGGTCTGCTTACCACATTTATGTAGAAATTGTGAGAGAGAGAATGCATGAGTAGGCCTGTCTTCAATGATTATGCCTCCTAGTGAACACAGCCTAGTAAACATCTCCAATATTGTCCAATTAGATTAAGTCCTGTAATAGCTGGAAAAGATTGAGTTGGAGGTTCTTTCTACCCATAAGGAACAGGAGAGAAATATTCTCTTCCCTCCAGTGAACAATAGGGAATAAAGGCATCCCAACCTAGAAGAGAAGCTGTGTTTCATCCTGAATTTGTGAAAGAGTAGATGATGTTTGAAGACAAATACGTGTCCTTTATCGAAGGATAGGAAATGCACAGAGTTGGTGATGGGAGATGAGACTGGGAATACATGTTGAGCTGGAAAAGCAAGATCTCTTCTGCTCCATCAAAGCTTCCCTGAAGGTGAAAGCCTCCTTTAAACACATTGTCTTTTTTCATGCATATTTCACACATATTATGAGTCTTTTTTTAAATATGTTTCTTTGTAAGAACACTGAAGCTCAGAAAGATTTAGGAAGTTGTCCCAAGTCATACAGCTTGTAAATAGTTGGAACTAGCATCAGATAACCTTTCTCCTACTGCAGTACTCTTTCACTCATACATACTGCCTCAAAATTGGAACACGGCAGTCCATTAATTGTTAGAGGCTTAAATATAAAATGTAAAAAACGTATATACACAAACACACACACGCTTGTTTTGACTAGGGGTAATGGAGCTTGAGTACTAATCCTTTAATTTCCTGAGTCTTTCATGGATTATGTCTGTTGTCTCAACATTTCAAATAACATTTCAAATATCTAATTCATCATTTGTCCTGGATTTTTTATTTTACAAATTACTATTAACAATAGTTTCAATAAAACAATGTGGGATGGGTTTGGTAGAGTTCTGTTTCATATTTCTGGTTTCTGCCACAGTCTCATGGGTGTAGTGACCAAGTTCTCTCTTTTTTTCTTGAATTGTTTTAAATTTTAATGTTTGGTGTCCAAGTACTTTTTGGTTACATGGATGAATTATGTAGCGGTGAAGTCTGAGATTTTAGTGCATTCATCACCAGGTACGTACCTTATACCCAATCTGTAGGTTTTTATCCCTCACCCCCTCCCACCCTCCCCTCTTCTGTCCAGTGTCCATTATACCGCTTCATATGCATTTCCATACCCATAACTTAGCTCCCACTTATAAGTGAGAAGATATGGTTTTTGGTTTCCCATTCCTCAGTTACTTCATGTATAATAATAACTCCAGTTCCATCCAAGTTGCTACAAAAGACATTATTTCATTTTTTTTTTTTAATGGCTGAGTAGTATCCCATGGTGTGTGTGTGTGTGTGTGTGTGTGTGTGTGTGTGTGTGTATGATCTTTATCTACTCATCATTGGATGGGCAGTTAGGTTGCTTCCAAATCTTTGCAGTTGTGAATTGTGCTATAATAAACATATGTGTGCAAGTGCCTTTTTGATATAACGACTTCTTTTTCTTTGGGTAGATACCCAGTAGTGGGATTGCTGGATCGAAAGGTTAGATCTACTTTTAGTTCCTTGAGAAATCTCCAAACTGTTTTCCGTAAAGGTTGTACTAATTTAAATTCCCACCAGCAGTACTTAAGTGTTCCCTTTTCAACACATCCATGCCAACATCTATTGTTTTCTGACTTTTTAATAATGGTCATTCTGTAGGGGGTGATGTGGTATCTCAGTGTGGTGTTAATTAATACTTCCCTGATGATTAGTGATATTGAGCATTTTTGCATATGTTTGTTGGCCATTTGTATATGTTCTTTTGAGAAGTGTCTATCCCTGTCATTTGCCCACTTTTTGATGGAATTATTTATTTTTTTCTTGCTGATTCATTTGAATTCCTTGAAGATTCTGGAAATTAGTCCTTTGTTGGATGCATAGTTTGCAAATATTTTCTCCCATACTATGGGTTGTCTGTTTATTTCTTCTGCTGTGTAGAGCTTTTTAGTTTAAATTCTTTGCCTAGGCCAAAATACAGACGAGTTTTTCCTAGGTTTTATTTTAGAATTTTTATAGTTTCAGGTCTTAGATTTAAGTCTTTAATCCATCTTGAGTTGATTTTTGTATACGGTGAAAGGTAGGGATCTAGATTTATTCTTCTGCATGCGGCTATCCAGTTTTCCCAGGACCATTTATTAGATAGGGTGTCCCCTCCCCAATTTATGTTTTTGTATGCTTTGTCGAAAATCAGTTGGTTCTAAGTATTTGACTTTATTTCTGCTTTCTGTATTCTGTGCAGTTGGTCTCTGTATCTACTTTTATACCAATACCATGCTGTTTTGGTTACTATAGTCTTATAATATAACTTGAAGTAGGGTGATGTGATGCCTCTAGATTTCTTCTTTTTACTTAGATTGCTTTGGCTATTTAGGCCCTTTTTTTGGTTCCATATGAACTTTAAGACTGCTTTTTTCTAATTTTGTGAAAAATCACGTTGGTATTTTGATAGGAATTGCACTGAATCTACAGATCACTTTGGGCAATATGGTCATTTTCACAATATTGATTCATCCAATCAACAAGCATGGGATATTTTTCCATTTGTGTCATCTATGTTTTATTTCAGTAGTGTTTTGTAGTTCTTGTAGAGATATTTCACCTCCTTGATTAAGTATATTCCTAGATATCTTATGTATGTATGTATGTATTTTTTTGTAGCCATTGTACTTGATTTGATTCTCAGCTTGGTCACTGTTTGTGTATAGCAGTGCTACCAATTTGTGTACATCGATTTTGTAACCAGAGGCTTTACTGAATTCATTTATCAAATGTAGGAGTCTTTTGGAGGAGTCTTTAGGGTTTTCTAGGTACATAATCATATCACTGGCAAACAGAGACAGTTTGACTTTCTCTTTTCCTATTTATTTGGATGCCCTTTATTTCTTTCTTTTGCCTGATTGCTCTAGCTAGGACTTCCAGTACTATGTCGAATCTAAATGGTGAAAGTGGACATCCTTGTCTTGTTCCAATTTTTAGGGGGAATGCTTTCAACTTTTCCCCATTAAGTATAATGTTGGCTGTGGGTTTATCAAATATGGCTGTTATTATTTTGAGGTATGTTCATTTTATGCCTAGTTTATTGAGGGTTTTATCACAAAGGTATGCTGGATTTTATCAAATGATTTTTCTGCATCTATTGAGATGATCTTAAGATTTTTGTTTTTAATTCTGTTTATGTGGTAAATCACATATGCCTAACATATGAATAATATATGACTTGCATATATGTTAAACTATCCCTGCATCCTTGGAATTAAACCCACTTGATCATGTTGAATTATCTTTTTGATGTGCAGTTGTATTTAGTTAGTACTTTGTTGATGATTTTTGTATCTGTGTTCATCAGAGATATTGGTCTGTAGTTTTCTTTTTTCTGTTTTTTTTTTTTGAGACAGGGTCTTACTGTGTCACCCAGGTTGGAGCGGAGTGGTGTGATCTTGGTTCACTGCAACTTCTGCCTCTCAGGCTCAAGCAATCCTCCTACCTCAGTCTCCCAAGTAGCTGGAACTACAACGCATGCCACCAAACCTGGCTAATTTAAAAACATTTTTGGTAGAGATGGGGTCTCCCTATGTGGCCCAGGCTGGTCTTGGACTCCTGAGCTCAAGTGATCTACCCACCTTGGCCTCCCAAAATGTTGGGATTACAGGTGTGAGCCACTGCACCTGGTGGTCTGTAGTCCTCTTTTTCTGTTACATTTTTTCTTGGCTTTGATATTAGGGTGATACTGGTTTAATAGGATGAATTAGGGAGGATTCCCTTTTTCTTAATCTTTTAGAATCATTTCAGTAGGATTGGTATCAGTTCTTCTTTGAATGTCTGTTAGAATTTGGTTGTGAGTCTGTCTGACCCTGGGTTTTTCTTCTTGGCAATTTGTTTTTTATTACTGATTCAATCTCACTACTTGTTATTGGTCTGTTCAGGATTTCTATTTCTTCCTGATTCAAGCTAGGAGGATTGTATGTTTCCAGGAGTTTGTCCATTTCATCTAGGTTTCCATTTGATTCAAGCTAGGAGGATTGTATGTTTCCAGGAGTTTGTCCATTTCATCTAGGTTTCCATTTCCTCTAGATTTTGTAGTTTGTGTGCATAGAAGTGTTCATAGCCGTTTCAGATGTTCTTTTGTATTTCTGTGGTGTCAATTGAAATATTTCTATTTTCATTTTTAATTGAGCTTAATCTTCTTCTCTTGGTTAATCTACTTAATGGTCTACCATTTTTTAAAAATCTTTTCAAAGAGCTAACTTTTCATTTCATTGACCTTTTGTATTTTTTTGTTTCAATTTCATTAAGCTCTGCTCTGATCTTTGTTATTATTTTTTTTTAGAGACAGAATCTTGCTCTGTTGCCCAGGCTGGAGTGCAGTGACATGAACTCGGCTCACTGCAAGCTCCGCCTCCTGGGTTCATGCCATTCTCCTGCCTCAGCCTCCCAAGTAGCTGGGACTACAGGCGCCTGCCACCATGCCCAGCTAATTTTTTGTATTTTTAGTAGAGATGGGGTTTCACCGTGTTAGCCACGATGGTCTCGATCTCCTGACCTTTTGGATCTACCTGTCTCGGCCTCTGTAAGTGTTGGGATTACAGGCGTGAGCCACTGTGCCCGGCTCTGTTATTTTTTTTTCTTCTGCTAGCTTTGGGTTTGGTTTCTTCTTGTTTCTCTAGTTCCTTGAGGTGTGATGTTAGGTTGTCAATTTGTGATCTTTCATACCTTGTGATGTAGACACTTAGCACTATAAACTTTCCTCTTAGCACTACTTTTGCTGTATCTCAGAGGTTTTGATAACTTGTGTCAGTCACTATTATTCATTTTGAAAAATTTTTCAATTTCCATCTTGATTTCATTGTTAACCCAAAAAATTGTTCAGGATCAGGTTAATTTCCATGTATTTGTAGTTTTGAGGGTTCCTTTAGGAGTTGATTTCTAGTTTTATTCCACTGTGGTCTGAGAAGATACTTGAGATTATTTTAGATTTTTAAAATTTATTGAGACTTATTTTGTGGTTCATTTTGGAGAATATTCCATGTGCTGCTGAGAAGAATGTTTATTCTGCAGTTCTTTGGTAGAATGTTTTATAAATATCTACTAGCACCATTTGTTCTAGAGTGCAGTTTAAGACCAGTGTTTCTTTGTTGACCATTTGTCTTGATAATCTGTCTAGTGCTGTCAGTGGAGTGTTGAAGTCCCCCACTATTATTGTATTGTTGTCTGTCTCTTTTCTTAGGTCTAGTAGTACTTTTTTTATGAATCTGGGAGCTCCAGAGTTAGGTACATATATATTTAGGATTGTAATATCTTCTTTTTGGATCAATCCTTTTATCATTACATAATGGCTTTTTTTGGTCTTCTTTTTACTGTTATTGCTTTGAAGTCTGTTTTTCTGACTGACATAAGAATAGCTACCCAAACTTCTCTGTATCATTTTAATGTTAGTATTATGCTGCCAAAGTGAGAACATGTGCTGCCAAATCAAGCACCCAAATTCTCTCTTAACATGTTGTCAAATCTGAAAGTCAACCAGCTATAATCTGTTCTTCCTGTCTTGACTCTGCATGTGCAACTTAATTAACACAATCAATTAGGGTCTCACTCCTGTGATTCCTTCTGGTCATGGGTGATAGGGGGAACACATACTTGAACCTGTTGTACCTTCCAGCTATGTAATGTGCTGTGGGCAACAGCCTGTGAAGTGCACAAAGCTGTCAGTCTGTCAGGGGGCAGATCAGTGGGGAGCATGGAGAACTAATAGTGAGGAATACAAAAGATATTTGTGTAGAGGAGAGGCTGCACAGTCCTTCCATAGAGAGCATGAGGAATGAGCTGGATGCCTTGGATCCATTGGTTCTGTCATTTATTGTATGGTGTGCAACTACCATAATTTTAGTGTTTTATGTTTAAGCTTTGTTATTTATTTTGTAAAAAACATTTAATTCCAGAAATTATTCCCCAAACTAAAGGGTACATTCAAGGACATTTAAATTTAATCCTACCTTCTGTTTTTCCCCAAAAAGTTTTGATAAGAAACACGTTCCTTATAAAAAAAAGTTTGTCAGTTTGCCATCCACCACAAGGCTGATAATGAAATCACTGACCACTTAGCTCCAGAAAATACAGATCTGCCAAAGAAACTTCAGTATCTATTTCAAAGTTAGTGATTATACTTTAAGACCATGCCTGAAAATTGGCAGCACATATAACAGACACACATGCAGCTTCAGAGAGCACCTTTACTCTGTAAAGCATGACTTTTCATTTAGATCAAACGATTTTTAGAAATTATTTTCACTCATATTTGATGTCATGTTTTCTTGTAAATGTTTGAAAAGGGACAAAATGGTGGCTAATATGCTACCACCATCAAAAGAGGAACTTTGCAAACACTTAGATGATAAAACTATATAGAAAGTCAGGTAATTTCAATGATATTTAATATTTTTATCCAAACATGAAATCAAAGGAGGGCTTTGCAAACTCATTTCTTCAAAGATGAAACATATACTATTGTGAATACCATTATAAATTCAGTGAAAATTTAACATGGAAGATATAAATTTTCTGTTAATATTATGAAAACAAGTTTTTGTAAACCAGTTCTGTGGTACAAATAATGTTAATAAATTTAAGAAAAACAACAACCATGAGGCAGAAATATACTTGATCTTGGTCACAGAGCTACATAATTAAAAATGCTATTTAAACAAGTGAGGGAGATTATCTATCTACCTACCTACCTACTATGTATCTATCTGCTTTCCTTCATTGCTACTTAAAATTGACCCAGTTTAAAAACCTGTGAAAATGTGAACTACTTTGTAAATAAACCTAAGTGTCTTAGAGCACTTTAGAACTTCTATTATGTACAAGTCCTCTAAATTGTGGTACCATTTTGTTCAAAAATGACTTAGAAATCTTTATTCAAGATAGTTTAAAAAGTAAGCAATTTGAGGGTTAAAAGCAAATTGCTATTACCAAAAACAAAACTTGCAAACAGGAAGATACTAAAATGTATCCTTACAAAGGCAGAGGAAGAAATAAAATATTTAAGTGATAAGAGCTCAAAGGGTATATAATATTTCACTTTGAAATGTTAACATTGTTCAATTTAGGGAAAAATCCTTTTATTTAACTTCAACTTTTAATTAGATAATTGATACCTTATACTAAACTGGAATTAGATTGAAAAAGCCTATAATTTTGCAGCTTCTACATTTAGTAAAATATTCAAACAAAATGGAAATACAATTTACTTGACATATTTTGTCTTATAAAATATATATTGTATAAAAGCACTCTGCATAGAGGCAAAATGGCTGTACTGGTAAAAACGTGTATGCCAATGTTTTTATGTATTTCAGTATAAAACAGAATGAAGAATAATCTTCATTTAGTAGAATCTACTCTGAGCTTACAAGAGGACTTTTTTCCCTCGAGCAAGAAAGTTTTCTCAATTAAAATTATTATGATCTCTAGGTTAATTATTAGGTACTAACAATTGCAAATTTACTATTCATAGAATGCATATTTGGAAAAGGTTTCAGTAACTTTTATGTAAAAAAAAATGACTGCTAAAAACAGATTTGTCAGAAAATATCAGTGATACTGTATTAAAATCAGATATGGCTATGCGTTGTATTAAAGTTGTGATTTCTGCTAGTGTTATTTTTAATGTTTAGATAAAAAAAGATTTGTAATATTTCTCTTAAAATGTTTGAATCTATGCTACTTAAAATTGTAGAAAAAAAATTTTGTTTTAGAAAATAGTTTTGGTATAGAACTCTTTCATAGGTCTACCGATACTGTTTCTTTTTTCATATGTATATTTAGATGTGTGCATACATACATGTGATATATATACACACACACATATGTGAGCTTATCCAAATGTGGATATATATATGTACAAACACACACATACAGACTTTTAGAATGCACTTTTACTCTTAAAAGTGTTGTGGTTTGGATGATAAAGTATATGAATCTTAAAATATCCTAAAAATATTTTTCTTTTGAGAATACTTCCAAGACTGAAACATATGAAGCATTATCAAGCATTATCTCTCCAGGTCACCTTGCGTTATTGTAAAAAAAAAAAAAAAAGAAAAGGAACTCTGAAGTCAGGCAAACTTGGGTTTAAATGAAGGCTCCACCAATAAGTAGTAGTGTCTTGATTTAAGTTCCCGTTTGCCAGAGACAACTCTTCTGTATTAATTACTCATCTTCAGAATATTTCTCCTTTTGGAGTACTGACTATATAACAAAGTTTATCATAAGAGTATTAGTTGAAAGGTAACCAGCAGAATGAAATTCAATTTTTGCAAAATAACAGACAATATAAGTATAAGAGCAAGACAAAGAAAGCAAATAAGATAGTCTACATGAGGCTGGGCGCAGTGGCTCATGCCTGTAATCCCAGCACTTTGGAAGGCTGAGGTGGGAGGATCACAAGGCCAGGAGATCGAGACCATCCTGGCTAACACGGTGAAACCCTGTCTCTACAAAATACAAAAAAAAAAAATTAGCCGGGTGCGTTGGCGGGCTCCTGTAGTCCCAGCTACTCAGGAGGCTGAGGCAGGAGAATGGCGTGAACCCGGGAGGTGGAGCTTGCAGTGGGCTGAGATCACGTCACTGCACTCCAGCCTGGGTGACAGAGTGAGACTCTGTCTCAAAAAAAAAAAAAAAAAAAAAAAAAAGGTAGTCTACATGATGAATTACTATGGCTTGATATTCAGAAAATGAATCACAAATATTTGTGGTATGTTGTTGATATTACTCTAAGACTGTTGTCTGCATATTACATGATGAAACAAATGAGTAATTGTATGATATTCCAATACGATCTTTTCTAATGTCTTGAATATCTAGATTTTTAGTATTTAAGAACAGAGATAATTATATATGTTAAGAAGCTTAAGTAAAAACCCTGAAGCTTGGCATTTGAAATGAAACCATCAGTGTGTATTTATAATGTGTTTTATTTTCAGAATTATTTCCTAGCCTTGTCCTCTGAAAGGCATTGAAGCAGTCACCTACCTCTCCATTGGCAGTGTGCATATCCTTAGTTCCCAGATTGTGGTTTGTAAATATCATTCCTTCCTAAAAGGAAAGAAATTTTTGGAAATGTTCAAGATGAGTCTTGAGCATGTTTCAAATGAGAGAACAAGGAAGTAATCCAAGTACTAGGGTGATGTCTAAAGGACACAGGACCCAC
Source organism: Homo sapiens (assembly GCF_000001405.40). Lineage (NCBI taxonomy): Eukaryota > Metazoa > Chordata > Mammalia > Primates > Hominidae > Homo > Homo sapiens. The sequence goes on along the minus strand of NC_000008.11, from coordinate 134,214,343 downwards.
TTGCAGTGGCTCCCACTGGCCAAAGATGGCATGATTTGAGCAACAGTAAGAAACGTCAGTGGAAGGAGAAATGCAGTATGTTTAAATCCTTTGGTTTACAATGACACACACAAAAAACTTAAACTGACTACATGGTGATAGATGCCAGTAAATCAATGTATCACTTGAAAATGATAAAGAAAAAGAATCAAGCAATTATTCTAGCTTTCCTCCATGACTGTATATCTAGTACCAAATAGTTGATGAGAGCAAGTTTCTCTGTATAAAACTATTCCAACTAATAGGTGAAGAACAAATGATAGAATAGGATTATCACAGTTTTTCAAACCTAGTGGATCTAGGCACTGAGCCTTGGTGGCTGCAAATATCATAAAAGAGGCCACCAGGTATTATGTGCCCAATGATATCAGGACACAATGCCACCTGTGAAGTAGCCTTGCCAAAAACCATGAAATTTGAATCTGATCAAGCTTTCAGCTTCAGCAGTTTACAGAAAATACAGAGGACAGAGGGAAAAGTTAATGGACATCAGGGGGTGTAGTCATCAAAATCCAAACTATGAGAACTTTGGCAGCATAAATGATCTGGTTCCTTCAATAATAAATTGTCAGAGCAATGGTGGGGGTGGGGGTGGGAGTGGAGATGGGGGACAGACTCAGAAGACTTGAGAGCTGTATCAACCAATTGAAACGTGTGGATATTATTTATATCCTGTTCTAATTTATAACATCTATCTATATCTACGTATATATGTGTGTGTGTATATATATAAGGTTGGTGCAAAAGTAATTGTGTTTTTGCCATTAAAGGTAATTGCAAAAAAACACAATTAGTGTTGCACCAAACTAATATGTAAAAAATTATCTTTGATGGTATTAAGGAATGCTGCTAGCTTTTAGGCATGACAATAATGTTGTTAAAATGAAAAAAAAAACATCTAGTCAGATACTTAAGCCATCATTTTTGAAAATAATAACAAAAATTAAACCAGAATAGTCTTGGAATAATCAAGATTCTGAATTTCTCAGGTAGGTTATCATTTGGATTTCTAGACAAATTCGGACACTTGATTGTTTTTTGATACTGGGTCAGCCCCTTATAGAAAAGATAAGGTATATGAAAGTTCTTATAATTCAGTAAAGTCACTTGAACTGAATTTTTGAGCCTCAGTTTATCTGATTAACTCTAAATGGCTTCCTACATTGACTTTCCCTGGCTCTAGGTCAAAGAGTTGCCAACCCATAGATGTTAGTTATAAAATACCATGTGTGCATAGTGTGTTCAACTTTCTCAAATGAAACATAACAAAACATACTTGTCAATTTTCTTGATTCTCAAGAATTGCATGTGTAACGAGTCTCTTCATGGGTGTAGAAACTGAGCATATGGTTCAGACTTGCCCAAAAATACATAACTGGACTCCACTCTCCTGTGCCTCTGTCTGGCAAATTACCTTGATGTTGAAATGGTCACGATGAGCCATCACAGACACTGCTAATCTCCTTTCTCACCCTTGATCTCAAACTGTACGTCTAACAGAGGAGGCAACTCACTAAGACCTTTCATGGCTGATTCCAATCTTGCTTTTGTCCTAAAAGGATCACTGAAGAAGGATACTGATATGGTTTGGTTGCGTCCCCACCCAGATACCATCTTGAATTGTAACTCCCACAATTCCCATGTGTTGTGGGAGGAACCCGGTGGTAGGTGATTGAATTATGAGGGCAGGTCTTTCCTGCGCTGTTCTTGTGGTAATGAATAAGTCTCAGGAGATCTGATGCTTTGATAAGGGGAAACCGTTTCGCTTGCCTCTCATTTTCTCTCTTGCCACTGCCATGTGAGATGGGCCTTTCACCTCCCACCATGATTGTGAGGCCTCCCTAGCCAGGTGGAACAGTAAGTCCAATAAACTTCTTTCTTTTGTATCGTCCCCAGTCTTGGGTATATCTTTATCAGCAGCATGAAAACGGACTAATACAGATATAGTCTAAGGAACAAGATCGGAAGGAATAGAAAAGGAAGGGAGGGAGGGAGGAAACATGTTCTGGGCATTGAGAAAGACACATTTGTAAATATTGCACTTTTTCGAATATTGGCAAAGACCTGTGACTTGGGTATTATTTTCTCAATTTGATAGATGGGAGAATTGAAGCTCATGAATAAACAAGTTGTCCTCGCCAAAATTCCACCCAGTGATAGATGGGAGAATTGAAGCACATGAATAAACAAGTTGTCCTCGCCAAAATTCCACCCAGGTCAGAGAAAGCAAAGTCAGGATTTGAACCCAAATCTTCCTTCAAATTCAGATCTCTTCCTCTACCACTGGTTTTCTGGAACTCTCAAATCAGCCTGTCCTCAATCCCTATGGCTGGCACACCAGGAGATCTTCTGAGTGCGATCTTCACACCCCTCTGGAATTGGCATTCTTCTTCTAGTGTCCCTTCCACTGCTCCTTGGAAACAGCAAGTTCTGTTTTTAGAAAAAGATCTGTCAAAGGCATCATGTTGCTGAGTTGACAGCAGAGAGAACTTCTGTTGGCTTCCATATGGGAACCAACAGTTACAGATGGGAAGACTTACTGCAACCTTGAAGATTAAAATAAGAAGGCTCCTGCTTGCAAGGTTAATGATTAAAAAGAAAGAGAAAAAGCAAGGGCTGCAAGGCAGTGCCATACATCACGGCTTTTTAAGATGTGGGCTGAGCCCAGTTAATGGGCTCCACACCTGCTCCCACCTCACTGCCCCCACTCTTCCCTCTCCATGTCTACAAGACAGAGTCACTTCCCTTTATAAGGTGCCTTACCACATTATTAAAGCTGGAGATTTGAGGAGAACACAGCTGACCTGCCTTGTAACAAGCCATTCCTTTTGCAAAGAGAGAGGTCTTGTGGGGATATAAAAACTATTTAGGCACAATATAACATTATAAAGTTTGTTAAAAGTTTTAAATATTTCACAGATGCAAAAGTTGAGATCCAAAGATCTCAGATGACTTGCATAGTGTCACACAACAGGTAGATGCCAAGCAGCTAGTTTCAGTAGAAAGAACCCCGAACTGCAAGCCAAAAAACCTGATTTTCCATTCTATCTTGGATAACAATTATCAGTGTTACTATTGGCCAGCAAGTTAGTCTCAACTCAGTTTTCAAATTTATAAATAGGATATAATGCAAGCAGCTTTCCTTGACTTACAGAGTTATTTAAATTATAAACAAGTAAGACTACGCAAACTTTTGATTCCCAGTCCAGCGTGTAAAGAGCTTGGAAGTCATCTCTTAGGTTCACATAATAAGACATAACCGAACAAACTGAAAACCAACAACTCTTCTTAGATCCATCAGAGAACCAAGGTGATAGGGAAACCCACTGCCTTGAAAATTTCAGAGGCTGACAATTAGATACAAAGAATGTCAGCTTACCAGAGCAGAATCCCAAGGGCAGAAAACTTGATGGGAACCAATTAGGAAAACCAAATCTGTAATTGAGGAATTATTGGAGACTTAGTTTGAACATTTCTGAGATTTAAAAACCCAGAGGGGGGTCCAGAAAATGAGAAGATAAACCACAGACTGGGAGAAGATATTTGCAAAAGGCATATATGAGAAAGAACTCTTATCCAAAATATATACAAAGAACTCTTAAAACTCAACAATAAAACATAGAACAACCTGATTTAAAAATGACCAATATGAACAGGCACTTCACCAAAGAAGATACACAGCTGACAAATACATGCTCAACATTATATGTCATAAGAGAAATGCAAATTAAAACAATGAGATACCACTACACACCTATTGGAACAGCCAAAATCCGGAACACTGACACCAAATGCTGGTGAGAACCTGAAGCAATAGGAACTCTCATGTACTGTTGGTGAGGATGGAAATGACACAGGCGCTTTGGGGAGACAGCTGGGCAGTTTCTTGTAAAACTAAACATACTCTTAACATATGATCAAACAGTCCATCCCTCTCAATTCCCTAATCCCTGATAACCACGGATCCTTCTATCACCATAGTTTGCCCTTTATCAGGATGTCATATAATGGTAATCATACAGCCTGTTCAGATTCCTTCTTTCACCTGCACATGAATGTTTATAGCAGCTTTATCCACATTTACCAAAACTTGGGGAAACCACTAAGATGCCCTTCAGTAGGTGAATGGATAAACTATGGGACATCCAAGCAGTGGAATGTTATTCAGTGCTAAAAAGAGATGGTCTGTCTTAGCAATGAAAATACATGAAGGAATCTTAAATTCATTTTGCTAGGTGAAAGAAGGAATCTGAAAATGCTGTATGATTCCCATTATATGACATCCTGAAAAGGTAAAGCTATGGTAGTAGAAGGATCCGTGGTTATCGGGGTTAGGGAGGTGAGAGGGATGAACTGATGGGGCACAGAGTATTTTTAGGCCAGTGAAATTACTCCACATGATACTGTAATGCTGGATACATTTGCCAATACCCATATAATGCACAACATCAAGAGTGAACCATCATGTAAACTATGAACTTTGGGTAATAATGACATGTCAATCTAGGTTGAGTGATTGTAACCAATGTTGCACTCAGGTGTGGGATGTTGATAGTGGGGCAGGCTGCACCTGTGTGGGGCAGGAGTATGTGAGAGAGCTCTGCTTTCTGCTCAATTTTGCTGTAAACAGAAAACTGCTCTACAAAATACAGTTAGAAAAAACCATCATGGGGGCCCAATCTTTGGGTGCCCCTGCACTTTCATGAATTTTACCTCTTGGAGCTCTAATAGCTTCTCACAGTGAAGAAAGGAGAAAAGTTCCCTTGTGCTTCTGGCAAGAAGAAGGAAAAAACAGCCATTTTGAAATACATGCTGAGCCTCTGATCTTAACAGGGCCTGCCCACAAGAAAAACTAAATTTTCAGAGCCTAACCTGCTTGGATTTTATCAGAGCCTAACTAGCCTGGAGGAAGAGAAATACCAAACTCTCAGGACAGGATGTTATGTGAGTTAACCCTAAGCTCACAATGCACTCTGCACAAAGAAACCATTCCTGATTCTGTTTTCCATCTCAAAATATGCCAGGTACACTGAATGACAGAGATGGCCAGTAGATGTGGAATAGAAACAATGGTGGCAAAATATTCCAAATAATACAAGGCCAGCAAAATAAAATATACCCAATTTAAGCTATATGAACTTCTGTTATTATATTTTTAATGAAGAATTAAAACTCCCCAAATTAAATTTTCTTCCAATTAAAGTTTAATAAAACTAAAAGGCCAAAATTATTCCCATCTTAATTTCATATTTTGTTTTGTCTCTGAGTATACAAGGTATATACAATTATTGTACTTATCTCATGGGGCTACTGTGAGAGTTAAAATTTAGCTGAGCTTGTGAAATGTTCAGCTGTGTCTCTTGAGAGCATGCTCAGTGAATGGTAGGAATCATGACAGCTCTATCTTCAGGAAGAAATCTTCAGGAAGAAAGTTGGACTTGTATCAAAGTGGTCTCCTGACAGGTAGGGGACTCCATGAACTAAGGTCTAGTTCAGTGATGGGACTCTAGATCCCAAGAGTGGAATTCTAGACAGCAAGCATTGAGTGCTTCTCTGATGTTGTTACTCAAATAGGGACTGAGACCAAAACAGCAAGACTTAGGTCCAGATACCAGAGCCAGGCATGAAGTCTCAACAATGAGCTATGCTGAGTGCTGGCATTGAAAACCAGTATCTTAAATTCATTCTGTCTCCGGCTGTAGGACTGGCCTAGGGGCCAGTGTGGAGCTGACCCGGCCATGTGCGAGTCATGTCTCCAGCCCTGAGAAAAGGAAACAACAGGAAGCAGGTGGGCTCTTACTCTTGTTTTCCCTCTGGAGAATGAGATGCTTGTTTCTCATTGCAAAGTGGCAAAGCTTTGCTATGAAACTCTCTCAGACTTAAGGGAGTCTGTGTCTCTTAATCTTCCATGAACAAATAGCATTCGTACAGTTCTGTTTATGGTCCCTAAGGATGAAGAACCTCCACATCACAGAAAGAGTGGCCAAAGAGACCTGCTGAGCTGTAAAATCAGGTCATAGCTGCAGGAGAGGATGGCTGTCCAGGGATCATTTGAGTCTCTGAAGATAGAATTGGCTGAGCTGCTGTATCTTTCATATTTCCGTGGGATCTGGCCTTTTCCAGGGAAAAAGTGGAAAGGCGGCAAAGTGTGACTTTGGTGCCCTCAAACCCTTTTTGCCTTTTTAGATAATGTCTGCTTTTTCTCATTTCATGCTTACAACATGCCCCAAACCTGGAGTGCTTTTCTCCTTATGCCAAATTATTAACCGTTTGTTTATTTGCTTATGTATTTACTTACTTACATACCTCAGACCAGATGTCAGGTTCTCCATGTCAACTTTCCTCTCTGAGCCATCCATTAGAAAATAACTTCTTCCACTTTTGAACCCCAAATGGTAATATTTACCCCTCCTTTTAACATTCAATCCTAGTCATGGACAGTGCAGTTTTAGGGATATAATTTCCATGCATATCAACCTGCCTCACTGACCTGCCCACCCAAACCCATTTATATAAAATCTCTACTAAGACCGCTCTTGGGGTCAGGTGCCATTACATTGGAGAAATGTAGGTACTTTGTTTGTACAGCAGGTAGGACAGCCAGGCAGTGAGGAAAATCTACCTGGAGATGAGGATCTCCGTGGTTATAGGATGAAGTCATTTCTCAAGTCTTCCCTCCCCAGCTACATCACATCCTGTGTGATGGGGAAAGGAAAAGGAGACTAACATATGAGTTACCCTTGAGGGCAGAGAGGTATGCTCCATTCTGCACAATGCTATGTGCCTGACATAGTATGTGCTTCACTACATGTGCTTAGAGAGTTAATCAATGGATGGCTGTCCACACTTCAAATTCCCAGAACATATATGCTGTTTAGGATAACCTAGCAGCCAATATTAAGCTGAAAAACTTGCATTTACCTTCAGGCAGATCCAAATAGATCTTTTCCTTCTTTCCTTTGTCTCTTTAAAGACATGTCCATCATAGTTTTTCTTGGAAGAAATAAAAAAAGAGGGAAGCGAAGAACATAAGAAGCAAACAAGATGAGAGGGCTACTCAGAGAGGGAGAGGAGCGTGCCTTTCCTGGGGCATTTATTTATTAAAATTCTATCTTGCCTCAGGCACCCTGCTGATCTTCCCACCAATAGCTGTGTACTTGGGCAACTTCTTTTACTTGTCACGACTTTCTGGACTCAGTTTTCTCCCCTGACAAATATAAATAAAAACGACTACCTAATAGTTGTGATAGTGAACTGAGACAATCTTTTAGTAAAATACTTAGTAAAATACTTAGGAAATTGCTTTGGCTCATGATAATGCTAAAAATGATGTGATGGTGATGCCACCTTCAGAAGGTCCATGAGAAACCATCATCATCATCCTCCCCCAAATACAACATATTAGGTTGGTGCAAATGTAACTGTGGTTTTTGAATTGCTGAAATTTCCTATTTGATATTGGAATATATTTTAAAATAAATGTGGTTATGTTATACATCATTTTAATGCACATTTTTTTTTGCCAATGATTACTTGCAATGTATTTTATATTTATTTTAGACTATGGAAATGATGTTAGACAAAAAACAAATTTGAATGATTTTATTTAAGTTCAAGATGGGTCATAAAGCAGCAGAGACAACTTGCAGCATCAACAACACATTTGCCCCAGAAACTGCCAAGGAGCAAACAGTGCAGTGGTGGTTCAAGAAGTTTTGCAAAGGAGACAAGAGCCTTGAAGATGAGGAGCGTAGTAACCAGCCATTGGAAGTTGACAATGACCAATTGAGAGCAATCACCAAAGCTGATCCTCTTACAGCTACACGAGAAGTTTCCAAAGAACTCAATGTCGACCATTCTGTGGTCATTCGGCATTGGAAGCAAATTGGAAAGGTAAAAAAGCTGGATAAGTGGGTGCCTCTTGAGCTGAGTGAAAATTTGAAAAAATTGTTTTGAAGTGTTCTCTTGTTCCACACAACAGTGAACCATTTCTTGATCGAATTGTGACGTTCAATGAAAAGTGGATTTTATACAGTAACCAGCAATGACCAGCTCAGTGGTTGGACCCAGAAGCAGCTCCAAAACAATTTTCAAAGCCAAGCTTGTACCAAAAAAAGGTCATGGTCACTGTTTGGTGGTCTGCTGCCTGTCTGATCCACTACAGCTTTCTGAATCTTGGCAAAACCATTACATCTGAGAAGTATGCTCAGCAAATTGATGAGCTGCCCTGAAAACTGCAATGCCTGCAGCCAGCATTGGTCAACAGAAAGGGCCCAGTTCTTCACCACCACAATGCCCGACCGCATGTAACACAACCAACACTTTAAAGTTGAACAAACTGGACTACGAAGTTTTGCCTCATCCACCATATTCTTCTGACTTCTCACCAATGGACAACCAATTCTTCAAGCATCCCAACAACTTTTTGCAGGGAAAATGCTTCCACAACCAGCAGGATGCAGAAAATGCTTTCCAAGAATTCATTGAATCCAGAAGCACAGATTTTTATGCTACAGGAATAAACAAACTTATTTCTCGTTCGCAAAAATGTGTTGTTTGTAATGGTTCCCATTTTGATTAATAAAGATGTGTTTGAGCCTAGTTTAAATGATTTAAAAGTCACAGTCCAAAACCACAATTACTTTTACACAAACCTAATACATTTTTGACTTTCCTTTCTCTTCTTCCCTCTTTCCTTTCAAATGTCAGTTAAGTATAAGTCCCTTGAAACATTTAAAACATGTATTTTTTCTTTCTTTTATCCTTGGTCTAGACCCTACTGATTCACTCATGCCTTTCTGGAAATAATCCACACTCTCACCTTCATTTGCTCCCTCTCTTCAGCAGAAGTGGTCTTAAACTATGTCCAAGGAGCCCTCATGTTAAAAGGGACATTCAGGCACCACCTCTTACATTCTATTCAAACAGAACAATTCTGATTGAGTTTACTTTTTGCAGCGGACTTCATGTAAAATCTAATTTTGGGGGGAAAATTTTTAAAGAGATACAAAAATCAGGTTTCTATTTATAGCCATAACTTACTATTTTATCCTAAACAACTATGCAAATGGATGAAATATATGACATTACCAATAAACAGGACAGTATTCTTGGGACAAAATATCCTTGAGAGAAGCCCAATATTCATGCTGGCTTTCTGTCTGGGGCATGTTTATTACCGCACAGCATGAGGATGGAGCTCAAGTGGAAAGAGGCACTTGTGCTGACCCAATGAGGCAGAGATTGAAGATTCCAAGCTGCTGAAGCAGGTGGAGTTGTGGGGCCCAGTTCCCATGCACAAGGCCACAGTCAGTTCAGAACCTTGCTGTTTCTAGTGGTTACAGAACAGCCTCTGACTGTGCTCTGTGGACTTTCCCATTCTATAAATGGCCATCACAGTAATATGTCCCAAACTAAATGTGGTTATAGAAGAAGAGACCCAAGGCTTGACCTTATTACCTAGGTGATGGATTGACAGGTGCAGCAAACCACCATGACACACATTTAACTATGTAATAAACATGCACATCCTGCACATGTAACCTAGAACTTAAAAAAAAAATAGAAGAGAAAAAACAAAATAACCAAACAGTACACATTTTTTTTGGCATAAGGCAGCCCAGGAAGTTGATTAGAATGTTCATTATGCAAAAAAGTTAACAATCATGTAGTAGAAAGAAAACCCACAGATCAGTAAGAAAATGAGAAAGAGCTCAATAGGAAAATGAGCACAGGGAATGCAGAACTATGCACTTAACACTAGATACAATTTCCCAATAAGTTAGAACAAATGCATAACCTTGCTAATCCATTAATAACCAAACATGAGCAAAACCAAACATATTGATATAACCCAATTCTGGCATGGGTGAAATAAGCAAAATAGGCATTGTTGGTGAGAATATAAACCTTTTGAAGCAGCAGCATGCCAATATCTGTTAACATTAATAATGACTGACCCAGTAATTCTACCCAGATAATAAATTCATTCTTTTGTTTAGTCAAAAATTAATTTTGACTGCTATGTGCCAAGAGCATATTAGATATTGGGGGCACAGACGTTAATAAAATCCCTACCTCTGTTTAGCCTTCTACACTAGTCAGGGAGGCATTCAATAGACAAGAATATATATAATGTTAGTAAGAAGTGCTCTGTTTAAAACACAGCAGGTGAAGGGGTAGATGGAGATGGAGACATATTACTGTAGATAACGAGGCCAGGAAAGACTTGTTTGAGGTCACGGTGAGGGTGAGTCACATAATTTTCTGGGAGAACTTTCCAAGAATAGGGAAAAGCAACTGAAAAGGTTGAGATGGGAATGCAATTGATGTGTTTGTGGAAGCCTTGCATAAGCATGAAAATGTATGTTATGGGAATTTTCATTTGGTTGTAATTTTAAATTGTAAATACACATCAATAAAAAGTGGAAGGAGGCTGGGCATGGTGACTCACACCTGTAATCCCAGTACTTTGGGAGGCAGAGGTGGGTGGATCACCTGAGGTCAGGAGTTTGAGACCAGCCTGACCAACATCGATAAAACCCATCTCTACTAAAAATACAAAATTAGCCAGGCTTGGTGGCGCATGCTTGTATTCCCAGCTACTCAGGAGACTGAGGCAGGAGAATCACTTGAACCCGGGAGGTAGAGGTTGCGGTGAGCCAAGATCGTGCCATTGCACTCCAGTCTGGGCAACAGGAGTGAAACTCCATCTCAAAAAAAAGTGGAAGGAAATGGGTTAAATAAATTACTGTGTATGCATCAGTGAAAGACCATGTGGCTTTTAAAAATAATGAGGTAGAACAATGAGCATTAACATGCAAAGATGCTCATGATACATTGCCAAATGGGAAAAAGAAAGAGGCTACAGGATCATATATATAAAATCAGGCCATTTATATCAAAAGATAAATGTACATAATACATAATTAAATGTATTTGTATGCAATAGAAATAAAAATTATAAACTAATAAACTTAGTCCTTGGTTATAATTAAGAGGAGCTGAATATTCCAAACCATTTGATTGAAAAACTATAAAGGAGAGTGGACTGATTAACATTAGTCTTTTAAGAATGCAGAGTGCTGGGTTAGTCAAGATCATTTCAATATCTTTGCTTCTACCTTCAGATGCATCCTTCCCTTTCCCTTCCTGGTGAACTTCTTATCCTACATCATGGTTTTAAATCCCTTCCCGACATTTAAGGCAGACTTCTCTTTTCTGAGCATCCCCTTTCTCTGTCTGTTCTTCACCATTCTCTCCTTGCATGGTTTTCCTGGTATTTTATAAGCCTATTTTCCCTATTAGACCAAGAGCTCCTGTGGACTTTGCAGTCTTTGGGCCATGGTATGTAGCACAGTTGCTGATTGCCTTGTCACAGGATTTCAAAATGGTGCAATGAATGCATAAATGAATAAGAACATGGGTACTGGGTGGGTGTTGGAGTTGGCACTTAGGTAATGGTCATATCAACAACTCTTTGAATGAAATGGCACATAGTTATTCCTATTTCACAGGTAACAAAACTAAGGCTAGTAGCAATTCCATGACTTTAATCTGATCATCTTCTGAGATGTGCTTTGGAAAAGCTCTGCTTTCATAACATCTCTGTTCATGTTTGGATTCTTGAGAACAAGTTCAAGTTTCAGAATCACCCTCTAATTTAATGAACCTTTTTGTGTTATCATGTTTACCTTTCTTAAGGGTTATGACAATAGAATAAACTAATGGATAAGAAATGTTCTCTAATATAAAAAGCATAGTAAGTTGAAGGTTTTGCTAAAAATGTTTATTTCATCAACCTTGGAAGGCTGTCAATTGTGGGAGAAAGCACAATGGATTTGGAATTCAGTGACTTGGGTAGAATTCTTATTTTTTGGATTCATCAGCTATGGAACTTATCCTTTCATTTTATCGGTCCTTGTCTCAGTTGGTGGGAATTCAAGTAAGAGCCTGTCCAGAGAATTTACGCCAACATTCATTTCCACCCCCAGATCAGAGTTCCTGTTTACCTTCATCATTGTTGATTGTTGCTATTTCCAGGCTTTTTGAGTATTGACAAGACACTGGGTATAAAATCATCTCTCACTCTTCATTTCCATTTCCCTGATTGCTATTGCAGTGCAACTCTAACACTAACTACCTGGAGTTAGACCAGACATCACAGGTGAGGAGCACAGTCCTCCCCATAATTGCGTTCATTCACACACTAGCTGCAAGCTCAAGGACCTCAGGCTAGCCATACTTCTGACCAATTCACTACAAATTTTGGTGTTCCCCTTACTCCTTCAGATTCAATAATTTATTAGAATGACTTACAGCACTCAAGAAAGTACTCTATGTATGGTTACAGTTTTATTATAGCAAAAAAAAAAAGGTACAAATTAAGACCAATGAAAAGGTACATAGGACAAGATCTAGAAGAGTCTTGAATTAGCAGCTTACACGTCTTCTCACCATAGAGTCAGGATGTGTCACTTAATGTGTAAGAACATGCCCAGAATTACGTTAACCAGGGAAGCTCATATGTGCTTCAGTGTTCAGAGTTTTTATTGGGGTCTCATTGTGTAGGCATGATTGATTGAATCATTGGTTGAAATGTTGAACTCAAATCTCTATCCTTCTTTCATGTTGGGCTAGATGTCAGGATGATATCACATGGCTCAAAGACTTAACTCTCTAATTACAAATATTATTGAAGAAAAGTTAGTTAATTTCTTCCTTTTAAATTTTTTTGTCTCTTGTCTAAAAAATTTCCTATTCCAAGATCACAAAGACCTTTTTTTGTATCTTCTAATATTTTTGAAGTCTTACATTTTAGTTGTTCATTCTGTTGAAATTAATTTTTCCCATTGCTTTTCTGGAGCTCAGCATTCTATTCTGTGAAATTAGTGGGCCAGTTTAAGATTCTATTCAGCTTTAAATTCAGTGATAAAAATATCTACCATCTACATCTTACTTTCTATATGCTAGGAGTTGTTCTAACAACTTTATACTTATTGCCTTATTTAAGCCCATTTATCACTTTTTTTTTACAGGCAAATCAAAGTAGAGCAACTTGGGTAATGTTAAACTATTAATACATGATGGAGGTGGATTTGAAGCCAGAAGATCTAGTTCCAAGATTTGCTCTTAAGTGCCTCATTATATGCCTCTCTAAACAATAGTACTATACACTACAGCCATCATCATGATTTTTATTCTCCTTCAATTCTCAAGGGCTTAGCATATATTCAGGGCATTGAAGACTAATACAGCTTTGTTGAATTTAATTGAAATTTCTCAGCTATTTTTCATGTTTATAATAATCTTCAGCTGTTGAATCTAGTATTAGATATCTTCAGTTCAGAAATAAACATTAGAGTTTTGCAGCTGGAGAGTATACAACCAAGGTCCCATAGCCAGCAGGTGATGTGCCTTTTCTTATGTCTCAGTTCATTTCACAGAGGGACGGGGACTCTAAGTGTGTCTTCCTGGCACCTACCTGGCTAACTTGTAGGTGATCAATGTTCTTATTATCACCCTCCCTTTAGACCATGTGTCCTATCTGGAAAACAGAGAAGCAATGCAGTTTTCAGAAGCCCCAGGTACTAGGAAGATGAGCAATGCCTGTCTAGGGGATGGATTTAGAGTTTCCTTCAATCATCTCTAATTTTCCACCCCAAACTGCAAAATGACTAGTATACTCAGCATCAGAGAATTGTCTCCTTTTCTTGCATTACATTTTCCCACCCTGGGCACACGTTTTATATTATGACCTTTCCCTGTCTCTCCCTGATAAGGTCTGCACCAGCGTATGGCTTGGGAGGAAGTTGGGAGGGTGTGAGACAGGCAATCAACAATCAGCATGTCCTCACTCACCAACCAAGTGCTTTCAGGGTGCCCAACATTATGCTCTGAGTTCACATTCACGATTTAATCCTGCAACTCCCAGAACAAGGATGATCATTCCCATTTCAGTGATAACTCTGAAGCTGAGATAATGTAACCAGCCCAGAGCTAATCAGTTGCAGCTGCTCAGTAGTGAAGCTGGGATTTCTTCATAGCCATGTGTTTCTGACTTCAGAATTTCTCTTTCTTTCTCAGTAATGCTGACTCATGGTCAACTCTTTATAGAAGGTATACATGACTCAAGATAAAAAACAAACAAAGCAAAACAAAACAAAATGCTGTATGTAGTTCAGAATTAGTGGTAGATAACATTTGGTGGTGAGATGCAATTTCTTGGTTGCCGTTGCCCTTTCTGATCAGCACTTCACTAGTCTCTGCTAAGGAAAGAACTCAGGCTTTGAGAGAGACACACTCCAAACCTTCTGAGCCTCAGTTTCCTCATCTTAAAAAGAGAATACTGGTACACTGCTCACAGTGTCTGTGGTGACTGAAAATGGAGACTTATATGCAGAAACTAATAGATTAGAAAGGAGGCAAGAGAGTCGAGTGGCTAAGCATGGGTAATCCTGCACTAGATGACCTGGGACTGAGTTCTAGATCTGCTGTCTAACAGCCATGTGAGGACACTGGTCAATTACTTAAGCTCTTGATGTCTCAGTCTCCTCTTCTGTAAATTGGGGGAAATGACAGCACTAACTTCACAGGGTCATTAGGGATAGAGAACAGTGTCAGGCAGAGAGTAACTACTATACAAGTGTGTGCCATTATTACAGTCAACATTCAGAAATGGTGGCTGCCCTTCTTTCTCCCTTAGGGAGGTCCCAGAAGGAGGTAGAGCTGACCCCCGATTGATCCTCATGATACTCTCAGCATAAAGGAAATCCTTCCTGGTCTCAGCAGTTGCTCCCACTGTGCTAGAGTTGGCTCCAACCCCATCTCCTTCTGGGGCTCCTCTCCTCCTACTGTCTAAAAGTCTGCCCAATTAACCCTTCTCTGCCTGTTTTTAATGTGAGCTTTAACCAGCTCCTGAATGGTTATTAGCCATTTAATATGTTCGTAGGAATGTCTCTTAACCTTACATCTCATTAGAATGAATGATTTTGTAAGGCAATAAACCAACTTGGCCTCTAATGGAACCATATTTTAGCAACTCTTTTTTTTTTTTTTTTTTTTTTTTTTGGAGTCTTACAAAGAAAGCGATTACAGGTTTGGAGAGATTGATTTTATTTAAAACCGAATATGTATGAAAGCAGGCAGAGTGGCTCTGACATAAATCACTCTGATATATTGAGTGCAAAGGCAAATGCAATTTCTTTCTCCCTTTTAGCTTTCTGTGTTCAGCAGAGGGGTGGTGATTTATCTTTTTATCCATTTCAATCTGACGTAGGTTGCTTTTAACTCTAGGGAAGAAGGGACAGATGGCCTGTGTTGGAGGGACTTGCAGGGGTAGGAAAGAAAAGAAATAAGAAAAAAAGGAAGAAAAAAAACCGAAGACCCCCTCCTCTAATTTCTGGGTCCTCAACTGACACCCCTTAGCCTATCCACTACCCCCTAACCCAGCCTGGCCTACTGTGGAAGAAAATAAGCAACAAATGGAAGAAGCATTGCAAATGGAAATCAATAAGCAGTTTACTAGGTAGTTATCTTAAACTCAGTTTTGTATAATTAACTATAATTATATATAAAACCCTCCTCATTTAGAAATAGATAAAAGATGTATTTTATTATAATCTAATTTTCATTTCTCTTTTTCAGGTTCTCTGGACCTTCTTTCGGATGCTTCCAGTTCCACAAAATAGGCACTAAAAAATTCATTTTCTTATGTCAGAGTCCCAGTTATCATTGTTATGGTTTTGAGAAAGCTATGAACTTTGCTTATATAAATACTGAACATTTTTCTTAAGGTTCTGCCTCTAGTACCATGTTGCTGAAGTACCAGCCCTGGCTGGTATACTCTGCAAACTTCTGACTTTCTAGTTTGACCCCCTAAAAATAAAAACTTGGAATCCTGAATTTAAAAAAAGCTGAGAAGGTTTTACATTGCAGGAATTCTCAGAGCTTACACTATGCTACTGTGCTTCGAAGATCTCTAAGAGAGTTAAAAGACGCCCCGCTTTCCAAGATTTTGACAAGGAACAATGTATCTACGGAGCATCTTGAAGCAGTCACATTCAGTGCAGATACTTGGGGAGATGCTTATCTCCTTTATATGGTTTTACAAGGCCTTTCTCAACCCAACCTCCTCTCACCCATCTGACCACATCTCTCTGTTCCGCATTTTTTATTTATTTATTTATTTATTTTTTTGAGACGGAGTCTCGCTCTGTTGCCCAGGGTGGAGTGCAGTGGCGCGATCTCAGCTCACTGCAAGCTCTGCCTCCTGGGTTCACGCCATTCTCCTGCCTCAGCCTCCCAAGTAGCTGGGACAACAGGCGCCCACCACCACACCCGGCTAATTTTTTTTTTTGTATTTTTAGTAGAGACGGGGTTTCACCATGTTAGCCAGGATGGTCTCGATCTCCTGACCTCGTGATCCGCCTGCCTCGGTCTCCCAAAGTGCTGGGATTACAGGTGTGAGCCACCGCACCCGGCCTCTGTTCTGCATTCTATTCTGAGTTACAACCACACAGAATTCCTTGTCATCTTTGAACATATTCTGCTTTTTTTTCTTTCTTATCATGCTCTCCCACACAGTCTTCTTTGAAGACTATTTCTCCTCCGACTTCTCCTGGCAAATTTTGACGTCTTTCAGAACCTAGTTTTGTAGCCACTTCTTCTGTGAAGGCTTCCTCAGACAGAGTTATGATGGCTTCCTGGGATGCCAATAGCATCCTCAGGGCGAGATTAATACAGGCACAAGGTGTGACAGTCTAGGTGGGTATTAAATATTAGTGCGGTAGTAGAGGGCTACTAGGGTATTAAAAGTTTGACAGAATAGTATACTTAAAAAACCCAAACAGCACACAAAAAACTATCAGTGAGAATGCCTTCTAAGTTTGGAAAATATTTTGGAATATCACTGAAGAAACAGGCATTTTGAGAGAATAATTCATGGCCAGTAAGTTTTCTACAAAGGCGTTTGAGTGTATTTCTTTGCTATGGGACTTCCTTGGGCTGAAGGGACTATGCAGATTTGGGATGAGAGCTGGTTTGCTGAAGGCAGGTGAAGCTTCCAAGTCAACCCTCCCTAGTGACCAGTCATTCCTCCAAATGAAAGTTAAACTCTACCAATATATGATAGTACTGAATTGACTATTATGTGCAACCTTCAAGGAGTCAGTCAGATACTTCAACCCCTCTAAAACCTCCCATTTGCTGAAGCCAACCAGAAACCAACAGGCAAAGAAGTCTAGAGAGATTAGCCTCTTAGGACACAGAACAGTACACAAAAGACGACACAGAATGTGTAAGGGGAGGATGGATAGAAGAATGGACAAGGGTCAACCTCCCTTCCCTTGAGATTCTATCAATTTACATTCCTACAGCAAGATAGAAATATGTTTATTAATCAGTTTTCTCTTCGACACAGTATGTTATCGACCTATTGAATCTTTGCCTATCTGGTACCTGGAAAATGATATTCCACTATACTTTCAGTTGCGTTTTTTTATAGGCAGAATTAATAATGTATTTTTCAATGTTTTAAGAGCCATTTATATTTTTATTATTTGAACAGTAATTTTACATTCTTTGCCTATGTTTTACAGTAGAGGGCTTTTTTCCTTATCGATTTACCATGATTTTTATATATTAAGGAAATTGACCTTTTGTTTCTCCTTTTGATGTTACAGATTTTTCATTTCTCTATTTTTGCATTCTTTATATATTTTTTCCCCTGCGCAGGCTTGTTTTTGTGTTGCTAAATTCATCAAACTTAGAGAATCTGGATTTTATGCCATACTTAGGCCTTATACACATTGTGATTTTATATGTATATATATTTTTCTCTAGTAATTGTATGCTTTTTAGAAATTTATTTTGGTGTAAGGTTCAAGATATCCTACTCCAAATCACTACAACTTTTCTTAACATAGATTACTAAATAATCACTTTTTCTCCACTGATTTATAATTTCATTTTTATCAAATGCAAAATTCTAATACATATTTTGGTTTAATTCTGTACTTTTTACTCCATCCTATGTCCTGCTTATCTGTTTACGAGCCAGTACTACTCTGCCTTAATGATACACTCAATTATGAGGTAGGATGGGTCCTACCTGACCCATAATTTATATTTATTTGTTTTTCTGCCATTATATTGCATAAACTTGCATGCTGTAATTCAAATTAAATGTGAAATTGGTAGGGTATTTTAAGTTCATAAAAAAAAAAAATAACAAAGAGGCCGAGCACAGTGGCTCATGCCTGTAATCTCAGCACTTTGGGAGGCCCAGACAGGCAGATTGCTTGGGCTCAGGAGTTTGAGACCAGCCTGGGCAACATGGCTAAACCCTGTCTCTACAAAAAAATACAAAAATTAGCTGGGCATGGTGGCGTGAACCTACGGTCCCAGCTACTCGAGAGGCTGAGGTAGGCGGATCGCTTAAGACCTGGAGGTGTAGGGTGTAGGTTGCAGTGAGCTAAGATTGTGCCACTGCACTCCAGCCTGGGTAACAGAGTGAGACCCTGTCTCAAATAAAAAAAAAAGAAAAAAAAGAAATTCAGGGCCTCAGAACCCTGGTCCTAGAATAGGATCTTATTCTCCATCCTGAACATTACACAGGATTCCATAAGCTTTTATTTATTACATGTTGTTCAGAAGCCATAGTGCACAATCATTCCTTCTTTACACTCAGACAGAGTTGGGATTCAGATATTAGTTTTGTGCTTAGTAGTTGAATAATCTTGGGTAGGATTTTTTTTTTTTTACTCCCTCTATGTCCTTTGTTATAAGATGGGGATAATAATACATAATTAAGGTGATTATTATGTGTTGTAAAATTAGATTTAAGTTTCACTTTAGCCTTTAGTTGTTTGCAATCTTGGCCAAGTCCCTTAAACTCTATCAATAAAATTTAGATAATAATTTAGAATAATAAATTCCCTCTTATAAATTGGCACTAAAGGATTTATATGTGTAGGTGTTCTTTCTAATAAACCATACAAAATTTAATTTAGGAAAGCATTAATAGACCTGGTTACTGAAAAGGAGAGAACAATGGAAGAAAGGAGGGAGGGAAGAAAGGAGGAAGGGAAAAGAGGCGGGGGGAAGTATTTGTTTTTGCATCCATCAAAGAAAGCAATGTTTTTGGATGCTGCATTGAATGCTTGCTCCCTTACTTCCAGCCACCTAACATTGCAGACCAATTTTGCCCTGATACACAAGAAATATCCTGCTTAATTTGACCCAGTCACATCTTTAATCTTGTTAAACTACATAGCACAACAAATCCAACTCCAAGAAAGGTTAACGGAGGCCTTTGGATTGATTGAAGGTCCTTGTCAATGGTGTTGTCCCTCACCACGTACAATGGATTTTCATTAGAATTTTGTTGTTTGCCTTGGAGTGGTTGAAAACATTCACATGATGGATTAATCAATTTCCAAGCTAATGCATTCACATGTGGTAATGACTTGCTCAAACGCTGCTCTGGCTGTCTGAATAGGCTTTAAGGAATTAAGTAGGACCATGGAGAAACCAAACTTTCAATTAAGAAAGTTGCAAAATACCCTTTCCTAACCTAGAAAATGAACCAAGGCTGATAATTTCCTTTTTATTACCCCATGACATATACAAGGTTAGGAAAAAAAAAACAAACCCATTAAAATATCACATCATTTACATCTTCCGAATTGTAGTGCTACTGGATGCATCATTAAGTATAAATGGATTGCAATAAAACACACATTAATTAGTATAAAATCAGTAAAAAACCAAGATTTCAAATTCATTGTGACTGTCCTCAGAAGGCTCAAAATAAATATATGTATATATTTACATATAACTAGAAATAGCTAAATCATTTTTCTGTGAAAGATGCAAAAGGAGGGCATATAGAGAGAACCAACCAAACTTTCATTTCCATAAACTGCATCTCAGTCACGGGCAATCCTTCTCCTTGTTATTATACTCATAAAATGCCTATAAAAATGATTTCATGCAGTTCCATATTTATTGACTCTCAATGTTCTATGGATCCAATTGTTTGAGATTACAAGGCGAGAGAGGATACTTTCCCCATTTTAACCACTATCCTTTTCTATGTCCTTTGGACTATGAACACTGATTTGCTCTACAGGCATATTTTACAGGCTGAGGTACAATGACAAGTCTGTAATTAAAGTTTGGATAGTGGTAGAGCTCACTGAAGCCCAAACCTCAACTTGTCCTGCTGTCACATCCATTTTATAGTTGTGAGTCCAATTACCAGCTGGGCTAGAGCTGGGGGCAAAGCAGTCTGCAATAGAAAGTGGTGTTTTAGGAATGTTCTTGTTTGCAATTGTCATTGGTCACCAAGGGCTTAGTAGGAAAGGGTCTGCCACTGGTGGAAACAAAAACCCGTAGGCTCAGCATGCTGTGTCTATGGAATTCTACAGGTATTGAAAATGAAAACTTACTTCTAAGTCAAATTCTCCATTTCTGGGTTCTACCCACCTTTCAGGAATAAGAAGGTTTCCTTCTTTTGTTTATGGCAGAAGTATATTTAGCTGAGCAACAATATGGTTTTAAGACAAAGGAGAACTTGAGGAGGAGAGAACTTTACAAGGAGAGTCCTTTCCTATGCTGAAACTTTGTCCACGTCATACTTGTCAGTCCTTAAAGAATGGTGAAGGCTGCCTATCTACCATTTTCTTGCTATTGATGTGCTCATCTCCTCCCTCATTCATTTGATGCTGAGACCAAGACAGAAGGCCAAATACACCAAGATTTGTGTCAAAGGCCTGCCACCATAGACTTACATGTGCTGGCCCCTTGGAAACCATTGTCCCTGAGAACCATGCTGGTTTCTGGAAATGGGAGCAAGCATTTCAATTTGTGAGATGTCAAGATGCAGGAGAGACATATGAGAGATGAAGTATCTTGGTGTGGGACGTGAGGTGGGGAAGACAAGGTTTGAAAGAACTTTGATCAAAAGTGGCAGAGGTAAAACCAAGCCAAAGCAGTTGACTGGACATTTTCTTCCTTGTGTCATCCATGTTGCATAGATTTCCATCCTGCTGCTTTTTAGAATTGGTAACACTTATAAAATAGAAGCCACCTTGACTTTAAGACCTTGAGGAAGGAGAATGTTATTTTTCCCTCCCAAATGTTCTATACAGTGCTTGGCTTAGATCATATAATTGTAGCCAATTAATTGTTAAGAGCATGTATAGTAGAATCAAATAGACCTGGGTTTGAGTCCTGATTTCCTAACTACCTACCTATCTACCTACCTACTGGGACCTTGCTTAAGCTACTTAATTGTCTGGCCACCATAATATTGATCATATAATAATAATAGAAAATAATAATTGAGTGCCAACTATGTGCCAGGTATTAATAAGCTTTCTCCATGTATCATCTTATTAAATCCTCATTAAAACTTTATATTGCAGGTATAATTTTATCTATATAATTTGATTAATAAGTAGTTATGCATACATAATGTATCTCATTTAAGTGACATCTGACACACAGTAGTTATACAACATTTACTGACAAACAGACAAAGTGCCTATGTTGTTATTTGTTTGCTTTGCATTTTTAGTTTGAATAAGAAAGCTAAAGTTGAACCTAAATAATCTAAAGTGTTTCCATGCATTTGCTATCTGTTATTGTGTAACTATCTCAAAACTTAGTGGCTAAAAACAACAATAAACATTTCTTATTTTACTTAACTTTACGGGTCAGGAATCCATGAGCAGCTTGCCTGGGTGTTTCTGGCTCAGGATCACTTGTAAAACTGCAGTCAAAATTTTGGCTGGAACTGTAGTCATTTGAAGGCTTGCCTGGGACTAGCAGGTCCACTTCCAAGATGGCTCACTCACATGTTTGACAAGCTATTTCTGGTTGTTGGCAGGAGGCTTCAGTTCCTTGCCATATGGATCTCACCACAGGGCTGCTTGAGTGTCCTCACAACATGGCAGCTGGCATCTCCCAGACTGAGTGATCCTAGAGGGCAACTCAAAAGCCACTTTGACTTTTCTGACCTGATATGGTTTGGCTGTTTCCTCACCCAAAATCTCATATTGGATTGTAATCCCCATGATCCTCACGTCAGAGGCTGGACCAGGTAGAGGTAACTGGATCATGGGGTGGTTTCCCCCATGCTACTCTTGTGATAGTGAGTGAGTCTCAGGGGAGCTGATGGTTTTATAAGCATCAGGCATTTGCCCTGCTTGTACTCACTCTGTCCTGCCGTCCTGTGAAGAAGGTGCCTGCATCTTCTTTGCCTTCTGCCATGATTGCAAGTTTCCTGAGCCCTCCTCTGCCATGCAGAACTATAAGTCAATTAAACCTCTTTCCTTTATAAATTACCCAGTCTCGGCTATTCATAGCAGTGTGAGAACGAACGAATACGTGACCTATCCTGGAAAGTCACACCGTCATTTTTGTAATATCTCTTTTCTTATAGCCTTACTCAAGAGCATGAAAATCAGGAGGTGAGAATCACTGGAGGACATCTTGGAGATTGGCTACCATAGCCTGGATTAAGAGAAGGAAAAAACCAGAAAGATCATAGGGACAAATCTACACAAAAATTAATTGGTATGGCTCAGGATGGGTGGGGGTGAGTGGTTCAGGACCAAGGATATGAACAATATAATGGAGACAGGTCATACTCTGTGTGGCTATGGTTGTGTGGTTAAAGGTAGGGATATATGACATGAGGTATCTCTCTGTATGGACAAATTTTCTTTGGAAACTTGAATTCTCAGTGTGAAAGACTAGACGAATGTAGACAGCATGGATAGCATTCAGCTTAAATATGCAGATGGGGGAAATGTATAAATGAAGCAAATTCTTCAGAATAAAGTTTAAAAGTTAACAATTTGGTCAGCCAAAGATACAAAAGACAATGTATTTCAGATAATGCCAACAACTAGACGAAGAGATGATGTCACAAAATGGAATCTGCAATTCAAGTAGAAATAAAAGATGTTGTGGTAATGAGAAAGTAATAAAGACCTGGTTTGATCTTCAAGGAGAACTACAAACCACTGCTCAAGGAAATAAAAGAGGATACAAACAAATGGAAGAACATTCCATGCTCATGGGTAGGAAGAATCAATATCATGAAAATGGCCATACTGCCCAAGGTAATTTACAGATTCAATGCCATCCCCATTAAGCTACCAATGCCTTTCTTCACAGAATTGGAAAAAACTACCTTAAAGTTCATATGGCCCCAAAAAAGAGCCCGCATCGCCAAGTCAATCCTGAGCTAAAAGAACAAAGCTGGAGGCATCATGCTACCTGACTTCAAACTATACTACAAGGCTACAGTAACCAAAACAGCATGGTACTGGTACCAAAACAGAGATATAGATCAATGGAACAGAACAGAGCCCTCAGAAATAATGCTGCATATCTACAACTATCTGGTCTTTGACAAACCTGAGAAAAACAAGCAATGGGGAAAGGATTCCCGATTTAATAAATGGTGCTGGGAAAACTGGCTAGCCATATGTAGAAAGCTGAAACTGGATCCCTTCCTTACACCTTATACAAAAATCAATTCAAGATGGATTAAAGACTTAAACGTTTGACCTAAAACCATAAAAACCCTAGAAGAAAACCTAGGCATTACCATTCAGGACATAGGCATGGGCAAGGACTTCATGTCTAAAACACCAAAAGCAATGGCAACAAAAGCCAAAATTGACAAATGGGATCTAATTAAACTAAAGAGCTTCTGCACAGCAAAAGAAACTACCATCAGAGTGAACAGGCAACCTACAAAATGGGAGAAAATTTTCGCAACCTACTCATCTGACAAAGGGCTAATATCCAGAATCTACAATGAATTCAAACAAATTTACAAGAAAAAAACAAACAACCCCATCAAAAAGTGGGCAAAGGACATGAACAGACACTTCTCAAAAGAAGACATTTATGCAGCCAAAAAACACATGAAAAAATGCTCACCATCGCTGGCCATCAAAGAAACGCAAATCAAAACCACAATGAGATACCATCTCACACCAGTTAGAATGGCAATCATTAAAAAGTCAGGAAACAACAGGTGCTGGAGAGGATGTGGAGAAATAGGAACACTTTTACACTGTTGGTGGGACTGTAAACTAGTTCAACCACTATGGAAGTCAGTGTGGTGATTCCTCAGGGATCTAGAACTAGAAATACCATTTGACCCAGCCATCCCATTACTGGGTATATACCCAAAGGACTATAAATCATGCTGCTATAAAGACACATGCACACGTATGTTTATTGCGGCATTATTCACAATAGCAAAGACTTGGAACCAACCCAAATGTCCAACAATGATAGACTGGATTAAGAAAATGTGGCACATATACACCATGGAATACTATGCAGCCATAAAAATGATGAGTTCATGTCCTTTGTAGGGACATGGATGAAATTGGAAATCATCATTCTCAGTAAACTATCGCAAGAACAAAAAACCAAACACCGCATATTCTCACTCCTAGGTGGGAATTGAACAATGAGAACACATGGACACAGGAAGGGAAACATCACACTCTGGGGACTGTTGTGGGTTGGGGGGAGGGGGGAGGGATAGCACTGGGAGATATACCTAATGCTAGATGACGAGTTAGTGGGTGCAGCACACCAGCATGGCACATGTATACATATGTAACTAACCTGCACATTGTGCACATGTACCCTAAAACTTAAAGTATAATAATAATAATAATAAACAAAAAAAAGAAAGTGAAAAAGTAATGCATTCAGTGTTTGTCTGGAAGGCAGGGAAGAGGGGTATGAAATTTTCAGCAAAGCATTGTAAAGGAGCTTTATGGAGTGATGAAAATATTCTATTTTCTGAATGCTATGATGTTTATATGGGTGGATCCATTCATAAAAGCTCATCAAATGGTTAAAAAAAAAAAAAAGACCTGGTTTGAAAATTCAAAATTGTTATCAGCAATATGACTGGGGAAAAAATGGTGACCTATAGATCATAAAGTCTGGATGAAATGTATCCCAAGGAATTAGCAAACCTACATGCTTCCTGAGCAGAAAAGAGTGAATAAGAGAGAAAAAAAATGAGAAAGGTTTTGAGCAAGAAATGTAGCTCCTGCAAAGGTTATATGGTTTGATTATTTTCTAGCTCTAGTGGTTGACCTATACTTACAGCCAAATAAGTCTGTTTAGAGATGAGTTTTGCAGTGGCTCATCAAATTATATCTTGTAGTCCAAAGTCATGTGTGGGTTTTGCCTCCTACTGACACCTTTTCCCCATCAGACTGAAGGACAAATTTTGTTCGTATTTCAGCATAATTTATTCTTCATTAGTCTAAGCTATGACTTGTTCATGATTAGATTCAATTTCAGTGTTTACAGGTTCATTTTCATAATATTTCCTGAGGGTTTATTATTTCCATTTGTAAAAATGCATTAAGTCCTCTAAGTCAGAGTAAGCTGATGCAATTTTCCAGGGAGACTTGCTCTGCCTCACACTAGGCCAGCAGCTTTGCAACAGCAGGTAGATGATGCTTTTATAGGACTTGTGAGGAGCCCTCCACCTTCTTAAGGGACTCCATTGCTTGTCTGAGTCTTGTATGGTATTGGATGTAGGACAGGGTTGGGAAGCGAAAGTGGGCTTTGGAAAAACGGTGCATCCTAGGTGTGGTTTTTGTGCATCGTGGATACCTGTGTTTTGGTCTTCTCAATGACCTCTTTGCCAGGGCACTGCCCCTCCTTAAGACCATCCATGTGGTTACCATCGGAACCGTCAGGTAAGTACCACATGAAACTCTCTCTCATGATGGCTGTGGGTGAGACCATATCTTATTCATGTTTCTGTCCTTGAATATGTATTAGTTCCAAAGATCTAGGTTTGGAAAAATGGTATAACTAGGATAAATTAGTCATTCATTTGTTCATTTAACATAAATTTTCTATGAGCATATTATGTGTTGGCTTCCCCGGTATGCTTTAAGGGTACAGCAGTTTTATTGTCCAGGTCTTGAGAGTCAGCCCACTGTTGCCTCCATGTGCATCTTCAAAATCAACAAGGAGCAACAGGATTAATTTCTGTCATTCATATGTCTATATTAATGTTTTAGAAGTGTCCTTGAAAGCATCTTTGGAGAAGCCGTGTGGATTTCCTCTGATAATGGACATGAAGGTATTCATTTTATTGATGGCTGAACAGGCCCAGAAAATTGCCTATAAACTTGCATCAGAACCAACACAAAGAATCTTTAAGATTCTTTCTTAAGTTCTTGACTGTACTATTATCTTTTATTAATTAGTATTCTTTTGGTGTAAATTTTTTTAAAAAACGGATTGAAATTGACTTGACTACAAAAGGGAATGTACTGCTGTATACAACTCAAGTACCTAGGAATCCATCCGACTTCAAATATGCTTGCTCCAATGCTTCAGCAATACCACCAGGTTGTGGTTTATCTTCTCTCTGTATCTTCGCTCTGCTTCCTCTATGCTGACTCCATTTTCCAATAGGTCTCAGAGTCACCAATTGGCTCAATATGGCATCTAGGCTGCATCTTTTCTAAGCTTAAATCAAGCATAAAAATGGCCACCTGAAATACACTCAGTTGAAGTTATTCAGTCCACTCTGATCTCACTGACTGAAGTCAAGGGTCCACTGTCGAGCCAATTACTGTGACCTGCTGACTGGTGTAGGCATGTCCCTGCTCCTTCTGTGGGACTGGAGCAGACCTGACTCAAACAACGTGGAATGAGAATTGGGGAGCAGGCATCTCCAAATAACAAATGGGCCCATTGCCTCACAATGAGAATGGTTGTCGGGAAAGGAAAGAATATATGTTTACTATAGATACACTGACTTTTACCCAGGTTCAATATTTTAAAAAATTACCTTATAAAGGCAAAAATGATAAAGAACTAGCAGTTATATTCTGTTAATGTGATGTCAGAACCCACTTGGCTTATTGAGCTTTTTAACTGAGATCCATTTTGGATAGAGTGACTCATATAATGTGAGGTGGAGAACAACCTAAAACATGTCATATAAGAACAGTTGGAAGAAGTGGGAATGTTCAATCTGAGGGAGATTTTTAATACTTTGTTCCAGAGTTGGAGAGAGATAGCATTACATCATTTATTTGAAAGATCTTCAAGCCAAAGTAAAGACAGACTTGCTCTATGGGATTCAGGAGGCCGAGATTTCTAGTAATAAATAGCTGCCCAGTGAGGGAACACGAAGACTTAGTTAGAAATGTGTTTCCTATCACTGTAGCTGTCCAAGTATAGTTTTATCAGACAATCTGTCAAGGATGGTATAGACACATGCCAATCACTGGGTGAGTGACTATGCGAGGTAAACTTTTAATGCCCCTTTGATGCCTGAGATCCAATAGTTAACTGTGAGTTTAACATGAAGGACTCACATTGGTAAGAGGCAATTCTTTATACATTACCTAGCAGAAAGAAAATAAGCAGGTTGCTTAAGAAGGAACATGGGAGATGGAGCAGGTTGAGAAGAAAGCTTGCAGTTAGAATTTTGGCCTTGACATAACAAAGGGAAATAAATGAGACAAAATGGTAAACATAAGAAAGAAAAACTGAGTCGACTCTGTATTTTTGCAGTGACCTTTCAACATGCTGTTAACTGGCTTTCTTGTCCCACCCTGGATAATCATGAGAGTATAAAAACCTAGAGATTTATTTCAATGGCCCTTCTGCTTTTGTCTTGGAGCAATGCTAAAAAATGGCTATGTTTAAAATTGTCTTAAGAGGGCATTCTTCCATTTTCTTCCTTCATGCTCTTCAGGGCATTACAACTAAGGTTGAGGACTACCTTGCTGATATTTTAGTTCATTTTCCCTTAGGATTTCTCTCCCATATGAAGTAAACCTAAAACCTGGGCTTTTATTCTGATCTAGAGCCGAGGGATCACTGTTCTTTAAAGGTAGATCATCTTCCTTTGAATTTTGACAGCTGCTCCTCTCCACAATGCACCATCTTTTAAATTGCTAACTTCAACCATGCCCAAACTATCAGGGTGCACCACCATTTCACCAGCTGTCCTGGACCCTTCTGCCAACTTCTGGATTGTGTTTCCACATGGCCCTCTTGGATGTATGGTTGCTGGGCTATGCATTCCTCATCTGTAAAGCAGGTATAACACTACATATCCCCCAAGGAGAGGGAGGGGGTAACACTTTAAAATTATTTGTAAATTGTGAAATGGGTCACAGTTTTAAAAGAGAACTTCTAGTATTAGGAAGCCATTATCAAATGGAATGATTAAGGTCTGGCTTATTTCACCTAAAACCAAGCAGTTTCTGGGTTAATGTGTCACGGCCTATCCTGTGGATGAGCCCCTCCCAGCACCAGACTGTGTCCGTGACTGATGTCAGGAACTAGAAACAGCTGGGCATTGTGCACTTCACAGGTGGCTCCCTAGTAAGACCATTGTGCTTTGGAGAATGTTTCAGTTGCCATTCGCCATATAAATCTCTGCTTTCAAAAGTCTAGGACTTAACTTACCTCCTGAGCCTGGGATGCTTCCTTTCCACAAGTTTCTTCTAAAATCTTATTCCCATGCCTTTCAGAAACCTCTTTAGATCCTCCCTTCCCCCACCTACTTGTACAGAAACCTTCAGGTCTTCTGACATCAAAGGCAAGTTTCTTGGTCATTTTATAATACTCAGCATTATTTGTCTCTAAGTTAAGATACTTGCCTCTGATTTAAGATCTTGGAAGCCTTCCTTGCTAGATATTTAACATGTCAAGGGCAAGGACAGCTTTTCTTCGCCTCTGTATTTTCAGCACCTGACATGATTTATGACTCTGAAAACATATGGAGAAAGACAGAAAGAAACAGAGAGAAAGAGAAAAGAAAGAGAGGGAGAGAAAGAAAAGAAAAGAAAGGAAAAAAGAAGTTAGTTTTAAGGAAGGACATGGGAGGAAAGCCTGGAGATGGAATTTTGGTCTTGACGAAGTGGAATAGATGGGTCAAAATGGAGAACATAAGAAAGGAAAAATGAGAAAGAAAAGCAAGCAAGCAAGCAGATTTATATGAGCACCTCTTTCTTGGCCATCCTAAACAGTCCTGCAATTAAGATAATTGTTTATGCCAGGTCATGAAGCAGCCTTGCATTAAACATGTCCAGCCACACATATGACAGCTTACACCCGGAACACATTTTGGAAACAACAGTGATGGAACCCACAGTCATCTCCTTCTACCTGGAGCTTCACCCCAATCCCATCCCATTGTTAAAATGTTCTGTTTCACTCTGAGTTGAGGATCCGCTATCTGGTGGTCTGCATCACGTCCTTACATCTAGTAAAGCAATTATATTGCACTATGACTTTTTTCCCCACTTTGTGTTCCCTACTGAATCATGATCTCTGCTCAAGGAGGGGGTTACACTGCGTACATTTCTTTTCAGTGACATCAGCTGGTAACCTTGGTAAGATGTTAAGTGAACAGACAGAGACAGCAAAAGAGTAGAGGTGGATGTTCCAAGAAATATATAATAGAAGCAGAGCAGAAAGAAAGAGGCAGAAAGACTTCCCTGGGGTAGGATCTGACTATGTCTTCTCCTTACTGATTGCCACCTTCGTGTGAGTGTGTGGGTACGTGCAGGTACGTGTGCATGTATGTGTATGTGTATGCGTAGATGTGATATTTATTGAATGCCTACCAGGTACAATGTTAGGCTTTTTGCATCAAAATTTCTAATCTTCACAATCTTATATGATTTATCTTCCACATTTCATGGGGAACATAAAAGTCCATCAGAAGAGACGGACTTTTATTTGGCCAAGGTCACAAGGCAAAGTTAAGCCAGGATTTAAACCCAAGCTTGTTGGACTCAAAATCCATGTTCTTTTTATGGAGTAACCTTGACTTTGTATCCTGCATGCAACTTCGTCTTGAAATATCTTTTTTTCCTCCTGGTTTCATTTGCAACAGGGTACACTTTCACTTCCTTTCCTCCACAATCCTATTTCATCAAACTTAGAGTTATCCCGAAAATATCACCGTCTTGGCCCAGACAGCTTCATTACATGTGCTGCTACTGAAGACATCATGTTAGAAGATTATACATTCTGGCAAGAAAATGCCCAATATATCATTTTCAGATCAAATTCACTGAAAGCTTTGCACATTAACAGATCAAAGGAAAACCCACAGAATGTCAGTGAGCTGTCAGTCCTGTAATGTGAAACCTTCTCTCACCTCTGCTGATGCCCAAATATATTTGTAAGCAAACAATTACTTCATAAAATATTCTCTTCAGATTCTACACTGCCCAATTTGTCTAAGAAACCTGGAATCTGTGTCAGAAGAGAAACCAAAGCAAGATTGTTCTGGTTTATCTCAATTAAGAGTTTGCCAACCTGTGGTTATGGAAATATCTCCTGTTTCATAGGAACCCCATTCCCAGGAGGAGAGTACAAAAATCAATAAGGAGTTTCAATGCACTTTTATTTCAACAAAGTTTTCCCTTCACATCATCAAAATTCATGGTGCAGCCTCTTAAAATTAAACTAGTTACTAAAGTCTTACCATCAGGTAAATAGCAAAATTAAAAATAATATTTTTAAAAACACACACACCTGGAGCTCCTCAATGGTAGGAGCCATGCCTTATCTATGTCAAATTTCTGGTTCAAATTTACATTCATCTGTAGCACCTGATACAGAGTACTCATTAATTTTGCTTTCAATTGAATTTAAAATCAATTGCCAAAGTTCCTTCCTCCTCTCTTTTCCTTCCATTTAGTTTCTATATTTATTTTATTTAAGGTATGTACCGAATTTACAAAGTCCTATATCTCTCCATGGCTTGTTACAGGAAAATAAAAAGGCGCTGCAAACCTCTCCTATCCCTTTCACCCATTCTGCAGAAGCAACACGCTTTGAACTCGTGTACCTGATTGGTGTTTCTAAATGCCTGTGTAGATTGTTACCAATTCATTAGTCCCTCTGAAGTAGTATCAATTCACTTTTCACAAAAGAACATGAGGAATTTGCTGGATTGCACACCCCCACCTTTCACTCTGCTCACCCTGGAAAATGACTTTCCACCTTAAAAATTATCTTAGGAGGGCATTCTTGCATTTTCTTCCTCAGTGCACTTCATTGCCCCACAACTGATGTTTAGGACAACCTTGCTGTCAGTCTAGTACATTTTCCCTTAGGATTTCCTCTCTTTCATATAAGTAAACCAAAAACCTGGGCTTTGGTTCTGATACAGAGCCCAGGAGTCACTGTTCTTTAAAGGTAGATATCTTCATTTGAATTCTGACAGCAGCTACTATGTAGAGCTGTTAAAATGTATACTTCCGGCCGGGTGCGGTGGCTCACGCCTGTAATCCCAGCACTTTGCGGGGCCGAGGCGGGCGGATCACGAGGTCAAGAGATCAAGACTATCCTGGCCAACATGGTGAAACCCTGTCTCTATTAAAAATATAAAAAAAATTAGCTGGGCATGGTGGCAGGCACCTGTAGTCCCAGCTACTTGGGAGGCTGAGGCAGGAGAATCGCTTGAACCCAGGAGGAAGAGGTTGCAGTGAGCTGAGATCACGCCATTGCACTCCAGCCCGGGTGACAGAGTGAGACACTTTCTCAAAAAAAAAAAAAAAAAAAAAAAAAAAGTATACTTCCCATTTCCCCATCCCCAACTCTGTTTTTATCATCATGGCTACTCAGGCAACATTAACAGCTGATGTCATGTACACTATGTCATATGGATCATGTCACATATATCACAATCATTTTACTTTGCTACCTTACATTTCATTTTTCTCTAAGTTATTGTTGGGTTTGGTTTGCCTGATGACTTACTTATAAAATATATTTCTATTTCTTCAGTGAGAACACATGGACACAGGAAGGGGAACATCACACACCGGGGCCTGTTAGGGGGTGGGAGGCAAGGGGAGGGACAGCATTAGGACAAATACCTAATGCATGCAGGGCTTAAAACCTAGATGACAGCTGGGCGTGGTGGCTCACGCCTGTAATCCCAGCACTTTGAGAGGGCGAGGCGGGCAGATCACGAGGTCAGGAGATCGAGACCATCCTGGCTAACACGGTGAAACCCGTCTCTACTAAATTACTCGGGCGTGGTGGTGGGCGCCTGTAGTCCCGGCTACTCGGGAGGCTGAGGCAGGAGAATGGCGTGAACCCAGGAGGCGGAGCTTGCAGTGAGCCGAGATTATGCCACTGCACTCCAGCCTGGGCGACAGAGCAAGACTGTCCAAGTGTGTGTACACTTGGAGCTCCTCAATGGTAGGAGCCATGCCTTATCTATGTCAAATTTCTGGTTCAAATTTATGTTCATCTGTAGCACCTAATACAGAGTAAGTACTCATTAATTTTGCTTTCAATTGAATTTAAAAATCAACTGTCAAAGTTAAGTCAGAAAACATAAGTAATTAAAATCATAACAATGAAAAACCCTTCATCAGTATTCACTATATTCCATAAAATTCACATATTTTATTTATAACTTTTAAATTATTACCATTCTTCTGCTAACGAAACTGAATTGCAGGTGAGGGAGGCCAGAAAAAAAGTAGTAACTGCAACAACAATATCAACCATGGCAACGATAAATATTTGTGTAGTACGTTAAGTTTACAGATTTTTACAATGTATAACTTGACATTTTAACCAAATATAGACAATGTAATAAATGCTTTAAGGTATGAGAATTAAGATTAGACTGACTTAGATTAAATTTCAAACTTTGGAATTTATTATCTGAGTTATCCTAGGCAAGTGAATATAGTCAGAGATTCAGTCTTTTCATCTCTGATATGTTATCTGTCATGTAAAGTTGAGAAATATAGTGTATGTAAAATACCACACACATGAAAGCAACTCAACAGAAGCCATTATGAAATGTGTTATATTAGTATTCTTGCTAGTATCCTTATTTATGAATATATTAAAATATATAATGCATTGTCTAACACATTATTAATGTTCAGTATAAGTTTGCTCTTCACTGTCTTCACTTACTGGACTTTCTACCCTTGAGAGAATGAACGGTGATGGAGTGAGGCATGCTTATACAGACCTCCTGGCAACTTTCACTTTGTGTCATTTCATTGTATGTTATTTCATTTCGCTTCACATCATTTTTATTTCATTTAACTTTACTTGACAAATTGTCATTAAAAATATTTTCTGCACACAGAAATTAGCTAATATATGTAAACATTTATGTTTATATTAGCTATAAGCATACACTTCATAATTTTCTATATTTGCAGAAGAGTAAGCATTTTCTTGAAGCTTAGTGGACCAAAAACCTTCTTGGGCTTAATGTGACAGAGGCAATTGAACTGAGTCTTACAGAAAGAATATAGTTTGGACACAAAGATAGGGGTCATATCAGTGACTGGCATTTCAGGTTGCAGTGAAGCATTAGGAAAGTCAAGGGGGTGGGCAAGCATTAAAACATCATTGCCCAAAGCAGCCACCTTGTCACAAAATCCCATAAGAAGGCTCAGAACTATTTCTGCCATTTACAAAGAGAAATGTTTTTCAGAGCATATGGTTTGGACTCTGTTCAGCTAGTACTCAATTATCCCTGCAGCAAAAGGATTAGTTCCAAACGCTGGACAAAATATGGTCAAAATATGGTCACTGAATTTTCCTTTTAGTGGTGGAACAATGGGTTTTGGCAGCACATAATTCAGTTATTACTTTATTGAATGATTAATCAAGCAAAGGCATATTAAGCTCCAATTGTGTGCCAAGAAGTATACTCAGCAATGGAGATACACTGGTAAGTAAGTCCAACCCAGTGCCTGACCTCAAGAAATTCAATATGGTAAAGACAAATAGATAGATCATCACAATACAGTGTAGCAAATGATCAATTATCTATTAAGAACAATAATACCTCTCACAATAATGACAAAACTATTAAACACTGAAGAATAAACTTAAAGTGGAGCTAGAGGGAAGGGGACAGAGTAGGAAGCACCAGGAATCTTTCCCTATAACTAGACAACAAGTGCACTAGCAGATTCTGTATAACTATTTTGGAACTCTGGAGTCTATTGAAAGCTTCCAACGTCCTTGGAAAGGCTTGGACAATAAATTATAGTTTACTTTGGTCAATTTCACCTCTTAGCATGGTAGCAGCCACCCATCCTCCACCCCCAGACTGCCTTATGACAGGCAGCTGTGCCTGTGGTCTAGGAGTAGCTTGCATGCAACTTGCAATAGCCAGGATGGGGAAAAAAAGGAATCTGTTTTCTAAATATCATGGATTAGTGCTCTGATCAATGATTACTGCTTCTGATCTCAGAGATGCAGTTGTAGAGGTGGGCAGTCATTTTTGCAAGCTCCTCTCCCTCTGGTGGAAGGTACTTCCAGGGGAGTTAACGGGTCAGTGACGAGTATCTTTTTTGTTCCCATTTATCTTTCTTTTCCACCTTTGGGAGCCAAACACTTAAGCCAAAACCACTAAAACACAAAAACACAAAAGCCACTTATTTACATTTTGAATGTAAATAAGCCAAACACTTATTTACATTCAAAAATAACCACAAATACAATGGAATTTACTGTGCATGCCAAGAAAGAGGCACAGGCTCTGAAAAGAAGAAGACTTTATACATTAGGCTGTCTCTGGCACAGAGCCATCTTACAACAATCAAAACAACAACAAAAATAGAAAACTCTAGAGAAGGAAAAGAACTGGATCTCCACAGTTACATTTGCCATATATATATATATATATATATATATATATATATATATATATATATATATACACACACACACACCATATATATGTATATACCATATATATATACACCATATATATACCACATATACACACCATATATATACCATATATATATAGTTTTCAACAAAAAAATCACAGATCATACAGAGAAATGGGAAAGCATGGCCCATTCAGAGGAAAATTAATAAATTAACAGAAATTGTCCCTGAGAACGACCAGATGATAGAACTACCAGGCAAAGACTTTAAAACAACTGTCATAAAATTGCTTGAAAAATTAAAAGAAGACATGGACAAAATCAAGTAAACAATGTATTGACAAATTGTCAATATCAATAAAGAGATAGATAACACACAAAAAATAACCAAAAAGGAATTCTGAAGCAAGAAATATAATAACTAAAATAAGGGATTTAAAAGTTGATTTGAGCAGTCAGAAGAAGGAGTCAGTGAACTTGAAGATAGGACAATAGAAATTATTGAGTCTGAGAAAGAAAAAAATGTTTTAAATGAACGGAGACTAAGGGACCTGTGGGACATCATCAAGCAGAATGACATATGCATTGTGGGATTTTAAGAAGAGAGAGAGAAAGGGCCAGAGAGATTATTTGAAGAAATAATGACTGAAAACATTTCAAATTTGATAAAATACATGAATGTAAACATCCAAGAAATGAATTCCAAGAAAAACTCAAAGAGGCGTACATTAACACACATTAAAATCAGAATGTTGAAAGCCAAAGGCAAAGAGATTCTTCAAAGCAGCAAGAAAGAAGTGACTCATCACATACAATGGATCCCAATAAGATTATGAGCAGATTTCTCATCAGAAACCATGGAGGTCAGAAAGAAATGGGTTGATATATTCGAAATACTGAAGGAAAAAACAAAAAAGACTATCAGTCAAGAATTCAATATCTGGCAAAACTCTCCTTCAGAAGTGGGCATGATTATTGTGTAATCTCTTTTTTTTTCCATTATGAGGTCCAGCATATCCCCTAGTTGAATTATGCTGAGAATTAACCATTATTAATAACCTGGAAGCCAGCAGGGAGGAGAAGGCAACTCCTGATAAGGGTTCCTACTGCCTAGTTAGAGAGAAATCTAATCTCTGCAACAGTCTCCTTTAACGGTGATTTGCTAGCTCTTAATAGGGTGGGTGGATTGTTTTTGCAACCTCTACTCGTTTGAGGTCAGGGATGTCTGTAAAGCCAAAATTATCAGGGACACCTATTCTCAGGGACACCTACCCAGATGTTCCCATCCCACTTTTAGGGTCCCAGATTTTTCTCACCAGGGCCCTGACTTCAGCGTAACAGAGCTTTCTCTTTTTACCACTTGAGAGCCTCTGGACCTCTGTGACTCTAACAGGTTTTGAGTCTACTTCTCAGTTGTGAGTCCTCTTCAATTTCAGGATATATAAGTGTCTCTTTGTGAGCTACCAAAGGGCACTTTGACTCTGATACTTAACCTTTAACTCTTCATTAGCTATTGTTAGTATCTCGTTAATTCTCTACAGGACTTCAGTATAACATAATAATTGCTTACAAATCCACTGTTTTTGAAGGCCTTGTCTCTTTCATATCTTCCAAGTGTTTGAATTATCACACAAGCAAAAGTACTATCCTCCATCATGACATTTTTTTCAGGTAACCACTGATGAAATCTTCAACAATTTGGACTCCACTTTATGCCAGGGACAATCTGTACTCCACATTTCATATAGGATATTATCTTCCTTGCTAGTCAAGTGGTGAATGATCCAGTTCTCATGTCCGATTCTACCCCTGTTTTCTCAGACTACTTCCAGTGACATTTCTGTCAGTTCTAATACTCTGAGAAGCATAAACCAATATGGAATTAGATATTCAAGAAATATATTGGGGGAAAACCTATAATGAATAAAGGACAAGGGAAAACAGTAATAAAGAGATTATTATGATGCAGATCTGATATCTGTCAATGAGATAGAGAAGAGGAAAGTTTGAATCTCAGAGCACAGTGCATTTGTAACTCTAAGACTAATGGGGATTTCTCAAGCAGAGGCTGCTTCATATTGAGTAGGAATATCCCGGTCCTAGTCCTCCACCATGTTTAGTCATTGGCTGGGGGCATCCTGGGGAATGCATGGCCTCAGAGTTCAGGGGGCAGCAGTTAGGGCTGTCAGAAACTCTGACTTTACAGCAAATTCTTTTGGTGGAGATCTGAGTAGAACATGTCCATGTTCATTACACTGATTTAAAAATGAATCTGGACAATAAAAACGGGAGCAACTGAGAAGTATTTGAAAAAGAAGAACAGTGAAACTGACTAGGTGTACTAGTTGAAAAACTTACTCTAGCACTGTAAATATTTCAACAATGAGCTAACATGTAGGTTCGTCTCTTAATATCTAGATTCACCACCTTCTCATTTGTTCTCCTTGACTATGGAGGCTGGAGAGCTAAATATGTCAGTTCCCCAATGTCTCCTGCAAGTGGAAGGAAGAGGCTACCTAACTCATTGTGGACCAATGAGGTGTAAGCAGATATCTGTTGGGGATATTGTGAGTTTTCTGGGAGCCACTATTGCCAAGGATGGCAACCCTAGCTCATTTGTGGCTTAGGCTGACCACCCTTGAATTTTGTGTTATGTGATATTAATAAATCCTTACTTGATCAAGATATTTCAATTGATTATGTCATGTAAATTAAATTCTCTTTGGATGAAACATCTAGTATTTTTTGTTAAAATAATAGGTCATTTTAACAGCATTGAGAGCTAAAAGCAGACCCATGACTATGGAAACTTAATATTTCAAAGTTGGTATATCAAATTAGTGAAGAGTAGATGGATAATTATTTGTGTTGGGACAACTATATACTGGACAAAAAAATTTCTTTACACTATACACAATAATACAGTTCATATTGAATTGCAGTTGATATTAAAACATAAGATAAATTTGGAGTACGTGAGATTTTCTAAATAACTCAAAGTATAAAGTCATAAAGGAAAATAAAGATCTGTCTATTACATTATTATTGAAGATTTCTGGATCACAAAAAGCCCCATAAACAAAGTTAAAACTCAAATGACAGGCAAATGCATGTGATGTATCTTGACAGCCATAGACATAGAAATAGAGAGATTATTAAAATCCATAATATGTAAGGTACTCTTCTATACCAATAAGGCAAAACAATATCTCAATTAAAGGTATATGGACAAGCAATTTCTGGAAGAGAAACTACAAATGAGATTAATAAATGAAAGGACAATCTCACTGGTAATTAGAGACATACAAATTTTAAAAATTGCTATCATTTTTGACCCATCATATTGATGAAATTTTTAAAAGGATGGATAAAATTAAAAGTGTGTGTGACAATGTAGAGATACAGGCATTTTTACGCACTTTGTTGGAAGTGTAAATTTGTAAGCCTCTTTGGAAGGCAATCTGCCATGTTAATTACAAGTGAAAGTGCACATGACCTCTGCTTGGTAAGACTGATGCTACTGCCACTGTCCGTCATAGAGGAGCATGGGTTGCAAAAGATCTGAGGTACAAGGGATCTTTGCCAAATCAAGAATAGGTGAACTGTGGCTTCAAAGTTATTTACCGTAAGGAAGAAATTATAGGAAAGAGGAATAAGATGAACCTTTTTCAGGTATGTAATTCTGAAACCATATGATTAGCTTTGGGAGATACTGAGGCTTTGGGTGGCCAGAACAGACAGTGAGTGTGGACAAAAAATGAGAGATAAAACTAGAGAGTTAGGAAAAAACTAAGTCATGAAGGGCTTGAGTGTCTTGGAGATACAGGGCTTGGGTTCAAAATGCCATGAGGAACCAGTGAAGAAAGTGACCTTACTTGATCATTAAGAGGCTCCCTTTAGTTGCAGTTTAATTGGTACAATAGAGAGAGGAAAGTCTAGGAGGAAAACAATGAGAACCAGAACACAGAGAATAGTCAGAAGATGGGAAGGTGGGCCCAGAAATGAGAAATTCTGTGGAAATCAGATTAACTGACTCACCCAGTACCATGAAAAAACATTCATAGCAGAGTTGTGAGGAGTACTTACATCTAAAATAGAAAAGAATGGTAGGTAAGAAAAAGCAAGTGCATGTTTGGGAAACTGTCTAGGAAATGTCAAATGCTTTATTTTATGTGACCTCAAAATGAGAAGCTCTCTTTCCCCACGCATGGTGTAATTGGACCTGATCAAAATTATTCAATGGTTTGAATTTGCTGCAGCTAGGAAATGGGGAGAGAGAAATGGGCTTAAAGTCAGTTAAACTTGCAATCTAAGTATAGTTCTGCAGCTTTCTAGTTATGAGATGTTGGGCAAGTCTCTTGACTCATTTAAATTTCAGTTTCCTCAAATATAAAATGAAAGAGACAGTATTTTGTTTCATCTTGGTTGTTCTGAGGTTTAAACACAATAATATATATGAAGGAGGCTTATAAAATACAAATGCAATTTTAAATGTGGCTAAAAGTAGTTAAGAGATAGTGTATCTGGATTCTTAAGGTTTGCAGGTGCATTCTTGTAAGCTGTTATGAATAAAAATGTCTAAAATCTACACAAATAAGTGCTGCTTGTCTAAGACCCATATTAGATTTTACCTAATTATGTAGTATTTCTGTCTCCAACTATGACTGCAAATTTTTTGTGGGTCAAGCCTCTCCTTTGTTCCTTCTTTTGTATCACTGCACAGAGCCTAACTTAGCATGGGGGTGGTACAAATTCATATTGATCAAATGCAATTAGACATTGTACTAGATAATTTGGAATATGTTAATATGTAGACTGGTGATTGTTAGTTTAGTTTTAACCTGAGAAAACTGATGCTCAGAAAGATGCAGTGATTTGCTCAAGACACACAGTTATTAAATGATGAAATGGGATATAACCTCTGGTATTTCTGACTGCAAAACTCATCTTCTGTGAAGAACTAAATTAAGTTGTATTTAATTCCTGAGCTGCGGTTCCTTCGTAAATGAGCTTAGGTTTACAATCTGAATTTGGTCTTACAACTCTAGGCAGTGCTCCGGTCTGCCACGTTATACACTGGGCACACTCTGTGAAAGTGTAAGAGGTATTCTGGGTGACCTATCCAATTAGAAGAAGAACCAATGTCCTATATATTAACCTCAGAGGAAGAAAAGACTTCTTCTTAGTATTTTCACAGTAGGATGTTGTACTTAATAACCCTGAATCTGAAAAATCAAGAACATAAAAAAAGTCCTAATTACAACTTTTCAGGCATCTGGGGGAGGTCCAAGAATTAGCTATTTTTTCTTCAGTAAAATGAGAGAATGTTAGACCTGGTAGGTAATCAGAGATTGTCTAGTACATCTGGCTTTAATATCAGATGAGAAAACTGAGTCTCAGTGAAGTCAAATAACATCTCCCAGATTATACAGGAAGTTAGTGGCGGAGCTGGAAATAGATTCCATTTACCTTTCAGGAAAAAAAAACAAAAATTCTTTCCACCATGGTTTTTGGCAGTCTGAGATAAAACATTAAAGCCAGACAACTCTTACAAAAGTAAATTGAAACACCAAAGTTTCTATCATATTTTGAACTTATTCTATCCCCTTCCCCTTATACCATTGTACTGCACATAAAATGGTGTATCAATAAATTGTTAATTAATTATTTGATTAAAATAGTAGATTGGAATTTGCTTTAGTCATTCACAGGAGGAAAAATAAAAACAAACAGAGGAGTTTTGAATGCAATATATCTAAGTAGTTCCTCCCAGACATGATCCTCCAACAGGTAATATAATAAATAGTGAGGGAAAAACAAAACATGGCCCAAAGTTACTAGAAATAAACAAAACCAGGCAGACTCTGGCTGGAAGACTGGATGACATGCTATAAGTGGCCCTTTTTATTTTTATTTTTTCACTTTTAGCCTGAAAACAGGTTAAAGTCAGTGCCATGTTGGATGGCTACATCAAACCAACAAAACACAGCTAAAAAAATAAAAATAAAAAACAACAATAAAAAAAACTACCAACCAAAACTACCAACCCCCCCCAAAAAAATAAAGAAATTTACCATCTTTCTGGTTCATAGAACCAAAGGACAGAGAGTGGAGCAACCACAATGATTGGAAAATAAGGGAGCATGACTGGAAGGAGGGAACAAAAATTTCAAGTATAAATTCTGTCCAAATCTCAAGTGATTCATGAACTACGCAAGTGTGAGACAGATTCTAGCTAAGGTGGAAATTTAAGCTTTTACTTAAAAGCTAGAGTTTGCAATTTGAGTCTAATCAAATTAAATCCTTGATAAAAACAAAGCAAACCGACAGATAAAATTATATTTCCGAAGAATATAACATCTAGAACCTCCAAATCTAACATTAATATGTCCAAGACATGACAACAAAAATTACTCAACAGATGAAGATCCAGGAATGTCATTAATTCTCAAAAGACAATCAACATCCATCAATCTTGAAATGATTAATGGGAGTTATCAAATATTTTAAAGCAGTTACTGTAATTATATTCAAAAAAGCAAGGAAAATAAACTTGTAGTCAATAAAAAGATGGGAAGTCTCATTAGAGAAATGGAAACTTAAAGAATGAAATAGAAGTTTTAGAATTGAATAACACTATTTGAAAAAATAAGCCTATTCCATTTCTAAGATTGTCATATATTATAGGTCTGTCTTGCAGGAAAAAGAAAAAAAAAAAGAAAGAACATGGCTGAGACTTATTGGAAGTTAGAAGGAGGGCAGAACATACAGTGCACACCTACCTGGATGAGGAGCTGCAAGACTTGCAGAGGGTGCCGAGAAGCAATGGGTTTTCCTTTGCCTAGAGTGCTATTTCCCAAATTAAATTCCCTAAGATGTCAACAGATGTTACCAAAAAATGGTATATGAAATTAATAAAAGAGAGGTTTTTAAAATCTGCTTTTTAAAAACTGAAGTACTTCTTGAAGCTCTCAAAAACAAAACAAAACAAAACATGCAAATGTGTGATTTGAGTCTCTAAGAAGAGGGATGCAAAGCAGGTTCCAAACATATTCAACTACAGAAACCTTTCTATTCCAGGGCATGTAGAGGAACTCGTGTTCTGCAGAACACACTTTTGGAAACAGTAGGATAGAATCCAATCTTGTCACAGAATTCAAAGCTCTTTGCCATTTAGTCCCAGCTGTTCAAACTCATTACCTTTCAGGATTCCTCATAAGATGTATTAACACATAAGACTTTGTTTTAGCAATCATGATGTATTCTTTGTTTTGTATGCCAAAGCACCCTTACCTCATCATTTATGCAACCTCCCTATACACGTAGAATGCTTTTCTGCAATGTTGTATTTTCTAGTCCTATCTCAATGATTATAGTACCCCCTGAGAAGTATGAGCATAACCCAATCTGTGCATTTTCATT
This sequence comes from Homo sapiens, assembly GCF_000001405.40. Classification (NCBI taxonomy): domain Eukaryota; kingdom Metazoa; phylum Chordata; class Mammalia; order Primates; family Hominidae; genus Homo; species Homo sapiens. The sequence continues at coordinate 134,172,164 of NC_000008.11, read as the reverse complement.
GTGAGATGGCACAGCGTGTGGGGAATTAGTCATCATCAGAGTGATTAAGCTCTGGACGACGTGAAAAACGTTGGCTGAGTTCTAGCCCAAGAATGGACATTGGCTATTTAGGGGTCCAACAAACTCCAGGTTTCCATCCTAATGGGCAAAAAGTATGTAGCCAGGGCACAGGTTGAAGGGAAGTCAAGAGGTACATACTCATTGAGGTCATTATTGTAACATTTTTAAAGAAGAAAGCTAGATTTAAGAGAGCTGGATGGTAGCCCCAGCTTTGCTCCTAAAAGGCTGTGTAGAAGTCAGCAAGTCATTTTCCTTCTTGTAAATTTACCTGAGTGAATAGGTCGCACTGGTGGTATCCTAGGGATTCAAATGAGGACAACCGGGTGAGGTGGTGGGATGGTTGGAGTAAAGAAGGAGCCACCCCTGGCTTCCACCAGAGCAGCTCTGCTTATTTTCTCCATTTTATATTGGGCTTCCACATACGAGTCTTTTAATGCTACTCAGAGACAGCTTGCAAACCTTTGAAGTAGATGATTTCCAAGGTGATTTCTATCTCTAGCATTTTGAGGGATTATTATTCAATCTGTATACTTGAAAGGAATTTTCAGAAAAGCCCTTGTGGTCATTCCTGCTCCATAATCTGTAATTGAGGTTTGCAATAGTGTGAAATGGTGCTTCTCAAATTTTAATATATACTCAAATTGCCCAGGCTTTTTGTTAAATTCTGCTTCAGGAAGTCTGGGATGGGTCCTGGGAGTCTGTACTTCTTACAAGGGTCAGGTAAAGCTGATGCTGTTGGTTGAAAAGTCGCACTTTTGAACAATGGAACACAGTTTTCTAGTGAAACACTATGGAGAGAAGGGTCAACAGCTAAACAAGTGTGAAGGCTGCTGAATAACCTAGCTGCTCTTATAGTCTTATGAAGCATGCTGTAAGAGACTATCAAAGTCTTGCACAAATTTGGCTGGGTTTTAACTGGTGTTTCCTGAATGAATTTTACTACAGAATCCTTTCATGAAGAAATGCCTATTTACATAAAAACAACAACAAACAGGTGTTATGTGAAACACTATTTTGGAAGAATTTTAGTATACAGGGGTCTTAAAAGAAAATTATCTGCTCACTCAATTCCTATTTCTGTTACCAAATAAATCACATTCTCAGATTTTACCTGAGAATAATCAAATATACAGCTTCCTTGAACTTTGCTTGAAATTTCAAATGCTAAGTCTTTTGAAACCAGTTAAAGGCAAATACATGTGTCAGGAATGGCCTTAACCAGATAAGGCTTCAACGCTATGAATGGTACTGTGCTAACTGGAAGATGTTGGGAAATGCCTCCAACTAGAAATATCTATTCTGCCAATGATTATGTACCCCATTGCTGATGAATTATTCTTTTAGGTAACACTTCACTGTCTCCTGTTCTTGGATGAGCAGGCTCCCAGGAATGCTGAACATTGGGTCACTAACACACATTGTGGCAAAGAGTTGCTGTGATCTCTTGCTTCCCAAGATGGCCATGGAAAACAATGAAACAGGCCCCTCCCATGTCCATGGACAACCCCTTTCAAAGTGTGCCCACTTACCCCTTGACCTTCCCAACAATCTGAGGGTAAAGCTAAGGCATGGATTATCACGCTTGTTGAACAGATGAGAAATTGCAGCTGAGAGGATAAGTTATTTGTTGGAAGACCTCCCTCTATCGGCAGAGCAAAGATAAAAGGTCAATAAAGAGGTCTAAGAATTAGCAGACTTTTCCGAGGCACTTCATATATTTGATTTTTTTGGTCCCATTTTGCACATTGAAAAACTGAGGTGTAAGATAATGTGTCACTTGTCCAAGTCTCCCAGTTAGTAAATGGTGGTGCCAGGATGCAAGTCCATCTGTTAGATTTCAATGCATCAGTGTGGGTGCCTTCAGTATTTCTTCATCTATTTCAGATATTAGCAGCTACTAGGCCTTGTAATGGAGGGGAAAAGGCTTCACAAGGATAATGAGGTATAAGATCAGACATTTGCAACAGAGAAGTTTTCTCTACTGCACAAGTTTGCCCAAGGCCAATCATCATTTCATTACATGTTTTTTTTCCCCCTTTTAAATATATTGTGCAGTATTTTGTATGAGGTGGTGTTATTGTTAGCTCATGATTCCTTAATATCTTAATGAAACACTTTACTTCCTAGGTACATTTTTATATCATTCATCTCAGAGAAACTCTAAAGATTTTTTAAAAATCATTTGACATGAAATCTCTATTTTGAGATTGACCCAGCCTGTACAGTTTTGATTGTCTGGAGTCTTAAAAAATGTTCTTCCTAAGCAAAAACACTAGTCAGCAGAGAAAGAAAAACAAAAAAACAAAAATCACCTTATAAAGTTTTATAAAGACATCCAGACAGACTAGCCTCTTTGACAAATCAGGTCTGTAGAGGAATATGAAATCAGGTCTACAGAAGAATACGAAAGGGTCAGACTCAGAACATGCAGAGACAAAATTGGCCAGAAATTCCTTCTGTTGACAACACGATACAAGGCTCAGAGCAGATATTCCATTTCTCAACTCAAAATATTCTTCTAGGAAGGAAAGCTTTTGACCATCTGCCTAGGGGGCCATTTGCACCATGTCCTCATAAAGTGATCTTGGTATTTTTCATAGGATTTCACACTCCACATGTTGACTGTGACTTATAGATCCCATTTCAAATGTTATTTATTTCTTCTTTTTTGATAATCAGCCAAAGTGAAAATCTGTGTGCTGCCAACGAATCAATCTCAACGTCATTCTTACTGGTGCCACCTTGGGCTAGAGGCAATGCGGGTAAATGTGTCGGGGACTAGGCTAGGACATTTCCAGGATGCCTGGTTTAATATACACCCTGAGAGTGGCAGGAGGCAGACAAATGCCTAGGAAGACAGGGCTGGGTTCCCAGTGAAACTCCACCTTCAAGACAAAGACAATTTAAAGTCTAGCTGTAAGTCCCAGGTAAATCCATGGACTGGATTGAGAATCTGTCTTTCCTTTTGATGTGCTTTCCTCGGATTGTCCCTACCCTTCACCTATTTTACATATACCTACCTTCCCTAATTGGCATGTTACACTGTCATGCCAACCTTTGAGTGCTGCCTTTAACTTTTCTGCATACTCACAAACCAATCAGAGTGCACTCCCCTACTCTGGGCCCATAAAAGCCTGGGAGTCAGCCACACTGGGAGAGAAACCACTGGACTTTGGGTGGGAGACCACCTCCATGTCCCCTTTCTGCTGAGAGCCATTCTGTCGCTCAATAAAATTCTTCTCCACCCTCCTTATCCTTCAACTGTCAGTGTATCTTCATTCTTCTTGGATGTAGGACAAGGACTTGGGAACTGCTGAAAGTGAGTATGAGCTATAACACAGGTGGGCTGAGCCCATGCACAAGCCAGGCACGGCCTGGTGGGCCAAGTGGGCAGGCCACCTCCTGTGGCAGGAAGTGTGCCCAAGCAAGGTCCAGGCGGGGGCGTTGCCAGCTGGAGGTCCCCAGCTGGCAAAGTGACCGAGAAAACTCCTGCATCAACCCTAATCCTATGAGGTAGGTAAGACTCCCCAAACCTATATGCCCATGAGATCAGCTGAAGAGCTTTATGAAAATGAATTCCAATCCAGGCCTATTGGAACAGAAACTCTGGGATAGAAACATGAAATTTCTATTTCAGTAGTTATCCAGGGAATTATGAGGCAGTTTGAGATTAACCAGCATCTGAGAGAAAACAGACGTTGTTGTCTCACTTTATTCATGAGGAAGCTGAAGTTCCTAGAGAGAACATGCATCCCAGATGACTGTGCTAATTGTCCCTGGTTCTCACCCATAGGCCCTCTTCAGAACATCTGTTGAGGGACCCCTTACAATTGAAAGTATGGTCTGCAGAGTGGCAGCATTAGCATCACCTGGGAGCTTCTTAGAAGTACAAACTCCCAGACCCCCTCACCACAATGGCAAATTCAAAATCTGCATGTTAGCCAGTTCCCCAGGGGACAGTACTGCTCTGTACTTCTGGGGCTAGGAACTGAAAAAATTGCATTTAACAGACTCCACTGCCAGCAAACCTCCTTTAAAGTTTTTGCCAGTGGGAGGCACTAAAGGAGATAAAAAGGTAAGAGGAAGAAAGGAGCTATTTTTGTCCACTTTTGCATTTCCTACAGAGGCAGGAGCAGGGCCAGTGAATTTGAGACAGGCTACTGTGGGCTCCAGCATGTGATCATGATTTGTGAGTTTCTGGGTAAGTAGGGGCTCTGGGGCTCCTGCTTGTGGTGGCGTTGTAACGTAGTAACAACAGCAGCAGGGACCTGGCACTGGTGGTGTTCATGAGCTCCAGCCAAGGGGCAGCAGAATGTTCTTGACTTAAGAGTAACAGTCTCTTCTCTTCTGAACCTTCAGCTCTTCCAACTCCATTGTAAACAATTACTGGCATTAAGCCCCAGTCTTCTTGAAATTACAAGAGTGTTTCTCTTTAACTGGACATTAACTGATATAATATTATCATATAACTATATTCCTTATCAAAGGCGTGGGGTGGAGATTCAGCTCCAGAGTCTGTGACTTCAAAGCTCACATTCTTAATTGATACCAAATATGCAAAAGCAGTGTACAATAAAGCATTCGCTTATGTGGGGCAAATGGGATGTCTCTTTCCTATTCATTCTTTTATTCACTCAAAAAATATATGCTGAGGGCCGGACACAGTGGCTCATACCTGTAATCCCAGAACTTTGGGAGGCCGAAGTGGCCAGATCACTTGAGGTCAGGAGTTTGAGACCAGCCTGGCCAACACAGTGAAACCCCATCTCTATAAAAACTACAGAACTTAGCCAGGTGAGGTGGCAGGCGCCTGTAGTCCTAGCTACTCGAGAAGTTGAGGTAGGAGAATTGCTTGAACTCAGGAGGTGGAGGTTACAGTGAGCTGAGATCGTGCCACTGCACTCCAGCCTGGGTTACAGAGTGAGACTGTCTCCAAAAATAAAACAAAAAAAAAAAATACACACACACACACACACACACACACACACACACACACACACAGACACTGAGCACTTATTCTGTGCCAACTGCTGTGATAAGTTTTGGGGATCCAAAGTTGAATAAAGCCTATCTCCTGCTATCATGGAAAGAAGATTCATAGGCAATTTATTATAAGACGGTGTGGTAAGTTTAACTTTGGAAAGTTAAATGAATTACTATATGCTAAGTGCTTAATGACTGGCACATGGGACTTGCTAAAAATAAACATGGTAGTTATTATTATTACTTCTAAAGCTCTCTTATAGATGACTGTTCCAAATGGTTTTTCCCAGTAATTTAGTTCATTCACTGTGGCAATCAAATCTGTATTTCTCATCCCATCAACCTAAAATAAAGTCGGAGTGGGGAACACTCTGGTCTGTCTTCCTCTTTTTAGAAGGACACAGATCTCATCATGAGATCCTCACTCTCATGAACTCATCTAAAAGTAATTACCTCTCAAAGGCCCTGTCTCCAAATACCATCACATAGGGGGCTAGGGTATCAATATGAATTTTGGGGGGAACACAAATATTTAGTCCATAACAACAGATAATACCAAGTTTTGATGAGGACATGCTCCACCGTAACATTAGTATGTTTCTGGTGGGCGTGTAAAGTGGTACAACCACTTTGAAAGCCAGTTTGGCAATTAAATAACATTAAACCTGAACCTGTGAGATATATGTATCACAAAAATTCTACTGTTAGGAATCTATTCAAGAAAAATAAAGATGCATGTCTACAAAAGACATACACCTGAATGTTTACAGAAGCAGTATTCATAATAACCAAAACTGCAAACAAACCAAAGTTTTATTACCTGTCAGATAAATGAAATGTGATATGCCACACGCAGTGGAGTACTATTCACCAATAAAAAGTTACAAATTACTGATACGTGCTTCAACATAGATGAACATTAAATATACTATTCTAACTAAAGAAGCCAGACACAGAACACCCCATATCACATTTCCATTCAATGAAATGGCCGTAAATGGCACAATTATACGGACAGCAGATCAGTGGTTGCCTAGGGCTGGGAATAGGAGGTATTTAACTATAAAGGAGCATAAGGGAAATTTAGGAAATGTAGAAAGTGTTCTAAAACTGGATTGCATTGATGGTTGAACAATTATAAAATTTACTGAAAATTATAGAAATATATACCTACAATGGGTGAATTGCACATACATTTTATCTCAAGAAAGCTATGAAAGAACACACCAATTACTTTTTGTCTTAAGGGAAGTGATTGGCAAATTTATTTTATATTTTTTCAAAGTAAAATTCTTGTAACTAAAAACATGCATTCAGGTTTCCTAATTTGAGATACAGCCATAGTCACATTTTTATCTCTGACTTAAGTCATTTCACTTCATCTCTATGATTTTCGGTTTTTTCATATGTGGTTAGAGAAGGCTGAACTACATCATTTCTAAAGTCTCTTCTGGGATGGGTGCAGTGGCTTATGCCTATAATCCCAGCTACTTGGGAGGCTGAGGCATGAGAATTGCTTGAACCTGGGAAGCGGAGGTTGCGGTGAGCCAAGATCATGCCACAGCACACCAGCCTGGACAGCAGAGTGAGACTCTGTCTCTAAATAACCAAATAAATAAATAGTCTCTTCCATCTCTGATTTTGTAGAATTCTTCAAATTGGTTTAGTTTATTTCTTGACCTGTCTGTTAGACTCAGGATGCCAGAACATTTCCTATAGCTTGTCTTTGTTGTCAGGTCAGAGTTTGGAATAGACCATCTTATACTTTCCTGCTTGATCAAGAACATCAGAGAATGTCTTCATTTGATTATCACTGTCCTAAGGAGTTGGGCACAGCTGGCTAAAAATTGAGCAATATTTGGCCAATTTATTTTAAGTGGCTCTGCTCACTTTTTAACTTAATTTTACATGAGAGAGAATTTTACTGGGCAAATTTAGCTTATCACACATAAATGGCAGCATTAAAACTAAAACAGAATTGATTTTTGCCTACCAAGGCTTGTTGGTCTAATTTATGGACTACAGTGTAATATCGGAAGTCCAAAAATTATTTTGTTGTCATCGATTAAAAAGTGTAGATCTCTTCTGTTTTTCTTTTGCTGATCCTGATGCGTTTTGACATAGACATGGTGCCCTTTTTAAGTATTGAAGGGGTAATATGTGAAGTCACATTCAACTTTTACATTGGAATAATGCATTGCCATGTGTGCTGAATGTATGCATGCCCTCAAAATTCATGTTGAGATCTTAACCCCCAAGTTGATAATATTAGGAGATGATGCCTTTGGGGGTGATTAGGTTGTGAGAGTTCACTCCTGTAAGTGACCCTTGAGAGCCTTTTTACCCTTTCTGCCACATGAGGACACAACAAGAAGATGGCCATCCATGAACCCAGAAGAAGACCATGGCTGGACACTGGAACTACTGGCACCTTGATCTTAGCTTTCCAAGTTCCAAAACTTTGAAAAAATAGATGTTTATTGTTGAAGGCACTCAGTCTATGGTAGTTGGTTACAGCAGCCTGAGAAGATTAAGGCGTAGATTAATGTTCAAATTTAGTATGCGTGCAGATATGCTGGGGACCTTGTTATAATAGAAACGCTGTTACTATTGTTTTGGGTGTTCCCTGAGGGTCTGCATTTCTAAAAAGCAGAATTTGCCATTGCTGGTTGTTGGGCCACACTCTGAGTTGAAGTGTTAGAATTAAAAAACAGAAACTGTAAAAGGGGCCAGGTGTGGTGGCTCACGCCTATAATCCCAGCACTTTGGGAGGCTAAGGCAGGTGGATCACCTGAGGTCAGGAGTTGGAGACCAGCCTGGCCAACATGGTGAACCGTCATCTCTACTAAAAATACAAAAATTAGCCAGGTGTGGTGGCACGCCTCTCTAATCCCAGCTACTCGGGAGGCTGAGGTGGGAGAATTGCTTGAACCTGGGAGGTGGAGGCTGCAGTGAGCTGAGATCATGCCACTGTGCTCCAGCCTGGGTGACAGAGTGAGACCCCATCTAATAAAATAAAATAAAATTAAATTAAATTAAATTAAATTAAATTAAATTAAAATAAAATAAAATAAAATAAATAAAATAAAATAAATAAAATAAAATAAAATAAACCATAAAAGGGAAGAAGTTACAGGGAACAGCCTCAGGATGATGACAGTGAAAACCATCTACAAAAGGAATAACAGACCTCCAGGGGCCATAATTCTCCATCCCTAATAGTGGTCACGAGAGGCCGTAAGAACTGCAGCAGAAGGAACTAGTGGTTGAGGGTCTTGCTAGACCAGAAGACTTCAAATGTCTTCTCTCAGTTTTCACATTTTTGGAGCATCTCTTTGACTTTGATGTGTATATATAACTACATATTCCTAGGAACTTTAATTTTCCTACTGATTGCAAGCGTTTTTGGATTTTAAGGGTCATGCTTTACTTGTGCTGGGGCCGCTGCATTACAAGCACAAGCGTATCAATTGCATGTCCTGCTCTGCCTCTTTCTCTTCCTGGAGGAGTAAACACCGGTCTTCCTGTCCTCTGGCTCCTGGTAAGCAAGAACACAATGGACGGGCCTAGTTCTCTCTGTGACTCTTAGACCTGGGTTAGGAAGGGCGGCCCCTATGATCTTTCTCAGCAGATTCTTGTTAATGAGAGTGATAACTTGGGTCTCTGTCCAGTGTTTATCCACAAGCTCAACCTCGTGTTTTTCCTGAATATGAAATTTTCAATGGTTAAATAGATGAATAAAGATGGCATTTTGTTCTTACTTGACAATTGATCTTTACACATGTACTTCATTGATCAGACACTTTAAAGGAATAAAAAAGGGTGACCATTGGACTTCTACCTGCAAAAAGTGGTCGTCATCTCTCTGAAGGATTCCCTTGAAGGGGGATCAGTCAGCTTCTCCCAGAGCCACAGTGGGGATCCTGCAGTTGCTGAGTATGTCTATTTTAATTATGCCTTTTGTAACTGGGAAAGTAACCACAGGATGGGCCCAGGGATCCAATGGTCTCATGAGGAGATGGGCCTGAGCTAAAACTCCATTGATCACCTCACTTACAGTGGATTTTAAGCTCTCCGCTTTGACTGACTGGTGGGGCCAGAGTGACATTTTTGTTCTCCTGGAAACAGTATCAGTTTAGAGCCTATGTCCGGTAATCCCCAGAAGGTATGAGTATTTCCTTTTTCCCAATGCACAGTCATCCTGGCAACAGACCATAGGAAGGGCTCATTTTCAGTAGGCTGGGAAAAGTCATCCTATTTAGTAGATTGAAATAATTTTCCCTGGACTATCTAGTTAGGCTGGTCCTCCCAGCCCCCTAAGTCCTAACAAAATTAGTAAGAATGGCCCTCTTCCCAGCCTGGAAGAGCTCCCTGGGAATTTTCAGTTACAGAAAATTCTGAAAAGGCCCAAGAGAGGCCTTTCTGAGCCCTAAAGTGGGACTTGCTTCCATACCAACAGCTGCTAATTCTATGTTTAGTCACCCCCACAGGAATTTAAGATACAGTACGAGTCATGATCATTATTTATTTGATAAATACATGGTGGATCCAAAGAGTAGCAGATACTAAGGAGGATGCCAGGAATGCAACAATGAACAAGACAGACATGGCCTCTGACTTTAAGGAATGTGTAGTTTCGTGAACTGGATCACTTCAACCACATGTGAGAAGTGCTTGTGAGAGGCTGCTGGCTGAGACTTGAAGGCATCAGAGAAAAAAATCCTGGGAAAGGTGCGTCTATCCTGACACCTGGAGGAACATCCGAACTAAGAGATGAGGAGCAACAGGGACCAGACTGAGAGACTGTCATAAGCCAAGGTTCTGAAGAGGAAGGAGTTCAGAGGAGGAATGACATCACTGGAATGTAGGTTTTGATGGGTGAAATGTGACAGACTCTCTCCTTCACCAAACTTTAGTCAGGCTGCTCTTAGTCCCCTGCTCAGCTAGGTGTCAACCTTTGCCCCCATCCTTGCTGGAATTGTATAGCCCAGCTGCAGCAAGAATCCTGCTAAGTCAGTTTAGTGGGAAGCCTCCACCCGTGATATTTGATCACATTCCTCACTCCCCACTCATCACCCTGGGCTGTCTTCAGCAAGAATCCTGTTTTTAGTTTAGCAAGAATCCTCCTACCCTTGATATCTCCTCTTAGTAATTTTCCATCCACTAACCACCCTCTCCTGCTCCTTGGCTGAAAACCCTAAAGCTTCCTGGTTGTATTGTGAATTGTGCTCAGTTCTCGTCTGAAGTCTCTTTTCCCCTATTAAGATGGTTTCTGAATAAAATTTATCTTTACCCCCTTAATGAGTGTCTGGCTCTGGTTGTCTTCAACAAAGGGAAGAGATTGAGGCTGGAGAGGGAAATATTAGCCTGGCTAGGAAGTGATTTTAATTTTTAGAGGGCTATTACATGGCTTAAGAATTCTAGTACTATGGTATATTTACAGGTTATAAAAATCAGTCTCATTAAATAATAGAATGAGGGGTAGGTGAATTCAGGAGAACAGTCAGATATCCAAATTAAATCCATACCAATAAAATTAGTTTATTGTTACATAGTAAGAAGATGGTCAGGCCCCTTTAAGAGTCATTGGTTTTTTATATAACTTTAAAATAAGCCCAAACAAAAATGAAATGAGCCTAAACAGCAAGATTCAATGACATGGAGGCCTCTTTAGAGGAAGTGATGACTAAGTAACAATCTGGAATCAGGAAGATAAAGCTGTAGTGAGGTAGATGACAGGTTGGGTAAGCTCTGAGCACAGGAAACTGCATGAAGTGAGATAAAGTACGGTGTGTTTTAGGTACACCACAGGGAAAAACACCCCACCAAATTCAGTGTGATAAAAATATTCATAATTCCTTCTCACCATTTATGATTCTACACATATGGAACCAACATAATTTCTTCATTGCCCTCCTAAATGCCAGTTCACACTACATAACATTATGACATACCTGCAGGTACATTAGTCATGCTCTGTGATCCATGATGTGAGGTCCCCAATCTTCCCAACACCTCTTCTGGAACACTCCCCCTCTTTCTTCTGCAATGCTGTTTAAGAGAAACAATATCATCACCTGCAATACAAAGCAGTCCGTTCCACACACATCTGAATGCCATAGTGGACTCCTCGTCCCATGCTTGGAATAAGGAGTTTAGGGCAGAGCTAGAATCTTAAACTAGATTCTTGAACATGTATGAAGCTCCCACTGGGCTGAAAGCAAGAAATAACAATGTACACCTTCAAAAACTTTTTTCTTTTTTTTTTTTACTAGAATGAGAGCTTAGCTACAAAGAGCTTAGTTTCCGATCCCTCTAGTATTCACCCCTATGTATTATTTGGACTTAGGACTTGATAGTAGAGAATAAAAATTGATTCCCATCCCTGACTTTCAGAGAAACATATTCCCCCAAACAGCCAGCACACTCTGCAAGCTAGCAGGCTTTTTAAGGTCTGTAATTTTTTTCCCCTATTTTTAGTCACATCTCAATCTCCCCCATTCTGGAGGAAAACGAGGTATATCAAGGTAAGAATAAAGCAATTGGGAACCAATAGTGCTGGGTATACATTTAAAGAACCTTGTTCCAAATAATTTAACAACTTCCTGGATACAAAAATAAATTAGATTTGCAAAGTCTAATGGTGGGATTGCTCAGAGGATTAATAAGAAGCTAGAAGTTCTCCTATTGAGGAAACACAATTAGCTTTTTATATTTCCTTTTATACTGCAGTTCTTATTTTTAACATATTGCGTTGTATAATGCATCATTTTTATTGTTTTAAATGTCCTCTCATTTGTATCATTTCTCAGTTTTCAAAGCATTTCAGCCTCTTACTGCATTTTTATCTTTATGAAAATTATGTGGGTTTGATTAGGCAAGTTTTTTAAAATTCAAATTTAAAAATAAAAAAATCAAGGACAACTTTAAAATATTTATGAATATAACTTCAATACTCTGATTTTATAAACCACATTCCAGAGCTTTTCTTTGGTGGACAAATAGGAAATGAATTTGAAATGATATTAAACCCAAGAAAGATGCTTGAAGAAATGAAAACATTTAAAAAGTCACATCGTTATTACTTATGAAATAAATCTACTTTTAGTTTAATAGAATTCCTCTCTCAACAAATTCTTAGAATGTTTGAAAATATTAAATTATTATTTTAAAATGTCATCTAGGGAATCCTGGGGAACTGCAGAGATCCAGGAATCCTACTCTACACTATATTTATTATCTCTATGAATTTTGTAAGAAGATGTGCACACAGAAAACAGAAATATATAGGGGGACAAAAGGTTCTACTTTATTAGAATTCTGGGAGGCTGGTCCAAAGTCTATGACCTGAGTTCAAGTCCTACTGTGGTCTTCACTTTACTTACTGGGGCTTAACTTGAGTCTCATGATTTTACCATCTTCCAGTCAATATCATGCAGGGAGAGAAAATGGAACAGTGACAGAATAGGTACAGAGAAAACACAGAGACTGTGGCACAGGTACATCTCTCCTCCTTTAGATATAGAGAAGGAAGAAGCAGAATAAAGATAGAGGTTGACCACTTGCAGGTCCTCTACTTGACACTTCTAAACTATAGACAAGAGAGAAGAGAGAGATTGCTGGCCTTCAGCATCAGGAAGAAAACCACAGGGGATCTCACTGCTCCCTTCTCATGGATGGCAGGGGAAGTCTAGTAACCCACATCAAGGGAGGAAATCTTTAGACCCTGCTCACTACTGAAGACTTGGCTCAATCAACATCCTGGAATCTGACCAATCTGTTTCTCCTTGGAGGGAGAAACAAGAAAGGGTGAGCTGAGCTCCCTCGCAGAGTTAGAGTCCTAGAGTTCTGGTGAGGAATGTTGGACAGAAAGAAATCAAGTTGCACGGATTTTTTCTTTCCTGTTTCATATGCTTGGCACCAAAAAGTCAGTTAATAATATCAGCAGTTCTATTCCAAACACAACCATATTGCAATCTCTAAAAACCAGTAACAGCTGGAAAGAAATACTTATGTGGCTGCCTCTCTGTTATCAAAGATCTTGTGGTCAGTATTTTGACATTGGGAAGCAATAATGATCTAGTTCTAAATTATATGTGGTAAAGCTTACTTTAGAACGCATGGTGAATTGAACATGAAAAGAAATGGCTCTCTTATTGTGAGTACAGAATTGCTGGCATCACAAAGAATGGAGAGGTCTCTATTCCATCTCCTTCTGTTAGAGAAAAGAGAGTTTAAGAAAACTAAAGCTGACACTTTTTTTTCTTAATTTTCCTTTAAATCCAAGATGACCACTTCTAATTGCATTTTGTTCCCTTTTGCTACGAAGCTAATATTCTTTTAATCTGATGTTTTTCACTTATAACTTCAAAACAAATAGTGTTTTTCAACCCTGAGTTCAAAGATGTGAAATAGCAAGCATTTGATACAGGAAATTTATTTTTCTTAAAAAAACTCAGAATGCATTTTTTTAGTGACTTTGGGCTTTAAGCTATATTTCACTGCTATTTTTATACTAAGTTGTGAGTCTTAGATTATAATGGTCCTCTTCCCTGAAAATACACCAGGTTCTCACAAAGTTGTACCTCTCACTTTATTTCGTTCCTCTTTTTTAGCATCCCACGTGAGGCCATATGGTACCCTGGGCAGGAACAGGAGCTTTCATTTCACCAGGTCTAGAGTTGAATCCTGGTTACATACATTATTTTTGTGACTTCAGACACATCACTAACATGTCCAACACTTTTTTTCATTTGTATGAAGAGATCGGGAATAAGCACGTGAGATATTATGAAGATCAAATAATTTTTAAAATATGAACTATAGAATGCTTGTTGCCTCCACAATTCCCATTTGCCTTGGTACATTTGGATTTCTTACTTGGTTTCTTGCTCCTAGTTTTCCCAACCACGACCACTTAATGGTGGCATAGGGTTTCTTCCAGAACCAAGCGTGTCAGAGGGCCGCTGTGTCATATTCATTAATTATTGTTACTTCTAGTTTTTCTACAATGAGGTGCACCAAGCATCAGTGAACAATGTCCCATGAGTCTAATCTGGTCCACTGTTTGTTTTTGTACAACCTGCAAGCTAATGGTAGTTTTTACATTTCTAAATCGTTGATAGAAATAAAAATAATGGTTTGTGACACATGAAAAATACATGATATTCAAATTTGTGTTCATAAGAAAAGTTTTATTGGAACACAGTCATGCTCATTTATTTACATATTATCTACGGATGCTTTTGCACTGTAACTACAGAGTTCAGCAGCTGTGTCAGGGACCATAAGGCAAGCAAATGCTAAAATATTTACCATTTGGTCATATATAAAGAAAGTGTGCCAACTTCTGATACAGAAGAAGGAAGAAGCACACTTATTAAATAGATAAACCCCACTGCTAGTTTGAGCTTTGCTACTTGATTGTCATGTGATCTTATAAGAGTCACCTTTCTGAAACGATGCTCCTTATAGTAAAATTAGAGTCTCCAAAGCATCTAGAGAAAAACAAATGGCATATTGTCTATGAAAGCTCTTTGTAAACTGTAAAAACAATACAATTGTGATTTTCTTTTTTCTTTTGAGAAAGGGTCTTTATCTGTTGCCTAGGTTGGAGTGCAGTGAGGTGGTCATGGTTCACTGCATCCTCCACCTCCTGGACTCAAGTGATCCTCCCACTTCAGCACCCTGAGTTGCTGGGACTACAGGCAAACACCACTATGCCCAGCTAATTTTTGTATTTTTTTATAGAGTTGGGGTTTCGCCATGTTGCCCAGGCTTGTCTCGAACTCCTGGACTCAAGCAATCTGCTTGCCTCGGCCTCCCAAAGTGGTGAGATTACAAGTGTGAGCCACTGCACCCAGCCTGATTGTGATTTTCAAACCTTGTTTTTATCTTTGAAATCTTTTATTCATCTAAATCTTAAGTGAAACCTCCATATGTAGATCAGCTATAAATAAGACAGGTGGTTAAAATAGGAAGCTTAAATACTAAACACCCATCCACTTCAGCTGGGTCCTTTGCTGAACCCCTACGGCTTGAAGAAAATGAGTTTGAAACCACTAGGGGATAAGTAAAGCAAGGGCTCCTAACCTTTTCCATTATTAAAGTTTCTCTTCTCATCTAAAAATTACTCAGTTCAACCTATGTGTCCTGGAATTCATCATCTAGTGACTACAAAAGAGGACATAAAAAATGCCCAGATAATAGGATAATTTCTGGTTGTTGTCAAGGTGACCAACAAATATGGGTTTCTGGCTATTTCCTTGACATTCAACCTTGTGATAACACAGAAAATGACTACGAGGCCTATGGATTTGAGAAATGAGCATGAAATGATGGGGATATCCTAGGGAAGACAGAGCACAGATGGGTCCCGTGTCAGCAGAGAGAGTACCATGGGGAGACACATTGGGATGATTCAGATGGGGATAGATCCAGTTTCCATTCTAGATATGCTCCCTTTCTTCCTCAAGATTGCCTGTGGCTGAAAATACGCCACACCAGGCCGGGCTGGTGAAGGACGACAAGGAAATAGCAGGGATCCTAAGGCCTGAGTGGGTAAGGCGTGCCTAAGGTCATGTGCAGGTAAACCAGCTGGCCTTCTCTGCTCACTCCTCTGCACCTCATAAATCATCTTGAATGAAGAGCATGACGGTGCTCAAAAGTACAGGTACAGCCCTGAGAGACACAGTTATCTGAGGAGAATGTAGTTAAAGGGAAGTTTTTGCTTTTCCCCCATTCAAATTTTCACCAGAGGACTATGAGTTTACAAGGGAAATATCATGAGATGTGAGGAGTACAACTTCAACAAAATAAAAACAGAGTAGAGGATCTAGAGCAAGTGGGCCAAAGGTAATGAACCCGAGAAAGCAGGTATTGAAAACACTCTCCAAATAATTTTTTTAAAAGTGTTTGTAACATGAAGCAGAGACAAGCAATTATAAAGAACAATGGACACATTTGCTAGGACAAACACAAAAGTCTGCAAAGAACAAGTTACTGATCTGAAAGACCAGGCTAAGGATCTGTCCAGCAGAGCATGCGCCCCACCCCCAAAATAAAGAAATACAGAGACAGAAAACATAACAATGTAGCTACTAAATACAAGTGTAGAAATAAAATGTCAACATCTTTAAAACATAAATTCCAGAGGAGAGAGAGAGGAAAGAGACATTAAGCAGAGAATAAATAGTGGAGGAAATGTTGGGCTGAGAAGGTTTCCATTTTAAAGGGCACACAGGGTGACATAGGTTAAGTAAAACACTTTGCTATAAAAAAGGTGAAATTTTGGAAGACCACAGAGAAAAATCCAAAAGCCTTCAAAGAGAAAATCATATCACACACAAAAGAAGGAGAAATAAATTGTTGTCAACAGCAACACTGCGTAAGTGTTTGGAGGCATGAAGCCAACAGAATAATGCCTTTACTATTTTTAAAGGGAATATAGAATATTATGTCCAGCTTCAAAGTAAGGACAAAATAAAAATATCCTTGATATAAGGCCACTGTTCCTCATCATGCCTCCTGTGATCATCTTGTGGGTTTGGTTTTAAGCCGACTCCTTTGTTATATGTTTTAAGAAACTTTATTTGGAATTAAAATCTAAAAAATGTGTCTTTTTGTCTTCCAGGTTAAATAACTGTTTCCCATGAATGCAGTGAATTTAGAAAGCTGTTCTTCTGCCTGAATAGCAGAAAAAAAGATACAAAAAATATGGAAGAATCAACCTGCGGTAGTATCTCAAAATTACCTGTCTATAAAAGTACAATGATGAAGATATAAAAAAAAACTCTAAGAACAAAAACAGTAATGAAGATGCATGGACTCCAGATTGGTGTGGTTTTAAGAAAGCTATAGCTTGTGTAAGGTAGGTATCTTTTTTGTTGTTGTTTTGAGGCAGGGTCTTGCTCTGTTGCCCAGGCTGGAGTGTGGTGGTGTGATCACGGCTCTTGCAGCCTCAAACTCCCAGGCTCCAGTGATCTTTCCACCTCAGCCTCCATAGTTGCTGGGACTACAGGCACATACCACCATGCCTGGCTACTTTTTTTTTCTTCTATTTTTGTAGAGATGGGGTCACCCTATGCTGCCCAGGCTAGTCTCAAATTCCTGGCCTCAAGTGATCCACCTGCCTCAGTCTCCCAAAGTGTTGAGATTACAGACATGAGCCACCGTGCCTACTCTAGGGTAGGTTCCTGATACACTTGTGACCCTTTCAGCAATACTGAGGGTCAGAAAGTGCAGTCCCTCACATTCACACTCCATAGACATGTGTTTCATTTGAAATGTTGAAATCTTCCTTGAGACAGTAACATTATCTGTATTGCTACTGGGACATGCATCAGAATTTGAGTAATGAAAAGAAATCCATGATTTGGCTCTCTGTTTGTCTGTTGTTGGTGTATAAGAATGCTTGTGATTTTTGCTGCTATAAAGACACATGCACACATATGTTTATAGCGGCATTATTCACAATAGCAAAGACTTGGAACCAACCCAAATGTCCAACAATGATAGACTGGATTAAGAAAATGTGGCACATATACACCATGGAATACTATGCAGCCATAAAAAATGATGAGTTCATGTTCTTTGTAGGGACATGGATGAAGCTGGAAACCATCATTCTCAGCAAACTATCGCAAGAACAAAAAACCAAACACCGCATGTTCTCACTCATAGGTGGGAATTGAACAGTGAGAACACACGGACACAGGAAGGGGAACTTCACACACCAGGGCCTGTTGTGGGGTGGGGCGAGGGGGGAGGGATAGCATTGGGAGATAATACCTAATGCTAGATGACAAGTTAGTGGGTGCAGTGCACCAGTGTGGCACTTGTATACATATGTAACTAACCTGCACAATGTGCACATGTACCCTAAAACTTAAAGTATAATAATAAAAGAAAAAAAAGAAAAGAAAATGTGGCACATATACGCCATGGAATACTATGCAGCCATAAAAAAGGATGAGTTCATGTCCTTTGCAGGGACATGGATGAAGCTGGACACCATCATTCTCAGCAAACTAACACAGGAACAGAAAACCAAACACCGCATGTTCTCACTTGTTAAGTGGGAGTTGAACAATGAGAGCACATGGACACAGGGAGGGGAACATCACACACTGGGGCCTGCTGGGGGTTGGGGGTGCTAAGGGAGGGATAGCATTAAGAGAAATACCTAATGTAGGTGATGGGTTGGTGAGTGCAGCAAACCACCACGGCACGTGTATACCTATGTAACAAACCTGCACGTCCTGCACGTGTCCCAGAACTTAAAGTATAATAATAATAAAAAAGGAAATATAAAAAAGAAAAAAAAAAAGAAATCCACCTTTTCTTTGTTTTAATAGCATGCAAAACATTGAGCTTCTCCACACTTCTTCCTAATCAATGATGCCTCAAAAGTGAAAGATCCTTTAGACATTGTGACATGAGGTCATTTTTAATTTTTATTGCAGAATGAATAAAAGAGCTTGGCTTTATTGCCAAGAGTGAGACTCAGTAATTTTTGCACTATCTTTCTGCTATATCTCTATGCAACAGTTCTACACTGAAAAGAGTTAAATCCTTTATTCTGTTTCTACACTATATTTCCAAGGATTACATTTCTATGTTCATTATATTTGAACCATTATATTTCTGATCTATTTACATGTAATGCATTTTTTGGGTTGGATGAAGTATACTCATTTATGTGATCTTTTTTGTTTTGGTTTTCAAACTGTTTTTCTAACTCATGAGAAGTGTAATAATTTCTACATTTATTTCTATACCAGTAGATTCCTACAGCAATAATAATAAGGTGCATAGCTACCAATTACAAGCCATTTGCACCAGCTGGGGCGATAAACAATGCATATCCAGTTATATAATTTAATATTTACAAACAACCCTGTGACATAGCTCTGATTATCATCTCCATTTTACTTATGAGGAAACTGGGGCTCAGAGAAATGAATTCATTTATCCAAGCCTGATAGCCAGAAAATGTTTTCTACACCATCATAGTGCCTAGCACAGTGCCTCCGACGGAAAAGGTGGGTTTTGAAACTCATTTTTTTAAAGCAAGAATACTGCACGAAATTAAACACTGTCATTAATAGTATGACCACTTGGTTTTAACCTGGACTTCCTAAAGTCAAACTATCCTCTCTCCAATACCAGCTTTAATCTCAGATTCCATCTGGGTGGCCGCAAACCCTCTCCCCAGCAGAGGTTAAGTGGGTAACAGCAGAGAAACTAAACTGTAATTCCCCTTCCCACCCTCTTCCTAACTCACGAGAAGTGTCATCTTATGCTTTGGAATTGTCCTTTCAGGTGGATTTCTTAGAAGATGTCAGAGGGTAGAACTGGCCATGCACTGCCCGATATGTTAATGAAGTTGACTCAGCTAACTTCCTTAGATCTCAGCACTGAAAACAAAGTTCTAGTCCTATCAGAATAATAATCACCACACAACACACCGATTTTCATCCTTAATGAGCTTTATGAATATTTTAAAAATTGAGTCCCAACCACCCCTCTGTAAGGCTGAAAAACATACACACATCTCTATGGTGAATAGGCTTCATGGGGTGGAATTTGAAAACAAATCCTTTCTCTCTCGCTCTCTTCTCTTACTAAACAAATAGAAAAGGGAATTTCATTTCAAGCAGAAGTGAAATAGATCCCAAGTGCTGACATTTCAGCTCCATTTCGTTAATGCTGACCAAATCATCTTTTTCTTCCTTTTTTCATTTCAGCTAGAAGCCTTCACTGTGGTTGTGTTTCAGAAGAGGTCTGTGGACTGAGCCTCATGTCTCTGGCTTCACAGTGGAGGCTGAAGTGCACTCATCACTGTTGTTAATAACAAGAGCCTCCAAAATATCAATATGTGAGCAACACAGTTGTAACACATTTAGCCAACTTGTAATGCAATGTAAACGTTCCATTATACAAAATTTCAAACATACACAAAAGTGGACAGAACAGTATTGTGAACCTCCACATACTCCCCAGCCATCTTCCACAGTGTTCAATGTTCATGGCCCATCTGGTTCATGTGTACCTCCCACACCTGTGCATCCTTTTCAACCCTACACTGAGTTATTTTGAAGCACATAAAGATTGCCAGCAAAATGTGGAACTATCAGCAGAATATACTGTACAGGTTCTCTAACATATTCAACTATTTAAATCATAATTAAAAGTTTTTAAGTTTTAAGTGAGGAAATTTTGGCTAAAGTTGATCTTATGCTGTAGTTGATCCATATTCTTATGATTTTTACAGAAGAGCAATAAGAAAAGTAGAAAAAAAGGAGAGAAAAGTAAAAGAAGACCCTCCACTCCAGCCTTGAGTGCCCCAAGGCTGCTGGCCTGAACTTCCCTCCTATCAGGCATTGCCTTGACTCTTCTTGGTTTTCAATTCCCCCACATTCTGTTGACTTTTGTCTCCTAAATATTAACTGAATCCATCTTTCTTGGTGAAAACCACCTGACTTTTAATTAGAGCTGCCGTCCTCTCTTGTCCTTAGGATTGGAAGTGTCCCCTAATTGGCCTTTCTGACCCCAGTCTTTTTTTTTTTTTTTTTTTTTTTTGAGACGGAGTCTCGCTGTCGCCCAGGCTGGAGTGCAGTGGCGCCATCTCGGCTCACTGCAAGCTCCGGCTCACTGCAAGCTCCGCCTCGCGGGTTCACACCATTCTCCTGCCTCAGCCTCCCGCGTAGCTGGGACTACAGGCGCCCGCCACCTCGCCCGGCTAATTTTTTTGTATTTTTTTAGTAGAGACGGGGTTTCACCGTGTTAGCCAGGATGGTCTCGATCTCCTGACCTCGTGATCCGCCTGCCTCAGCCTCCCAAAGTGCTGGGATTCTGACCCCAGTCTTACACCCCTCCTGCGTATGGTGTGCATTCCTGACACAGTGATCTTTCACAGTCACTCTAACACTAATAACTCTCCAATGGCTCCCAGAGATCTATGGGATAATGTAGAGGATGTGCATTCATACGTTGTAGCAGATAAGAGATACCTGAAAATGTCTCGGCATTCATCCCATTCAAGCATGGGGTCTATTTCTTCTCCCATCGAATCTAGGCTGGTATATGACTACTGTGGTAAATAGAGGATGCTGGAAGTGATATTTTCTCAATTGTGGGTCTCATTTTGAAAAGTCTGTTAGCTTCAGCCTTGTTCTCTTGGAGCCAGGAACATGTAAAATATCCAAATGCCCTACTGAAGAGATTACCTGGGGAAGTCCTGAGATTGCATCAAGAAATAGAGGGGCCCAGCTGAACCCAGCCTTCCAGCCACCCTGCCCCCCAGGGTGCCAGGCATGAGTGAGGCTGTCCTGCACTCTGCAGATTGCTCAGTCACCACCTGGATACCATTGAGGAATGCCAGTCAGCATCACTTGAAGCGATCAGGTTAACAGGAAGGGGGAAGGTAGGGTGGGGAGGTGGGCGATAGTCCTACAGAGAGAGGTATCCAGTGCTATTGGAGAACAAAGCAGCAGTGTTGTGTATGTGTGGGGGTGGGAGGAAGGGGCAGTTGTTTCAGGGGAAGCTCTCCATAGGCAATGGAAATGTATAAGCCAGCACCTAAAATATTAATAGTCCTTGGGCATGTTTTGCCAGCCTGCTTTGTTGGGAGGCCCCTGTGCAAGGCCCTGTGTAATTAAGGCCTGAGAGCTGGAATCTCTTTTAATATTCTAGGGCCTTCTTTTAATATTGCTTTTGGTGTTATGTCTGGGTTCCCACTGGAGCAAATCTTACCCAGGGGTTAGGAAGAATGCTCCCCAATTTGATACATCCATCAGTTCCAATCATTCTACATGCCACTTAGATTCCTGGCTTCAGTTCCAAATAGACTCTGTGGAGAAGCAGGACTTCCTGGTCTTTTACAAATTTAGGTGCCCTTTAAATTCTCCAATGAGTGCCTACTGAGTACACATCAGAAACCCAACCCTCAATTAGACATAGATGAACAGAAAGATGTATAAAATACATGACTTTCATATTCTGAGTACTTGCAGGAAAATACTGCAGTGGAAAAGGCTCTGACCTTGAAATCAGAGAACGTGGACTCAGATCCTGGTTCTGTCATCAACGCCCAGGAAGGCAGTCTAATGGAAGGGGTATGGGGGAGGTAGGGTAGAAAACCTTATCTATATGACCACAGGATTTGGGCTCAAAATCAGAGGCCATGAAGGCAAATGTGTTGTTTTGCCCTCTAGTGATTTTTTGGGGAAAAAAGTGCAAACATTTAAACATCCAAAGATCTCACATAAAGATTAATTTGTTCTCTTGAAAAAATCAGTGTGTATAGCAATGTAAGACCCAAGCTTTCATACTATGTATACCTAATGTATCAGTCTGACCCCTGTTGGCATTTGATCCAGTTGTCTCTTGCTGCATAATAACTACCCCTAACATTAGTGCCTCAGTACAACAAACATTTTATTTTATATCATGATTTCATGAATAAAAATTTGAGGCAGGGCTCAGCTGGGCAAATCTTATGCTGCACATGGTATTGGCTGGTATGGTATGGAAGGCAGAACAGCGGTCACTTTCCAACTGGGTTTCCTGCCTGTGTTCTCAGCTTTTTGTATGCAAGTCCATCTACCTTTCCTTCACAGAGTGATTGTTCTCACTGCTTTGATCATGTCATATCATGATCATACCAGGTCATTAATTACCATTCATGACTCTCTGCTGCCCACCAAATTCAGTCCAACTCCTTATGATAGCATCAAAGTAGTTGAACCTGTGCTCCGATACTGTGTGTGGACACCTCTCACTCCAGTAAAAATGATTTGCTCACAGGGTACTGAATTCGCCTTCGACCTTTTCTATATACTTTTATTTATACAATTCCAGTCTCCTGGAATGTTCCACACCCATCTATATCCCCATGCAATTCCATCTTCCCTTCAGCAGTCGTTTCAAGTTTCCCTTCAGCTCCTCCACATGGAAACATACATGATTGCCATTACCTCTTTTTCAGTAAAGGAGGATTTGAGACCACTCATGGCTTGCCAGTTAGTAGCACACTGATTGAACAGGCCAATTAACATCACTTTCCTCATTTCTAAACTGGACTGATATTGAATGCTGGGATTTTCAGCTCCCCAATCAACATAATACCATATATATATATATATATATATATATATATATATTTTTTTTTTTTTTTGAGATGGAGTCTCGCTCTGTCGCCCAGGCTGGAGCGCAATGGCGCGATCTCGATTCACTGCAAGTTCCGCCTCCCGATACCCAATGTCTTTACCATGACCTACAGACCCCAAATGACCTAGTCCTTGTCTATCATTTCTGTATCATCCTCTTACTCTTTCGTGGTGTGCAAATCCCGAAGATTCCTCACCGCCTGGTATGCTTAATCTCTCAAAACCTCAATGTTCCCCTTTCAATAGGTGGAACAGGGATATAGAAAAAACGATTTTATATCAAGACTGTGGAGTCAGACAGACTGAGTTTGTATCCTGAATATGTGATATTAGCAATTTGTTCAACCCTTATGTGCCTCAGTTTTCTCATCTGTAAAATGGAGATAATGATTATAACATTTTCCACATGGGTTTCCTGTAAGAAATAAATTAGCTACTATATGTAAAATAGGAAGAGTGTCTAGCATACAGTGTTAGATGGTTTGATTATTTTAGCCCAGATAGGACTAGAATGATTATATAATTATACTCATCAATATACTAATATGTTGAAAAATTTGAGAATTTAGCTATGAGATACAAATACATTTTTGTAAATTCTTTGACATTATTACTATATGAACATGATGAAATTTTACTTTAAAAAGTTGAACTTGACAATTTAATGACACTTTGTCCTGGTTAATAAACCTTTCCATTCTGTGGACACTGATTGAGTTTGTGATTAGTTATGGCCGTCTTCCCCATGACTGTCATGGTGGTGGATTTACTTCGAAATTGATTAAAAGGTTTCCTATATGTGATTATATTTAATCCTATTAACAACCCCATCAGGTAATCTGAGTAGGACTTGGATCACTATGTCCCTACATATTAGAAAATAGTTTGTGTGATTTGCTTGATGCTACAAACAAGAGTTGACTTGGAGCTAGAAAAAAAAGCAAAAACAAGGAAAAATAGAAACAAAACTCAGAATCATTATCTTGCTCTCTTATACCATGTTAGAAATATATTATTTTGCTATAAAGCAAAGTTGCCAGACAACAAATTCCAAATGTGAGCAGTAGGGCTTATTGACTGTCATCTTTAATATTTCTTAAATACCCGTAACAATTTTGAGCTATACATGGAAAACCAAACCCTTTCTGTAACTTCCATCTGCTATGCCTTGAGTTTTGCCCTTACAGGTCGATTTCTCTCTGAGATAAGATTATAGCATATACCTTTCCTCAAACAGATCCTTTGGAAATCTTTCTAGGTACTGAGTTGAATTATTCAAGCTGTTAAATTATTCAACTCTTGCTTGAGTTATTCAAGCTCTTATTCAAGCTGATGATCTTGGCATCATTACGTCTAAGGCATGGGAGTAGTTAGGACCACCCACTAACATTCTGGGACTCCATTCCTGGGCACGAGGATTGAGTAGACATGGCTATGTAACTTGCTTTGGCCAATGAGATGTTAGTGACAGTGACAAGTACGATGTCTTGGAAAGAAGCCTTAAGACCCAAAGGGTATGTCTCACATCTCCTCATCTCTACTGTGGAGATTGTCAAAGCTCATCTTGATATGGCTTCTCCATAGGTGACAAGAATGTGTAGAGCCTCCCAGCCAATCTGCTTTGGAAGAGTAGCATCAACAATCAACAGACGTTGGTTGGTCTTAATGCAGAAATTTCCAAGTTGTTATCATAGAACAATTTAACTTATTTTGATTCACACAGAAATTGACATCTAAAAGTGAGGGTGTTGCCATTATAAAATATTAAAAATAACAGTGTTACTGGTTTATAATCTGGCTGGTGGGCAGTGAGGAAGCTATTATTAAGGGCTGGAAAACGGAGATCTGTTTTATGCAGTTGCAACTATTTGACAAATATTTACCCTGTGAGAACTTGGGATGCAGATTACACAACTAATGCATTTGTAATTCTGAAGGAAGTGGTCAAAAAACAGAATGTGATTATCTTCTTGGGACATCATAGAGAATGGAAATGAATGGAGGTGACTTGGGGCAAGCTTTTCTGCTTCCCCTCCTAAATTAATGTCAAAGGCAAAAGACTTCAGAAGAGGTCTTTTTTTGAGGAGAGGTGACCTATTACATATTTACAGATCAATAGTGAGATTGGCATGACCCAAGTGAGCAAAAACAGATGTGTGCATTTCACAAGCCTTCAGCAAGTATGTATTGATTACCATCACTTCTCCTGGTTTGGGGAATATAAAGATGAAGACAGAGTCTGCTGCTCTCTGGGACTTCATGTTTCCAGGAGAGAAAGACAGGGATGTTCTCACCTTGACATTGGATCTGAGTTGTCATTAGGGCTTCACTGCTCACCAGCTGTGTGACTTTGACCCAAATTCCTTTACCTCTCTAAGCTCAGTTTCCTCTACCATAAAATGGAAATAGTATTGACCATAGATTGATGCGAGAATTAAGAGACATTCAATGGTTGCTATTACTATCATCATTCTATTTAAATTATGATCTAAAGAATAAGTGTTATAATGAAGGAGCAACCATGCATACTGAGTGACTAGAGTAAGTGCTTTCCATTTGCTGCAGGGTCGAGGTAAGGCTGCCCCGAGGGACATTTGTCCCACGGGGCATTTGTCCTGAGGTTACCAGATAGACGAGCAGGGAAAGGACATTTTAAGTAGAAGGTGAAGCATGTTCTAAAAGATGGTGCTCTGGACAGCATAGCTTATTCTTGGGTTTAGGAGAAATTTTCTTGACTGGCAAAGGGTGTCAACTGCCTGGGTAGCAGCTGAGGTGGGAGAGCAAAGAAGGGACTCCAGGAGACCCCACCCCCGATTTTAGAAAGCATTTTTTTCCTTTTATCTTCAATGGATGCTTCTTAGGATAAGCCAAGAGAAAAAAAAAATGCATATACAATTAAATTTCTTTTCCATCACTGTGGTTTTCTATTAAATTCAGATCTCTTTTTTTCCTACCCAAATTCATGCTTTTTTGCACAGGAAGAAGCAAGCTCTGTGACTTTGGATGACAGCAGTTTCTCTGTACTAAGCGGGAAGATCTTTTCAAATGAAATTCTAAGGAAAACCCTGCACCCTGTGCTTAGAGGGACTCAATATTCCACTTGTTATCTCACCCATGAAAAATGCTTCCAATTATCTGCCTGCCTCTATTATTTGAAATACTTCTATATCAACCATTCAACTCAGATAATTGAGCTAAACCTTTAAAATGGGTTTTTAATGGGGGAGACAGGCGGTGGGGAATAAGTTGATCTAAGTAAAGTTTTTCACAATCAAAGGCAGACTAATTAAAACTTGACAGCTATGTGAATATGTACATTTTAAAAACTCAGCTCTCTAGAGATAAAACACAACAGGGACGCATATTAGCCAAATGTCTATATTCTTTCCCTAAGGCATTGGAACACGGTGGTCTAAAAAGATGTGTAGTTTTTAAAATTTTTTTGTTGGTTTTAAAGCTGTAAAACTTTTTTTTCAAATGAAAACATTGGGACAATACCAATATATTGAAAGGATAAATTTAGAGCTGCTCTGGGGTAATGGGGCAGAGTCATGCCCCTTGAAATTTCCCTGAATCCATCCCAGTGTCACAAGGCTTCCAAGCCAAGTCCCAAGGCTTTGGAGTTCACAGGGATAGCAAGGTGATCACCAGGCCAGGAGTCCTTCCTCTGATTTGCTGTATAATTTTAAGCAAAGAATGTGAGGCTGAGTTTCATCACCTGCTAACTGAAGGGTGCTTGACTGAATGAACTTGGAACTTCTTCATTGCTGCACCACCCTATGAATTCAAATAGATTCTTTAATGCAAATAGGGCTTGTGCTTAGAGTTAATATTAACAGCTGCTTTTCAAGGTCCCACATCATGAGCTTTATTTAAGTAATCCCGAATTCTCATTGCAGACTAATTTTTAGATTCTACTGTTTCTATTTTATAGATAAGGAATATGAGACTTGGGGATGCTCAGACACTTGCACAGCTTGTAAGTGAAGAAGCAATGATTGAAATCCACTTGTCTTGGTTTCCAAAGCCAATACTCGTTCCATTTTGCCAGCCTGTCTCTGGATGGGTAATGGTAAAATTGTCTGTGGTTGGGTTTTAGGATTTTCATTTTATATGTATGAATAATTGGTGCTTATAATGGTAGTAGATATATATATATATCATATATATAAGATGTATATATATGATATACATATATATAAGATATATATATGATATATATATATCATATATATATAAGATATATATATGATATATATATATCATATATATATAAGATGTATATATATATGATATATATATAAGATGTGTATATATATGATATATATATATGTGATATAACTCCAGTTATATCAACCAAAAATAAACCCAAATTCATGGGGTAAAATATTTTTCTTTTGATTTAGCCAAGAGGATAACTAGGAATTTATGTGATGTAGTGACTGACACAGAGGAGGTGCCCAAAAGAATTTGTTAGATTACATATTATTTTAGGTCCTAAGAAATTGAACTAAGACCAGTGGGGAAAAGTTGATTCAGAATAATTTTAAAAGTATCTTTCTAAAAAGATTGTCTGGAGGCTCAATGGACTGTTTTGGGATATGCATCATTTCTCATGCCTGGAGGGCTGTAAGCAGAGGTGACCTGTCTTCTTGGCAGGATTATTGTTGAGAAAACTCAAACACAGAATGGAGCATCACAGAACTAGAAAAGGAAGCCTTTGAGATCCTGACAATGGGAGATTCTTGGAGTATAGCTTCATTAGATCCTGAATTCCAGGCTTGCTTCTTCTAGTAAGAGGGGGTGGCTGAGTACCCCCTCCCTGAAACAGTTGAATATGAGAGAAGCCAACGTAAGTGAGAGAAGAAGAAATCTCTCTAATCTCTGCAATGTAAATTGAGTAGATGAGGCACCAGGATGCTGAGTTTTTTTCCCAGTGATCTCTGACTGTGTCACTCTGTGTATATCCTTGCTAGCTCTCATCACAAGCATGATCATTTATTTATTTTACATGTACACTTGTTGATTTGTTGACTTCTCCACCATGTTGATCAGTTGGCACAGGGGCTGTCTCCATCTGGCTTACCATTATACCACTGGGGCTAACAGAAGAACTGATGAATAGTAAGTATTTAATAAGCACTTCCTTAAGTGAATGGAGGGAGGACATAAACCTAGGCAAAAAACCGAGCAGGTGTGACAGTAGTGCTGAAAGAATTGAATGGCGCTGAATTTCCACAGCTGAGGCCATTGCTCTGTTGCTGTCAGCACCAGCCTGCTTCATCAGTCAGTCCCCCTGAAAGTGTCTGCAGGCCAATCCCCATTTGCCCATTCCTTAAAGCACCAGAAACCTGCTTTGTTGAGTTAGAAATCACTCTTCCCCACTCATAGGTGGGCTGGGGGTCCATCTCTTTTTCTTATATTATGTGGTCCTGTAGTTCTACCAGGTGCTCCTGCACAAACTCCACACTGCACACTTTTGTCCTTCATCCTCCCATGTACTGCTCTGTCTGCCTAACAGAATCTTTTCAGGATCCTGGATCCCACATAAGTTGACTATGAGACTGATCCCAGATCCTAATTTTTGTATTGTGGTCGTCTTTGAAAGTAGGACCTCTGTCAAATTTATTTCAGTTTTCTGGTTCCTAGCATAATGTATAGGTAGGGACATTTACTTGTAGAGAAAAAAGGTAGAAAGAAAAGAAGGAAGGGAAGAAGGAAGAAAGAAAGAGAGGAAGGGATTAAGGGAGGAAAGGAAGGAAGGGTAGAAGGAAGGAAGGAAGGGTGGAAGGAAGGAAGGAAGGGTAGGAGGAGGGAGGAAGAAAGGAAAAGGAGGAAGGAAGGGTGGAAGGGAGGGAGAGAGGAAGGAAGGAAAGGAGGGAGTGAGGGAAGAAGATGGCAAGAGACAATAGGAAGGAGAGGAGGGAGAAAAGTGACAGAGGAAGATAAAGGGGAAAGAAAGAAAGAAGACAAGAAGAAAAAAAGGAGAGGAGAGGCAGGCTTTTCTCCCAGCCTAATATTAACTTGTCTCTTGTTTCCAGAATCTGGCTTTAGTTTGTTCTCTCCAAATTGCTAAATTGCAAGAAGGGATGTCCTCCCATCCCACTGTGGTCTGCCAGAATTTGAACACCAGGTCCTTTTCTGACTAAGGGACATCGTCTCTATCCTAGCCTCTGTGTCCTTCCTGTCCTGATGATGTCCTCTGAAAAGGCAGGGTGGGGTAAAATCCCTGATCTGTCATTGGCTAGCTGTGTGTCCTTGAGCAAGAAACTCCAACTCCTCAGCTTTGGTTTCTGCATCTGTAAATTGGGGGTTAAAATTTGCCTCCAGAGGGCCATTGAGAAGAATAAATGAAATAACACTTTCACCATGCTCATTGTGTGGTAAGTACTCAATAAATTCTCAGTTGTTTCCCTTCCCCTTAAGATACCCTTTTACTTATCCTTAAAGCAAATTGACATTGAGACATGTTTACTTTGGGAGGAGGGCAAGGAAGCATACAGAATGGTGGGGAGAGGCAGGGAGCAGGTCCATTAACAGATGCAGCCGTCACTGGCAAAGCCATTTTCTGCTTGGAGCCTTCTGCTAGTTTTCCTCGCTGAGCAAAGATTTGAGTCCCAGATTCCATTTGATCTGCATGCTTGGGGAAATAATAAAATAACCCTATTATGAAGTGAAATGGCCTGTGATCTCATTGAGGAGCTTGGGATTGCTACAGGGAAAGCTACTGTCCAATGCAGCAAATGACCCCTTGCAGAGAAGAAAAGGCAGGAATTTCTAAGAAAGAGCACATGTGAAGTTGCTAGGGCAAGACCTGCCATGCGTTAGCACGGACAAGACATAAAGCAAAACTTGTTTTGTGATCATCTGAACAAAGAGTAAAGGTGGCAGAGTCTCCCCAAACTCAGTAAGTTTTGAGAAAAAGTCATCTTAGATAAATTGCATTTTTGTAGTAGACTCTTATGGAAGACTTTTGGGGAAATGGATTATTTCTGATTTTGTCCCTTGCCACTGCCATTTGATTGAATTTTGTTTGAATGAAAATTGAGAGCTACTGTTTTCCTAGAGAATATCTCCCCCATGGAGAGAGGTGAAAAGGAGACTCAGCCCGAGGGAGACACTTGAGGTGCTAACATCCTTGGTGTCAGTTCTTCCTGGAGCCCAGCTGCATCCCTGTCATTCCTCATAATTCAGAAAAACAGCTCTTTCCTCTGGGAGCTGGCCTGGCCCACACAGCTAGACCTTGGTTCACTCCTGTTGAACATAAACAATTTCACAGAATAGCAACCTCAGACAAGGCCATGCCGTGACCATGATGGATCAAGATGAAAACAAGACAGCTCCATCAGGAGCATAAACTTTGTCCAGACCACAAAATAACAAATGTTCCCCAATCCTGGTTGATATGAGTGACTGTACTATTTTATCAGTTATGGTTTAGCCTTTCTCTAGTCTCCATCCTTATAGATGAGATTTACTGAAATACTCAATCACAGAATTGTCCTGGCCACCTGACAGCATTCAATCCAGGGTACACCTTCACTTCTTTAAAGCTCCACAAAATCACCCAACCAAAGCCCAAACTGTATTCTTTCTGCCACCCCCTTACTGAGATGCCCTACAGTTTCCCAAGTTACTCATCCTCCCTTAATCCAACTTGTTTAACTACAAGTGTGTTCCTGGTAGTCTTTGGCTGGAGGGCATTAGCCTACTGGTCAATCCAATCCCTGCTGTCTTAGTAGGACCCTGGTATTCATCTAAATAATCTTCCTGTTCCCCTAAGCTAGTTCAAGTTGGGTTTCTGGCACTTGCCACCAAAAGTGTCTTGACAATGTGATTCAGTAAATCTCAGTGTGTAAACCACATAGCATTTTGTTCTTCTCTGAATTAATCAAACAGTTTTGCCTCTCTATACCTTTGCGTATTGAAATTTCATTTATTCCATAGATTGAGTTTCCACTATGCACCAGGCACCGTCCTAGCTGCTGAAGACACAACAGTGAATAAAACACATAGGCACCCTGACTTTATAGATACTACATTTTAGCACTGTGTGGTTGGCTCTGCCTGGGGTAGGATTCCTCACCTTGCTGAAGTGCTTCTCATTCTTCAATGCATCAACTAAGTGTCACGAGATATAGGAAACCTGGTAAGACCATCAGCACAACTTGTTTTGTGTTAATGAACAATGTGGTAAAAAGTCTATGGTATAAGGCTAAGCAAAAAAGGCAGGAAAAATATGTATGTATGCAGCAATGAATTCCTGCCACGGCTTCAAGTCCCTGCTCTGTTGGAGTTTGTGCTCCCATAGGGGGAACTAGATAATAAATATAGATGAGCTATCTCAGGCTATGCAGGAAAATGTTGTCCACCAGGGCATGGAGATAGCCAGTGGCAGGGATATTATTTCAAGCAGGGTGATGGAGAGTGAGGAGGTTGCCCTGCTTAGCGGGTGGCTGAGAAGCAACAGTGAGCTGTGCACTACTTGGGGAGAGATTTCTCAGGCAGAATGCACAGCAAGTCTGAAGGCCCTGAGATAGCAGTGAGCTTTGCTGCTTGAGAAACAGCAAGGAAGCCAGGGTGGTTGCAAAGGAGGTGGTGAGGGGCCAAGTGGTGGGAAACAAGGCCAGAGAAGTCATGGAGAGGCAGTTCATACAGGGCCTTAAAACCCATAGCTAGGACTTTCAGTCCCATTACTAATGAGACTGGAAACTCTTCAGAAAACAGAAAAGGGCATGCTGTGACTTCATGTTTTCAAATAGTCTCTTGGATGTGTGGACAGTAAATAGTGGTGGAGTTAAGGGGTTTAAGAATGAAAGCAAGGAAATCAATTAAGTGGGTTTAGAAGCTGTCTAGGTGGAAGATTTTGGCTTCAATTAGAGTGTTACTAGCCTAGGAAGTGACAAGAAGTGGTAGGATCTGGCTGTCTTTTGAAGGCGGAGTTAATAAAATTTGCTGCTAGATTATATGTGGGGTGAGAGAAAAGGAAAAGGGTTGAGCTTGGCACAGAGAATTTTTACATATGAAACTGGAAAAGTGGAATTGCCATTTACTGGAAGAGATGAGAAGGGAAGGGTCTTTCATGGGGTAGGGGAGCAGGCGATTTAAGAAACAAGAGTTTAGTTTGTGTCTGAGATACCTATTACACATCCAAGTGTGAAATCAGGCCACTTTGTAGATTCTTTAAAAATGTAAGTTTCCTACGACTTAAAACTTTTCCTCCAATACAGACACTTTTTTTCCATATTTTCTCACTACAGAAACTCTACTAATTCTTCAAAGAATAGTTTAAAGCCTTCCTTGCCTACAGTTACCATTTATTTAATATTTACTCTCTACCAGAAACTGGGGCAGTGAGGACCATATAGGAGTTCTGCTCCAAGAAGTCATTCAGGGACTCAGTTTCCTTCCATGGTGAGGCTGTCTCAACCCTGAAGCTGTAAACCATTCTGCTGGATTCCCTATATCTGCCTGCCACGATGGGATGAGAGTAAGGAAGAACCGTGAGAGAGGTGGACATGGTTGTCACTTTGACTCTATGGAGAACATATACATATGTTCCTAGCTAATGAAAAGTGAGCCTGGGAAATTATTCAGGTTACACCAGCTACACCGCCACATTATGAAAAGATACAGTATTTTGTTGAGTAGTCTGGTGGGGTCTCTCAAGATTGAGCCAGAAGCATTTTAGGGCTCTTTGTTAATAGGGGTTGGATGTGATGCTGTGGCTGGTGGTCCCAGTGGTCCCAGCAGATGGTGGCTTTGGACTCTCTAGCTCTAACCGACCATATGACCAGTTCACAGTACCTTGGCACCCTTTCCTGCCCTTCCCCTTGCATGTACATATCTGTGTTATGCAAAAAGGAAGAAAGCAAAGTCCCAAGGAGAGGAACAAAGTCCATTTGGGAGCCCTCATTAAGTGATGCCCAATAAATACGTCACTCCAATCGGGCCTTTTGGATTTACAAGATTTAATTCTTCTGCCTCTCTGGAATCCATTGTGGGTAATTGCAGTTGACAGGTTTACGCCTCATGACGGGCGTTTTGTCACTCAGCTCCAGCCCCTGCAAATGGCTTTACAATCCGTCAAGCCTAAACCTCTTTAAGCGGTGGCAACTGATGTCAGATAACATCCCTTGTTGTAATTCAAGGCTGAATCTTACTCTGGCATGAAATAAACGGAATCTTTACTATGGAAGGAAATGGGAAACTGAAGGAAGGAGGACATTTCGGCAGGAAGATGAACGGAGGCTGGCAGAGGTGGGTTCACATGGCACCTGACACATCTGCGTGCTACCAGAGCAGGGCAGGCCACGAGGTGTCATGGACACTGCCTGTACCTGCCATGAGACAGGCCTGGGTTCCAATGCAGCCACCTTGGTTAGCTGTTCAGAGAATGCGTGCCGGCTCCTACCTTGTCTCTAGTGCTGAGCTGAGAAGCTGGGGCAATTTGAGGAGGTCTGGGGACAGTCTTGCAACTTCCCAGAGCCCCGTTGCTGTCTTCCATAAAACAAGAATAATAATGCATACCTCACAGGGTTCTTGGGAGGATGTAATGATAGAAATCACTTACTCACGTAAATATGTTTTTGAGCAGCAGCTATAGACCACTCACTCTTCTAGGAACTTAGATAGCATCCTAATTAAACTGTCCCTGCTCTTGTCAGCTTAGATGCTAGGGAAGAGGTAAGTGCTATGGCTGACTATTAAGAAAATGTGCAAAATGTCAGCTGAGGGTAAGTTTTATAGAGAAAAATAAGGCAAAGTGAGGAGGAGAGACAGGGTTATGCTGTTTGTTAGCCAGGGACCAGCCTGTGCTCGTCCAGGGCACCCACATCCCTTCCTGTGCTCTCCATGGGCTCCTAGGGGCCTCTCTCTGGTCCTTGCATGTGGCCCCTAGGTCTCAGAGCCAGCAATAGTGCAGCAAATTCTTTTCATGACTCAAATCTCTGAGCTCTCCTTCTGCCACATCTATCCTGTCTCAAGTCAGAGAAAGTTCTCTGGGGATTCAATTGGGTCTACCTGGGTAATCCAGGCTCATCTACTTATTTTAAGGCCTGTAACCTGCGTTACATCTATGGAGGCCCTTTTACCATGTACGTATTCACAGGTTCTAGGGGTTAGGGTACTGATATCATTATGGGGAGCCATTATTCATCTACTATAGCTGAAGAGGTAAACATCAAGAATGGCTCCAGGGCAATTTGACGGCATCTGAATATGCCTGGCATTGCACCCAGAACCTTCTTATCAGACAGCAGATTTTCCCTAGGACACCTACAAGATGATGCTCAGCTCCCCCAGTACAGCCTTTCCAATCTGTCCCTTCTCCCTTTCTATAGCCTCAGCTTCTGATGATTTCTTGTTGTCATTCCTCTGCCCCAGCAAAGATGTCCATTTGCTACTTTTGACCACTCTGCTGACAAATCATATCTCTGTCCCTCACACTTTACACTGATCATACATAAAAAATGTACTGAGCACTAACCATGTGCCAAGCACTACTCCAGGTTCTGGGGACACAGTAGTGAGCAAATCAAACAGTGCCTCTCAGTGCCTCTCAGTCACAGAGCTTACCTTGTTGATGTCCGTCTCCACCTGGGGAACTCCTACTCCACTGCCAGATTCCGGTCCAAATGCTCCCTCCTGTATGGAGTCTTGTCCAACCTTCCTCACAAAAAAATGGCAATATCCCTCTGTGTAACTAACTCAGAAAGAGTTATCTCTGAAACCCTTAAAAAAGAAGAGCATCACCAGGAGACAGTACCCTGCCGGTGTAAGCACTGGTTACCAAGAAATGCCATGAAGTTCTGTTCTACCACGAATGCCTGGCACCCCCAGCACTCTGGAAGTCAAATGATCACGCTCATTCCCATATTCTAGATGCTAACTGGTCTCATCTCTTGTGCCAAAGCAGAAGGCCTGTTTCAAGTGTCCATGAAAGCACACTTCACTTCTATCCCTTAATTCTATGCCCTATTGAGTGATATTCAGTTAATCCACCCTGTTTACACGCCCCCAATAGGTCCATATGACCTCCACACCCCAAGGTGACCATTATTCTCTTCCACTCTCTCTCAGGACTTGTCCTTCCTCCACCTTACTGGACTGCAGACCACACTGACTACTCTCTGCTCAGTTAGCACCACTCAAGCCTCCGCAGGGCTGCATCCTCACTCACTCTTCCCTAGCCTGAGCCGCCCTCCCATGCACGTGAAAACTGATGAGATGAGGGAAAATGTGAAGGGCATAGTCCCATTCAGGTGAAAGTCTTCTCCACTAATCCCCTCATCTTCTTTTTATAAAGGACATTTTCTTTTGATAGGCAAGACCTCTGATGAGAATGAATATTGAAGGTTTTGTTTGAGTTACGTTTAGAACATTTATTTCAGAATTGTAATGTTTCAGGTTTGTGACAAATGCAAAAAAAAAAAAAAAAAAAAAGATGGGAGGTAGGAATGTTCAGGGTAAACCTGACACCAGGCACAAGGGCACGGTCCAGCCCCGAGATTGAGACAATACTATTGCCACAACACACCCCCTCAAATCTGCATGACTCCTAACTTATGCCAAGTGAGTGAGTGAGACAAACAGCCTAGACCTGTGCCAATCTGCCTCCCAGCCTGGGGTGAATCATGTCATTTTTCATGCCATTTTTGACCCAGGCCCAGTGTACCTCTCAATCTAACAGAAATGATGGTTTTATAAAGATTGTCCTGTGGTTGTCAGGAATATGGCAGTCTGAAGATGATTTTAGGAAAAAAAAAAACACAATTTTAAACCTTCCCGGGTATCCCATGGCTTTTGTATCCTATTGGCTTTACTGAAGAGAAATCTCAGTCTGAGGCAGCTGCTTTTGGAAAACTTGATTGCGTTCACAGCTCCTCCCCCAGGAAAGGAAGTTTCAGCCCCAAAGCTGAATTTTAGTTGCTACATTAGAAGCAGAGCCTGCTTACAATTTTTAAAATCTAAATTTGCCTTCTAAAAAGAATCTGGAACTCCATTCTTTCATTCTCTTTATACATAGATATATATGTACACCTATACACATTTTTATACATATTAGGATACATGTATATGATATATATGTAGTATACATATGTGTACTATACATATATATCTATAATATGCACATTATGGCATATGGGTTACATATGGGCTTTAAAAATCATGCCATGTAATCCTTAGTCCTATAGCATCACTCATGGTCTCTTGTGAACTATGAAATTTTATTTTCCTGGTCCTTCAGTCCAAAGTTTCTATCTCAATCTTTGCTCTGACTTTGCACTCCTGCGTGACCTTGGGAGAGCCCCTTAGGATCCCTGAGGCCTTGATTTCTCTTAGGCAATTTTAACCATAAAGATGCATAACTAATATATGCATGGGCTTTACAAGTCTTCAAATGCTTTCACATGCTGTATCTCTTCTGCTATACAGAACAACCAGTAAATGTGGGAAACTCTGCTGTATTTACTTTAAAAATGAGGAAACTGAGGCTCAGAGAGTTTAAATTACCTGCTGCATCCCCCAGCTGGATGCTGGAGCCTGGACAGCTCAGGGGTTCCCACTCCCATCCTTTTTTGTGTATCATGCAGGTATCCAGGGGCTAGTGAGTGGGCTTGGAGGAAGAAAGGCAGGAGGGAAATTCGTAGGGCAACAGGCCAAATTATTATAATAGTTTTTTTTTTTTAACATGGTTCATGGAGAACAGAATCTTATTGTATTGGCTGAATATATACACTCCCATTTGTTTTTCATTACATCACTGTCTGATAGGCATTCGGAGTCCTATTTAGAGAGAGTTAGCAAGGTAATCGGGAACTCCTGTTCCTAAATTTCCCCAGCTAGTAGTGACATAGAGCCTGATGTGAAGCCCAAGCTCCTTCAACTATTCCACACTGCCCTTTAAAGACAGAGCCACATAAAGAGAAATACTGCTAACTGCTGTGCTATGGTGTCTGTTTACAGCTGAGGGAATTTGACCATCAGCAATGCGAAGTTCTGTTTTGTGAATCACCAGCCAAATAGCCCTGCCTTCAGAAGTTGAGTCAAGACCATCTTATTCCCAGTTTCTTACTTTAATCACCAGCAATGCTGCCCACTACCAATTTCTGAAAAACTATCAACCTTATTACCTTCTCTTAGAGAGCTTTCTGCTGAAATCTCTTGAGGCAAACTTCATCCATTTTTTTACCCCTTCTGCTTTTTTGTGATTAGGGTCTTTCTATCACTTGGCTGCTATTAAGTTTCTATTACTCTGTAGCACACATCACACAGAAGCAAGGGCCCCTTCATTTAGACAGCATGCTGCAGCTTTTGTAACCCAAAATACACATTTTAAATACAGCTGGCTCTGCAGATCCTAAGCCAGCATTGGGTTTAGCCCTAGAATTGTCTTGCAAACCTTTATTCTACCTTAGCTAGTGATGTAGAACTAGAATTAAGTAATCATGCTGATAGATCAGTGTAGAACATTATATCTACAATAGCTTCAATAAGCTGCTCAGAGCGAAACATTTGGAAGGAATTGTTATTTTGTGTGCCAAGAAAGAACTTACTTAAAGGGAATTATGAGCAACAAGGTCTCAGCCAATATGAAAGTTAAAGTATTTATACTTCTACATAACTGCTAGTTGACAACTTTGAGACATGTAGTACAGGCATTTATTAGCTACTCAGCCACCTTAGACATTCACATAGTATATTACACTGAAGTAAAAAAGACGAACTCACCCTACAAAACACATATGAGCTTATTTGTTTTATTCTTTTTTTTTCCTTCTCTCATGCAAGTGGGGATAGAGATGGAGGACTCATTAAACTCCTATTATGTGATGGGTATTTTGCACGTAAAATCTTGTTTATTTTTCCCAGCGTGGTGCAGATTATCATTTTCACTTAGCAGGTGAAAAAATGGAGGCTTAGCTAGGTGAAAGGACTTGGTGATAACAACAATGCTGGGATTCAAACCCAGGCCTCTGATAAAATATATTTTACATTATACTTCATTGCCACATGGGAGTTCTCAACCTGGAAAAGCCATTCTTGTGAGTGCTGAAGATGTGTTTTATCTTCGATGTCACAGAACTCTTCACCCTAGTGCCCAGAGTCACAGACCTGATTCATGCAACCCAGTATGTAGTGAATGATGATGCCAAGATCCAAAGGTAGAGAAAGTAGTCATTGGCCTGCATGATTTCTTTCTCCAAATGCTAAAGATGGCTGTTTGATGCTGCTTCCCAATTAGTTGTGGTTATTCTCTCTGCTCTACATTATAATTTCACTTTGCAAATAATTTCACTTTTTCTAGGGTTTGTGGTTACATCTTATATGGTTCAACTTTATGCAAGTACATCATATTTAATGGACACATTACTAAAACAGGAGTCAATATTTTTAGAGCTACTTCTGCCACTTACTAATGAAGTGATGTGGCATATTACTTCACCTGCCTGAGACTCAATTCCCTCAGTTTCAAAATTCAAATAAATAAAAACAGTCTGAGTTATCTCTCAAGATTTTTATCAAATATTGCCTGAGAGCAAAGGTCGCATGGGTGCATGGTAAACACTAACTGTTAGCACAAACATCACAGACACCCATTAATCCTGAAACTACCATGTTCAAAATTCATGATTATCTTCTTTTGCCAATCTATAAAATCTGATTGGTAGAACATGCTTTTCTCTATACTTACACCTGTTATAATTGTATAGATTTCAACTACCTTCTCACAACTTGACATTCTTGCTTCCACTTTATTTTTCTTGTTTCCTTATTTCCTCTATTTTATTTTTTTTCTCTCTCTATCTCTCCCTTATGGTGTAAAGAGGGAGGTGAGAGAGTGGAAATGTATTCAATGTGATTACAATAAAATAAGAAACTTGACAAGTGTTGCAGGAGGGGTACAAACAAAAAGAAAGGGAACTCTAAGGAGGCAATAATTATATCTAGTCCTGTTGGAGGTGGAATAGAACATCCTAACAAAGGAAGGACAAGAAAAAGCCTCAAAAGGAGATGATATGCTACCTATTTAATAAAAATAGAAACATATTGCTAGGCACAAAATGGGGCTGGGGAAATAGTTTTCAAGGTAGATGAAATGGCATGATCAAAGACTCACATCTACAAAGCGTGAGTCCCAGATAAAGTTTAACACACTGTTTCTACCCCACTTTCCTACCTTCTTGGGTAGTGAGATGAACGCAGACCTTCCTCAAGCATTCTCTCTTTCCAGCTCCATCCACCCTATGCATATTGCCCAAAACCAAACAACTTCCGTCAGGAAAAATGATCTGATTAATATATTTGGATATGGTTGTAAGCTTTGGAGATGGTACACATGAGCCATCCTCAGCCACCTTCATGAACTTTTGTAATTATTGTAGACTCAGCTGTAGGAAGGGCCAGCAGCCACCACATGCCAACAGAGGGACACAGCAGGACGTGATAAGGTCCCTGAGCATGGACTTCAGAGAATAACCATGGCTTCCACTTCACTTCAACCTCCTAAGTCTTGCACAAAATGTTTCTTGAGGGCAATGTTAGCCATGCAGGGAAGGGGATTCTAGAAGATGCCATTCCATCTGAGTGCAGCTGACAGAGCAGAAAGCCACCACAGTAAATGAGAGCTTAGGTCTCAAAAGTAGTGAGGACAGGAAAGAGGTTCTGGATCCAACCCACATGAGACTTAGAACCTAGACCTTTGCATAAAGCTCTGAACCCTCTGTAGAGTGGCTTATAGGGCCAATTTGAGATATATTGTATTCTCAAGTGAGTCTATTGGTCACCTGCTTTCATTTGTACATATATTTTAAAAAGTGAACTATGATGTTAGCTGCCTGCCTCATTTTAAGACTGCCTTTACATCTTTTTCACAAAGATTAAGCTAATTGGGGTAATATCAGTGATGTCATAGTAGGGAAATTATAGTGATTCACTTTATCACCATGGTAGGTAGGTAAGATCAACCTTACATGATAGACATAGTTTGTAAGTTATGCAAAAATATGCAGTGTAAAATATACATTCTAAGAACATTTGTTTTACATCAAATATAGCCTAGTGCCAGTCTCAAGGTTGCGATTCAAGAGTTCTTGTAACTGCAGTATTTTTGTAAACTTCTTTTCAATATAATAAGAGAGGCCTTTGCCTATTTTAGCAAGTCATTTAGAAAGGAACTCAGCCCTATGATGAACAAGATCCAGAATAAACACAGATTTGACTTAATTTTTATGCTGACAGGTATGCCAATATTTACTCATATTTCTCTTTTTATCTAGAAGGTATATTGGTTAGCTCACAGTTAATCATCTCAAAGTATCTGAATCAACAGACTCTCAATTTTTAAAAGTTCTTTATTAACTGTTAACTGGGTTTCATTTAGATTCTGATTCAACTATATTTTCTAGCCAAGGATGAAATAAGAAATAATGTTTATAATTAAAAGTCTCCATAGGACATAATTTAAAAAACCCAGAAGAGAGAGAGAATTTCTGCCTGGGGTATGGGGAAGGAAAATTAGAGCCTTTCCTGAGAATAGAAAACCCAGCATTGGGCTTCATGTGGACCTGGGGCTTGATTTAACACTGCCTATGTGGGGCAAGAAATCCCACTCAAAGAAAGTAGCATAAAAGTCAGTCTCAGGCTGAAGATAACCACTGGAGCTCAGACGTCTTGAGGGAAATAGAGTTGTCCCTTGGTATTCATGTGGAATTGGTTCTAGGACTTCCCATCTGAGGATGCTCAAGTCCCTGATATAAAAAGGTGCAGTGTTTGCATATAACCTACACACATCCTCCCATGTAATCATGTCTATATTATTAATAATACCTATACGATATAACTGCTTTGTATTGAGTATGAAATAATGACAAGGAATAAAAGTCTGTGTGTGTTTAATAAAGACAAAACGTGTTTTTGAATATTTTTTTATCTGAGGTTGGTTGAATCTATGAATATGGAACCCACTAATTTGGAGGGCCAAGTGTACTCAAAACACACAACAGGAAGGATTTTCAGGGGAAAATTTTCAAAAAGCTTTATATAATAAAGTGTTTTTATAAAAAAGTAAACAAATAATAACAACAAAATGAAAAATATTCACTTGTGGAACAGTGAAGACAAAACAAAACTGATTAGACTACCTAGAGAATGAGATAAAAGACAGTCTGAAAATGAATACAAAATGTGTGTATGTAATATAATTAAAGACATAAAAATTAAAAATTGGAACAGAAAATCCAGAAACACTATTAATAAAGAACTGCCAAATTTGAAAAAGAATATATTCAGTGTTCTACAATAAAAATATTCCTATTGAGAAAGAAGCTCACAGGGAATGGGTAGATTAAACATCAAATTAGTTACACGTGAAGGAAGAACTAGTGAACTGGAAGCTCAATCCTGGGGTAATTACCAAGCCTGTAGCACATAGTTACAAGACAGGAAATTTGAAAGAGAGCTTAGAAGACACAGATAGTAGTAGATAAAATGATCCAACTTATCTCTAGAATTTCCAGGAGGAAATGATGGAGAAAATAGAGGGAAAGACATATTCAAAGGGGAAATGTTTGAACATTTTATGGAATGTGTGAAAAATACGAATCCTCAGATTCAAGAACAATGATAAATACAGAGACAAAATAGAAAAATGAATTAACTTCTAGACATTTAATGTTGGAACAGAAGACCAAAGGGAAGGGGAGGAGGACTTTTAAAACAACCATAGAGAAGATAGAGGTTTACTGCAAAAAGGCATCAATTCCACTGATGCAATTTCAGTGATTCCTCAAGAAAAACAACTACAGCTAGCTATGATGTAATCACATCTTCAATGTGTCAGAGGAGCATGTCAACCTAGAATTTTATACTGAGCTAAATTAACACTCAAGAATAGATGAAATAGGCATTTCTACAACTTCTCCTCTCCCCAAAAGAAAGAAAATTCCAAGAGGATTGCCACTCACTTATCTCAGTGAAGGATACACCAAAGCCTGGAACACAGCTGCCCCATCTCACATGTGGAAAGTAGGGGCCCTGCCAAGGCTGACTGCACGGGTGATTGATACGGGGGCCCAAAATGTATACATATAGAAGAAACGTCAGACCATGAGCCCCTGGATAGCTAGTTCACTTTC
The DNA here is from genome assembly GCF_000001405.40 of Homo sapiens. NCBI lineage: Eukaryota > Metazoa > Chordata > Mammalia > Primates > Hominidae > Homo > Homo sapiens. The sequence goes on along the minus strand of NC_000008.11, from coordinate 134,129,812 downwards.
CTATTAGAAACTGAACTCTGAAAGAAGCAAGGACAAGCAAAGAAATTGATCAACATGTGAGAAAACCCGAATAAGAATTGATCAAATAAAACAACCTTTGTCATAATGATAATGACTAATTTTAGAGTTTACATACAATGGGAAATTAAAATGTTAAATAGAATCCTTAGTAAAGCAGGAGAGGTATAATTGGAATTAAAGAGTTTTCAGATCCATGCACAATTCAAGAGGAGAAGGGTAGGGATATTAATTAAAGTTAGATTTTGTTAACTAATATGTGCTTATAAAAGTTTAAGGTCATACACTAAAAAAATATAATTAAACTGTCTATAGATTATAGGAAACTTCTTAATGGTGAAAGGCAGGAAATAAGATTAAAAATAGACTCTCAGAGTCATTTATAGGTTATTTATTTATAGGCAGCCACACCTTCAGTGTCTTCACTGGCCCCATGCCCAGCGCATATCCACAGCATGGATGATCTCTAAGATGAAAACTATAAACTTTATTGCAAGACATCTACCAATGCCAGAATCAATTAAGATTTTGAGAACTCTTAGAGGGAGAGAAATACAGACCAGAAGAAAACGGCCAAAACGTAAAAAGGAGTGAGGCTATTTTCACTGCTCTGCCTCCCCCAGCATAGAAAAGGGCCAGACAGCTGCCGCATCCCACATGTGGAAAGAGGCAGCCCTGCCAAGGCTGACTGCACTGGCGATTGACATGGGGGCCCAAAATGTATGCATATGGAAGAAACAACAGATGAGCCCCTGTAGAGCTAGCTTATCTGAAGTATCTTCAGGAGGTCAGCCCTTATGTGAGGCAGTATCCACTGAAACGAGTGAGAGTAAGAACCCAGATGTCCAGAAATGCAAAGGGTCCAACTTAGAAAAAAGGGGGTTCTTCTGAATGGACATCCTTTCATACCTCTTCCATGCTCCTCTTTCCATATCTTATCAGTGAGTGTCAGAGAGGTTATTAACTTTTCCGAAGTCACACAGCATCTAGGGGGCCAATGTGGAACTTAAACTCAGCTCATTTACATTCCAAACTCTTGCCCTTTCTTCTAGACTACACCATATTTCTAAATTTCCTAAACATTTTTTTACTTCTCTGCATTCCTTTCTCTTTGGTCAGTTTTTAGAGAGCGACCGCACACACAAATACATGAACGCACAAACACACATTTAAATCTGCACATTTACAAGCTCAGGTCCACTCAGCTAGCATAGTCCTGCTCATCTACAAAGAGGGTTTCTGTTTTGCCGGTCTGAACATTTTTACCTTAACATTCTGCTCCTGTAGCAGAGACATGGTGCTTAGAATTAGCAAGATAACCAGAAATAAATCTGGCTCTTATCCATCATGTCTTCTCTTTGAAACCAGATGAAAGGGGACCAGGAAGCAACCCAGGGGCTGGCACTCCATCCATAGCTCTGTGGGGGTTTTAAGCACGGTTTCTCAGCACAGAAAAGCCCCAATTAAGGAGAGAGAAGGCGGAGGTTTTGAAGTCTGGTCTATTGTAGGTAATCCACTTAAGGGAAACGAAAGGATAAATCATGAAAACGTAGCATCAATGCTGAAGGAACATTAGATGTCAGTGTGAAACAGGGTCTCAGAGCACAGGCTTTGGGGTCAGAGGAGCCTGGATTTGGATTATAGACTGGTCTACTACTGGCCATGTGAGTTTGGGTAGGGGACTTATGCTTTCAACTTCATGTCTCAGTAAACAGCCTCTGCTTGTTCACCTCTTTGGATGTGAGCTCACTATCTCATAGAGCCTCCTTTGAGTACATTATCTCATTTATTCTTCCCAGTAACCTAATGACATAGGTCTGTTAGAAAGTTCTTGTTCATCCTGCACGAACTTTCTTCCTTGTGGTTAAGAACATACAACCTAGAGTCATTCAACCTGGGCTTAAGCTCTAATTTCATCGCTTACTTACTACATGTCTTACCTTGGACAATTCATCCTTCTGGTTCTCATCATCCTCATCTGTACAAGGGAGAGAGATTGTGGATCCTGATAGGGTTGTAGAGATTATAGGAAGTTCTATGTATACAGTGCTTGGCATGCTGCTTTGTGGCCACTGCTCAACATTTGCTGGCTGGTACCTCTCACCAGGACCACTTTCCCAGTCTGTGGGTTCTGGCCTTGTTCTTTCTAGACTGTTCACCACACTACTGTCACTATCATCTTTCTCGTATATTATGAATCAGATCACCTCTCTGGCTAACTTTTAAAACTGAGCTCCTCAATAAAATCTGGACTGTACGAAACCTGGCATTTGAGGCTTTTCGTGGCCTGCCCCCGACATCCTCCTCTCTTCTTTACACTAGAAGACTCTGTTTCAGGAACACACATACCTTTTGGGGTGTTCATGCCTGCTGCCTTGAAAGTTCTCTCCTCCTTTTCTGGCTGACAATCCACCACTCCTTTTTAAGGCCACATCAAAAGTGAACCTCTGAGAAATCTCTTCCCCACTCCATCAGGCACTGATCTGGATTCCAAGCGCACTTTGTCCGTTTCCCCAGCACAATGCCTGCTATATATTGAATTTTTCTGTTCCCTCGCTGGACTGCAGAGGAGGAATGAAACCCTGTTCACACAAAGGGACTGGAATATAGCAGGTGCTCAGGTCTGAATAATTTCTTCCCCTTCAAATCACACAGCCTTTGTGCCAATGATAGTTTCTCGCTCCAATAATTCAACTGCTGCTAATTGCATTTAACATTTTTTTTCTGCAGGAATTTGGGCAGTGTACCCATGAGCCTCTCATTATCTCTTGCACTCTTTATGCTAACAGAACATGCTGAAGAACCTATCCTGGCTTCCACACTCACCCTTCAAAAGGCTTTTCTGAAAGTTTTACCTTAGACTCTAACTCCAACAGAGACACTATATTAGAAGTCTGGAGTTGAGGGAATCGGGGAGTCTCTGAACCATATACCAGTAGTTCCCAAGGTTGCAGATTCAGAATCGGCATTGGGGTTGCTTCACCATGCATAATTAGATGCTGGGGAATTGATTTTAATTAAATTACCTCAAGTCAAGCCAGTTGATAAATTATAATGTTCTGTTATTAATTCTCACTGAAAATTGTCCAGAGTCAGCACATCTTGGTGCTAAGGTCCCTGTGGAAGATGAGCATGGTCCCTGCATCAGCAGTAACTGGGAATAAAGTGGTTCTCAATCACAGCAGGAGCCTCCCCACTCCCAGGTGTGGGAGAGGGAGCTGAAGACGGGGAGATGCAATCGAAGAAGCACCCGTGATTTTCCTCTACGTACATTCACCTATCATCAGCCAAGGAGAAAGAGAGCTGCAAGTACAGTTAGAAAAAAGTGTTTGTTTTAGCAATGTTCAAGGTTTATATAACTGATTTCCAAAGGTGTTGTACATATATTATCCCACTTAAGGCCCTTCAAAACCATCAGTGGGCAGGTTTATTTGTATGAATTTTTAAATGAGAAAACTCGGAGCTCTGTGACTTGCCCCTGACTCACAAAAGCTTTAATTTGTGCTAACTCACACAAGTAAATTTCTAAACCAACTTTAATAGCAATAAGAAACTGTAATCATATGTTTTATTTGTTTACTTGTTTAATGTCTCTCATCCCCATTAAAAAATGAGGGCCTCATCAGCCTGTAAAGCAAAACAAAAACAACAACAAAACCACGCTCACTGGTTTAAAAAGAAAAAAAGGACCTAAAGGTCAGATGTGGCTCATCCTATTCACCAACCTATCCCCCAAATCTGGACTGAGTTGGCGTATAAAATCTTCATCAATATTCATAACACAATGTTTGATTCAATCATAATAAATGAGTGTATGAAACCTAAGAAATATACTACCCCAAAAAACAGAAACAAAAGCTTTGGCGAAATCACATTGCAGACAATAAAGCTGAGTGGGAGCAGAGGATTTTATTGCTCCCTTCTTGTGCCCATCCTCAGTAACTTAGCCCCTTCTACAGATAAGTGATAGCCAGGAAGAAGTCAATGCTGGCCTTTGGCACAAGAACTGAAAATATAAGTAAAAGTAAGATGAAACAGACATGTATCCTAAGAATTAATTGTCCAAAGAAATTCTGGAAGGGTTCGTACAACTACTTCATTATAAACTCAAAGCAGCTTTAGATAAAAGGGTTTCTCCAAAAAAGGTCAGAAAGAGATGCAAAATCAGGAGGATAATATAAGGCAAACAAATAAGGTTAAAATCAAGTAAGTTAGCTACAAGGCTGAGGGAAAAGGTATAAAATAGATTAAATTATAAAAATGATTAAAGCCACCTTAGAAGCAACTAAATACATGCAAATGAAAACAGTTGGGCATGCGTTGTCCTGTCTTAAAGAGAGTGCCTAACACAAAGTGGAGGAGAGTAGTGGTAAAAATTATTATAGGGAAGCTAATGAGTAGCTAAGGGAGGCAAACAAGTCACATTCTGAACTCGGTTTAGTGCTTCATCAGGGGATAATAGAATAGGAAAAGTCCAAGAATGTATTTGAAGATCCAATAGAAGGAAACTTCTGAAAAATTAGGAAAACCTTTCAAGATGGGTTCATGTATTTCAGGAATATGAAGCACCACAAGTGAGTAGAGCAATAAGGTTCCAAGAGAAATTTTTACCCAAGCATTTTATACCAAGTTGTTCCTCCAGCATAGAGGCTGGAGATGAACATCCTCCAGTATACAGTACTCATGAACACTTCTTAAAAGAATTTCTGAGTAACAAAATTCAACTGACCAAGATGTCATTCAAAACAATATGCTAAGGATTGGAGAAAACAAGAAATAGAGGTTGGAGAGAAGAGAAGTAGGAGAAAACATAAGTATGTAGATTTTGTTCTATTTTTCCACTGCTTTTAAAAGTAATGAGCATTTATCATTTTTACTTAAAAAGTAAAGTCTTTATTTTATAGTAATAAAATTTAGCCCCATCTTGAACAATTCCAGTAAGTCCCTGTTGAGGCATGCTAGGACCTTGTTAAGAGGCTGGTAGGAAAAAGACAAAGCTAAATCACTAAATCATATATTTCTTTCATTAAGCAGAGGTTTCTTGTAGACTATATGCTTGGCTCTGCCCAGTAGGGCATGACACTGGCCTGAGAGTGCTGAGAAGTGCTGTTCTTGCAGGCCGAGCATGAATACACTCAATTCTCAGTATCCTGCTTTCAGGTAGATGGTATGATCACAGGAGGGCCCTGCTGAGACACAGGATTCAAGGAACAAGGGTTACCCCTGGGGAAAAGGCTAAGTGCTAAGGCTCTAAGACTGAGAGATAAAATATGAGGTTGAAAGGAAAAAAATTAAGCAAAATTGAAGGTTAGCCTGAGCATGCAGAAGCGGTTTAGCATGAAGGCAGCAACTTGGTGTGCTAACAGTTTCTTAGTTCTTTCGAGGCTATTGCAATTCTGGCATTCAGACCTCATCCTTAAGTGAGTTGAATCTACTCTTGCCCTGAGTCAGATTGAGGCTGTAGATTACGCCCACCTGTAACTAAGGTAATGATTAGCTGAATAAGGTAGCACTGAGTGTACAGGTGGTCCAAATTCATTGAGTTGATGGAGGGTGATATGGTTAAGCTTTGGGTCCCCACCTGAATCGCATCTTGAATTACAATCTTCAGGTGTTTAGGGAGAGACCTGGTGGGAAGTGCTGTTCTTGTGATAGTGAGTGAATTCTCACAAGATCTGGTGGTAGATTTTTGGGTGCTGACACGGGCTCTCTCTCACCTGTTGCCATGGAAGACATGCTGCTTTCCCTTTCACCCTGACTGCAAGTTTCCTGAGGCCTCTCCAGCCATACGGAACTGTGAGTCAATTAAACCTCTTTTCTTTATAAATTACCCAGTGTTGGGAAGTTCTTTATAGTAGTGAGAAAACAGACTAATACAGATGGCAGATTGTGATTGAAGAAAGCTATAAGTCTTTGTGTTATAGGTCACTAGCCCAGATGTGATAAACCTCTGCTTCATATTAGGTAAAATCAGGGTAGACAACTAACAGAATTTTAATAACCTAATTATTAACTAATTTCTTTCACTCTTTCCCAAGGATGAACTATTGGAGAGGAGTTTTGCCATAAGCATTCAATAAACACTGGTTGTTTAACTGTACACATTTTATTTTTCTTCATTCTCTTCTCCAGAATTCTCTCTTCCCTGCCCCAACTTACACTCTTTTAGTCTTTTCAATGATACCTTGGGAACATCTCTTGCATTTATGCCTTTCTCTCTATTCCATCATAACCACCCTAACTCAAGCCATCTTCACCTCTCACCTTTGGTACTGTAAAACCTCCATGAAGCAGAGACAGTTCTTATTCAACAGCATCCATGTGCTCCTCTATTCTCGTTAGCTTCCCTTTCATTTGGGTTGGCTTCATGCCTAGTTCTGGGCAATGAAGAAAGGAATGTGTGTTACTTCCAGGTGTATATGGTTTAACGAATGATTTGCTAGGTAGTTTTCCTAAGTGGTTACCCTCTGACCAGTGCTGAGTTCCACTTGCATTTCACCCATGTCAACAGTCTTTTTGCCATTTTAGTGTGTCTATGCCATGGAAACACATTGTGGTCTCAGTTTTTATTTCCCTGATGATGAATAATGTTGAACACTTTACAGTGTGCTTAAGGGTCATTGGTAGATCATCTTTCACAAGTGTCTCTTCAACTCTCTTGCCCATTTGTTTTTAAATTGAATTGTCTTCCATTTTATTATTAAGTTGTAAGATTCCTTTGTATATTCTGGATAAAAATATTTTGTCAGACATGTATGCTGCAAATATTTTCTCTCATTCCATGGCTTCTCTATTTTCTGAACAAGGTCTTTTGGTAAGCAACTTTTTTTAAAAGTTTCATAAAGTTCAGTTTATCAATGTTGAGTGTTTTCCCTTACCTCTTGAAACCTATTAGCCTACTCCAACGTTATAAAATTTTTATCTTAGGTTTTCTCTATAAAACTTATAGTTTTAGTGTCTATGTTTAGATTTATGACTCATTTTAATTTAGTTTTGCATATAGTATAAGATAAGAGTTGAGATTCATTTTTTGCCACTTATTGAAAAGTCTTTTCTTTCTCCCATTGAATTGCTTTGGAGCCCTATTGAAAATTATTTGATTGTATAGATGTGGAATTATTTCTGGACTCTCTTCCAATTCCTTTGATGTTTTTGTCTATTCTTTCAACAATATCACATGCTATCTACGATAGTCTCCGACCAAGTCCATTTTTCTGTCTTTATTATAATTGCTAAGGCCTCCTGTAAGTAGAATGTTAAGTATAAATGGTGAGAGTAGACGTCCTTGCATTGTTGCTGATCTTAGAGGAAAAATGTTGATATTTCATAATTAAGCATGAAACAAGCTATAGGGAATTCTCAGATGTCCTTATCAGATTAAGAAAACTTGCTTTTATTATTAGTTTTTGGATAGTTTACAACATGAGGGAGTTATATGATCTTTTCTGCACTTACTAAAGTGATCATACAATTTCACCTTTATTGTAATCATTTTGTGAACTATATAGATTAGTTTTCATAGGTTATACCATCTTTGCACTCCTGTAATAATCCCTACTTAGGATATATCATTCTTTTATATAAGCTAAATCTGGTTAGCTAATATTCTGTTCAGAAATTTTGTGCCAATGTTCTTGAGAGATATTAGTCTGTAGTTTTAAATATCTTGTTCTGGTTTTAGTAACAGGATTTTGCTGGTGTTGTACTTGAAATGGACAGATGAACGAGTTAAGACAAGCTTAGTATTCTTTTTTTTCAGTGTTTTATAGAATTAACAAGTGCTATAGATCTTGTGTGTTCTTTGGGTGAATATTTTTAATTAAAATTAGAGTTCTTTAAAAGATATAGGTTTATTCTTTTCTGTTTCCTGTATTTGGTAAGTTATAGTTTTTCTAAGTAATTTGCTTTTTTATGTGAGATATCAAACTTATTGGCGTAAAGTTGTTGATATTTTCTAATTACCTTTTTAATGTCTGTAGAATTTATAGTAATGTCACCTTTGTTATTTCTAATAATGATAGTTTGTGTTCTCTCCTTTGTTATTCTTTCCAGTGATTTGCAATGTTATTAGTCTTTTTCAATAACCAATTTTTACTCTGATTTATCTGTTGCTTGTCCATTTTCTGTTTTGATTTCATGTCTTTATTTAGATTACTTCCTTTAATTTGTTCTTTTTCTAACTTTTTAAAGTGGGTTTGAATTCTAACTCTGACAATGCTATAGGTAGGACTTAGGCAAGTTACTAACTCTGCCTCAATTTCTTTTGCTAAAATGAGGAAAATGCTGTTAAGTGGTTTCTGTGAGAGAAAAATAACAGTACATGAAGAGTATTTTTACCCAACTCTGTTATATGGTAAGTACTTAATAAGTGCTAACAGTTATTAACCACTTAATAACAGCAATAATATGCACTTATTGACTGCTTTAACGATAGGCTCACAATAATCTCATGAAATAGGTACTTTCATTTTCACCATTTTGCATATGAGAGAACAGCAACCTAGCAAGAATCCCTGTTCAAAGAAACAGAGAAAATAAATGGCAGAACTAGCACTAAAATCTAGGTTATTCTAGCTCCAAAGTTTGTGTTTTTAATCACTGTGTATATTGACCTTTAACAAAATAAGTAGCTGCCACTTATTGGGTATGTATCGTATACCAGCCCTTGTGCTGAATATTTCACATCCATTATTTCAGTTCCTCTCTATGCATTGGCATTGATGTGACTTTGATAGTATTGCCCCGATTTACAGATGAGGACAATGAAATGCAGAGAGGTTAACTAACTCATCAGATGTCTTATGGCAAGGAAGTGGAACAGGACACATTCCAACAACTCATGTTATTTAACATGGTCTTTTTATGCTTTTAGCTGGAAAACTAGACTACCTCTTTAGCTCTTTCTCCACTTATTTTTATTGTCCAAGTGATAACTCAAGGATAGGCTACTATTTACCATGAACAGTTACCACACCTATGGTCTAGATGTTCAGCCAATTTTGAAACGGCCTCTTTCCTCAGTTGTATAAAACAAATATAGGACAGATCATAAGTTCTCCAATATGTGACTTGTCTTCCCCTGCTTTTCAAATATGTGCTTAACGCCAATCTCATAAACTGCTGTTGCATTTTATATGTTCCATTTATCTGAGATAACTGTCATGTCTGAGCTATTACACTGTTATAAGTTAAAGAAATATATGTAAGTTGTGTTTTACAATAAAATGACATAGCAAATGACCTGATAATGTCCTCTTTATAAAATTATGGAACTTCAAGTATGATGTTTATGTACATTTCTAGAAGTCACACTCCAGATCATTTTAGATCTAGATCATGTTTTACAAACCTATATCTCTATGCTACTCTCCCTCCATTTCTCACCCATGATTTAAATTTTACATCTCTGGTAGCTGTGATTCTGGTATCCATCTTACAATTACTAAAGTATTATAACTGCCCACTCAGAGAGATGGTTCGTTGGTTTGTTTGGTTGGTGGTTGTTAGTTTTTGTGGGGAGGTATATAGGGACAGAGATGGAGAGATGGCAACTCTCATTTGTTATTAAATGAAAGAAACCCTACTATACTTTGCATATAGGTTATCATTTAGTTCTCACAAGAATCTTATAAGGTAGCTATTTTCTGTATCTGGTAAATAAGGAAATTCATACGTAGAGAAGTTAAGTGAGTTTCTCAAGCCCATAAAGTTGTCAAGTAGCACACAGAGGATTGGAGTCTGAATCTGTAAAACTGCAAAGCCTGTGTTCTTTTAACACATATTCTGTAAATGAAAATTCCTCAGATTTTCCTCTGTTCTATAAAGGGCACACATTACTCTTTTCTAGCCCTTTCTAGATTTAAGGCAATAATTTCATATTTCTCTGTACTAAAGTGTGTTACCCCAGAGAGCAACAGAATCTTCATTTGGGGTTTTGTAGTGCAGGGTCTTGTAAGGCTTCTCTACTCCATGAAGCCCACATAGATCCAAGTGCCTTTAAACTTACCCCTTCATCGTCCCTGGCATGTGACATTCCAGTTTGTATCCGATTTCCAGACAGCAGGATAGAGAAAGAAACAAATAATAATGGCACATGCAAGTTTATGGTTTTGTGATTCTACCAGGGTCTGGTAATAAGTTCAGACATTTTTATCAACAAGAGAATTGTTGGTTGCCTAAAGGGCTTGGCTTTTTATAAAAGTCTAGGCACGTACTATTAATTATCCTATTGTAGTTTGCAATAGACTTCATATATTTATTAACCTGTCACTGACACTTTGAGCACCATTGGATCTGGTGGATCAAAAGGCAGCTGCTTGAACAGCAGAGTGTCCCAGCTGGAGAGTCTTCATGACAGCCCCACCATAAACCTGACAGCCTTATAGTTACTCAGTAAATAGGTCAGATCATCATTAGCATGGTTATTTTTAAGGGGTGTATTTCCCTCTAGCATTTATGTCTTACTTTACAATATATTTAGGGCATTTTCTACTTTGTTATTTTTTAATTGACAAAAGTTGTATACATTTATGGCATACAATATAATGTTTTGATAAGTGTATACATTGTGTAATGACTAAATCAAACTCATTAACATATCCATTACCTTAAAAATGTTTTTTATGGTGAAAACACTTAAAGTCTACTCTCTTCACAATTTTCAAGTATGTTACATTATTATTATTAACCATAGTCCCTGTATTGTATAATATAGTTATCCTGAACCTTTTTCTCTGGTTGATCTGAAATATTGTATTCTTGGACTAACATCTCCCCGGTCTTCCCCTCCACCCCTAGCCCAGCCTCTAGTAACCACCATTCAACTTGCTTATAAGAGTTTGACACTTATAATCTATAAACAAGCAAGATCATGCAGGTTTTCTCTTTCAGAGGCACTTTCTATTTTCTGATCACCAGATCCTATCAGCAAGAAACCAAATGTGTATGTGGACCAGTAAGATGTTCTGTGGCATATTAAAATGATCAAAATTCTGTGGACTGAGTTTTGAAGAGCACATAAGAGTTATCATGGCCTGGGATAGTTTCAGGAGAGGTATACTGATGTTTATGCTACGTGAAAGCAGCCTGCTTCTCGTCTTCATTATGATAGGGCAGGTGTCAACAAACTTTTTCTAAAAAGAGCTAGATACTAAATAGTTTAAGCTTTGTGAGCCACAATCTTTCTTGCAGCTATTCAACTCTGTCACTGTGGCATAAAAGTAGCCATAGGCAATATGTTAGGGAATGGGCATGATTGTGTTCCAATAAAACTTTATTTATAAAAACTGAGGATCAGATTTTACCCATGGGTATTGCTTGTGGATCCCTGGGATAGAAGTAAATAATTTTTTTGAGTAATTCCATACTACGTTCCTAAGCTGTGTTTATTTGATCCAGTAAAATGACTACAGCTGGAATAGCTATAGCAATTTTGGAGTCAACTCTGTTTTGTTTGCAATAATCCATTGGCTGTGTCTGAAACCCATCCAACTTCTATAAGAATCAGACAGGCAAGTTAAATGGAGATGTGATAAGACTCACCTCCACCCTGCTTTTTTCAAATTTTTGATGACAACACAAAATTCTGTGATTTCCCTTGATACGGTTTGGTTCTTTGTCCCCACCCAAATCTCATGTAGAATTTTAATCCACATGTGTCAGGGGAGGGACCTGTTGGGAGATGACTGGATCATTGGGGTTGGATTTCCCTCAGCTGTTCTCGGGATAGTGAGTTCTCACTAGATTTGATGATTTCATCCTTGCTCTCTCTCCCTGGCTGCCATGTAAGACATGCCTTTCTTCCCCTTGGCCTTTCTCCATGATTGTAAGTTTCCTGAGGCCTCCCCAGCTATGTGGAACTGTGAGTCAATTAAACCTCTTTTCTTTATAACGTACCCAGTCTCAGGTAGTTCTTTATAGTAGTGTGAAAATAAACTAGTATATCATACATCCCTGTAATGTTTTAGCGTTGCTTTTGCTTCTATCATGTTACTCCTTCCATCCATAATAACCTTCACTCTATTAGTGAGGAAGTCAGCACAGGGAGTTTAAATGGCATGTGTTTTTGCAAATTGAAGGGCATGCTATCTTTAGAGATCCTGTAACATGGCCCCCTTGAAATTGTCAAATGGATTTCTATGACATACAGCTCCAATTCCTTAGTAGGGCAGCAAAGACTTCCACAAAGTGAGCCCACAAGTTTACCTCCTCCTAGCCTCATTTCTTTCCCTTAACTCATCACATCAGAGTCAACAGTCAAACTGGGCTTCTTATAATTCCCCAAGTTTACCAGGGTGTGTTTGTTTCTTCCGTGTTTGTGAAGGTCTTTTTCTCTTACCTGCTTGGTGAACAGTTCCTAGATTGTGCTAACTCTTCCTTGAAGACCTCCTTCACTTAACCTGCTAGTCTACCAGCCATAACCATGATTTTATGTGAGTCTTTGTAGATTCACTTTTCACAGAAGTCTATTGGACTTATTCATTTGTATACGTGTATTTTTTGAACACATAGAGGTGTTTTATTTGTACATATGTTTAATATGTATGTTTAATGTTTGAATCCCAGGAAGTTAGTACAATGCCTGTCAATAGTATGTGATGCTGGTGGTGGTGGTGGCTGTGTTATTCAGCACTTAACATGTGCTGGAGACTCTTTATAAGCATTTTACATATGTTAATAGATTATGTCAGCTGAAAGAATAAGCACACCCTCATCTCCACGTAACATAAAATAGTCACTCTAGCCCTTCTCTTCTCTTTGGGGGAATTCACATAATTTCTTAATTTTTCATTTACTCTACCTGCCAATCTAAGGCAAAGACAATGGACTTTCCCTCCTTGGGGGGTGGGTTCTTGAGATCAGATGAACTCTTTACCAAGAAAACACTCAAAGTGGAGTGTCTCAGAAGTCAACACATAAATAGAGAACAGCATTTATTAGCTACTTTGTCTCTCCTGGGCACAGAACTGACTCTAGCCAGACATCTGTCTGCGGTGCCCTTTCCAGCTGCCACTTTGTATGTTAATTGAATACCCTTAACATTTATTATCAAATCTACTGGTTTAAATTTCTCAGATGAAGGGTAGAAGGCCGTCTTCACTCAGGGGACCCATCTTCTGTCACTTTACGGAAATGAAACTTGGAGTTTGTTTACTGCTGATCTGTGAAATCCCAGGTGGGGAAATGTAATTGTAGAGAAGGAGGCTAAGGCTGAGTCACATGTGTCCCATAAAATTGGTTACCCTGGATGCCTGAATTTGAATTCTTCTCTGCTCACAGTAACACGATTAGATGATGTCATCTTTTTGCTTCATGTACTTTATATCATCCTAAAAAGTATATATGACAAATAGATTATAAGCATGTAGGACATCTTATCAGAAGTGTTTAAGTCAACGTCAATTATTTAAAGCAGAAGTGGTAAGCAAAAGCCAAAATACACATCAAAAAATGCTTGCACTACATTCACATTTTTTTGGATAAATGCATTTTCCAGGCTTCATTTAGATCTTATGTATTCTTGCTTTAAGATAGTAATAACATGTTCAGAATTGATTAAAGCAGATAGACTTTGAGAAGTAACTGATAGCTGATATAATATTTAAGAAGATAGACTATAGAAGAAAGTCAGAAAACTCACAATAATCAGTTTAGGAAAGAGCCACATTCAGTTTAGGAAAAAATAGCTGCATTCATCCACATAAACTGTTTATAATACTACTTTTATATTTTCATTTGCATTAAATTCTGAACACACTACTATAGTTTGGCATTGAAAGTGGCATCACAATAAGTACCTTGCACCATAATGTGGAGAACAACACATGTTCCATAACCATATAGAAGAAGAAAGCAAAACGACAGTTGTTGATGGGTATGCTGTTTCTTGCTATTTATTTATGTTATCTCTGTATTTAGATAATCATGCAGTTAGGTTAAAGTCTGGTCACCTGTCGAGAGTCTCCTCAAATAGGATAGGGTTCATTTCTCATCACCTATTTTCTTTGAAAAAATTAAAAATAGACACCTAGTCATTATCACTGTGGTTATTTTGGAGTGATATGTTGGTGGGCAGGAGAGGGCTGGCCAACTTTTGTATCTGAACCAAAAAAAGGGAACTATTATACTGACTAATTTAGGAGAATTTACTTAATGCCAGAAATTTTGATAATTACCTTATATTGCATTTTTTTCTTGTTTTTTTCTCTCTCAAATTGTAGATTGCATATTCTACAATATATCCATTTTGCAGTGAAGGAAACAACAATGGTATTTCAACTTGTGACTCTATGCTGCTTCTAACACAGTCTACCTTATATATAAAAGTGTGTTCAAAAATGTTATTGGACCAGAAAGAGGAAGTGATTAATTCTTCCAGGGTTACTTGGGAAGACTACATAAATTAAATGACACTTGGTCTGTGGCTTCAGAAATTATGTTTAATTGTTGTCATCTCACTTATTCTTGTCAAACCTTGGATATGATGGGCTTGAAACTTCATCTGCATTTCATGTGCTATGTGTATAATATTGGACTCAAGTATCATTGAAAAGAGATAATTCTTTCTGCAATAAATGTGAAAATAAGACCTCTTATCAGCTCGATGTTAATAAGATGCAAATTCGTGCCAAGAGAAGTCTGAAATGTCTTTTTTTAAAATTAGGTCTCTCAGCTAGCTCTTGCTTCTTTTCTTACTGTTATTGTATTACATAGCAAAAATTCTGAAATAGATACAAAAGTCTTTCTATAGCGTTATACTTCTAATGCACAGTTCCCAACACCCCTTGTCACTGTCTTCAAAAATCTGGTGAAAAGGATGCTATTTTATTACATCTTTTAAACACCTAATCTGGTTTAGTTTATCTCTGTATCTGTATATCATCTCTCCTGTTTGAAATCTTCTATTTATAACTATTTAAAGAAGTTTAGCATTTAAAAAGAGAATAAATGGGGACATAGACATGATGGGCTTCATGTTGATGACTCTTAGGGGAAGCTCCCCTTGGTATTATAGTCTCCCTTTTGAAATAAATCTCTGGGCAGCATGTAGTGATGAGACATGTGTTGTTGAGCCAGAGAGTCATTCCTGGACTCTCCTTAAAGTCCAGGGTGCTGTTGCAATGAGAAAGAAGCTATGCAATCACAAGTACCTGATTGTAGGTTATAGAGGCCCAGATTCAACTGGCCTACCTGGGTAAAAGGGCAGTAGCCTGACAACAGGCACCAAGTACTTCTCTTGCTCCTTCTTATCTTTGTTCTTCTTTGCATGTTGCATTGAGTTTCTTTAACTTTAGACCCACTTTTTGTCCATGATGGGGAACCTAGCCAATGACAGCATATACCCTTATAGGGAAAGACACTTCTTTTCCTGGTGCAGGTTAGAAAATTATCCCAGAGAAGTCCCTTGATTGACCTGAGTTTGGTTATGTGCACATCGTAGGCACAAAAGGAATTCTAACATTGCTTTCTGAAGGCTTTCATCTCTACATCTGCTAAAATAAACTAGCAACAGACAGATTAACAGGAGAAAAATGTTCAAATTTATTAATGTGAAAGCCCATGGGAGTCACACTTAGCTTGAAATTCAAAGGAGGAGGCCAGATGCTTGAAGCTTAAATACCTCTTCATAGGGGAGAGAAAAGTGGGAGGTGTAAGCACTTTTAAAGAAAGAGTAAATAATATTTAGGGGAGATGAATGAGCCTCAATAACAGGCAATAGCCTGGGACAAATTTCCTCTGGACTCTGGGGGAGGTGGCAAGAAGTTATGGGAAGGTGAGGGGCAGAACTGCACGGCCAACAAAGGTTTTCTTATGCAGATAAAGTCTTTCAGATAGCCACCCTCAGAAGAATAGATGAAAAGTCTGTTAAAGGGAGTGTGGCATAACCTTTAGTTTCTTCTTCAGTGATTAATCTTTCCTAGTTAATGAGATTTCAGACAGGAGATTGAAGGCAATTATGTTTCTTTTGGAAGTACTTCTGAGTCAGATAAAGGAACTCAGAGAGAGCCCCTCCCCACACTTGGGGACAGAAACAAGGAAAGGTCAGAAAGATTTTGATTTTGAGGCAGCTTCTAAGGCCTTCCAATTTCCTTTAATTCAAAATTCAAAGTGCTCAGCATGCCAAAGCACCATTTGGGATATTATTTTCTGAGCCCAACAACATCCTTGGATAAACAAGAAGGCAGCATTCTCTGGTTAGTTCAGTGTCCACCCTTTGAACAATTGCTGTAGCAAGGAGATAAGATCATGTGCAAAGGTTGCGAGTTCTCTTTTGAATCCTATATCCAGCAAATATAGAGGTAGGTCTTCTCTTAAAAAAAAAAAAAAAGGGTGAATGCAGTATAACCACAGGAATATTCTGTTGATCGATGATTGCCTATTGTGTCCAAGATATATTTTCTAATTCTCAGCCTGACATCCCTAGGATATAGCACTAATTTTCCTTTAGGACCTTGTCTCCTAGTATTTTTTTTTCACATATCTTAAACTTCCGCTTGAAGGCCTTTGCTCCTATAGATCCATCCACTTGGAATGCCCTTCATTTCCATTCAGTCACTTAACCATCCAGCCATACTGATTACACATTGATTATTTATATTAATCACCATGTGATGAGATAGGTACTGCTACAGGAGCAACAATGAGCAACAATGAGATACTGTCTATATTTTAAAAGATTTACAACTGGGGGGTAAGACACGCATATTACCAGGCAATGTGAAAATGTACAGATACAGGGCTGTACACAGTGGCTTATGCTTGTAATCCCAGTGCTTTGGGAGTCCAAGGCAGGAGAATTGTTGAGGCCAGGAGCTTGAGACCATCATGGGCAACATAGCGAGACTCTATCTTTACAAAAATAAAAATAAAAGATGAGCCAGGTATGATGGCATGTACCTATGGTCCCAGCTACTCAGGCTGCTAAGACAGGAAGATTTCTTGAGCTTAGGAGTTCAAGGCAACAGTGAGCCATGATCACACCACTGCACTCCAGCCAGGGCAAAAGAGTAAGATGTTGTCCCTAAAAAAAAAAAAAAAAAAAAAAAAATTATTTATATATTATATATATATAAATATTTAAATAATATTTAAATAATACAAATAGAAAATACATAGATTATGCCTGTTGTAGAAGCACAATAGAGGTAAGTGACCAAGCCTGGAGCTACCAGCGGAGGGTTTCTGGAGAGGATGATACCTCTTAAAGTTAAATGCTGGAGAAACAAAAGAAATGAGGATCCAATGAAAGTAGCAGTGTAGATACCAGTCAGAAGTTGAAAATCTATAGTCATCAGAGGGAGAGGCTAAATCCTACACATCAGTCAAGACATAAGATACATGTGGTCCCCTTCAGCAGTATTTCCCTGTCCTAGAGAGTTAAAAAATAATTTCTTAATCTCTTATGCCACTTTCTCTACACTTTTTAAAAGCCCTTGTTACTTTTTACATGTGTTTAATTGCTTGTATGTGCTCTTCCTTCTCTCTAAAATGTGAGCTTTATAAAGAAAGGTATTGCATCATTTTAAGCATCAACCAGAAGAATGTCTCATATATATATATATATTTATATATATATATATAAATATATATATATATGCACACACAGTAGACATTAATAAATGTAGCTCATTGAACCTATGCAAAAAATTAGAAATGTACCCATTCAGAATATGCACACGTTCCCCTGGATTTCACATAGAAATTGCCAAGGGATTCTTGTAGGACACAATGCATATACAGTGGTTTCCACTGAAAGGTATATTGATCTTATAAGGAAATGTCAATGCATTTGGGGAGGGGGTGGCAGATGTATTTTGATCTATGCTGTAGGCCATTGTAATAGGAAGAATGGAGAAAGAATTTCACAAGGAAAGACTCTCCAGCTGCCTATAACTTCGGTTCAGCAAATGACACCCCACAACTATTTACTACAATATTTATTGCTCTGTCATTAGCTTATAAATAACATCAGCCTAAAGACCTAGAGGCGATGCCATGCAACAGCAACCACGATAGGATTGTGCAGAAAGGCAAAGAAGCTCACATTGATGTCTGAGGAGGAGGCTCTAAAAGTAAACTCTAGCAATTACCAAGAGTCATAACTTTCCCCATAAAAACAGTCTCAGCAAAGCCTAAATGGTGCTTAAAATAGCATTTCTCGCCGAAACTCTCTCATGAAAGCACAGAACCCAATTGAGATAGCTATATCTGTCATAGGCCTTCAGGCAAATAAACCTCAAATTGATAGGTGTGATGTCAAATGGAATTCCTTTGAGCTTTCATATTCATGTTGAAATTCTGATTCCAGGCACCAAATGAGAGCTGAGAGCCAACTGGCTTATGAGTCGTGTTTTTCTAAGAGATAGCTGGGGGTTGTAAAGGAACTGGGTGGGTAGTGGTGGGTCAGAACATAAACCTAATCTTGGTCTCCTGTAATATCATTTATAAACCCTGAATGCCTTATTATGGCCTCTTGGAATTGTAAGCTAAATTTATATTTTCCCAAATCATTTTTGCTTCTCTATTTTATCATTAGAAAAATAATTTTCTAGAATGAGCTGAAGCCATGATTCTAGTCAACCTCCAACCTCTCCGATCACTCACTCTCTTCCAAGCCTCTTAGGTTTCTTTTTCTTGTCCACTCTTTGAACATCAGAGATCCTCATGCCATTCATAAGTGGAGCTGTATCTCTTTCATCTTTGATTCTCCAGGGCCTAGTACAGGTTCTTCCCAGAGAAGAAGTCAGAAAATATGGAATTAATATGAACAGATGGATGAAGGATACACTTCTTGGTGCATGGTGTGCAAGGCATGAGTTGCTGGTGACACAGGGGGTTTGGTCTGGCCTTCCAGGTAGTAGGCTCTAGACACAAGTCAATCATTGCCTCTCTGGCACTTCCAAGCTGAATGACAGATGAATAACTATTTAACCTCTCTGCATCTTGGTTTCTTCATTATCAATACAGGGATTGTAATATACTTTTTTAAGGTTTGCTGTGAGAATTAAGAAGCAAGAGAGGGCCTGCACAGTGCTAGTCATGGTGCCTGATATCCAGGAAGCACACAACAAATGAATGCTTCCATAGGTAGTTACTTAACTCATGTTTAAGTGGGTCCATTGAAGAATCCTGAAGTGATGTGAATCTTCCCTAGCAATTACCCAGAAAGAGTGTGGGTGGAGAAAGCCCATACTGTTGGGTTGTGGATCAGCACTGCCATCACAGCTGGGTCCCCATGAGCTGCAGGAAGAGAGGAGGCAGTGATCAGAGCCAGCACACCCACAGAGAAGGCAGCACTCTACAGGTTTTCCCACTGGGAAGAATTAACACAACCAGGTACCACCAGAGAGTGGCAGTGGACGTCTGGTCAGGGGTGGGTGGAATCACCTCCTAGTCATCAAATTCCTTAAATTCTTTCTCCCTAAGACACAGGATCCCTTCTCTCCAAACTTTCTCTCCTCATTGCTCTGCCACTACTCTGAGTTCAGCCACTCTTCCTTTTCTTCACCTACAGTGAAGTACTGAGTTGTCTCTCTTATCAATTCTTCTTATCCTCCCATGTAGCCTGCCTTCCTTTTCTGAGTTGAAACCACCCACTCAAGATGCTCTGTTCCCATGCAAAGGTGCCCATAGCACCACACATCCTCCTGCTTCCCTTTCTATTCGTCCCCTTCCACCTGCCTGCATGGAGGAAGCACATGGTACAATTCAATACAAATGGCCTGCATTCTCCTCCTTGTTTGCCCATTCACTCATTGGGAAAGATTTACAACCTTAATTGCATCCAATTTTTCTCATTTGTAAAATGGGATGATAATAATACCAGAATCATAGCATAGTGAGGATTACATGTATTAATGCAAGCAAAGCATTGAGACTGGTCCCTACACCTAGGTAGTGCTCAAGAAAGGTTAGTTGTGGGCCGGGTGTAGTGGCTCAAGCCTATAATCCCACCACTTTGGGAGGCTGAGGCAAGTGGGTCACTTCAGGCCAGGAGTTTCAGACCAGCCCAGGCAACATGGCAAAGTCCCGTCTCTATAAAAAAAAATATAAAAATTAACCAGGTGTAATGGTGCGTGCATGTAGTCCCAGTTACTCAGGATGCTGAAGTGGGAGGATTGCTTGAGCCTAGGAGGTCGAGGCTCAGTGAGCTGAGATCACACTACTGCATTCCAATCTGGGTGAGAGAGTGAGCCCCTTACCTGTATCTTAAAAAAAAAAAGTTATAAATGAAACAAAGCTCAACATTGAAAAATATGTGAAAAATAGGATCAGAGGATTAAGGGCTATGGCCACCATCTTTACCAACTGACCCCAGTTTTTCTGTATCCTAGACCTGTTCTTGATTTCCTGTCTTCTGGATGAATGGCTTTTTCAGTGAGATCTCAGACTGTAGTTCTGAAATTGTTCACCCCTGTTCACTTGCTCCCAGGAAGAACTTCCATCCTCCCACATCTGCCTACCCTGTGGTGCTGCTGCTGAAGCCAACTCAAACCTTTGAATCCCCTAAGGGCTTCAGGGCTTTGAGATTCTCCATCAGTGTTCCTGCAAGGGACACTCACATTCCCAGAAGAACAACTTATCCTTCACAGTTGCATCCTTGGAATTGCTCTGATAGATTTTCTTCTGTCAGTCTAATAGCTACAGTGATTACATCTTTTGCGATAGCTTTATCTGAGGCATCTGACCCATTGTCATTCACAAATATTTCCAATGTGATATCTGTGATAATGTCTATGGCCAGCCATTGCCACTGTGCTATATGATGACTCTGTCAGCAGGTGGGGGAGACTTGCGTACTCATTTGCAGAGCGGGAATTAGAACAAAGATATTTGGCCCTTGACCCAGCCTTGCTAGATTTTAGTGAAATGGAATGAAATATTTGAAAACTCATTCCTGAGGAAGCAGAGATGGGGAAGGACAAGGTTCACTTGAACCTTTACAAGAAGAGCTCAAATGTTCTGACCACATAAGCCTCTAGCCTTAACCTTACCTCTGTGAAATGCTTTTTTTTTTTTTAACTATGGGTACAAGAAAGATAAATGAAAAAGCAAAAAGGAACAGTGTAAGCCAGAGCAAAATTTGGAAAATGTCTGCTATTTTACAGTACACACAGAGCAAAATTGTCAGCTTGTAACATAGAAGCAAAGTAAAAATGGCAATGGGCATGAGCCATCTGGCTGGTCCTGCATTCTCTTCTCATGGGCCCCATGGAATTTGATAGTAAAGGACATCTATGTTCACCCAGCCAGAAATATGGTGCCTGACACAGATGAACATTTCTATAAGAATTCTTATTAATAATTTGAAAGCCTTTTCATATGCTTTTCTAATAAACTGCACTAGATAAGATCTTGTGATGGAAGTCCCTTTGAGAGAATGACTGGATATGAGCTGTGGATGCTGTCTATGCCCTGCCTTCACCACTTCCATGTTCTCTGGCCCAACTTCCAGTTGGCAGCACACATATCTTCTTGCCTGAGGGATTTCCTTAGCTACCAGGACCCGCTTTTCTTCCCATCCAGCAGGGCAGAAATGGAAGGGAGTTCACAACTCTTTCAGGGAGTTGCTATATGATACTCACTCTTCCATGCTATTTGGGTGGGATAGTCCTGAGGTTTTTTTCACCTGAGATTCCCTGTCATCAATTCCTTCCCTTTCTGTCTCATTTGTCACTTCTCCATCAGTGGTTTCTGACGTCACCTCCAAGACAATCTACTTACCCTTGAAACCTGGTCTCAGTGTCTTCTTTTGGAGGACTCTGAACTAAGGAAGGAGGACACACAATCCTCACAACAATTGATGGTAGGAGTGGGATTTGGTTGAAACAATGTTTTCTTTGGAAAGCAAGGTGTATTCATCCATTTTCATGTTGCTGATAAAGGCATACCCAAGACTGGGCAATTTACAAAAGAAAGAGGTTTAATGAACTTACAGTTCCACATGGCTGGGAAGGCCTCACAATCATGGCAGAAGGCAAGGAGGAGCAAGTCACATCTTACATGGATGGTAGCAGGCAAGAGAGAGAGCTTGTGCAGTGAACCTCCCGTTTTTTTAAAACCTCGGGAAAAGACCCACCCCCATAATTCAGTTACCTCCTACTGGGTTCCTCCCATGACATGTGGGAATTGTGGGAGTTACAATTCAAGATGAGATTTGGGTGGGGACAAAGCCAAACCATATCATTCCACCCATGGCCCCTCCAAATCTTATGTCCTCACATATCAAAACCAGTTATGATTTCCCAACAGTCCCTCAAAGTCTTAACTCATGTCAGGATTAATTCAAAAGTCTACAGTCCAAAGTCTCATCTGAGACAAGGCAAGTCCCTTCTGCCTATGAGCCTGTAAAATCAAAAGCAAGTTAGTTACTTCCTAGATACAGTGGGGATACAATCATTGGGTAAATACAGCCATTCCAAATGGGAGAAATTGGCTGAAATGAAGGGGCTACAGGCCTCGTGCAAGTCTGAAATCCAATGGGGCAGTCAAATCTTAAAGCCCCAAAATGATTTCCTTTGATGCTAGGTCTCACATCCAGATCACATTTATGCAAGAGGTGGGTTCCCATGGTCTTAGGTAACTTAGCCCCTGTGGCTTTGAAGGGTATAGTCTCCCTCTTGGCTGCTTTAGTGGGCTGGCATTGAGTGTCTGTGGCTTTTCCAGGTGCACAATTTGCAAGCTGTAGGTGGATCTACCATTCTGGGGTCTGGAGGATGGTGGCCCTCTTCTCACAGCTCCACTAGGCAGTGCCCCAGGAAAGGACTCTGTGTGGGGGCTCTGACCACACATTTCCCTTCTGCACTGTCTTAGCAGAGGTTCTCCATGAGAGCCCTGCCCCTACAGCAGACTTCTGCCTGGACATCAGGCATTTCTATACACCCTCTGAAATCTAGGCAGAGGATCCCAAACCTCAATTTTTGACTTCTATGCACTTGCAGGCTCCACACTGCATGGAAGCTGCCAAGGCTTGGGGCTTGTACCTTCCAAAGTCAGTGCCTGAGCAGTACTTTGGCCCATTTTAGTCACGGCTGGAGTGGCTGGGACATGGGGCACCAAGTCCCTAGGCCACACACAGCATAGGGACCCTGGGCCCAGCCCACAAAACTATTTTTTCCTCTAGGCCTCTGGGCCTGTGATGGGAAGGGCTACTGTGAAGACCTCTGACATTCCTAGAGACATTATCCCCATTGTCTTGGGAATTAACATTTGGCTCCTCATTACTTATGCAAATTTCTGCAGCTAGCTTGAATTTTTCCTCAGAAAATGGGATTTTCTTCTCTATGGCATTGTCAGTCCGCAAATTTTCTGAACTTTTATGCTCTGCTTCCTTATAGAACTGAATGCTTTTTACAGCACCCAAGTCACATCTTGAATGCTTTGCTGCTTAGAAATTTCTTCCACGAGATACCCTAAATCATCTCTCTCAAGTTCAAAGTTCCACAAATCTCTAGGGCAGGGACAAAATGCCACCAGTCTCTGCTAAAATGTAACAAGAGTCAGCTTTGCTCCAGTTCCCAACAAGCTCCTCATCTCCAACTGAAGCCACCTCAGGCCAGATTTCACTGTACATATTATTATCAGCATTTTGGTCAAAGCCATTCAACAAGTCTCTAGACAGTTCCAAACTTTCCCACTTTTTCCTGTCTCCTTCTGAGCCCTCTAAACTGTTCCAACCTCTTCCTGTTACTCAGTTCCAAAGTTGCTTCCACATTTTCGGGTATCTTTTCAGCAGTGCCCCATTCTACTGGTACCAATTTACTGCATTAGTCCATTTTTATGCTGCTGTTAAAGACATACCCAAGACTGGGCAATTTACAAAAGAAAGAGGTTTAATGAACTTACAGTTCCACATGGCTGGGGAGGCCTCACAACCATGGCAGAAGGCAAGGAGGAGCAAATCACATCTTACATGAATAGCAGCAGGAAAAAGAAAAAAAAAAAAACAGGTAAAGTCCTATTTTTTAAAATCATCAGATCTTGTGAGACTTATTCACTATCATGAGAACAGCACGGGAAAGACCTGCCCCCATAATTCAGTTACCTCTCACTGGGTTCCCTGATGACGTGTGGGAGTTGTGGGGGTTACAATTCAATATGAGATTCATGTGGGGACACAGCAAAACAATATCACAAGGCAAGATTAAAAACAGAGTAATCCCAAAAACTTGGATGAGAAATGGGCAACCAGTGGCTGATGACAGTGGTCACTTGCAGAATCACTACAAAAAAGTCAGTGCTAGTGACAATAGCATTGTCCCAAGTCCCAAGCTGGATGGGGATGGAGTACCTGAAGGTAGCTGTCTGGATATAATTAATTATATAATAATTATATATATTTTATGTATATATAGTATGTATGTATACACACACACACACACACACACACACACACACACAAAGAACAATTAAAAGGTGCCATGAAATTGTCCATATGATGTAAAAACAAAGAAATTTACAAAGCAATTATAACCATGAGATGTGACTACAAGGGAATATATGGATATTCTATTCCTTCAGAGCCTGCTTCTGTTAGTTTAGACAATGAAACAGCAAATTTTCATATATTAGTTTCCTTTTGCTGTTGTAGCAAATTATCACCCATTTATTGACTTTAAACTGTAGAATAAATGTGTACTGTTTCAAGATCTGATGTCAGAGATCAGATTCATGGATCTAGGGTCAGGTTGTCAAGATGGCTGATTCTTCCTAGAGGCCCTGAGGGGAGGATCTGTTTCTTTGCCTTTCTGTGCTTCTAGTGGATGCCTGTGTTCCTCGGCTTGTGGCTCCTTCTTCCATTTCTAAGTGTATCTCTCCAATCTCTGTGTCCATTGTTACATCTCCTCCTCCTCTGACTGACTCCTCCTTCCTCCCTCTTTTAAGGACCCTTGTAAGGCCTTGGGCTCACCTGGCTAATCCAGGATAATCTGCCCTCCTCAAGATCCTTAATTTAATCCCATCTTCAAAGTACATTTTACCATATAACATAAAATTTATGAGTTCCAGAGATTAGGATATGGATATCTTTTCAGGGGGAAGGGGGCATTATTCAGCCACAGCACGTCAGGGTCCTATCACGCTGGGTTACCTAGACATAGGAGTTTGTTTTGCAAATTATGATAGAAATATAGCCATTTAAATAGAATTGAGACAGTTTAGGGATAGACATTTGAGGATAGAGACTACAAATTGTAATGATACCCTAGGGCCTTCTTGATAATGTGATGGTCAATAGAATGTTGATGAATAGAGCACTCACCCATGTAGAAAAAAATGGCAGTCCTTCTACAACCACTGTTAAGTGCTTCCATGAAAAGCCATTCAGCATCAGCAGGGAGTGGGAAGTGCTGGAGAAAGAGAAGGCATTTTTATTTCAGAATGGATACATGGGGCTGTGAATTTAGGGAATGTCCTCAGAGAGATCTTTAGGCCTAAATGGAGAAAGACACTACTCAGGATGCATCATTATTAAAACAATTGGCTAGAGGTAAGTGAATGCAAAATCAGCTGCAAAGTAGTCAAACATCTTGTGGCATGCTATTAATTGGAAAGGAAAACTTAGTACTGAGGGACCCTGGAGTTGTATAAGATACAGATTTCTTTTCCTTAAAACAAAAGAAATGCACATGGTGTAAGCTAAAGTAACCTTGTTTTATAGTGTTCAGAGAGAACAAAGGCTTATTTGCACATTTTGGATCTTATGCAAATAGTTAGAAAAAAGACGATAAATGCAGAAAACAAAGGGAGGTTTGGATATTTTTAATTTTTAAAAAATGCATAAGAAAGTTATAATTTCTTCCTTAAATTGTTAGAACTCGCCAGTAAAGCTAGCTGGGTGCTGTGGTTTGGATATGCTTTGTTTGTGTCCACTAAAATTAAATTTGATCCTCAGTGTGGGGGTGTTTAGAAGTGGGGCAAATGGGAGGTGTCTGGGTCATGAGAGTGGATCCCTCATAAATGGCTTGGTGCTATCCTTGGGGTAGTGAATTATTGCTCTCCCAAGACTGAATTAGTCCTCTGGGAATAGGTGAGTTCCCAAGACAGCAGGTTATTATACAGCAAGTTTCTTCCTCTTGTTTGACCCTCCTCACACATGTCTGATTTACCTTTGACCTTCTTTGCCATGTTGTAATGCAGGACAAAAGCCCTTGCCAGAAGCCAAGTACATGCCCTTGAACTTCCCAGTCTGCAGAACCGTGAGTAAATAAGCCTCTTTTCTTGAAAAAGCATACTGTTTTATGTATTCTGTTATAGGACTACAGGACTAAGACACTGGGCTCGTAATTTTCTTGGTAGGAAAGTATTTACTTGCAAATTTGCTCCCTTTACTAGATAAAAGGTTATCAGGATTTCATTTATTTTCTTTAGAATCTTTATTTTAATTGCATTTAAAAAATAATATTGAATAATAGCAAATAATTTACATTTAGTAAAATTCACTTTTATAGTGTATAGTTCTTCAAGTTTTGGCAAACATATACAGACATGTAACCAACACCACAGTTGAGATATTGAACAGTTCCTTTACCCCCTAAATTGCCCTGTACTACTGACTAGTCACCCCTTTCCAACCCTTAACTCCTGGCTACTGTGGATCCAGTCACCAGTCCTGTAATCTTGCCTTCTCCAAAAGTCATGTAAATGGAATTATGCAGTATGTAGTCTTTTGAATCTTGCTTCTGTCACTTAACATAAAGCATTTGAGATGCATCCATGTTGTTGCATGTATTGCTTTTTTTTCTTTTATTGCTTGGCATTATTCCATTGTATGGATATACTACACTTTGTTTACCTATTCTTCAGTTGAGAGACATTTAGTTTGTCTCCAGTTTGAGGCAATCACGCATTCTATTACTACGAAGTTTTATGTGCATGTTTTGTGAGAATGTTTTTATTTCACTTGGGTAAAAATCTAGGACTGAGATTGCTGAGTCGCTTATATTTCTCTACGTAAGAAACTACCAGATAGTTTATCAAAGTGGCTGTGCCATTTTGCATTCTTACCAGTAGTTTATGAGAATTCCAGTATCTCCATATCCTCAGCAGCACTTGACATTACCTGCTTTTATATACTTTAGGCATTTCAATAGGTATATCTTGTTGTGATTTTAATTTGCATTTCCATAATGCAAATTATGCTGAATATCTTTTTGTGTGCTTATTTGCATCTGTATATTTCCTTTGGCAAAGTTTGTGTCCAAACTGTTTTAACTATTTTTAATTCTATCTTTTCTTGAATCTTGAGAGGTCTTTATGTATTTTGGACACAAGTCCTTTATCATAAATATAATGTATAAATATTTTCTCCCTATCTGTGAGTTATCTTTTTATTTTCTTAAATGTCTTTCAAAAAATAGATGTTCTACATTTTAATGAAACCAAATTTTACTGATTTCATTGTTTCTGTTGTTGTTATTAATGGACCATGTTATTTATGTTATGTCTAAAGAGTCTTTGTGTAATCTAATGTCACACAGATTTTCTCTTAGGTTTTCTTCCAGGATTTTTTATTGTTTTAGGTTTTACAATTAAGTTTATTATAATTTTGAGTTACTTTTTTTTAGAGGTTGCAAGGTATAGATTATGATCATTATTTTTCATATAGATATCTAATTATTCCAACACTACTTGTTGAAAAGGCTATTTTATTAAATTGCTTTTGCATCTTTCTTGAAAATCAGTTGACTGTATACTTGTGAGTTTCCATATTTTATATTTCAATTTTTTATTTATATGTCTATCCTTTCTCCAATACTACACTCTCTTGATTACTGCAGATTTATAGTAAATCAAAAAAACATTTAAGCTGAGTTCTTTAACATTGTTCTATGTCAAAATTGTTTTGGCTATTCTTTTTTTTTTTTTGAGACAGAGTATCACTCTGTCGCCCAAGCTGGAGTGCAGTGGCACAACCTAGGCTCACTGCAACCTCTGCCTCCTCGGTTCAAGCGATTCGCCTGCCTCAGTCTCCCGACTAGTTGAGATTACAGGTGCCTGTCACTATGCCCGGCTAATTTTTATATTTTTGGTAGAGACAGGGTTTCGCCATGTTGGCCAGGCTGCTCTTGATTTCCTGACCTCAGGTGATCCACCCATCTCGGCCTCCCAAAGTGCTGGGATTACAGGCATGAGCCAACACACTCAGCCTGTTTTGGCTATTCTATTTTCTTTTCTTTCCATATATACTTTAGAACTGTAACCGGGGACCTCAACTTTAAAAACATATTTTAATCACCCACTTTCTTTTTCTTACTTCCCTCTTCTCTAACCCATTATTCCTTCCTTCTCTAGACACTCCCCTGCCTAATTAGATAAACACATGCTTATCTAATTATGTTTTTGCTTAAGAAATTCCAGAGGCTAATCTTGAAACAAACCAGGCACAGAGCCCTTACAGAATCTTCTCACTTAGGAAAAGTCATGAACAATTAATCTACCACCATTGGGCTGAAGTCAACATAACGTTAATTAGACCTCTGTATGAATAATTACCCAAAATAGCTATTAAAACAGACACACAGACCCTGTACCCTGCACCATTCCCACATGCCTCCCATACCAAGTTTCCCTTTTAAAAACTTTATGGTAAATTAAAAAATTTAAGATGGTATTTTAGAAAATTAGTTCACCATCTTCTTGGTTTGCTGGCTCTCCACTTAAACCTGCTTTTCTGCTTTTCCTTCCACCAAACTTTCTCTCATGTCTGGCTTTCAAGCAATGAGCAGCAAAAGCTGGGTTTGGTTACAGAACCAGCTTGTTGATTTCTACCAAAAATTAACGTTGAGCGTGTCAATTAAAGAGAATTGACATCTTATCAAAATTGGTTCTTCTAATTACTGAATGTAGTATATCTCCTCATTAATTCAGGTCTTCTTTGATTTTTCTTAACCATGATTTTGTAGTTTTCAGCACGCAGATCTTGTGGTATTTTCAAATAACTGGATGTAAGTGTTTAATGTATTTTGGTTCTACTGTAAATGACATTGCTTTATTTCAATTTCCATTTGCTTGATTCCTAGGATACAAAAATTTATTGTATATTGATCTGGCATTTTGCAACCTTGCCAAACACATTTATTAGTTTTGGGGAGTTATTTTTCAGATTCTTTGAGATTTTCTCTATGGGCAATCATGTTATGTATGAGAAGAGACAGTTTTCTTTCTTTCCAATCTCTAGGCCCCATTTTTCCCTATTTCTTTTCTGCTTCATTGTACTGGCTATAACCTCTAAAATAATTCTGAATAAGAGTCATGAGTTACCTTGTTTGTAGGTTAGAGGGATTCAGTCTTTTGTCTTTAAGTATGATGTTGATTCTAGTTTTTTTTGCTATATCTTTATTAAGTTAAGAAAGCTTATTTGTACTTTTACTTTGAGAGATTTTTTTAAAAATCAGGAATGATGATTTCTTTTCCAAAGAATTCTTTTTGAACGATTGCACTTTTTTCTTATTTAATCTGTTGATAAGGTGAGTTTTATTAATTTATTTTTTAGATGTTGAACTAGTCTTCTATTTTCAGGATAAAGCATGCTTGTTCATAATACATTATTTTATATATTGTGGGCATCAATTTCTTAGGTTATTTTTGAGTGTTTTTATTGATGTTTATAAGAGGTCATGAGGTTATGACCTGCACTTTTCAGATTTTTATATCTTTTGGTCATTTTTGTTAATTTTTGTCTTTCAAGAAATTCATTTGACCAAGTTGTTATATTTACTGTTGTATTTATAATATTTTCTTCCTACAATTTTAATGTCCTGGGAGCTAAGGTAATATCCCCTTTTTCATTATTGATATGGGTCATATGTGTAACTCAATTTCTTTTAATCAGTTTTGTTAGAAGCTTATCGAATTTATTAATCTTTCCAAATAACTAACTTTTGATTTCATTGGTTTTCTCTGTTTGCCAATGATTTATTTCATTGACTCACTTTTATATATTTTATTTTTCCTTATTTCTACTTCTATTTAATTTGATCTTCTTTTTCTAGATTTTTCTGATGGAAACTGGTCAGCAATGCAAATTTATTTGGTTAGCTACTAGCACAGCAGTGATGTGTAATGTGTAATTAGCACTTTAAACTGTAGAACCAACTCTACAGACCTGGCAGGATTTTACCCTGAGCTGGCTGCTGGTCAGCTGGCAGCTGCTGGATGTGACTAGAGGATGTGACAAAGAAAATAATGAAAAAAATCACCAGGGATTTAGAGAACCTTGTATGCAGCTCTAAGTAATTGCACTTTCTCTAAAGGCTATTGACAGATTTGAGTTGTAGAAACATTGTTCTTTTTTCAATGAGGAGAATAGCAGAAAATGGGCCTGAGTAGAGATCCAGCTCCCAAGCGGATCCTACAGTGACATAGAAATGTGATAACACAACTCTTTACTAAAGTAGAGATGTAGAAGATGGAGAGAAAATACGGACTAAGAAGACTGGAGAGGTCGACTTGGTGATATGGATGGTAGTGAATGAAAGAGAGGAAAGATCACACTGTGATGGCTGGCTCAGCCAGTGGTCAGAAAATAAACTTGATTGAGAATATAGAAAGTGCCACATATAATGAAAAAATATGAATATATACAGAGGAAGAGAGCATGAGTTGGGTTTTCTAAATCTTTTTTATTGTATATATTTAAGGTGTACAACTTTATGTTTTGATATACATATAATTCAGAAGTGATTACTATAATCAAGTAAATTAACATATTCATCATCTCATACAGTTACTTTTTTGTGGTAAGAGTACCAAAAATCTATCTTAGCACATTTTCAGTATGTAATACATTATTAACTATAGTCCTCATGCTTTAATTTGATCTCTAAACTTACTTATCCTGTGTAACTGCAACTTTTTATTCTTTAATGGATATTTCCCCATTTGTTCCCAATCCCCACACCCTGGTAACCACCTCTCTACTCTGTTTCTATGTTTTCATTTCTTTTCTAGATTCTACATATAAATACCATCATGCAATATTTTTCTATCTGAAACTGGCTTATTTCATTTAGCATGCTATCCTTTAGGTTGATCCTTGTTGCAAATGGCAAGATCTCCATTTTTAAGGCTGAATAATATTCCAGTTATTCAATTCCATTAAGCATCTGTTTGATGACTGATCCCCTCCATCAGTCCTTTCTTCCCCACCCTGCCTGGGGAACTGCTCACTCTCTCTGGGTTATGCCACAGTCTGCAGATAGCCCACACTCTTTGCAGATCAATCTGTTCATTCTGTCCCCAGTTGACTGAGTAATTCTTGGGTGTTGAGGGGTCTACCAACATCTTCCAGAAAGACCCATTATTTGGAAAAAGACAAGAATGGAAGGACTGTCACCTAGAGCATTATCCCTCCCTAATGGAAACTGCAAATCCCATTTCTTGTCACTCTGAGCTGTGAAGGCAGTATCACTTCAGAGCCTGTCCATTTAGGTGACTTGCTGGGTCCTAGCTAAGTCTTGGCAAAGATTGTCAGCCCCAGCAGAGACTGTGGGATGGATTAACCCTTACCACTATGTTCTCAAAAGGGTGGTCTATGCTGAAAGTTTCCTCTGCCCTACTGAGAAACAGATGCCAGAGGAGGTAAAAAAAAAAGGGTTTGTCTGTCTTTCCTTTTTTAAAAATATAAAAATATCATCACTTATCTTTAAATGAAGCAGAACAAGGACCCGACATATTTGCCTTAAATCACCTCCCCTGCAATGTGATAATCCAGGTTTCTAGAACAACCACAGGATTAAAGCAATAAAATGCAAAATCTCCAGTTCTAATTAGCAGAAGGCACAATAAAAAGCTGGATTTTGCGGTCATGGTCAAAGCTACAGATTTAATCAGACTCTCGACATGTGGAGTTGAATTTCAAGCAAATTACTTGCCACACTTTAAAATTCCAAACTCACAAGATTTTTTTTTTTTTACTCAAAAAAGAAAGCTCACAATGAAACTGTAAACATCACATTTCTTGTCTCTTTCTTGCCAGAAAATTTAAAGCTCGATTCATTAATCAACAATGCCACACATGGCAACTGGCTCTGGAGGCAGCCTCCTTCTCCCCTCTCCTTTGTGGAATTTGCTTTGCTTTGTCATTCCTTGGTTAGGTGTTTCTGGCCTCTACGTATTCTCTCTTCATGTCTCCCTGACTCTTCTCTGCTCCCTCACAATGTATCACATGGAGTCACTTAGGTTTCCTTCCTGAAGGAATAGCAGGCACCTAGGTCCCAACCAGGATGCCAAGTAACAGTCGCACTCTGGATGGGTGCTGGAGTTGTTGGTACCATTTAAGTTAGGCATCCTAAGATACACACTGAGCTGTAGTATGGCATGACCCTCACCCACTAGTACCACAATCCAAATCATTTTCTTCTTGAGCCTTGTAATTAATGGAGAAACATTCATATCCTTTGCTGGACCAAAAGCCCACATGGCTTACTTACTTCTGCATCCATAATGCTATTAGATAAATGCTTATTGAATGAACTGTGCGTGGTTTCCCTTGGATTAGAAGACACCTCCCTATTTCTCCTTTTTCTTCTTCCAACAAAACTGTAATTGTGTATGTGGGGTGGGGAGTGGGGGGCGAAGGGTGAAGGGGGGTGGTGGTTAGAATCACAAACCCAAATCCTAATGCCATTCTAGAAATAGGATGCCCAATCAGTATTGGCCGTTGATGGTTTGAACCATCTTTTCCTGCATGTGTGAATTTATCGGCATTATACTTTATACTTCATTTATTCATAATTTATCCATTCTTTAAAAAATGGGTTATTAAGTCTTACTGTGTGTCAATCTCTGTGCTAGATTGGAAATATAAGTGGTGAGCCAAACAGAGGAAGCCCTTGCTCTCATGGAACTTACATGTGATGGGGACAGGGGAGGCAGTAGACTGTCAAATGACTATGTAATATACATATATTAATACAATGTATAATATCCAATAGAGTGATGGGATACAGCTGTGAGCAAAACAAACATGGTCATTCCAATGGCCAACAAGACAAAAGAAGTCAATAGGTAAAAACCTAAAACAATCGGAAGTTGCAGTTAGTGCTGAGAAGAAGCAGAGGATGAATTAGAATAGAAAGTACTGTGTCTGGGGCATTTTGCCCTGACTCCTAAATTCAGGCTCCCTTTGTGACACCTCACTGCTTCTTCCCCTGCATAGCACCTTCTTCCTAAATGAATTGAGCAATTCAAATCAGTGATGGGCATCAGGGAACTCTGGCCATCTTCTTGGGACCCCCCAGGAAGGCAACATATTGAAGGCTTCTCCAGAGGTCCTGGAGCTCAGAACACCCATGCCTTTAACCAGGTGAGCATGTAGGTGGCATCGTTCATTAGTGACTACACTTTGGGTAAATTCTCCAGCTCCAGTCTCCCTGCTTTCAATGCTGCCTCTGTTCTCTGTCAGCAAAGGTGATGGGAGCTGCTGAAAGTTCATCAAGTTATTATGCCATTTGCCTAACATGACTTATGATTGACAATTTATACCTGTCAGAACCCAGAGAAGATATGGCAAGTCCCTAAGGCAAGGCAGCAGAGTGGCCGCCTCTTCACCCCAACGCCGCCCACAGAATGGAAGGGCGGCAGGGAGGCTGGGACAGTTGGGATCTCAGCATTGAGTGTGGCCCCTGGCCTCCCGTCGAGAAAGGAGAAAACTAATATAGCTTTAGTTTAAGGCTTTGCAAGAACGTTCCACAAAATGTGATCCACCAAATCATTTTTTTAGTGGATGTGAATAATAGTGTCTTTGGGCAGAGTGTTCTGTGGTAAAATAAAGGACAACATTTCTGGGTTAAACACAGATTAACTGGGATTATTTGGCATTATTTATACAAGACTGTGTGTAAGCATTTTTCAAACATATTAAATACTCCATTTAGCCTCTTTTGGAGAACACTTTTTTATTTGTTTTTACTGATTTTTTTTTCCTTTCTTTTTTTTCTTTTTTGAGATGGAGTCTCACTCTGTTGCCCAGGCTGGAGCTCAGTGGTGCGATCTCTGCTCACTGCAACCTCTGCCTCTCAGGTTCCAGTGATTCTCGTGCCTCAGCCTCCCGAGTAACTGGGATTACAGGTGTGCGCCACCACACCCAGCTAATTTTTGTATTTTTAATAGAGACAGGATTTCACCATGTTGGCCAGGCTGGTCTCAAACTCCTTACCTCAAGTGATCTGCCCTCCTTGGCCTCCCAAAGTGCTGGGATTACAGACATGAGCCCCCATGCCTGGCCTACTGATTTGTTTCTATCACATATTCTTTGGTCTCCAAAACAGTCTGTGGCTTAGTTATATTTATAAATCCCATTCTGCAAATGAGAGAAACTGAGATTTAGGAAAATAAATCTTTCTGAGAGTCTTTTACAGGAGTTTTCCAGGGGCTCACGGTTTGCAGGAGGCAGCACCTGGATCCTAGTGCAGCTTTCTGCCTAGGGATTGGTGCTGGATTTGCTCTGAGGTCCCTCCTACTCTTGCCATCTTCACAGTGGATTCATCAGCACTCAGCTCTTAGAGGGGTTGATGAGTTTTAAATGGAAAGGTAGAATCGAACACGGAGCTCTGTATAAATGCTAATTGCAACTTTGGGAAAGTTCATTAGGCCTAACATCCTCATATGAAAATTCAAACCTTTGGCCTACTTGATTTTTTCCTAGTTTCCCTCAGCAAAATAACTCTCTGATTTGGGTAAAAAGAGAGCTAGACTAGGGTCAGGACACCAGAGCTAAGGCGGAAACTGTGGGATTTCCGGCACGTTATGTTCCTTCTCTGAGTTTCAGATCTGGCTTTTAAAAATCTTTTTGTTATTATTCTTTTTTTAAAGGGTGGATAATACTGTTTCCTCTGTCTCTCTCACAGAGCCTTTTGGAAATTGAATGTGATGATAAACATGTACATCATTGCATGAGAACACACTCAATCGTCTGTTATTATTCTCTTCATTAGGACATGACACCAGTGACTTGTGGATCATTTATGTCTGTGCCCTCTATTCAAAGCAAGGGACGCCCCAATAGCAGGGAGAGGCACTGTGGTGAATAGGACATGCATGAAGTCAGTCTTTCATGAAGATGAAGAAGGGTCTTTGGGGCAGACACCTGGCTGCCTGGCTGGCTAAGTTAACTTCTCAGACAGAGCTCCTCCAGGCCTGAGAACAAGCAGCACATTATGACAGAAATGAGAATCATTTCCTTCCAAGGAAGTATTGTCCTATTAAAGCCAAAAGGACAGGAAGCTGAGAAAAGTACAGAGGACAAGTAAAAATTGGACAGAGTTTAAAAGAGTTTATTAGGTATTTTTTAAAACAGAAGTAGGTATTTTTAGGTAGGTATTTTTTAAAACAGAAGTAGGACATGAGTTGTAAAAGAAAAAAGCATCATCTAAATTTATACAAACAGTATGATCATACTATTTTTATTAAAAAGGCAACACATAGACTGACTGAGGATTTATCTATTCCAAACACATTTCACTTATTATCTTATGTATTCTTCAAAACAATCCAGCTGAGTAAATTTTTATATTCTATTTTACAGATAATAAAACTAACAATTTGGAGAATTTTTTGTTGTGGTGACCACTGTGTCTTTAATGTTTCACTTTATACGCAGGTATTGTTTTATTTTATTTTATTTTTGAAATTGACTAATAAATATGTGTCTGATTATTTCAGCTTACCATAAGATTCAAATTGAACAAATCATGGGGAACACAATTTTCCTTCTTGTTGTTCCCCGTCACTGACTTTCTTCCACAACAACTTTATGAATGTACCTCTTCCCTTTACCTTTTTCTACATTTCCTTTCAACCTTTGCTGTTTTGGGGACTGAACTGTTTAATCGATTCACCTGGACACATGGTCACATTTCTACATTCTGTGACTTATAAGTTGCTGAAGCCATTTCTAGAGGAACCTTACAAAGTGTTTGCAGAGCCTGTTTCTACAAAAGGACTCAGTGAAGGAGAAAATTAGAGGGGATTTCATCTTATCCCAGTGTCTATCCTGCATCCTAACATGGAGTTTTGCTGGGAAGGGCCTCTGCATGCCTTTGTAAAGTCCTAGATTTTCCAATGGCTTAGCTCAGAGAATATGCACCCTCTGAACCTTGGTCCCCCCCAGGACCCTCACCATGCTTCTCCCCTTCTCCAGATACTGTAGGTCATTCTCACCCAAATCTCTGACTGCAGGGTAGGATAAATCCATCAGTGTAACTTTAAAACTAAAAATTGATAGTCATATTTTTAAAATTAGGTGATAAAGACTGTTCTTAGTATTTTACACCTATTAGTAAATTTACATTTTTAATGATGCTAAGAGGTAGGTACTATTACCTCCATTATACAAATGAGAAAACTTAGTACAGAGAATTTAATTGACTCACCTAAGGCAACACAGCAAGAAGGAAGGGGACTGTTATATACATTCAAGTATATTTAATTAGACTCCTATATAAACAGTTTCTTAACCAATACAGCAATGAGAGGAAATTACTTGGGAAGGAAGAAGCAAACCATTTCAAGCCCCATTCCCTCAATAACCAAATATCAAAGCCAGGTTTGATGAGCCTGAGTGACAGCAATGCATCCTATGTACTAGATGCCTGTGTACTATCAGTGAGAAGTTTAATGTAAAAATATTAATGATACTAACATCTTCACAATTTTAATCATTCAATTATAGTTACTGCTTTCTAACTTTATTGTACTGAGATAAAAAACAATGGTCTGCATGCTACTGATTATTTGGCCTATTCAATAGTGGGCCAACAGGCATTTTTTGTGCCAAGTGTGCTGGTGAAGAATGTATGTTCTCTGCTTGGTCTAAGGCTCTATCTATGTCCTATAAAACACATCCATTCTATCTTACATCAACTGAACAATCCTTGCTTAAGATTTGATGTCCTCCTAAACATGGCATCCATGTCTTTCATCAGCTTGGGAAATCCACAGTCATTTGAAGACTGTCTCTCAAATCTCTCTTACCCTGCCCTTTCTGGGACTCCTGCTGGATGTAAATTAGATTGCTCATTTTATTTATTTATTTATTTATTTATTTATTTATTTATTTATTTATTTAATGTGAATTGAGTCTCTTGTAGGCAGCATATACCTGGGTGTTTTTTTTTCTTCTTTTATTTTAGGTTCTGGGGATACATGTGCAGGTTTGTTACATGAGTAAATTGTGTGCTGCTGAGGCTTGGTGTATGAATGATCTCATCACCCAGATAATGAGCATAGTACTGGATAGGTAATCTTCCAATGCACACCTCCTCCACCCCCCTGCCTCAAGCAGTCCCTAGTGTCTGTTTTTCCCATCTTTGTGTCCATGTGTATTCAAAGTTTGGCACCCATATATAAGTGAGAACATGCAGTATTTGGTTTTCTGTTCTGCGTTAGTTCACTTAGGATAATGGCCTCCAGCTGCATCCATGTTGCTGTAAAAGACATTTTCTTTATCCAGCATTGATGAACATCTTTTTTGATTCTGATATATTTGCTATTGTAAATAGTGCTGCAGTGAACATACAACTACATGTGTCTTTTTGGTAGAACAATTTATTTTCCTTTGGATATATTTCCAGTAGTGGGATTGCTCGGTCAAATGAGAGTTCTAACTTTTTAAAGAAATCTTTACACTGCTTTCCACAGTGGCTAAACTAGTTTACATTCCCACCAGCAGTGTATAAGTGTTTTCTTTTCTCCACAATCTTGCCAGCACCTGTTTTTGTTTGTTTGTTTGTTCATTTGTTTGTTATTTTCTTTTTTTTTTTTGATTTTTTAAAATAATGGATTGCTCATTTTAGTGTCCATTTTCCCCATGTTAAGTTTCTGTGTTGCATTCTGGGTAAATGCATGCAGTTCTACCTTCCAGTTTCCCAATTATTTCTCCTTTTGTGTACATTTGGGCTGTCTAGTTTGTCCATTGTGACTTTAATTGCAATAACTACATTTTTCACTTCTGGGAGTTCTATTTGGTTCTTTTACAAAAATATCTGGCCTTTCATGATAAGCTCTCGATTGTATCTCACTTTTTAGTGTCTTTCATACTTTAAAATTTTAAAAATATATTTATTTTTAAATCTCTAATGGTGATATTATCTTATGGTCTAAGGAGTTTAAATATCTTGTTTGTTTGCTTTGTATTTCTGCTAATCTCACTGTCAATGGCTTATATTTTTGTTTGTGCTTTAATTTTTAATTTTGAGCTCATTCACTCTGATTCCACCTTTGTGAATCCTGAATAAAGTGGATTGAGGGTGTCCCCTGCCAGAGAAGATTTGAGGGCATGTTTATCCTGTGCCTCTGGGGCATTGCAAGTCTGGAACTGTGTGTTAATATTTAAGCTTTAAGAATCCTGGACTTTGCAGTCACTTAAACTTGAGCCCCATTGTGGCAGAACTGTGCTGCTTTTCAGATGCTCTGTAGATCTTTGTTGAATAAAATAGCTGAAAAAAATGAATGAGACAATTATATTTTTTCATGCTTTCTTTGAAAGAAAATCAGCAAAATTAAGCAAGATATTTTTTAATCAAGAAAAACTAAATATGGTTCAGACTTTTGCAGAAGGCATGCCTGTACAGACTTTTAAAGTGGTGCAGTTTTATAGTTCCTAAATCAGTATTGACTAAATCAGAATTTATATATTCCTCTGATTAATTATAAAACACTGGAAGCTAAGTTGGAGTTCCAAGGTCATGCAGGCCACCCCTCTCACTGCACAGGCAACGAAGGGTCATGCTGCTTCTCTGAGGCCAAGTGTTTGCCAGTTACTCCCAGGAAATGATTTGAATTGTTCATATTGTACATCAAATTGCAAAGAGCAAAACGTGAACAGGAGATAAAGCTTAAAGCTCAAATTCACCTTACCCAGTGAGAGTTTGTATCTCAGATCACCAATTAAAACCAACCTGACAACACATTTTTGTTGTGTTTTCTCCCAACAGGCCTCACTGTGTATGGCCTCTTGCCTACCAAACTGTAGGGATATTTCCAAAGCAGCACATAATGTGATTGAACAGCCTGCCAGCCTCAGGCTTAAGGATTTCGAAGGAT
The DNA here is from genome assembly GCF_000001405.40 of Homo sapiens. Lineage (NCBI taxonomy): Eukaryota > Metazoa > Chordata > Mammalia > Primates > Hominidae > Homo > Homo sapiens. The sequence continues at coordinate 134,090,752 of NC_000008.11, read as the reverse complement.
TCAGCCCTAATTTACCACAGAAGCAGGGCATTTCAATGACTTTAGAGATTTTTTTTTTCTTTTATTATTATACTTTAAGTTTTAGGCTACATGTGCACATTGTGCAGGTTAGTTACAAATGTATACATGTGCCACGCTGGTGCGCTGCACCCACTAACTCGTCATCTAGCATTAGGTATATCTCCCAATGCTATCCCTCCCCCCTCCCCCCAACCCACAACAGTCCCCAGAGTGTGATGTTCCCCTTCCTGTGTCCATGTGATCTCATTGTTCAATTCCCACCTATGAGTGAGAATATGCAGTGTTTGGTTTTTTGTTCTTGCGATAGTTTACTGAGAATGATGATTTCCAATTTCATCCATGTCCCTACAAAGGACATGAACTCATCATTTTTATGGCTGCATAGTATTCCATGGTGTATATGTGCCACATTTTCTTAATCCAGTCTATCATTGTTGGACATTTGGGTTGGTTCCAAGTCTTTGCCATTGTGAATAGTGCTGCAATAAACATACGTGTGCATGTGTCTTTATAGCAGCATGATTTATAGTCCTTTGGGTATATACCCAGTAATGGGATGGCTGGGTCAAATGGTATTTCTAGTTCTAGATCCCTGAGGAATCGCCACACTGTCTTCCACAATGGTTGAACTAGTTTACAGTCCCACCAACAGTGTAAAAGTGTTCCTATTTCTCCACATCCTCTCCAGCACCTGTTGTTTCCTGACTTTTGAATGATCGCCATTCTAACTGGTGTGAGATGGTATCTCATTGTGGTTTTGATTTGCATTTCTCTGATGGCCAGTGATGATGAGCATTTTTTCATGTGTTTTTTGGCTGCATAAATGTCTTCTTTTGAGAAGTGTCTGTTCATGTCCTTTGCCCACTTTTTGATGGGGTTGTTTGTTTTTTTCTTGTAAATTTGTTTGAGTTCATTGTAGATTCTGGATATTAGCCCTTTGTCAGATGAGCAGGTTGCAAGGGATGTGAAGGACCTCTTCAAGGAGAACTACAAACCACTGCTCAAGGAAATAAAAGAGGATACAAACAAATGGAAGAACATTCCATGCTCATGGGTAGGAAGAATCAATATCGTGAAAATGGCCATACTGCCCAAGGTAATTTACAGATTCAATGCCATCCCCTCAAGCTACCAATGTCTTTCTTCACAGAATTGGAAAAAACTACTTTAAAGTTCACATGGAACCAAAAAAGAGCCCGCATCGCCAAGTCAATCCTAAAACAAAAGAACAATGCTGGAGGCATCACACTACCTGACTTCAAACTATACTACAAGGCTACAGTAACCAAAACAGCATGTTACTGGTACCAAAACATAGATATAGATCAATGGAACAGAACAGAGCCCTCAGAAATAACGCCGCATATCTACAACCATCTGATCTTTGACAAACCTGAGAAAAACAAGCAATGGGGAAAGGATTCCCGATTTAATAAATGGTGCTGGGAAAACTGGCTAGCCATATGTAGAAAGCTGAAACTGGATCCCTTCCTTACACCTTATACAAAAATCAATTCAAGATGGATTAAAGACTTAACTATTAGACCTAAAACCGTAAAAACCCTAGAAGAAAACCTAGGCAATACCATTCAGGACATAGGCATGGGCAAGGACTTCATGTCTAAAACACCAAAAGCAATGGCAACAAAAGACAAAATTGACAAATGGAATCTAATTAAACTAAAGAGCTTCTGTACAGCAAAAGAAACTACCATCAGAGTGAACAGGCAACCTACAAAATGGGAGAAAATTTTTGCAACCTACTCAACTGACTTTAAAGATTTTATTTGATCTTTCTAATATTTGCTGATTCCGGTGGTGCAGACCATTTTTATTAGTCTTGTCTCATCTTGGGAGCACAAAAACCAATTCTAGGGCACAAGTGACTTTTCTTTTTACCAATCTATTATCCAAGAGCACTTAGCATCAGGTAAGCCTCAGAAGGATCGGTTAATTGGACAGTGTGGAAGTTTGCTAATGAGTGTATCTCTCATCTGATTCTTTGTGGCTTTTACCTGCTCCTGATTCTTTGTTTGAAAATCTCATTTCCCTAAACAAGACACCCTGTGAGGTGAGGTGGTTCAGCCATGGTGAAACATTAGCCTTTTCTTGGTGTCCATCTGGCTTTTCCTAGCTGGAGTGATTTTTTCTATGATTGTGTCTGGAATGAGCTCCCTTCCAGTGTTGAAGGAGTAGCTGATGAGAGAAGGAGCCACCATCCTGAGGCCTCATGGGTTTAAAAATGATGCCCATCTGGGGGTCCAGGCATGAGGAAGCCAGATGAGGGATACACAGGGTCCCTTTAGTGAACTTCAGAGAGGATGGGCAAATGAATGCTACTGATCATGGGACCAAAGCCATTGCAGCCCCTAATGCTCCTAAAGCCTCAAGCCTCTTCTCCCAAGCATTGATATTGCATAAAATCTGATCAATTGCCCCCTTTGTTCTCTTGCTAGTTTTGTGGCCTGCAAGAGATAACTTGACTTTTCCAAACTTTAATTTCTTCACCTGGAAAATGAGGCATCTTAAACCTGATCTCAAAGATAAACTCAAATACTGAAGCTCTGACTCAGGTTTCATCATTTCTTAGGTGGGGAGTTCAAGGCCCTGAGAATGAAAATGTCTTGCCCAAATTGAAATGGTCAGTAAGTGGCATTACTCAGGCCAGGGTCTAGGGCCCTTCACAGACTCGCAACCCCAGGTCCAGCCTCCTCCCACCACGGCCCACTCCCCTGCAGGCACAGAAGGATTCTTTCATTCTGAAGTGAAGGGAGGGGTTTGGAGGCTGTGGGCCTGTCAGGGACCCTAGTTTTCATATTCACACATTTGTCTTTCTCTTTCACAGTTTACATTTGTTAAATTGTTTATAAAGTGTTCATGCTTTGGACAAGTCCCTTGTCTCCTGAAAGAACGCAGAACTAGATTATTCATCCTTTCATAATTAAAGAGTGTCAGCATCATGGACTGGTCTTCACACACTGATGCTCCTGGTCAGCCCCATCTGGGGCTCCAGTGATGTTGCTGTAGACCCCAGAGATGGGGCAACCCCTACTTCCCTTCCCTTCCTGGATCATCAGAAGCCCGATCTCAAAACTATATTCCTCCCTATGCAATTGGCATCTATATAGTAACTCCTCTCTGTGTTGGAATTAAGAGCTGACAGCATTAAAATATGCTGGCCATTCGATATAAAACACACAGGACATCTAATGCATCAGGAAAGAAAATCACTGGTCTATAAAGCCTGAGTCCCAGGCCATATACTGTTAATTAGCCAGCTGCATGCAAATTATTTCATATATTGGAAGTTACACATAACATCTGCAAAATTAAGGATTTGAGAAGGTCAGTCTTAAAGGTTATTTCTTGGTGTAAAACAAGGTGCATTAACCTTGGCACTATTGATAATTCTTTGGCTGAATAATTCTGTTGTGGGAGCTGTTCTATGCAGCCGCATCCCCAGCCTATGCCCACTTAATGCCTGTAGCACCCCCCACCAGTTGTGACAACCCGAAATGTCTCCAGACATTGCCAGATGCCCCCTGGGGAGCCAAATCTCCCTACTGCAAATCTCTGATCTGAAGTAGTGCAGAACTAGAATCTGGACATTTTCCCTGGTACACCATTACTTTGAGATATAAATTAAAAGAAAAACAGTCCTTGAAATTCTCTTTCACTGATTTTGCCAGATTTTTATGTGGCGGGCTAGAAGCATTTTCAAAAGTTTATTGCCTGGGATGTGGAAGTCATTAAGTCATTATCTACTTTAGCTAATGTATGGATTAATTTTATATTAATTAGTTCAAAATCATATTGTTAGAGATTAAAGGGGCAGAACATAGATACATTTAGAAACTGCAAAACTAAGAAATACTTTTTGCTCGTAAGCTTCTTCACTCCTTGGTGCTTTCCCATCTGGGGCTGTTGCTCATAGCCTCTGGATTGTCACCTCTCAAATGCCATGCCAAAATGTCACTCACTCTTGAAGATGCATCTTACATCCCACTTGTTCCATGAAGCCTCTAGCAATTCCTGTTCATAGAAATAATTTGATTTACTTCTCTACTCACCGGGAAATGTGTTCATGTTTCCCTTGCAGTCAGCCTTGTATGGTCCCATCCAAGGGCCAGGCTGTTGCAGGCCAATGACCCCGTCCATTGCTGCATCCCTATGAAACCCAGAGGAAGCGCAATGGCCCTGCCTCTTCTTCTCTGGACATGCCCCAGGCCAGGACCTCATTTCCTGTTCCCCAGATTATGGCATTACCTTTCCAGTTAATTTCCTCCTCTCCATTGAGTGCCCTGGGCTTTGCTGGCCAGGTCCTAGCTATCCCTCCCCAGTTGTCTCACCAACCTTGACTCCAACATTTGTAGACACAGCTTACCTTTCTTGGACAGCTCTTCTTACCTTGCCTGTTGAGAAAACATATTGTTCTTCATAATCCAGGCACATAATCTGTGAAGCCTTCCTGAGTCATTCCACTTTCCCAAACACAGATAAATGTATTCCTTCCCTTCCCCATGTCACCCACAGGATCTCTGTCAAAACGCTCACCCTGTGTCCTCCTGCCAGTGGGTTTCTCTTTCAGTATGAATGCTGGCTCTCCTCCCACCCCTCATTCAGTGAACACTCCAGCAAACTCCAATTCTCAGCTCCAGATGTACTCCTCAGGGAATCCCATCCTGGCACACGCCCTCCCCCAGTGGACAGTAAATTTCATCAATTGCACACTGTATGAATTTTATTTAGTAACTATTTTTCTCCAATAGACTTTAGCCTTTATGATAGCAGGGACATGTTTTTATCATTATAGGAATTTTTACAGTAATTTATTGATGCAGGTTAGAAGCTCAACAAATAGTATTGAATGAATACATCCACTGAGACGATCTGTCGCCTCTCTTCTTCCTGCTGGACTGTGAGTTTTGTGGGGTGGGGACTGTGCTTACTCATCGTGTGACTTCAGCATCTGGAACAGTACCAGGAAATTAGTAACTGTTTATTAATTCATCAATATCATTTTTATTGTTACTGGCATTTACTAAATGCTGAATGTGTGCTAGGTAATGTGCTAAGCACTTTACAGAAATTATTTTATCTAACTCTCAACCACCTTTGTGAGGCATGTATTATACCCGCTTTAGAGATGAAGCAACTGAGAGTTAGAGGATTCAAATAACATGCCCTGTTCACACCACAGAGCTTCTGCTCTTAACTGCTGTTTCATGAAGTCTCTCAGATTAATGCTACAAATAAAGGAAATGGCCCAGAACTCTCTGATACAAGTGATTGAAACCAGGGGTTCATTAGGTAAAGGAAAAATAGAAAATAGGGAATATTTCTTTAAATTACCTATGTAGCTTGAGAATTTTATTTTAAATTACATAAATATGAATATAATCATACATGTATTTAGGAACTCTGAGGTAGACAAAGGGTGCTTCTTTGACAATGGTTTATTTTCGAGAGTTCTACCTTAACTAGTGTAAACCAGAACCATAAAATGTCTCTACTAGAGTGGGGAGAGTTTAAGACATTTGACCAGCTGGGCACAGTGGTTCATGCCTGTAATCCCAGCACTTTGGGAGGCCGAGGCAGTTGCATCATGTGAGGTCAAGAGTTCAAAACCAGCCTGGCCAACATGGTGAAACCCATCTCTACTAAAAATACAAAAATTAGCTGGGCATGGTGGTGGGCGCCTGTAATCCCAGCTACTCGGGAAGGTGAGGCAGGAGAATTGCTTGAGCCTAGGAGGCGAGGTTGCAGTGAGCAGAGATGGCACCATTGCACTCCAGCCTGGGCGACAGAGCGAGACTCTGTCTCAGGAAAAAAAAAAAAGAAGACATTTGACTGCATTCTCAATGCAGATATCTTCTAGATTTTTATGACCTTGCCTCAAGCTTTTTTTCCAGGTATAAGGTCCACACATAATTGTCCAGCGATTTTTAAGGCAATCTATCTTTTTTTTTTCAAAGCCTTTGAAAGGAGCAAAGTTTTTTATTGTAGTTTTCATAGAAATAGTATTATCTCTTTCTTCCCTAATATATCTTTGGCTTTTGAAACAGTTTTCAGAGAACTACAGGGACTCTTAGCATGAGGCAGACCTGTGGAGAGCTGTAAAGCATCCCACTGGCTAAGGCAAACTCACCCACTGACAGCTTTATGCTAGAATGTTTTACAGGGCTATTGGGCTGTATTGGTTAATCAGGGAAGTCAGCTAAATAGAATAAGTTTAGAAGAGCTTTTATTGTAAATGTTTTCAATATTCAATTAAACAGAATTGAGGGGTGTAACTGTTCCAGGTAGTCAGCAATAACTGAACATCTCAAAGATGCTGTAAGGAAGATGGTTGAGCAGAAAATAAATAGAAAAATGATACAATGTGACTCCTCCCCATGCCCTCTGGTTCTTGGGCTCCTAATTGTTCTGCAGAGATTTATGACACTACTGATTCTTCTCCAAGCAGGATGTCTCCTTCCTCTCATCCTGCAGAGCCTAATTAAGATCTATGCACCTGCATATGGCCAGTCAGCAGTTTTCAATGATGGCAAAAAGGAGAGATGCAGCCAGCATGCTCCACTAGGATTTTACTTTGTATTGATACAGATTGTCTCTGGCTAAGTGTGATCCTTTGCACTTCAATACAGGAGGCAATAAAGAGAGAATAGGATATCATCCTTGCCACTCTGAACCTCTGGATCAATATTAGCCAAAGGTAGCACTGATATGGAGGAAACTGAGGCATAAAATGAACTGTAGGGGTGGGGAAAGGGGATTACTGCTTTTGTTGCCTAAAAGGCCAGACCCCTTCAGCTGGGAATTCTTTGAGGTGACAATGTGACCCCCTGGAGCTCTAGCCCAAGTGACAGATTTGGAGCCACTAGGACCTGGCCCCACAGTGGTGTAGAACTGGCTGGAAATGCCTTCCCAGCACATTCTGGAACAATTTCACTTGTGGGAACTTGTGGGGTTTTAAAAGCCTGGGTAGCAAATCCCATCCAGACGGCCACACAGCAGCAGCAGAGGAGGAGCAGGGTGCAGTGGCACCTGTAATCCCAGCACTTTGTGCCTGTAATTCCAGCTCTTTGGGAGGCCAAGGCAGGCGGATCACCTGAGGTCAGGAGTTCGAGACCAGCCTGGCCAACATGGTGAAACCCCGTCTCTACTAAAAGTGCAAAAATTAGCCTGGCATGGTGGAGAGTGCCTGTAATCCCAGCTACTCAGGAGCGGGAGGCAGGAGAATAGCTTGAACCTAAGAGGTGGAAATTGCAGTGAGCCGAGATCACGCCACTGCACTCCAGCCTTGGCAATGAGAGCGAGACTCCATCTCAAAAAAAAAAAAAAAAAAAAAAAAAAGGAAGAGGAGGATGGCAGAGGAGGTAGGGAAGGAGGATTATGTACCCAAGGACCCCTGTGATCACTTTGAAAGGAAAATGGTGATCCCCAAATGGGTGGAGTCAGGTCAAGATAATATAACTTTTCACCAGTATCAGGGGTTCACATTTACAACTCAAATAGGCACCCTGTGAAACAGGGTTGGCAGCAGTATGAAAAACATACTAGACACTGTATGGGGTGATTATCCAGCATAACAATTACCCACTTTGTCTCAAATTGCTTCCCTCCTATAACAGCGGGTGCCTGGGCCCCTGGAGGCTATCGTCTTTAACCATTGGTGGTTAGACTAAGCATGGACTTCTGACCCAGGGGCAGTAACCCACTTCCTCTCTTGGCGATTCTGAATTAGGTTTGCAAGTGAGTAAGTGTGAAATGGTCTTCTGCACAGAAGACATGGCACCATGGGAGGTGTGGAGTGGCAGGTGTTGCTCCTTTACAAGCCCAGAAGGGTAGAGAAAACCAGTCCACAGAAGCTGTGAGGAGATGGTGAGAGGTGGAAGGAGACTTCACTCTAGGCTCTTGATACGTTTTCAGTTTTAAATTTTCAGAAACTTCCTGAAACCAAGTCTCATTCTCAATCTTGATTTGAAAGACAACATTGCATTTTTTGTATAAAAGTTTTCTTTTTGCTTAAGCTAGAGTAATTCACCTTATGTCTATCATTTACAATTAGAGTGTTAACAAAAATAACATAATTTTAAGAATTCTATATTCTAAATATTTACTATATGTGAGATAATTGCTCTAAGTGGACTGCTATGGACTGAGTTGTCTCCCCCTCTCCACATTCATATGTTGAAGACCTAATGTCCAAGGTAACTGTATTTGGAGATATGGCTTTTAGGAGGTAATTAAGGCTAAATGAGGTCATAAGGGTAGGTCCCTAATCTAATAAGACTGATGGCTCCATAAGAAGAGGAAAGCCCAGTGTGGTGGTTCACCCCTTTAATCCCAGCACTTTAGGAGGCTGAGACAGGAGGATCACTTGAGCCGAGGAGTTTGAGACCAGCCTGGGCAACATAGTGAGACCCCATCTCTACCAAAAAAAAAAAAAAAACCACTAAAAAATTAGCCAGGTGCCATGGCACACAACTGTGGTCTCAGCTACTAGGGAGGCTGAGGTAGGAGAATTGCTTGATGCTGGGAGGTTGAGGCTGCCATGAGCCATGATCATGCCCACTGCACTCCAGCCTGGGTGACAGTATCCTATCTCTTAAAAATTAAATTAAATTAAATTTAAAAAAAGAGGAAGAGAGAGATACTCTCTCTATGCACATGCAGAGGAAAGACAATGTAAGGACACAGGGAGAAGATGGCCATCTGTAGGCCAGGAAGGGGGCCCTCATCAGAAACCAAAGCAGCACGGCCTTGATCTTGGACTTTCCAGCCCCCAGAGCTGTAGAAATAAATTTCTGTTGTTTAAGTCACCTAGACTATAGCGTTTTGTGATGGCAGCCTGAGCTGACTAATACATGGACAAGGCATTATCTAATTTAACCCCCACCACAACCTGTTGAAACTAGTGTTATCATGCCTCACAGATGGGAGATGGAGGCTCAGCGTGGTTAACTAACTTGTTCAAGCTCCTCCTGCAGGTTTTTCTACTCAAAGCCTAGATGCACTAATACTGCTGCATTTCTTGGGAATTGGATCCTCAAACAGCTAGCTCTAAATTCAGGCTGCTCATTAAAAATAACACTAACCATAGAGAGAGCAGGAGAGACAAACCCCAGTGGAGAAATGCGGGTTCTACCTTGGGCTTCACGATTGATGACCCTGGGTGAACAGAACACGTGGTTACCATTTTTGACCAGGAAACCTGCTTCCAGCATCTTGTCCCCTAGTCTGAAAGAAGCGTGCACAGGTGCAGTGCATAAGCATGCCCTGCAAGCCCAAAGCCATGAGTGCGAGGCAGTTGGCCAGAATGCTGGCTGTAGGGAAAGAAGTCTGCAGTAGATTCAGCTTCAGGGTTTGCATCTATGCCTCAGGCTAAACATTTACATGGGCCCAGTGTTTCCCAGGAGCAGTGGGAGGCAGATGGGCTTACAGGCAGAGGATGACAGTCTCATAGATGGGCTCAAAATGTCAGCTCAGGACATGCACCAACTTAAGCTAGAACAGTCCTGCTGCTTTTCCTCAAATATTTTTAAAACTAAACTTAAGACAAATGTTTTGTATGTAATTGTAGATTCTCATGCAAAGAGATTCCTATGTACCCTTTACCCCCTTGTCCTTAATGATAACTTCTTGCAAAACTGTAACGTAATATCACAACTAGGATATTGACATTGATACAGACCACTGATCTTATTCTTATTTCCCCAGTTTTACTTTTACTTGTATATGTGTATTTAGTGCTATGTAATTTTATTTTACTTTATTTTTTGAGACACGGTCTTGCTCTGTCTCTCCGCCTGGAGTGTAGTGGTACAAGCATGGCTCACTGCAGCCTCAACTTCCTGAGTCCAAGTGATCCTCCTGCTTCAGCCTCCCAAGCAGCTGGAATCACAGTTGCATGCCACCATGCCTGGCTAATTTTTTAAAAAAGTTTTTTTTTATTTTTTTATTTTTTTTATTTTTTATTTTATTTTTTTTTTTTGTAGAGATGGGATCTCACCATGTTGCCCAGCTGGTCTTGAACTTCTGGGCTTAAGCAATCCTCCCACCTTAGCTTCCCAAAGTGCTGGGATTACAGGTATGAGCCACTGCACCCAGCCAGTTCTAAGTAACACTTTATCACCGGTGTAAGGTCATGTGTCCACCACCATGTAATCATACAGTATGGAACCTTTTACTCGGTGTAATTCTCTGAACATTCATCAAGGTTGCTATGTGTATCAATAGTTCATTCCTTTGAACTGCTGAGTGCTATTACATGGTATGAATAAATCAGAGTTTGTTCAACCCTTCCCTCATAGAAGGGCGTCTGAGTTATTTCCAGTTTTGGGCTTCTATGAATAAATTAACAAAACAATAGGGTTTTTTGTTTGTTTGTTTCTTTGTTTGTTTTGGTCAGTACAAGTCTTCATTTCTCCAGGATAAATATATTCAGGAATGCAATTGCTGGGTTGCAGGTAAGCCTATGTATAGTTTTTAAAGAAGCTGCCAAACTGCTTTTCTATAGTGTTTTTTATAGCGGCTCTACTATTTAACATTCCTACAGCAATGTTTGAGTGCCTTAGTTGCTCCACATTTGGTGTTATCACTATTATTTTAATTCAGCCATTCTGCTAGTTTCATGAGCTTGCCATCTCTATACCTCTTCTGTGATGTGTCTGTTTATATCATTTGCCCATTTTCTAATTAAATCTAATTAAATTAAATTTTCTAATTAAATTTCTAATTTTTTACTGTTGAGTTTTAAGAGTTCTTTATATATTCTATATTCTAGTTATTTGTTGGATAAATGGCTTACAAATTTGCAAATATTTTCTCCCAGTCTGTAGCTTGCCTTTTCATTCTCTTAACAGAGTTATTTTACAGACCAAAAGTATTTAATTATGATGATATTTGAATTGTCAGTAAGTACTTTTATGAATTGTGCTTTTGGTATCAAGTCTAAAAACTCGTTGCCAAATCATAGACACTGAAGATTTTCTTCTACAGTTCTTCAAAAGTTTTTTAGTTTTATGTTCAAGTTTAGTTTTTTTTTTTTTTTTTGTGTGTGTGTGTGTGTGTGTGTGTGTGTGTGTGTGTTTAGATGGAATCTCACTCTGTTGCCCAAGATGGAGTGTAGTGGCATGATCCCAGCTCACTGCAACCTCCACCTCCCGGGTTCAAGAAACTCTCCTACCTCAGCCTCGCAAGTGTCTGGGACTACAGATGCATACCATCATGCCAGCTAATTATTTTGTATTTTTAGTAGAGATGGGGTTTCACCATGTTGGCCAGGCTGGTCTTGAACTCCTGACCTTAAGCAACCTGCCCGCCTCAGCTTCTCATAGTGCTTGGATTACAGGTGTGAGCCACTGTGCCCGACCCTACATTTAAGTTTATAATCTGAGCAATTTTAGAGAGTGAACTAAATCCAACCAAACCATAGAATCTAACAAAAAGAGAAATGCGACCTTCTAGCTTTGTATTCACTCATTCATGTCTATAGCATAAGTCTACTCTCACCAGGGTTACTTACAGTTCATTTGGCAGAGAACATAGTAGCTCTCTCTGTTATGTGAACCCCCCAAAGAATTATAACAAACCCCATCTATGAGCACCTATGGCTATGTCAGATATGTCATTTCTGAGCCTCAGTTTCCTGTCTCCACCTATAGTATCTCTACTTCTATAAGAGACGATAAGTAGAAGATTCCAATAAAGTCAATGGGAATGTTTGCAATTATTGTCTAAATGAGGCAAAGATGTGGAGAGAGCAATGCTGAGCATACCATGGAAATGAGCTTAATGAACAATACTGGAAAGAATCATAACCAATCTCCTGGTCTTATTCCCAGCCCTTAGTACGATGGCTGATGGGTGCCTGCCTTCCAACAGAGATGGCTTCTCCACACCAGTCCAAAGTTGACTAAGTTTAGAAAAGGGAGGATATTGACATCTTGAAAGGAAACAGAGGCCCAAGAAAGAATGACCAATCAAAAGTAACATAACTGAAAGCTCTTCAGACACACTTAGCTGTACTATTTCTGCTAAGCACAGCACATCATTATGGGCAAAGCATGCCAGCCCATAATGATGGGAACTATGCCTTTGTCATTAACAGATGTATGTCAAGGACCTATCCTAATATTCAGCACATAATCAATAATTAATAAATACATATTAAGTAAAGAAATGGACTGACTCTCAGTTATTTTTGAAGATTTATTTCAGGTTTTGTCTCCTCCAGAAACTCTTCTGCGGATCTCAGAAACACCTTCCTTCTCACAAAGCTTACTTTGTATGACTTGTGTTTATGTGCATTCCTCCTCTACCAGACATTGACCTCTTTGAGGGAAAGAAATGTCTCATTTATGATTGCAGCCATAGCATTTAGCACATTTCCTGTCACATAAGAGATGACCAATAAATACAAGAAAAGGAAAACTAGATTGTCTATCTCTTCATTAGACATGCTGCTCCCTCTGGAACCATCAGGATCTTTTGTATGTCTATAATTTTATTTCCTGGGCAAGAAAGGACACAGGCACTTCATGGCATACACAAGCACTTGAGTGACAGAAGACTGCTTCTGCCTTCTCGGGACAATCTGATTTATCTAATCAGTGCATGGGTCTCTACAATGTTCTTGATCACTTTCAGATAATGGTTGAAAGGAAGAAAGAAAAAAGTGAGATTTAAAAAGTGTTGCATATTCCTCAGAGCTGTTAGCAGATGAAACAGGCAGAGGTGATAGGTGTCAGTCACCTGTCTTCTCCTCCTGTATGGTTTTATAGACCATACAGACTTTATAGACTTCAAAAATAGAGAAAAAGAGAAGAAAACTGAGCCCAATAGGTATTACTACTTATTTATTATTTTAATATCCAAAGTTCACGACTCCTTTTTAAGCTGCGTGGAGAACAGAACATAGGCTGGCTCTCAAATGAGGGTAAACAAAACTGAAGCTAATCACCCCTGGAAAAGGCTGATGTGCCCTTTATTCCTAGAGGCAGACAAAGAAATACGAACAATTGGTAACATACCCTTGGCTAGGACAACCAGAGGGAGGCCCCAAGTGGTCAGTTTACTGTGAGGAGCCTGGAAGTATAAGCAAAGCCCCAATATCTGCCTAAGGGCAGAGCAAGAGACTAAGAAAACAAGTGAGGCTTTGGGGATTGGAACTGAGGCCTCTTGAACAAGGCCACAACCCTCCAAGACCTTCCAGAGAAAAATACTCTGCTTGCCAGCAAAGAGAAAAATGAGAAAGATCGTTTCTTTGTGGGAGTGGAGAAAGGCTCCTAAAGGCCTGATTCACTTGTGTTTTGAATTTAAATTGATCCTATCCTCACCCTACTTTTAGAGCCTGGAGGAGAGAAGCTGAGAAATTAAGTAAAGTCATCTGGGGCTGATAATACCTTTGGGTTCCTGGCAGAGACAAATGTCAACCCCTGTGGAGGTCCGTGTTTGCAGTCCAGACCACTGAGGATTCTTGGTGACAAAGGATCTCAGAAGCTGAGCTCACAATCCCAAACTGCAAAACAGGAAGATATCCATCACCATGACTAAGTCAGGAGCAACAACAGAGCTACACTCCCTAAAACTACAGATTTGTCATTGTTGTATACGTAATATAAATTATTTTATTTTTGAGACAAGGTCTTGCTCTGTGGCCCAAGCTGGAGTTCAGTGGCACAATCACAGCTCACTGCAGCCTTGATCTCCCAGGCTTAAGTGATCCTCCCACCTCAGCCTCTTGAGTAGGTGGGACTACAGGTACACATCAACATATCCAGCTAAGTTTTTAATTTTTTATTTAGTTGTAGAGATAGGGTCTTGCTATTTTCTCCAAGCTGCTCTCAAACTCCTGGCCTCAAGTGATCCTTCCACCTCAACCTCCCAAGGTGCTAGAATTACAGACGTGCCCAGCCCATAATATAAATTGTGTGTTTAAAATGTTGAAGAATGGGGAGGAGCCAAGATGGCCGAATAGGAACAGCTCCGGTCTACAGCTCCCAGCGTGAGCGACGCAGAAGACGGTGATTTCTGCATTTCCATCTGAGGTACCGGGTTCATCTCACTAGGGAGTGCCAGACAGTGGGCGCAGGCCAGTGTGTGTGCGCACCGTGCGCGAGCCGAAGCAGGGCGAGGCATTGCCTCACCTGGGAAGCGCAAGGGGTCAGGGAGTTCCCTTTCCGAGTCAAAGAAAGGGGTGACGGACGCACCTGGAAAATCGGGTCACTCCCACCCGAATATTGCGCTTTTCAGACCGGCTTAAGAAACGGCGCACCACGAGACCATATCCCACACCTGGCTCGGAGGGTCCTACGCCCACGGAATCTCGCTGATTGCTAGCACAGCAGTCTGAGATCAAACTGCAAGGCGGCAACGAGGCTGGGGGAGGGGCGCCCGCCATTGCCCAGGCTTGCTTAGGTAAACAAAGCAGCCGGGAAGCTCGAACTGGGTGGAGCCCACCACAGCTCAAGGAGGCCTGCCTGCCTCTGTAGGCTCCACCTCTGGGGGCAGGGCACAGACAAACAAAAAGACAGCAGTAACCTCTGCAGACTTAAGTGTCCCTGTCTGACAGCTTTGAAGAGAGCAGTGGTTCTCCCAGCACGCAGCTGGAGATCTGAGAACGGGCAGACTGCCTCCTCAAGTGGGTCCCTGACTCCTGACCCCCGAGCAGCCTAACTGGGAGGCACCCCCCAGCAGGGGCACACTGACACCTCACACGGCAGGGTATTCCAACAGACCTGCAGCTGAGGGTCCTGTCTGTTAGAAGGAAAACTAACAACCAGAAAGGACATCTACACCGAAAACCCATCTGTACATCACCATCATCAAAGACCAAAAGTAGATAAAACCACAAAGATGGGGAAAAAACAGAACAGAAAAACTGGAAACTCTAAAACGCAGAGCGCCTCTCCTCCTCCAAAGGAACGCAGTTCCTCACCAGCAACAGAACAAAGCTGGATGGAGAATGATTTTGACGAGCTGAGAGAAGAAGGCTTCAGACGATCAAATTACTCTGAGCTACAGGAGGACATTCAAACCAAAGGCAAAGAAGTTGAAAACTTTGAAAAAAATTTAGAAGAATGTATAACTAGAATAACCAATACAGAGAAGTGCTTAAAGGAGCTGATGGAGCTGAAAACCAAGGCTCGAGAACTACGTGAAGAATGCAGAAGCCTCAGGAGCCGATGCGATCAACTGGAAGAAAGGGTATCAGCAATGGAAGATGAAATGAATGAAATGAAGCGAGAAGGGAAGTTTAGAGAAAAAAGAATAAAAAGAAATGAGCAAAGCCTCCAAGAAATATGGGACTATGTGAAAAGACCAAATCTACGTCTGATTGGTGTACCTGAAAGTGATGTGGAGAATGGAACCAAGTTGGAAAACACTCTGCAGGATATTATCCAGGAGAACTTCCCCAATCTAGCAAGGCAGGCCAACGTTCAGATTCAGGAAATACAGAGAACGCCACAAAGATACTCCTCGAGAAGAGCAACTCCAAGACACATAATTGTCAGATTCACCAAAGTTGAAATGAAGGAAAAAATGTTAAGGGCAGCCAGAGAGAAAGGTCGGGTTACCCTCAAAGGGAAGCCCATCAGACTAACAGCGGATCTCTCGGCAGAAACCCTACAAGCCAGAAGAGAGTGGGGGCCAATATTCAACATTCTTAAAGAAAAGAATTTTCAACCCAGAATTTCATATCCAGCCAAACTAAGCTTCATAAGTGAAGGAGAAATAAAATACTTTATAGACAAGCAAATGTTGAGAGATTTTGTCACCACCAGGCCTGCCCTAAAAGAGCTCCTGAAGGAAGCGCTAAACATGGAAAGGAACAACCGGTACCAGCCGCTGCAAAATCATGCCAAAATGTAAAGACCATCGAGACTAGGAAGAAACTGCATCAACTAATGAGCAAAATCACCAGCTAACATCATAATGACAGGATCAAATTCACACATAACAATATTAACTTTAAATATAAATGGACTAAATTCTGCAATTAAAAGACACAGACTGGCAAGTTGGATAAAGAGTCAAGACCCATCAGTGTGCTGTATTCAGGAAACCCATCTCACGTGCAGAGACACACATAGGCTCAAAATAAAAGGATGGAGGAAGATCTACCAAGCCAATGGAAAACAAAAAAAGGCAGGGGTTGCAATCCTAGTCTCTGATAAAACAGACTTTAAACCAACAAAGATCAAAAGAGACAAAGAAGGCCATTACATAATGGTAAAGGGATCAATTCAACAAGAGGAGCTAACTATCCTAAATATTTATGCACCCAATACAGGAGCACCCAGATTCATAAAGCAAGTCCTCAGTGACCTACAAAGAGACTTAGACTCCCACACATTAATAATGGGAGACTTTAACACCCCACTGTCAACATTAGACAGATCAACGAGACAGAAAGTCAACAAGGATACCCAGGAATTGAACTCAGCTCTGCACCAAGCAGACCTAATAGACATCTACAGAACTCTCCACCCCAAATCAACAGAATATACATTTTTTTCAGCACCACACCACACCTATTCCAAAATTGACCACATAGTTGGAAGTAAAGCTCTCCTCAGCAAATGTAAAAGAACAGAAATTATAACAAACTATCTCTCAGACCACAGTGCAATCAAACTAGAACTCAGGATTAAGAATCTCACTCAAAGCCGCTCAACTACATGGAAACTGAACAACCTGCTCCTGAATGACTACTGGGTACATAACGAAATGAAGGCAGAAATAAAGATGTTCTTTGAAACCAACGAGAACAAAGACACAACATACCAGAATCTCTGGGACGCATTCAAAGCAGTGTGTAGAGGGAAATTTATAGCACTAAATGCCTACAAGAGAAAGCAGGAAAGATCCAAAATTGACACCCTAACATCACAATTAAAAGAACTAGAAAAGCAAGAGCAAACACATTCAAAAGCTAGCAGAAGGCAAGAAATAACTAAAATCAGAGCAGAACTGAAGGAAATAGAGACACAAAAAACCCTTCAAAAAATCAATGAATCCAGGAGCTGGTTTTTTGAAAGGATCAACAAAATTGATAGACCGCTAGCAAGACTAATAAAGAAAAAAAGAGAGAAGAATCAAATAGACACAATAAAAAATGATAAAGGGGATATCACCACTGATCCCACAGAAATACAAACTACCATCAGAGAATACTACAAACACCTCTACGCAAATAAACTAGAAAATCTAGAAGAAATGGATACATTCCTCGACACATACACTCTCCCAAGACTAAACCAGGAAGAAGTTGAATCTCTGAATCGACCAATAACAGGCTCTGAAATTGTGGCAATAATCAATAGTTTACCAACCAAAAAGAGTCCAGGACCAGATGGATTCACAGCCGAATTCTACCAGAGGTACAAGGAGGAACTGGTACCATTCCTTCTGAAAGTATTCCAATCAATAGAAAAAGAGGGAATCCTCCCTAACTCATTTTATGAGGCCAGCATCATTCTGATACCAAAGCCGGGCAGAGACACAACCAAAAAAGAGAATTTTAGACCAATATCCTTGATGAACATTGATGCAAAAATCCTCAATAAAATACTGGCAAACCGAATCCAGCAGCACATCAAAAAGCTTATCCACCATGATCAAGTGGGCTTCATCCCTGGGATGCAAGGCTGGTTCAATATACGCAAATCAATAAATGTAATCCAGCATATAAACAGAGCCAAAGACAAAAACCACATGATTATCTCAATAGATGCAGAAAAAGCCTTTGACAAAATTCAACAACCCTTCATGCTAAAAACTCTCAATAAATTAGGTATTGATGGGACGTATTTCAAAATAATAAGAGCTATCTATGACAAACCCACAGCCAATATCATACTGAATGGGCAAAAACTGGAAGCATTCCCTTTGAAAACCGGCACAAGACAGGGATGCCCTCTCTCACCGCTCCTATTCAACATAGTGTTGGAAGTTCTGGCCAGGGCAATCAGGCAGGAGAAGGAAATAAAGGGTATTCAATTAGGAAAAGAGGAAGTCAAATTGTCCCTGTTTGCAGACGACATGATTGTTTATCTAGAAAACCCCATCGTCTCAGCCCAAAATCTCCTTAAGCTGATAAGCAACTTCAGCAAAGTCTCAGGATACAAAATCAATGTACAAAAATCACAAGCATTCTTATACACCAACAACAGACAAACAGAGAGCCAAATCATGGGTGAACTCCCATTCACAATTGCTTCAAAGAGCATAAAATACCTAGGAATCCAACTTACAAGGGATGTGAAGGACCTCTTCAAGGAGAACTACAAACCACTGCTCAAGGAAATAAAAGAGGAGACAAACAAATGGAAGAACATTCCATGCTCATGGGTAGGAAGAATCAATATCGTGAAAATGGCCATACTGCCCAAGGTAATTTACAGATTCAATGCCATCCCCATCAAGCTACCAATGACTTTCTTCACAGAATTGGAAAAAACTACTTTAAAGTTCATATGGAACCAAAAAAGAGCCCACATTGCCAAGTCAATCCTAAGCCAAAAGAACAAAGCTGGAGGCATCACACTACCTGACTTCAAACTATACTACAAGGCTACAGTAACCAAAACAGCATGGTACTGGTACCAAAACAGAGATATAGATCAATGGAACAGAACAGAGCCCTCAGAAATAATGCCGCATATCTACAACTATCTGATCTTTGACAAACCTGAGAAAAACAAGCAATGGGGAAAGGATTCCCTATTTAATAAATGGTGCTGGGAAAACTGGCTAGCCATATGTAGAAAGCTGAAACTGGATCCCTTCCTTACACCTTATACAAAAATCAATTCAAGATGGATTAAAGATTTAAACGTTAAACCTAAAACCATAAAAACCCTAGAAGAAAACCTAGGCATTACCATTCAGGACATAGGCGTGGGCAAGGACTTCATGTCCAAAACACCAAAAGCAATGGCAACAAAAGACAAAATTGACAAATGGGATCTAATTAAACTAAAGAGCTTCTGCACAGCAAAAGAAACTACCATCAGAGTGAACAGGCAACCTACAACATGGGAGAAAATTTTTGCAACCTACTCATCTGACAAAGGGCTAATATCCAGAATCTACAATGAACTCAAACAAATTTACAAGAAAAAAACAAACAACCCCATCAAAAAGTGGGCGAAGGACATGAACAGACACTTCTCAAAAGAAGACATTTATGCAGCCAAAAAACACATGAAGAAATGCTCATCATCACTGGCCATCAGAGAAATGCAAATCAAAACCACTATGAGATATCATCTCACACCATTTAGAATGGCAATCATTAAAAAGTCAGGAAACAACAGGTGCTGGAGAGGATGCGGAGAAATAGGAACACTTTTACACTGTTGGTGGGACTGTAAACTAGTTCAACCATTGTGGAAGTCAGTGTGGCGATTCCTCAGGGATCTAGAACTAGAAATACCATTTGACCCAGCCATCCCATTACTGGGTATATACCCAAAGGACTATAAATCATGCTGCTATAAAGACACTTGCACACGTATGTTTATTGCGGCACTATTCACAATAGCAAAGACTTGGAACCAACCCAAATGTCCAACAATGATAGACTGGATTAAGAAAATGTGGCACATATACACCATGGAATACTATGCAGCCATAAAAAATGATGAGTTCATATCCTTTGTAGGGACATGGATGAAATTGGAAACCATCATTCTCAGTAAACTATCGCAAGAACAAAAAACCAAACACCGCATATTCTCACTCATAGGTGGGAATTGAACAATGAGATCACATGGACACAGGAAGGGGAATATCACACTCTGGGGACTGTGGTGGGGTCGGGGGAGGGGGGAGGGATAGCATTGGGAGATATACCTAATGCTAGATGACACATTAGTGGGTGCAGCGCACCAGCATGGCACATGTATACATATGTAACTAACCTGCACAATGTGCACATGTACCCTAAAACTTAGAGTATAATAAAAAAAAAAAAAAAAAAAAAAAAAAAAAAAAGAAAAGCTGATTAAAAAAAAAAAAAAAAAAAAAAAAAAAAAATGTTGAAGAATGTAAAAAATGAGAACCATGAGAAAGGAATAAGATACTACCAATAGCATTTCAGGCATGTTTTAAAAGAACACATAGAACCTCTAGAAAAGAAAATGTGATCACTGAAATTCAAAAGTATTTGAGACAATGTAAAGGACAGTAAATAAGACAGCTTGAGGAATCGGTGCAAGGATTTGACAGGAAGACATTGCCAAGAGTTCAGAAGAGAGAGAAGAGATGTAAAGTAGGAAGAAGTAGAAGAAAAGAAGGGTAGAATGGAAAAGTTTAGCCTAATTTGTTTCAGAAAAAATGGGGTACTAGAGGTGATAGGGGGAAATATTTTTCAAAAGGAATTCATGATAAAATTCAGAAATCATCAGACTTAGGTAGCCAGCTTGATGGAAAAGAAACCCAAACTTAGATGCTTTGTAGTTAAACTGCTGTACTTCAAAAATAAAGATAAAAGTCTTAAAGGCAACCTGAGAGAAATGTCAAATTATTTAAAAGGATGGCAGTTCAACTCCGTTTTCTCTGTGGAAGTCGAGAGACAGAACAAATTTCTTCAGAGTGCTGAAGGTAAAATAACTACTACTGTAACACTTCGTACCCAGCAATATTATATTTCAGAGTGAAGGTGAAATGAAAATATTTTACGTGAACAAAACCGCAGAGAGGTTATCACCAACAAACTCTCACTGAAAGAACCGTGGAAGTTTCCACTCCTGAAGAAGAAAACTGGCCTCGTGGGGAAGGCCTGTGAAGCCACAGTGAATGGTGATGAGGGGAACCATAAGTATGTGAGCAAATCTATGTCAACGTGGGTTCCCTAAAACAGCACTAATAGTCATTAATATTGGCTTGAAGAAAGCAAGGTGAAATGAAAACACCCAACCAAAATTTAAAAAAATATGTACAAAGGGATGAACTGACTTTTGTATTGTAGGATAGGTTTGTAAAGATAAGATTGTGTATATTTTATTAACTCACTAGGTAAAAAAAGTTTAATGACTAAAAAAAGACAAATATAGTATATACATTTTAGAGTAGTAGCATAAAAAGTAATAATAAAATGTTATTTTAATAAAAAAGCAAGAAACGGGGAAAATCAGAAAAAAAGTAGAAATTAAAACAAAGTAGTATAAAGAAATCTAAATACTTATATACCTGTGTTAGTCATACATATATATAATTACAGTTAATATAAAATTTACAACTCAAATATATCAGAAAAAAATTATTTACTCATTTATTCCTTCAACAAATTTTTTTTGAGGACCTACTATGTGATTGGCCTACTCCAATAATGGACACAACTTGCCAGTTGTTAAATATTTCCAGATAGGATAGACAAGCTAATCTAATAATACATTATTTAACAGAAGCTGATCTAAAAGATGCTGACACATGAAGTCAAAAAGAGAGAGGTGGACAAAAGCTATAAAGGGCAAACAAGAGACAATGTAAGGCTATTGTTGCTGTAGAGGTATCTGACAAATAGACTTCAAACGAAGTATTACTTATACAGAAATATTCTTTTACAGCAATAAAAGGTTCAACTTAGCAGGCAATTATAACAATTTTAAACTTGTATAAACTTGATAATATAACCTGAAAATATATAAAACCAAATCGATAGTTACAAAAATACATGTCTAAGTCCTGATTAATAGTGAGATATTTTAATATCACTTTCTTAATAAATAATTTAATGAGAAAAAAGGTGAGACTATAGAAAATTTTATTAAACAGTACAATTTATAAAATGACTAACATACAAAGATATCTTGCATCCAAAAATTAGAGAATACACATTATCTTCAATATACCAAGAATATTTATGAATATTCGTGGTACATTAGACTATAAAGAAAATACTCCTCAAATTTAAAAACTCTTTAGCAAGCACATCATTTTAAGTATTTCAATGTAATTAAGCCATACATAAAAATAATTGTGCATTTAAACATTTAATATAATTTCTAAAGATCTACTGGGTCAAAAATAAGAAAACACTCAAGACCAAAAGATTGCTCAAATATTGCACAAAATCGATATGACTATAAAACTGTACTTAGAGGAAAATTCCTTTATTCAATATTTTAATAACTTTTTATGATGATCTATGCTTTTTTCAGCATGTGGTTAAGATACATTTGTGAGCAAAACAGACCAAAGGTCTGGCCTCATGGAATTTACATATTAGTGGGTGGAGATGGATAATTATCGTAGAGCAATATTCATCATGAATATTTTTTCAGGTCATTAACTATAGACTTAATGTTTCATTTTCAAAAGCCTGCATACTATTACTTAGTATGTATATGTAAAACATTGTTTGAGTTGTCTGAAATATTTGCTGTCACTCTCTAATAGGTCCATATCTACAGGGCCCCTCTGGGAGGCCTTTCCTTTGAAAGGAGATGACTTCACCCCCTACTGACATCAGATATTTCCGTAAGACTTATTTTTGCTGATGGAATGGGAGTGGAAGTTATGCAGGCAATGTCCAAGCAGAATCCTTAAGAGCCACCCCATGGTTCTATGCTTGCTGTCTGATTTTGGCTATATCCTGGCATGTCACAGATGGAAGGTGATCCTTCAGCCTGGATCCTGGAATGAAAAGGCTGTGAAAAGAGCTGCATTCTGCTCATGTGAATGGGAATGGGAGCAACATCTCTGTTGATTTCAACTACTAGAATTGCTGTGATAATTTGTTTTGTAGCATAACCTACTGAAAGTTGACTGATATACGATGTAGAAAATATGTTCTGCTGTTTCACTATGGCAAATGTTTAGATTGTATCCTTTTTCTCCACATCAAAATATTTTTATAACCATTCCTAGAGATGGTGATTTTAGGGGGCTGCTTTTAGAAAGATTCTTCCTGTAGTTTCAGACATGTTGAGAGGGAGAAGGACTCTAAGGTTAGTTGAAAGTTTCAGCTCTGCCAGTTCCTTGCTGTGTGGTGTTATCGAAGATTCTTGGCACACACACAAAGATACTTGGCTTCTCTGGCCACTCAGTTTTCCCACTTGCAAAACTGAAATTGGAATAATAATAAAATTATAATAATAACAATAACTCTATCACAAAAAGACTGTGTGGGTTAAATGGGAGACTATACCATTAATTTGAAAACAGTAAATATGTCAGTGATTGTAGCGTCTTTTCTGAGTTGCACTGCCTAACCTGAGCTTTGTAAATGATGGATGGAATGCCCATGTCTGCTATGTAAGCCTTCTTAGTAAATCAGGATGCTTATGACACTTCAGGGTCGTTGCTCTATCAAGGCAAAGGGCTAGGTTTTCTGAGGAACTTATGAGAGGCTGGTTAATTCCTGTGAGTCATGCTGCTAGTTGACACTAGGGGATTAGTGGCACCTGATTAGGATAATATAGGCAAAGCATTTGGACTTGCTTCAGGGATGGATAACAAGAGGAAGCTGGCTGGATCACTCAATAATTGATCAGTGCTTTTCATGAAGAATTTACAAAAGTACAGCCATTATTTAACTACACTTTCTTTTTATTTTTTTTAATTATACTTTAAGTTTTAGGGTACATGTGCACAACGTACAGGTTAGTTACATATGTATACCTGTGCCATGTTGGTGTGCTGCACCCAGTAACTCGTCATTTAACATTAGGTATATCTCCAAATGCTATCCCTCCCCCCTCCCCCCTCCCCCTACCCCACAACAGGCCCTGGTGTGTGATGTTCCCCTTCCTGTGTCCATGTGTTCTCATTGTTCAATTCCCACCTATGAGTGAGAACATGCGGTGTTTGGTTTTTTGTCTTTGTGATAGTTCGCTGAGAATGATGGTTTCCAGCTTCATCCATGTCCCTACAAAGGACATGAACTCATCACTTTTCATGGCTGCATAGTATTCCATGGTGTATATGTGCCACATTCTCTTAATCCAGTCTATCATTGTTGGACATTTGGGTTGGTTCCAAGTCTTTGCTATTGTGAATAGTGCCGCAATAAACATACGTGTGCATGTGTCTTTATAGCAGCATGATTTATAATCCTTTGGGTATATACCCAGTAATGGGATGGCTGGGTCAAATGGTATTTCTAGTTCTAGATCCCTGAGGAATCACCACTTTCTAATTAGAAACAATAAAGTACTCCAGATATAAAAAAGTATTAAGGAAAAAAAATCAACGAAGGATAAAAGGTTCTCCTTTTCACTAAATGTAAGTTATGTTATTGCCAAGTTTTTAAGGAAGCATTTTGTCTCTTATATAAGTGGATAAAATTAATTGGCATGATTGACATATGTTTTATCAGTTTTTAGGGGAAAGATGTGAAAGACCACATTACCACAAGCTTTTGCACATGCGTGTGTCTGGATAGTTGTGGGGCTGGGCGGGGGGCAACATCAATGTGTATAGAACATCCAACGATTTCTGCTATTTTTTCAGTCTCTCATTCTGTATTCCAAAAAAAGGGTAGCAATTCTCTTGGAATGTATTCAGCTAATGCCTTATAAACATGAGTTCTACATCAACAACAACAAAAAATTCTATCCCTTGGTATGATATATCTGTAAGGTTACTATAGTTTACAATAATCTATTATATATTTCAAAATTGCTAGAAGAGAATAGTTTGCTTTAGCATAAAGAAAAGACAAATATTTAAGGTGAAGGATATCACATTTACACTGATTTGATCTTTACAAATTCTATGAATGCATTAAATTACCACATATATCCTGAAAATAGGTACATCTTGGTATGTATCAATAAAAATAAAATACATCAAAAAACAAGAAAGTTGTTTATCTCTCACTCTCTCTCACCCTGTGTGTGTGTGTGTGTGTGTGTGTGTGATGGTTCATGCCACTGTGGCAATTTTTTTTTCATATCACTTTGCTTTCCTTCAAAAATTATTGAAGAAAATTTAGTTTTTTTTCTAGTTTGTCTCAGAAATAATGGCAGATTCACACCTGACTTTCTAAATCCCCATCGTACTGTTTATTGATGGAAGGCAGAAAATTGATGGTCAGAGGAAAGAGATCTCAGAAGAGTAGTGAGGAATGTATTTTTTATCTTATCCAGATAAATGTGCAAAACTTCTTGTGTTTACAGAGAAAGCAGAGGCTCATCATTGAAATGAACCACTTGCGTATGTAAGCCTTTGTCGGGGGGGTCTTGAGGACACATGGTATGGAGGATGAGCAGTGTGATGGCCCAAAGTGAACTGTCAGATTATGCCTTTAGCATCTGCCCCCTGTCCTGCTGACCAGTTGAGAAGTGGTCTTCGTGCAAGAGGAGAGAGGCTTTATTTAATAAATGTCTCTTTACTCTCTACTTTTCTGTCAAAGAAAATTAGTCCCTTTGCCCCAAGTCAGCATGTACTTTCATGCCCTCTTATCTTGGCCAACGCAGATATCTCTGACTGCTTTCTACCCACTGCCTCAAGATGCATACCCTCATTCTCTCTTTAAAACGTTCTCCATCTCTTGAGAGCATATTCATCCCTTGAGGGGGATCCAATGCTGTCGTGTCAGCGAATCTTTCTCCTAGTTTAACATGAGACAAAACAGTGGTCCACAAATTCTGTTGATTATACACCTCATCTATCAAAAAACTTCGAGAAAGTCTCCCAGGAGATGCATATTTATTTACTTCAAATCATGTGCAACAACAACTATTTATGGGTTAAAAAATATTAAATTGCTAATGCTCAACCTTTTGGCCTATGAAAATGGCCATTTCATATAGTTCAACCTAATATGCTATAATGATGTCCAGAAATACTAGTGAAAAGGGATGATATAAAAATTAAATAGATGATGTATTTAAAATCCTGTCATTTCACTTTATTTTTCCCAGCACAGAGAACCTTTTACTTCACTGAAGCATGTTATTAATAATGTTCTGCATACTTAGATGTTAAATGTCTTTCTAATTATAATGGCTTTATACTCTCGTTAGCTAATATCTCAAGCCTCACTATACACTTGAAGCAAGATTTATCTTTAAGAACCGTGGCTCTTAAAATCATATTTCAAGTAACTGTGCTATTTCTTATGAGTCCCTTTTGGCGCTGTTATTACTATGTTCAAGCTGCGGGATTTTTTGCAGGATTTTTTTAGACCATTTATCCATATTGTGGTAAAATAAATAAAATTACAGGTAATCTGTTCATCCTTTTTATTAAGGGCACATAAAGTGCAATACATTGGAATAAAGGGTAAGCAAATAAGCAAATACAATTTTTAAGTTCTCTGCATTAAAAAACTGTTACCTGTCTCTACAGCATATGTTACCATTTGACATACAAACCAAGTCAAGACCTCAAAGTCAATCTGCATATTAAACGTGTAGAATTTAATTTACTTTTCATTTTCATACTAAAATAAAGAGAAAAATATTTCTGCCATTTGTATTTTTAAAAATGTTAATATATATTTTGTTTAACCTCAAATGGCCAAAATAGTATTTTTAAGCTTTTTATTGAAGTATAATTGATGAATAAAAATTGTGTATATTCAAGTTGTACACCATATTGTTTTAATGTATATATACACTGTGAAATAATCACCACAACCAAGCTAATTGGAATATCCATCACTTCACATAGTTATCCTCTGTGTGTGTGGTGAAAATACTTGAGATTTACTCTTCTAGTAAATTTCAAATGTATACACAAGACGTTGTTAACTATAGTCACCTATCCTATACATTAGGTCTCCAAAATGTATACTTATTATAATTGCAAGTTTGTGCCCTTTGGCCAACCTCTCCCCATGTACCCCAGCCTCCGATCCACAGCCACCATTCTACTCTCTGCATCTGTAATTTCAACTTTTATAAATTCTACATACAAGTGAGATAATGCAGCATTTGTCTTTCTGCACCTGGCTTCTTTCACTTAGCATAGTGTTCTCTAGGTTCATCTGTGTTCAAAGTTGTCACAATTGGCAAGGTCTCCTAATTTTTTAAAAACCGAATAATATTCTATTGCATATGTGCTTGTGAGTATGTGTGCATGTTTGTGTGTGTATATATATATACATATATATACACACACACACATCACATTTTTGTTAACCATAGTTTTATCAGTAGATATTTATGTTATTTCCGTATCTTGGCTATTGTGAATAATGCTTCAATAATATGGAAATGCAGAAATCTCTTCCACATACTGATTCAATTCCTTAATAGACATGTATCCTGAAATGGGATTACTAGATCATCTGGTAGTTCTATTTTTAACTGTTTGAGGAACTTCCATACTGTTTTTCCACAAATGGCTGTACCAATTTACATTCCTACCAACAATGTATTAGGGTACTCTTTTTTCCACATTCTTGCCAACACTTTCTATCTTTTTATTTTTTGACACAGTCACCCTAACAGGTATGAGGTGATAGCTCATTGTGGTTTTGATTTACATCTCCCTAATGATTAATTATGTTGGCCATTTTTAATAATATATTGAATACCTGATGGCCATTTGTATGTTTCTTTAAAGAAATGTCAGGTCATTTGCCCATTTTTAGATCATGTGGTCTACTGATGTTGAGTTTTGCGAATTTCTTACATGTTTTTTATATTAACCCCTTATTAGAGATACAGTTTGCAAATATTTTCTCCCATTCAATGGGTTGCCTTTTCGTTTTGTTCATTGTTTTCACTGTTGTGCAGAAACTTTTTTAGTTTGAGGTCATCACACTTGTTTATTTTTGCTTTTGTTGCCTGTGTTTTGATGTTATATCCAAAAAATCATTGTCAAGACAAATGTTATAGACATTTTCCCCTAGGTTTCCTTTAGGCATTTTACAGTCTTAAGTCTTATATTTAAGTCTTTCATCCCTTTTAAATTGATTATTGTGAATGGAGTAAAACAAGGTTACCATTCTTTTTTCTTTTTTTTTTTTTTTTGCATGTGGATATCCCATTTCTTTAACATAATTTATTGAAAAAACTATCTTTATCCCATTGTGTACTCTTGGTGCCCTTGTCAAAGATTAGTGGTCATATATGCATAGATTTATTTCTGAGCTTTCTATCCTGTTTCTTTGGTCTATGTGTCTGTCTTTATGCCAACACCATACTGTTTTGCTTAACATAGTTTTGTAATACAATTTGAAATCAGGGAGTATGATGCCTCTAGCTTTGTTCTTCTTTCTCACAACAACTTTACCTATTCCAGGGTTTTTTGTTTTCCATATTAATCTTAGAGTTGTTTTTTCTTTTTCTGTAAGAAGAAATGCCATTGGAATTTTAAAAAGCATTGCATTGAATCTGTAGACCACTTTGGGTAGTATAAATATTTTGACAATTTTAATTTTTTCCAGTCATGAACATGGAATGTATTTTCATTTATTTGTATCATCTTAAATTTGTTCAATCAATGTTTTATAGTTTTAAGTACACAGATCTTTTACCATCTTGGTTAAATTTGTTCCTAAATACTTTTTTTGTTTTACTGTAAATTGGATTGTTTTCCTAACTTCTTTTTCAGACAGTTTGTTGTTAATGTATAGAAACACTACTGATTTTTGTATGTTGATTTTGTATCCTGAAACGTTACTGAATTTGTTTATTTTGTTATGATATTTCATGGAGTCTTCAGGGTTTTCTCTATATAAGATAATGTCATCTGCGAACAGAGACAATTTAACTTTTTTTCTTTCAGATTTCGATGCTTTTTATTTCTTCTTTTTGTCTAATTGCTCTAGCTAGGACCTCCAGTACTATTTGAATAGAAGTAGTGAGAATGGGCATCCTTATCTAATTCCTAATCTTAGAGGAAAAATTTTCATCTTTTCACCAGTAAGATGTGTCAAATGTCGATGTGTCAAATATGGCCTTTATTTGGGTGAGATACATTTCTTCTATACTTACTATGTTGAGGGTTTTAGTCATAAGAGAAAGTTGAGGTTTGTCAAGTGCCTTTTCTTCATCTATTGATATGATCATGACTTCATTCTGTTCATGTGATGTATCACATTTATTTATTTGTGTATGTTAAATCATCCTTACATCCAAGTGATAAACTCCACTTTTTATGATTCTTTTAATGTGCTGCTGAATTCAGTTTGCTAGTATTTAATGTAGTATTTTTTGCATCTACATTCATCAAGGAAATTGATCTCTAATTTTCTTGTCTCATAGTATTCTTCTCTGGTTTTGGTATCAGGGTAATGCTGATCTCATAAGTTTGGAATGTTCTCCCCTCTTACATTTTTGGGAAGAGCTTGAGGAGGATTTGTATGGATTCTTCTTTAAATGTTTGGTAGAATTCACTAGTTACATCATCAAGTCCTGAACTTTGCTTTAATGGAACATTTTTATTTAATTACTGATTCAATCTCCTTAGCCATTATTAGTTTGTTCAGATTTTTTATTTCGTCATTATTCAATCTTGGTAGGTTGTATGTGTCTTGGAAGTTACCAATTTTTTCTACGTTAGCCAATTTGCTGGCATATAATTGTTAATAGTAATCTCTTGGGATTCTTTGTTTTTTTTTTTTTTTGAGATGGAGTCTTGCTTTTGCCCAGGCTGGAGTGCATTGGTGCTATATTGGCTCACTGCAAGCTCCGCCTCCCAGGTTCATGCCATTCTCCTGCCCCAGCCTCCCAAGTAGCTGGGACTATAGGCGCCCACCACCACACCCAGCTAATTTTTTTTGTATTTTAGTAGAGACAGGGTTTCACCATGTTAGCCAGGATGGTCTCGATCTCCTGACCTCGTGATCTGCCCGCCTCAGCCTCCCAAAGTGCTGGGATTGGGATTCTTTGTATTTTTATGGTGTCAGTTGTAACGTCTCTTCTTTCATTTCATATTTTATTTAATTTTCTTTACTCTTTTTTTATTAGTCTAGCTGAAGATTTGTCAATTTTATCTTTTCAAAAATCCCACAGTTTTGTTATTTTTTCCATAATTTTTATAGTATATGTTTCCTTTATTTCTTCTTTAATCTTTGTTATTTCTCTCCTACTAACTCTGGGCTTGGTTTGTTCTTTTTATTCTCGTTACTTGTGGTGTAACATTAGGTTGTTTATTCAAGATCTTTCTTCTTCTTTAATGTAGGCATGTATCACTATAAAATTCTTTCTTAGAACTGCTTTTGCTACTTCTGTAACTTTTGATACATTGTTGTTTCCATTATCATTTGTATTCAATTTCTTCTTTGACTCATTGATGTTTTAGGAGCATGTCGTTTAATTTTCTTGTACTTGTAAAATTTCCAGTTTTCTTCCTGTTGTTGATGCAATTGTGGTTGGATAAAATAGTTGATACCATTTTAATCTCCTGACATTTGTTAAGACTTGTTTTGTGGCCTGATATATGATCTCTCCTAGAAAATGTTCTGTGTGTGCTTGAGAAGAATGTGTTTTCTACTGCTGTTGGATAGAACATTCTGTATATATATTTTAGGTGTATTTGGACTAAAGTGTATTTCAATGTTTTCTTATTGATTTTTTTGTCTGGATGACCTATTCATTGTTGAAAGTAGGGTATTCAGGTTCTCTACTATTATTGTGTTGCCACCTGTTTCTCTCTTCAGATCTATTAATATTTGCTTTATATATTTAGGTGCTCCAATGTTAGGTGCATATGTTTTTATAATTATTATATCCTCTTGATGAATAGACCTTTGTATCATTATGTAAATCTCATTTTACAGTTTTTGACTTAACGTATATTTTGTAACAGTATAGATAATCAGCTGTTTCTTGGTTTCCATTTGCTTGGAGTATATTTTTATATATTTTCACTATCAGTCTATGAATGCTCTTTTTGCAGAAGTGAGTATCTCATAGGCAGCATATACTTGGGTCCTATATTTTTTTATTTTTTTAATTTTAAATTTTATTTTTTATTTTTATTCATCCACGCTCTATGTCTTCCATTTAGAGATTTTAATCTATTTACATTCAAAGTAAATAATAGGTAAGATATACTTCAAGGTATACTATATTATTAAAAGGTAAGGATTTACTGTTGCCATTTTGTTAATTATTTTCTGGCTGTTTTGTATATCCTTTGTCCTTTTGTTCTTTTCTTGTTATCTTCTTATGTGATTTGATGATTTTATGTAGCAATATGCTTTGATTTCTTTCTTTTCTTCTCCTACATAGCTACTATAGATTTTTGCTTTGTGGTTACAGGCTTACATAAAACATAACAGTCTATTTTAAGCTAGTAACAACTTAACTTTAATTGCATATGAAACCTCTACACTTTTAATTTCCCCTTCCATATACAATGTAAAATGATGTCAGTTGTGACATCAAAATCACAATTTACATCTTTTTACACTGTATATTCTTTAACAAATTATTGTAGTTACACTTATTTTTAATAGTTTTAACTTTTATACCACAGACACAGATGATTCACACACCACCATTATGATATTATTCTGAATTTGATCTGAATTTGGCTATATACTTATTTTCTTCTTAAAGCCAGTGGAATGTATCGCACACTCCACTATGACAACTACTTACTAATTTAATAGAAGTTATAAGCTTTATAGTCAGAAAGATCTGAGTTCAAAGCTACATACTCACCGGTTTGATAACTTGATGGGCTTTGATTTTCTGGGTTTCAATTTCCTCTTCAGCAAACTAGAGAGACTATATGTTCAGTAGAGATACTATGTGAACAGTAGAACCTTTCTGGGCATCTGTTCAATTCACAGCCTCTAATACAACTGTGTTCCTTGCCCTCCAAAGGGGGAGAATTGTTTGTGCTTCATGAGCTTTTCTCCCTGGCCAGAACTTAGTAAATAGGGATGATCCCTGGCCCATACTGGGCTAACTAGATTCTTTTTCCCTGGAATTTAGCATTGGAACATTGCATTGAGAAACCATGTAGTTGGGTGTGGTGCCTAACTGAGATTTGGGTCTGTTTTGTGACTGAGCTAAGAGGTCATTTACCTGCCATGTGTGCAGAGAAATAGAAAAAGCAGTTTTGCAGAGTGCAATCCATGAAGCAGACACCCAGAGCATGGCAGGGGCAAGAGTTACAGTTGAATGAGCTCTCTAAGCCAACTTGAAGGACAATTCTGTGGCTCCATTACCTAAACACTTGGCTGCTTAGCTTTTCAAGGGAAAATGATAATTTCTCTAAATGGACTTACTAGGCAACTGTCAGAAATGAAAGACTGAAAAGATTTCATGGAAAGAGGCAGAAAGAACAAAATGGTATTTTGGGTCTGTCCAAATTCTCTTCATAAGGTACTTTCTCTGCAAGACTAATTACAGCAGGGTTTACCCTGAGTTGCAGTGAGTCATTTAAAAAGCAATTATTGCCAGCAGCCCTTGTTCTTTGGCTGAGAGTTGAATGGGAAATTTAATAGTATTATGAGAATTTTCCCCTTCCAAACTAATTCCAAGAAATGATATAAATTGAGTGTGTGTTTATTTTTTTAAGACAAGCTTATCTTAATTGAGTTTTTCATAATTATGTTCCACTGGTTACATATGAAATGGAAAGAGAGGGGCGGTGTAGGGAAGTGAGCACTTGAGTTTCTAAATTATTTCTTTCTCTGTGCTTCATTTCAGGCCTTTTCTTGCATCATTCAAGGTACATTGTAGCACTCAGGACTGGGCGTTGCACAGAGTGGTTGCATAAGCTTGATTACTGATTAGTACCAAGATAGTTTAGAATAATGACCAGAGAGCATTGTGGGAATAAATGTTCCTGGCTCTGACTACAGATATGCATGGGAATCTCTCATCCTATTAGTAACATCTGAGTACATGGCTGAGGGTATCAATGAGAACACCATTTATTGATCATGAACTATGCACAATAGCAATATTGAGAGTATTGCTTATATTACTCAGTTAACGCTGACAACATTCCTAGTATCCTGCTAATCTTAAAGGTGAAGAAAATTAGGCTGGGTGATAGTTAAGCTGTTCAAAGCCACACAATTAGTAAATGATAATGGGTGTCCACCCTGGGCCTTGCCTGCTATGAAGCCAGGATCTCGGCCACTCTGCCTTGCTGCCTTTTAGCTATATAGTATTTATTGAATGAACATTTATAATACCTGTGATAAAAGGAAAACTTCAGCGAATTAAATTTAAAGGAGTTTAATTGAGCAATGGATGATTCACGAATTGGGCAGCCTCCCAGAGTCACAGCCGATTCGCAGAGACTCCAACACAGCAACATGGTGGTAGAATATTTATAGACAAAAGAATGGCCAGGCACAGTGGCTCATGCCGGTAATCCCAGCATTTTGGGAGGCTGAGGTGGGTGGATCACCTGAGGTCAGGAGTTTGAAACCACCCTGACCAACATAGTGAAACCCCGTCTCTACTAAAAATACAAAATTAACCGTGTGTGGTGGTGCATGCCTGTAATCCCAGCTACCTGAGGGGTCAAGGCAGAAGAATCGCTTGAACCCAAGAGGCGGAGATTGCAGTGAACTGAGACTGTGCCATTGCACTCCAGCCTGGGCTACAAGAGCGAAACTCCATCTCAAAAAAAAAAAAAAAAAAAAAAAAAAGACAAAGGAAATGAGGTACATAAATTGGAAGTGAGGTACAGAACAGCAGGATTGGTTACAGCTCAGCTTTTGCCTTATTTGAACAGTCTGAACACTCAGCAGTGTATGAATGATTGAAGTATGGCCTCTCAGCTATTGTTACAGGTGCATACTCCTAAATTAGGTTTTTGATCTTGTCTACCTATTGAGCTAGGTTGCAGATTGTCCACAAGAATTCAAATATAGAAGTATGGAGTCCTTCTCAGGCCATATTTAGTTCACTTTAACACCTGATTGAGTCATACTGTTTGTGAGGACAATAAATGTTTAAATTGGAAGGCTGTTAATAATGATTTATATAAATTCTGCCTTTTATAGTGATTCCTTCTTAATTAAAAGTGTTGAATGACTTACCAATTTGGGTTAAATTTGTATAATTGTTAAAGAAATTCAGTTACATTACGTGAATGTTCAATGACTCCATGGAAAAGATAACAGTACCTTTCAGGACTTCTTCATATAGAAGTGAAAGAGACCCATTTTTAACCAGCTTAATGACAAAGGGAATTAACTGGAAAGATACTAGTTTGGTTTGTATAATTGTATTGGGAGCCACAAGAACCAATAAAGTTCTGAGGACATCAGAGACCAAAACTGAGAACTCTATGTTGGGCTCACCTTTTCTCTTCCCCCTTGATTTCGTCTTCCTCAAACAGGTACACTGGCCACCGAATGGTTTAAGGATTTATGTTTGAAGCTGCAAGACTCTTGAGAACAGAGGAGACCATCCCTCAATGGTTGTAGCAGAAAAGTTCCAAATACACATACAGGCTGACCCTGAAACATCCTCAGGAGACAGAATAATTTTAGAGACCTAAATGTGGATTTGCCCATATTAGTGGTAGCCAAAGGAGATTATTTCCAATTACCAGAAGAAAGGAGTCTTGTGTACTGTTTACAATCAAGTCTTTAATTTTCTAGAATACTTACAAAATCTTTTTAGCATATAAAAATTGAAAAAAATACTCCTTCCCAATATAACAGCTACCCATTGTAATTACTGCTTCTAAAATTATGTCCAGATGTTATTTCTTCCTCAAATCCAGGGTTTTAAAATACTGTGCCTTCCTCTCTCTGAGATCTAGTTGGGGCATAAAAAGATTCTGTATACTTTCAGCTAATGATAAATATGACTATCTGTTTTCTCTAATAAGCATTCCTGAGGTAAAATATTAATCAACATAATTGTCTCATGGAAAAAGGGAGGAAGAGGAAGTAATATTCAGCGGCCACTGGCCAGATATACAATACTCCAATGGATAGGGATAGAAATGTACATCCATTCATTGTCTTGCTTGTTAGTAATAGACTGAGATCCTTTTTCAACTGATATGATTGCCACAGAATCTACCTACTGGGTGAATTCACTTACCTGGCATCATCCTGGGCCATTCATAAAAGGTGTTGTACAGTGAGAAGAAATCCCATTCTATGGTTGAATCTTTGCTGAATATCCTTGAATGAGCCTGAGGACAGTCTTAGGGAATGTGCCATCCAAACCTCTTTTTTTGATACTTGGTGTTTATCTAGCCTTAAGTATTCTTTAAAATACTAG
The DNA here is from genome assembly GCF_000001405.40 of Homo sapiens. Classification (NCBI taxonomy): domain Eukaryota; kingdom Metazoa; phylum Chordata; class Mammalia; order Primates; family Hominidae; genus Homo; species Homo sapiens. Next base: position 134,055,602 of record NC_000008.11, on the reverse strand, counting down.
TCTGGAAGTCTGATGCAAGAATATATGTCTGGTCATTATCTTTAAATAAGTACCATACCCCTTTGATTGCTTATCAATAGGCCTGACATTTTGACCATCAGATTAATGGCTTCTGTCTTGACTCCTACCTCAGAGTAAAGTGAAAGAAAGGATAGGATGATAAGTTAAAGCTAATTCCCTTTCCTGCCCACCACTGCATCCAAGTTGCTTAGGCCATAGGGAATGATTACCTTGGGTAGGCAGGGAAGAATCTAATCTTCTTTCACTTTTCTCACTGCCCTGTTTTTGCTTATACTAACTTTATGACGGGGTAAAACAATTAGTTTTCCAATTCTACAGAGGACTTTCCTGCCTTAACCTTTCCAGTTTAGCATTGCTGAGGCTGTGTAGAAAGAATTTTTTATGTAGAGGTGCATACAGATTTCTCTGTGATTTCAGGTAAATCAATTTGTCTTTTTGTTGTAGAAATTTACTGAAGAATGCAGAACAGAGCCTACAGTCCAATATCATCACATTTTTCTACTAAGTCACTGATATTCTGGTTTTGTTGGGCACATGGTTGAAGTTTCAAGATACCACAAGAAACCCGTAACCCAATGCTGTTCTACTTTTCAACAAGATATTTCCTAGCTGAAGATGATCAGGGGAGTGGAGAGTGATTAATGAGGATTCCCCTATCTCATCTTGACAAAACCCAGTCCCACATTTTGGTTTTCAAAATTGTTGTCCCCACTTCTGGTATCAATTCCAATTGCTAGTCAGGGTTCTTTGAGTTTGGAGTGTCAAAATCTCAACCTGATCTAACTTAAGCAAACAAACAAATAAACAAAAACTCTCTTACATTATACATATTAACTAGAGAAATCCAGTTATATCTGAGACAGGAATAAATGACTTGATGTTGCTAGATATCTTTCTGTCTACTTCTCATCACCACTTTTCTCTCAAAATCATCTTTATTCTCATGTGTTTATCCATGTGACAGTAAATGTGCTATCATGTTGAGTCATATTCTTATAATTTACTACATGCAAGAGTTAAAAAAACTCTTTGTTCTTAGTTCCAGCAGAAAATGCTTAGAGAGGGCTTCCAGTTTGTGTGGTTTGGGTTATGTGGACATTCCTAAATTACTTGTGTTACCAGCGGATGCTTTACTCTGATGGGCCGGGTCTCAGTCACAGACTCATTCTTGCAATCAGAGTGGTGAGGTCTGTAAACAGAATATGTAGAAGAAGAGCATTAGGCAAATAAAGATAATAGTTGAAATAATTATGATGCACTCTGTTGTTATGATGCAATCATGTAGGTGCTGCCTTAGGAGCACAAAGAAGAGAGCAGGGAAAAACTTAGTCTCTTGCTTCTTATCTAGACCAGAAATGCTTGAGGTCAGAGACTGGGTCACATTTGCCTTTGTGTTCACATAACTTATCACAGAGAGTACCTTATCGTAGATATTTTAAAAATTAATACATGTGAAGAGAAGCTGGCAGGAAGGAAGCAAGGAATGAGAGTCCACTCTGGAAACTGTTTAGATTTCCCCTACGAAACTTTATCCTGGCACAGGGGATAAATGGACGGACTAAAATTATTGGTCAGTAGAATCTGCAGTGGGATAAGGAAAAGGAAGCAAACCATCCATTTCAAATCATAGAGTTTTAATAATTTCCCTTAATGCCAGATATGCTCACAACTGCTTTTCAGCTCCCAGTGAGACTGTGGCATGCCATACATAAAATCCTCTCTGAAATCTGCTTATAGCGCACTTGTGGTTTGACAAGCACTAAGCTTATCTTTTTCATGGTTGCTGCTTGTGTCAAAGCAATTTAAAAATTGAAGAGCAATTTGGCAGCTTGTTCATACCTCCAGTGAGTGGCTCTACCCCATTATTTACAATTTCTTCAAATTTTAAGACATGCTGCTTGGATAGATGTTGGAACAGGTAAAGTTGTGACCATGGTAGAGATTAAGCAGAATTACTTCAGACATTTGTGAAATAAGCCAGGAATTATTTATAAACAGGTCATTAATTAGTAAGTATAAAAATGAGACTACCATTTTTGTCATGGAAGAAATTAATCTTTCTTCTAATGGATAACAACTAAAGAGTGATGAAGGGAAGTAGCTTGCCTTATACATGCATAGCCACAATTATTCCTTTATTCAAATCCATTCAATGATACTTCCAACATATATGATTCTTTTTTCCAACGAGAATAAATGTAACCTCTTTTATAACAGGGAACATGGGCTTCCATCAGTGTATCATTGATACCTGTCAGGTATCAAAAGAAAAGAGATAAAAATCAAAATGATTTTTAAATAAAGGTGAAGAGTCAGTAGATAAATGAATTTAACATAAAATATGGTGCTATAAATACAGAGAGGAATAAAACCAATTTCCTGCTCTCAAGAATTTGTTCTAGAGAGAGTGAGTAAACAGCTGTCCACAGTTCAGTGGGCTGGGGATTGAGGGTTTTGGTCAGAGGTGTACAGGGTGCTGTGGTTGCACAGAGAAGCAAACCTTTGCATCTGCATGGGGGATTGGTGAAGGAATTTCTCATAAAGGAAATGACATTTGAGGGATTTCAAACCAATACCTTTCACATAGTAAACATTTAATAAATATTTGTTGACTAAATAAGCAAGCATCGAAAGATGAATATAAGCTTGTCAGAAACAGAAATGGAGAAATAAATAGCAATTTAGATGTAGGGGAATGGAATGTGCAAAGACTTAGAGGCATAAAAGTACCTGGCCTGATGGGAAAAGAGTGACCCTGAAAGTTCCCACCTGGAAGCAGCAGTGACCTTCCCACTGCCAAATCTGAAGGGCATGTTTCTGTGCCCTTGCTGGGCCTTCAGAGCCTGTCGACCACCCCTCTACCACCAAACTTTTACTTCCATTGGCTTCTAACATTGCATGTCCTCTGCACTTCACTCTTACTGTCTTGGTAACTGTCACTTCTCCAAGAGATCCCCATTCTCTCTTCTTCCTGTAACTATTAGTGTTCCTTAGGACTTTGTTTTCCTAACACACATTCCGTGGATAATTTCAGCCACTTCTTTGGCTTTAAGTGTCATCTCAATACAGATAAATCTGAGATGTATGTTTCTAAATCAGAGCCCTTTTCCAATTGTTAGACATTTAAATCCATTTACCTATTAATAATTTACTTATTTATTGTTAAAAATATTTAAATGATGTTGACCGCTTACTTCATGACAGATATTAGGGAGGCATTGATAACAGTTCATAGTGATAATTGACTCCAAAGAAGTACATAAGATTGCTCAGTAAGAGCATGTGGGGAGAGAGAAGAGCAGGGAAAAGAACAGAAGAGAGAGGAGAGGAGAGGACTTACAGCAAAAACCAGAGATATGATCAAAGCAGCCAGATGATAAGCTGCAGGCAATTAAGTCTGAGGGCAATCAGAGATAGAAAGAAAACATGAAAGTGTGGTTCATACAACCAAAACAGAAGTGGTATTTCAATAATTAGGGAGATTGAGAATACATACTTTCACTTGTGAAATGAGGGAACACACCAGGTTGTGTTCAGTTGAGAAAAGAGTGGAAGGTAGGTGAAGCCCAAAAACCTAGCTTGCATTTAAAGAAGGCTGATGGATGGGGGAGTGAGCTACAGTAATACATGGAAGGACAAGGGCATGGTTGTCCTCTGACACCCAGACACACGATGGCTGCCCATGTGCACTTGTGTTTCTCCCTTCCCTCTTCCCAGAGAATTGCCTGCTAACATCAGAACTCTGAGAGGTATCCTGGGTTTCCCACTCTCCCTTGCATACAAGCAGTCACCAGGGGAACCCCATAGGGAGGCAGCATTACATAATGAAAGCTGAGGCAGAGGAAAAAGATTTTTACTAGGGTTCAAGTCCTGGCCGTGCCACTCACCAACTCTGTGGCCTTGGGCAACGGCTTGACCCTGTCTGAGTCTCGGTCTCTCTTCTTCTGAAACCAAAGAGAAAGACATCTATTTTGAAGTGCAGGGGTAATTATTACTGCTAAATGGTAGGTAGTAAGCCAAGTGATAGGCAGTTAATTGGATGTTATTATTACTTTTCTTTCCACTTCTTTATTTCTTCCAGCACCACTGCTACTACTGATTTTGGACTCATCTTAGGTTCAGAAAGGTCAAGTGATACAGAGAACTTTACACTGCCAGTTGAGAGCAGGCCAGAGACCAGAAGGTTGCTCTGTCAACTTGAGATGCAGTTGAGTACTATTTTCCCCCAGTGCAAATGGTGGCCTGTGGTAGGGTCAGGAGGATGACACCACATCAGAACATCCTGGCTGCTCTGGGGAAGGGGACACCCCACCTCCATGGACTAGGGCAGCACTCACTGCTTTCCAACTTGCTTCTGGGCTCTTTCCAAAAGAGGTTGCTAAGATAGAGTGCTTGAAATTCATAGCAGGTAGGATATTAGCTGTCTTATTTGGAGCTTCAGGAGTTTTACATTTTCCATATAGCATCTAATCCATTATTAAAACAAACAAGTGTATCGACCATTCTGCATGCACTTTCTCAAGTGGCAGATGAATCTTGGTTATCTATTTCCTTCACCATTACTAATGCAGCCACATGGACCCTGGAATAAATTGAATCTTTTTTTGTGAAAGTCTTATTTGCTCCCTTGCTCCTGCCCTCCACCACCTCCCCCAAGGGACAGATGCTCCAGTGCTCAGCAGTAGCTCTGGAGAAGGGAAGGTGGTGGCAGCTCATCCTCATCTGAAACTCATCTTCATCTGTTCCAGGGTCATCTTCAGCCATGACATTGTCCTTATCATGACCAATGCATGGGAGAGTATTTTTGATGGCTTTTTGTAAAGACAAAGCAAAGCAAAGTGACAATGCACTTAATAATGTTGTCTCACTTGAAGTAACTCAGTGAACTATGCTGAGATGGCTTTTGAGCTTGAGCCTGAATCTTCATTGCTGGAGAGAAAGAAAGAAAAAAAACTTAAGAGGATGGTGGGCTCCAGGACTCAGGAGGTGTGCTGAGATGTAGCACTGAGCTAGAGTAATGTCTAAAAATGACTAGATTTTTTCCTTGTCCTTCTCCCTGTACCCCCTCTGTTTCTCCTTCCATCTACCCTTCTTTTCCTCTTCCTTTCCTTCTGTTTTGCCTCCCTGTGACATCATCATCAACATCACTGTCACCATCATCATCATCATCTTCTTCTTCTTCATGATGATCTTTATCATCAGAAAAAGCATACACTGGGCATCTGCTCTAATAATATATTCATTATGTGTCTCTCTCTACTGGTTTTGTAAGTTCCTTGAGGACAGAGGGCAAAACTCTCTCATCATCTGTGTATTCCTTGCACACATGACAGAAATTGAATGAATATGTTAAGTAAATTAACAAATGGACTTTTGAAAGTCAGCAAGATTAAAACAATTAGGATAACTGAATTAATCTTTGTAAGCTGATCTTTGTGTTGGGGCCTGATTATATCCCCATGGAGAAGCAGCCTCTGTTTAGGGCAACACAGATAGACATTAGAGTGAGGATGTTATTCCCTCAAATCTAGCTTTTCCTCCACTGCTGCTCTGACTTGGGATAAATTGTCTTCCTCTCTTTTAAAACATGGCACTGATGAGACGATTGCATAAAGTAATCAGTTTCTGGCATGTAGTGGTTTTCGCATCCAAACGATTACTTTTTGCAGGGCATAATGATAAGTTTCATTTGACAGTTATGCCTTTCATTTCTTCTGCAGGTGCCACCAGAAACTTCAGGTTTGAAACTCACGATTCATTGGCCTGTCTCTATTGCTACTCCATTACTTGCCACTGTGCACTTTCATCTCATTTTAATAGACGTATTATAGCTATAGTGTTTACTATAAGGAGCTTCATATTGCTTTTAAGAGTGGGCATTGGAGGAAATAATATGTGTGAATATACGTGCTCATGATTGTTAGTGAAATCTCCATTATTAATCCCCATTTTAATGTGAGTATTATGTAATCCGAGCAAAGCCAGAATGCCACCATCATTTCATCATTTCAGTGAAGGGAAGAGTTAGCTGGGAATAGGAGTGCATGGTTGTGGTGATTTCCTTCTTGCTATCAGCTGATAGGCAGCAGGTTTGACAAAGCCCACAGCATGCACTGGGAAACATGACTCTAGCCCTTTGCAGTAAGTCTCGGATGGCAAGACTACATCTTTAGCCAAGTTGGACATTGATTGGATTCTCCCCTTTGGTTTTTCCAGTTCTGATTTCTTCTAGCGGCTGTTTACCATGCCAATTCTAGCTCAGCTTGGCTTTTTGTTTGTTCTGTTCTGACACATAGCAGTGGACTTTGGTGTGGCCCATGAACTTTGGTTTGACTTCCAATATTAGAATTAATAGTTGGCCTCTGGTGTGGACCCTGAAATGCAATATGATTTCATTGCAAAAGTTAATAAATAGTAACCACCAATCTGTGCAGCCCAGGCAGGAGCAAGGAATAGGCAGATGGAACAAAGAAATTATCTGGCATGACTCAGTCACATAACCCCCAAATGTCCCAGTGTGCCAGCAGTCATAGCAGCAAGAGCACAGTAGATCACAGGATGCTACTAGCCACAAAAACCGAGGCACCCTGGAAAATTGACGGTGAAACTGGAGGATTGGAAAGTCTGTGATTGAGCCAGACAAAGGCAGTTTCAGGTCAACCCAGGTCATGGGTTGAAAAACAAAAATTGCAATCAGCTACAGAGAAATGAGTTCAGAGACTGAGCCCCATGGATCCTTTGTTAACCACTGCAGGTGGGCCTTGGCTGATGAGCACCCCTTCTTTGGCCAGTCTTTAAGGGACAACACTCTTGTGTTGCTGCCTGGGAGGCAACATGTATGATTTCTGTGTCAGACTATAAAATAAAGAACCTCTGGACTTATTTTGGTGGGTAAGCCTGCAATCATAAAGACTGCCTTCTTTGTTTCTGTTAGTAACACTTTTACTTAAAAGCATATATTTGTGGCCGGGCACAGTGGCTCACGTCTGTAATCCCAGCACTTTGGGAGGCTGAGGTGGGCGGATCATGAGGTCAGGAGATCGAGACCATCTTGGCTAACATGGTGAAACCCCGTTTCTACTAAAAATACAAAAAATTAGCCGGTCGTGGTGGCAGGCACCTGTAGTCCCAGCTACTCGGGAGGCTGAGGCAGGAGAATGGCATGAACCTGGGAGGCGGAGTTTGCAGTGAGCTGAGATTGCACCACTGTACTCCAGCCTGGGTGACACAGCAAGACTCTGTCTCAAAAAAAAAAAAAAGCGTATATTTGTGTGCAAGGAATCCAAGTTGGTAGCATTTCACATACTTTTTTGACTAGTGCAGACTACACATCACTATACATACAAGGATAACACCAAAATCTCCCTTTGTTCAATAAGTGTCAAGTGTCTCCTCTCTTTCTCTCTCTCTCTCACCTCTCTCTGTGCCCTTACATATCAACATAATGAAAGGACTTATTCAGTAATCATATTTCTAATACTGTAAAATATTTAATTTTTGTTTCCTTAAATATTGTCATAATATGACATTGTTTCTCTTTAAGGTGGGGATTCCACTTTCTTATGATACTTCACCATTTTAGGTAAGAGTTGTCTTTTGTTTCAATGAGTCCACGTGAGATGAGAAACAAGCAAGGGATTAGGCTGCCCTGCAGCCTCTAGGAAGTCACTGGGTCCATCCATGATGGTAACTTGGAACCAAATCCAAGCATTGAATGAACTTGTGTCAGGTGACCTTGACCATTGACTCCACCTCTATGACCTTCAGTTTTCACACTGAACAAGCAGAGATCATATTGTCTTCTTAGCAGGTTCAAAGAGGATTAAATAAGATGATATTTATAAAATGCGTAGTGCAACGCTTGGTTCACTGGATATAAAAGGTTATTATTATTTTTAGATTATTGAGATTACTTATGTGTTTGGGTAACAGTGACAAATTATACGTGCCTGGAGGGTAGCATGCTAAACCAGTGCACTACAGTACAAGATAAAGACTAGAATGAGCTGGATTTTTTAAATTGGTTTCCTTTTATTTGTAATATGAGTAGTTTCTATCTTCTGATTTTTCTCTCTCCCTCCCACTTATGTTAGATAAAATGATGCTTAATCTCATGATGATGCAAAAGATTGGTTTCCCTATCCAGGCCAACATGAAGAGAAGACAGCCTGTTTTATGCCAGGCTCATACTAGTCACTTTCACTCATCACACACTTTCCATCTGTCTTAGTCCATTCAGGCTGCTACAATAAAACAACCGAGTGGCTTATAAACAACAGAAATTTCTTTCTCATAGTTCTGGAGGCTGGACGTCCAACAGATGTGGTGTCTGGTGAGGGCTGCTTCCTGGATCATAGATGGTGCCTTTTCACAGCGTCCTCACATGGTGAAAGGAGCAAGACAGCTTTCTGGGGCTTCATTTATAAGGCCACAAACTACATTGGTGAGGGCTCCACCATCATGACCTAGTCAGCTTCCAAAGTCCTCATCTCCTTCACCTTGAGGATTAGGATTCCACTTCTATATTTGGTATCATGGGAGACAAATATCTAGACCACAGCATTATCATATTATCTATAACACTGTATTACATTTGTTCTGTGTCTGATGTTCCCTCAGTGTACTTTGAATCTCTCAAGATATGGATCTTTTTCCATTACTTTCTGCATTTCCTGCACCTATACCTACATTTATTCAGGCCAATGATTGAACAAAAATTCAGCATTCAGCTGAAATTTACCTATAGTTTTTGTTTGTTTATTGTTTTTTGTTTTTGTTTTTGTTTTCCAGTGGGCAGCGTCTATTATGATTGGGCAATACCATATCTTACTAGTTGTTAAATAGTGTAAATACTGATACTGGTTAGGGGTTGAATGGATATACTTTATCCTCACAGTACTCATGAAGTTAATATTATTCAATGTGCATATAAGTGGAAACTGATGCTTAGACAGGATTTATGCAACTTCCACATTCTTTCAGAGTGTGGAAGGGGGCCAGAATTTGAAATCTGTTTTGTCTAGTCCAAAGCCCAAATGCTCTCTCTATTTTTTGTTGCCAGCTATGAATCTTTAATTTTTTAAACAATCTGGTATTGAATACTTAGAATATTTTATAATTCAAGTCTTAGTTTAAAACTTTACATCATATAGGCAAGAAAAGCCAGATGGATCTGTGCATAGAGTTAATATCTTACAACCCACAGTCAGGCAAGAGCAAAACATTCAAAGTGATTTCAGGCAAAATGTATCCTAATCTACTAAGTGTAAGGCATTTATATACAAATAGAAAATCAAACTCAATAATCTAAACAAAGTCAACCCTCACCTCCTTTGAAAATCCTGTGCTTAAATATTTGCATGTATACACAATGAAAAACACAAGCTTGATGAATACTTTATATAGTTTGTTCTAGATTGAATGTTTGCATCACTCCAAAATGCATACGTTGAAGCCCTAACCCCTAGGGTGGCTGTATTTGGTGACTGGCCTTCTAAAGAAGTATTACAGGCTGAGCAATGTGGCAAAACCTCATCTCTACCAAAAATACACAAAATTAGCCAGGCGTGATGGCATGTACCTGTAGTCCCAGCTACTTGGGAGGCTGAGGTGGAAGGATTGCTTGAGCCCAGGAGGTGGATGTTGCAGCAAGCCAAGATTCCACCACTTCCCTCAGCCTGGGTGACAGAGTGAGACCTCATCTCAAAAAAAAAAAAAAAAAAAGTAATTAACATGAAATAAGGTCATAAGGGTGGGGCCCCGATCCAATAGGATTAGCGTCCTTATTAGAAGAGACACCAGAGAGCTATGTGCCAAGGAAAAGCCATGTGAGAGCATAGCAAGGAGGCAACAGTCTGATAGCTCAGAAAAGTCCTCACCAGAAACTGAAACAACTCTGCTGGCACCTTGATCTTGGACTTGCAACCACCACAAGTGTGAGAAAATAGAGTTCTGTTATTGAAGCTACCCAGTCTATGGTATTTTGTTATGGCAGCCAGAGCTGACTAACACACATTCAAAACAGCTTCCAAGGGAAACGTGGTTGAGTTGACCAAATCAACCTTAGTTAACATAGACACTGGCTAAGAATGGGTGGTTATCAGATTACATATGCTCATGCCTTAAAATAAATATTGCCAATCAGCACATATTAAAGGGGCTCAACTTTGTCCAGTCAGTCCTGTAAGAAGAGAGTATAAAAATGTTTTGTCCAGTCAGTCCTGTAAGAAGAGAGTATAAAAATTAAGGCTATGTCAGCCTTAATTGAAATTTTCAATATGTTTATGAGTAAATAAATTATCTTTAGTTCTCATCTTCTTTGTAAAAATCACAGGAGTGGATAAGAAGGCCTCCAAGGTTTTCTTCATGTATGGGACTTTTTGGGGTACTTGTTCTTCCCCATTTTATAAGGAATTGATATACTCAATACTAACTGTTGAAAAGTGTAAAGCAATTTGAATTTCCACCTACCTTCAATAAAGGCAGAAGGTCTGGGGATGGCATTCAGCATCCATACTTTTTATAGTTCCCCTGGTTATTATAATATGCTGTCAAGGTTCTCAACAGCAACAAAAACTCTCTGCCTCCTAAGAATACTATGTTCTTTCCACTACTAGGCCTTGGTGTGTGCTCCCTCTCTGCTTGCAATAGAGAGTTATTTTTCATCCTCCTAATTTCTTTTTTGACATCTTTACCACATATTTTAGGCAGAATTTGATTTCCCTTCCCTTATCTAAAGAACCAATTCATAGTTCAGAAACAGTACTAGCCTCACAGAGGTTAGAGAACATATTGCATCCCTCTTCCATGCTCGGCCCCAGCATAGAACTCTACACACTTCAAGTGTAGCAAATAAATAGTGTATTTGACTGTAGATAAATTAGTTCAGCTCTCAGAATCTGTTGACTCATCTATAAAGAACTCTTGCAATTCTGACATCACCTAGAAATTCAACATAAATAAATCTTTGTGTCTGAACATAAAAGCATATGATACAAAAACTCCAACCGCACTTTTAGAGAATTGTTCAATCAAAAAGCTGTTAAAATGCACACACTTTACAACAGAAGAAATTCAAATCTGCCTCGGTTCTGACAGAAAGAGGATGCTGAGGGACACCTGCATTTAAGTGGTGGCTGTCAGACAAGGCCAGGAGAGCTGTAAGCAGCATGAGCTGTCTACACCCTGACTGCTGGGTGAGAAGTCCACAGGGAAAGAGCTTTGGCTGCAGTTGGGTTGTCTTCATATTATCTTGCCTCATGTCTGGCTCAGTTGCAGTAAAGAATACATACTGTCTATAATTATTTAACTACCCTTTTCTATTCTTAACCACAAACTAAAAGTCAAGTCATTTATGATACAAATATAATGGGATAAACAGGAAATTAAGAACTCTACAAAGCCATTCACATTTACCATAATGAATTCTGCTGATTAAAAAGCCCAAACAGACTCGTTAGTGTATTCTTTATTGTGTCTGCATTTTGAGTTTATGTTAGACTTTCTCCTTTGCTTTCTGGTGATCAAGAAAATCTAGGAGATGTATCTGTGATGATACTGAGGAGGATTTTCTCAACCATAAAATGTCAGGGCTGAAAGGAATTGGAGTAAGTATGTGGTATGCACCTTTACTTCACAGATAGGTGACTTGGAGCTTTGAGAGAAAACAGTTATTCAAGGTTTTAACCAAAGATTCCTTGACCAGTGCTCTTCTGAGTACAATGGGATCTGTGGAAATTTCTCTTCCATCCTAAGAGGGTCTCTGTCTCGCAACTGTCCCTGAAACTCTTAGAGAAAGAGCAGTCAGCTCTCACTTCCTGGTTTAAGTTCATGATTCTTACATGCTGTCTTCTCTAACCACATCCTCTAAACACAGTTTTAGGCAAGCCAGAACAGTTGCTCACCCTAGGAGAAATGGATAATTGGTGAAGAGTATTACTGCCTGCTACATCCACCATGCAAGAGACTTAAGCTTTCAGAGCCTCAGTAACTTTGTGCAAAAAATGAGAATAATACTGGCCTCAAAAGCTGTGTGTGATGTGTGAATGATGTCAGGTTGTGTTATCTAACTAAGATTAATGAGGAGAGGGGATTGATTTATTCTAAAGAATTGGCTCACAGGATTATGGAAGCTGGCAAGTCGAAAATTTGCAGAAGAGGCTGAAAGCCTAGAAATTCTGACAAGAGTTGATATTTTTGATGTTGCAGCCTTGAGTTTCAAGGCAATCTGGAGGCAGAATTTCTTCCTCATGGAGGAACCTCAGTCTTTTCTCATAAGGCCTTCGACTCATTGGGTGAGGCCCACCCACATTATTAAAGCAGGGGGTTAATCCACTTTATTCATGTACTGATTTAAATGTTAATTACATCTAAAAATAACTTAGAAGCAACATCTAGTCTGGTGTTTAACCAAACATCTGGACACAAGAGCCTAGCCAAGCTGACACACATGATTAACTATGACACATATTCTTAGCATAGTATGAGCTTCTAGTAAGTGTCAAGTAAATGTTAGGACTTTTTCTTGACTTTCTTTTCAAAGCATTTATTAGTTTCTTTTATCATAGGAGATGCTAATTTTGAAAATTCAAAATTATCAAACAAAAATGGTGCGATATTTCACAATACAAAAATTCTTCTGGGTCATTACGGTTATGTGATAGGCCATTTTCTTAAACACAATTAACTGTATGATTGAGAGCTATGTTTAACAAACATTGATTAAATATTCATTACATACTTAGAGCTCTTCAGGGTACTAAGGCTATAAATAAGAAAGGCAGCATCCAGTGTCATCAGATATCCCCAAATCCAGTGAAGGACTGGAAGCGTATTTATCATTAATTGGGGTGAATCTTGTAATAGCATATGTACAAGGCAACACACAAATACTGTGGAGGGAGAAACTGACTATGCCAGGAGGCTCAGAAATAGTTCCAAGGACATGTGACTTTTATGCTGGCAGGCAATGCTTTAAAAGCAGACTAAGTATAGCACTTTGCACCGCACAAAGCAGGAAGATCTGAAAGAACATTCATAGTATAGTCAAGTGATGGCAAGACACTCACAGGGCCTTCAGAGCAGAGTGAACGGAATGTTATCTTTCAAAATCACACTGGACCTTCTCATCCATCTCTCTAGGAGTCTGCTGGGCTTGCCTCTTTGTGCTGAAATTGAGCATCGTAGCAGGGCCTGAAGTTGCTTCACAAATGGGGTCCTTTGAATGTTCCCATAATTATCTCTGGGCCTTTCTGCACACAATATGCCTGTCCAGGACTGCATGCTAATGATTCTTCCTATAGTGCTTTCAGCTCATCCCTGTTTCTCATCAGACAAAACCCACATGTACTTCAATGCTCAGATTGTGTGAAATCTTCCTTCAACCCTTTTCTATCTTCTCAACAAACTTAATTGTTTTCTCCTCTGATCTACCATATGACTCCAGACATATTTCTATTGCAGCATATAATACTCTATAATGTAAGGTTTTTTTTTGAGACAGAGTCTTCTCTGTCACCCAGCCTATAGTACAGTGACATGATCACAGCTAACTGCAGCCTCAACCTCCCAGGCTCAAGCTATCTTCCTACCTCAGCCTCCTGAGTAGCTGGGGCTGAAGGCATATCCCACCACACCCAACTAATTTTTTTTCTTAACTTTTATTTTCGTGGAGACAGGGTCTTGCCATGATTCCCAGGCTGATCTCAAACTCTTAGGCTCAAGTGATCCTCCCATCTTGGCCTCCCAAAGTACTAGGATTAAAGGCATGAGCCACCATGCCTAGCCCTGTAATGTAATTGTTTATGTATGTCTATTTCTTGGCCCCACAGGGTTAGAGTTCCTTCAGGGAGGTAGTTGTTTTACACACTGTTGCATGGTAGGATCAAGCTCTGTGGCCAGCACAAACTGGAAGCTCAGTATTTGCTTATGGAATTAATAAAATTTAAATAAAAACCAGGTGCTAGACACATAGTTATTGTTGAGTAGAAGCAAATGCATTGCAAGTTAAATTAAATATCTGTGACTATTTTAGAATTAGTATTTTTTCATGATGTCAATGTCATAACTGGTAAGGATGCTGAAAAAGACAAATGTGTTGAAATATTTTTCTGTGAGTTTGAAACAAATTGCCTGTCTTCTATTATGCAAATCCAGAATGTTGAGTCACAAACAATGGATCATTGCCCCTCAGATTAATGAAAAGAATGATGAAAATAAACCTCAGCTCTGGTTTAAAAGCACTTGAAAAGTAATGCCTCAAACAAATACAACTATAGCATAAACTGAGAAGGACCAAGAAAAGTATTCTTTTTAAAATTTCCCTTTATTTCTGGAGCAAAATTTATTTCTTTTAAAAAATAGTTATTCTTCAATCATTGTACATATTAGTAGAACCATTCTACATACTGGTCATTCAATCATTCTACATACTAGTCCCAGAGAGATCTTTCCAGAAGACAATCAGATCATATCATTTCCTTGCTCAAAAACATTCAGGTGTTCCCCATTACCAATTGATTGAAATTGAAACCATCTGGCTCTAACCCACTGCCTGATGTCAATAATGTAAAAAATATTTATTTACATTATTTATTACATAAATATAAATATATAATTATGATTAAAACAGTAGTGTAAATTATTTCCCTTTATTTCTTGAGTAGATTTGCTATAGAATTGCCATTTTATTGCTCTATTTTTGTCTTCTTATTTTTTCCAAAAAAAATGGCTTTTGGTTTATTGAGTTTTTTATCCTTTTGTTTTTTCTAACATGAATTTTTACTCATATCTTTATTATTTTCTGACTCTATATTCTTTAGGTTTTATCTTTTTTTCTAGCATTTGTAATTTTTTTTACTGAACTATATATCCAGAAAAGTGCATAATTTATAAGTGTAAGTTTGATGCACTTTTAAAAAATGAAGACATACATGTAACCACAACACAGATTGGGAAATAGAATGATACCATCACCAGCTCTAGAAATCCTGCTTGCACCTCTTCTTAATCCTTCTTTTGCCTCCTTTATAAAGGTAACCACCACTCTGACTTCTAGCAGAACAAGTTAGATTTGTCTATTTTTGCAAGATATTTTGATGGAATCATAGAATACTTACTGTCCTGTATCTGGCTTTTAAAATTCAATATTATATTGAGATTTAAACCCATGTTGTTGGAGATATATATATATATATATATAAAATTTATTTTCATTGTTATATAATATACCTTTTGATGAATAATATATTGTGACTTCTTTTTCTATTTTATTTTTAATAGAAATTTCCATTTCTCATTATAAATCAAATGTTGCTATAAATATTCCTGCACTTGACTTTTTGTTGCTCATTGGTATGAATTTCTGTTGGATATATATCTAGAAGTAGAAATGTTGGGTCATAATTAAGGTCTATATAGATACTGCTAAACAGTTTTCCAGAATGAAATGAAGGTTACAATTGTTTCACATATTCAATAATCCTTGATTTGGTTCGACTTTTTTAAAATGTTGCCCATTCCTGTGGTGGGTAGTGATATTTTATTTCGTTTGAATTTGCATGCCTCTGATGGATCCTTTATTGAGCACCTTTTTAATCTTTACTGCCTTTTCTTTCTTGAAGTACCTTCAAATTTTTAAATCAACTTTCCTATTGGATTGTTTATAGTTTGCTTATCAATTCATAGGCCCTATTTATATATTCTAGATTAGATTTTTGTCAAATATATGTCTTATAAATATCTTGTCTCTCCCAGTGGCTTTCCTTTTTGTTCTCTTAACAATGTTTATTGATGTGAACCAATGTTCTTAATTTTAATGAAATCTAAATTTTTAGTCTTCTCTTACAAAACTAATAACTTTTATATCCTATTTATGAACTCCTTCAGACAAGCAGAAGACCCTCAGCCACAACCACTACTAAGGTCTCTTACTCTGCTGCCTCCAAATTGGAGAGGAAACATAAACCCTGAGAACATACCAAAACTGTGGTGGGCGGCCTGGGGGTGCCAATTTGTAGTCTATAGCCACGACTTAAGTGGAAGAGGAACCCTCACTTGCAGAGCATTGAGAGGAAACATGGCTGCAACTATGAGGAAATACAAGGGAGACACACAACTGAGCAAGAGCCTACCAACTGACCACTATGCCTGAGTGCCACCTACTGGATCACACCACAAAGCTTCAACACGAAAAATATTTTGCTAACATACCTCTCTGTGAAGCCAAATATAAGAAGTCAGCTACAAATAAAGACCCTGCACAAACACACCAAAAGCAATTGCAACAAAAGTAAAGATTGACAAATGGGATCTAATTAAACTTAATAGCTTCTACAAAGGAAAACTATCAACAGAATAAACAGACAACCTACAGAATGAGAGAAAATATTTGCAAACTATGCATCAGACAAAGGTCTAATACCCAGCATCTATAAGGAACTTAAACAAATTTACAATAAAAAAAAACCATTAAGAAGTGGGCAAAGGACATGAACAGACACTTCTCAAAAGAAAACATACATGCAACCAACAAGCGTATGAAACAAGCTCAATATCACTGATTATTAGAGAAATGCAAATCAAAACCACAATGAGATACCATCTCACACCACTCAGAATAGCTACTATTAAAAAGTCAAAAATAACAGATGCTGGGAAGATTGTGGAGGAAAGGAAATGCTTATACACTATTGGTGGGAGTGTAAATTAGTTCAACCATTGTGTAAAGCAGTGTGGTGATTCCTCAAAGAGCTAAAAGCAGAACTATCATTCAACCCACCAATCCCATTACTTGATATACGCTCAAAGGAATAGAAATCATTCTACCACAAAGACACATGCACCTATATGTTAATTGCAGCACTATTCACAATAGCAAAGACATGGAATCTGCCTAAATGCCCATCACTGACAGATTGAATAAAGAAAATGCGGTACATATACACCGTGGAATATTATGAAGCCATAAAAAAGAGTGAAAGGAATTAGCTCATGCAGTTTTAAAAGCTGAGGAGTCCCAAGATCTGCAGTTTGCAAGCTGGAGACCCAGGAGAGCCAAAAGTATAGTTCCAGTCTGAGGGGTGGAAGACACAGGAAGAGCGGATGTTTCAGTTCTAGTCTGAAGATGGGAAAATAACTTACATCACAATTCATGACAACAAAGCAGGAGGGTTCCCTGTTACCCTTGGGAGGGTCAGCCTCTTTATTCTCTTGAGGCTGTCAACTAATTGGATGAGGCCTACCCACATTACAGAAGGCAATCAGCTATATTCAGTCTAGCAATTCAAATGTTGACCTCATCCAAAACATCCCGTCACAGATGTAGCCAGAAAACTGTTTGACTAAGTATGTGGGCACCCTATGGCCCAGTCTAGTTGACACATAAAATTAACCATCACAGTTGTGCGTCTAATAACAGAGTTTCAAACTTTATAAAGCAAAATACAATAAAATTAAGTAAAAAATATATATATATTCATAATTGAGGTTTTATTACCCTCTTATCAGTATTTGGTACAATAAATAGAAAACTTCGGTATAACCATCCAGTGAATTTTTTACTTTTGATAATGTGCTTTTCAGTTCCAGATCTTCCATTTGGTTCTTTTCCATAGTTTTCATTTCTCTGCTGAGATCCTCCATCTATTTGCTCATATGTCCATCCTTTTCTTGAACATAATTTCAATAAAGTTCTTGTCTACTCGTTCCATCATCTGAATCACCTCTGTGACTGTTTCTATTGACAACTTTATGTCTTGATATAGGTCACATTTTCCTTCTTCTTTGCATTTCTAATGTGTATTTTTTATTGTGTGCTGGACCTCTTGAACATATGATCCAGATGTATAACTCATTTGGATTATGTTCCAACAATGGCATTTTTTAATGAGAATCATAAAGTTTCAGATATTTGCTCAAACTCTCATAACAAAGATGCCTCACAGACCAACTTCACACCTAGATCTTTTTATCTTTTCACGAAAGTAATGGCCCTTAAGGATATCATTGTACTGGCTAGTCTGTTAACATATGCCCTATGTTGTTATTGGAAGAACAAATACTGATAACATATATGTTCCCAAATGGTTGTAATAATTAAGTGACTTTCTTCCTAAATATCTCTTTCAGTAGGTCCTCTAGACAAAGAGAGAAAGATCATAAAAGACTAAGAAATCGGAAAAGATGTCAGTATGAGAAAGTTTTTTCCAAAGAGAGCAGAAAAAAAGGCCAATCTGAAGAGACCTAGTTCTTCAGGAACTTGAATTCCTGCCTTGTATCTTTACTGACACCTAGAATAAAACCTCAGGCACTTAACTCTCTTTGTTTTGCACCCCAATTCCCTTTGCTGTAACAATTTGGAATAATAATACTGACCTCATAGGATTATTTTAAGAATGAAATAAGATGAATTGCATCCTAATTTGGGCTTCATGATAAATACTTGATAAATATTTGTTGAATTCTAATATAAGACTGTTACTAAGGTTATTGAAAAGAAAGCACTCAGGCTTTGAGTTTAAATAACAGGGATTCTCTGATAGCTTGTGATCTGGTACATTTTTGCATCTTACTTTTCTCATTTATAAAATAGGGATAACACTCACATCACATGGGGAAATAGGACAGATTAACTGAAATGATAATGTAAAATGACCAGCCCAGTGCCTCCTATAAAACCTCCATGTAATTAATATGAAAATTTTTTGCTTAACATTATCTTTTATGTGCTCTTACACGGATGCATTATGTTCTCATTTTCTGAAGGTTTAGGGCAAAAAACACACTGTTTCATTTAATTCATCCTCCCCTACCCCCTACATTCCTTACTACTATTCCCTCCCTCCCAGCAATTTTCCTTTCTCTATTTTCTTTCTGCTTTAAGCTCAAGTGGATTAACTACTTCTGAGCATAAGAGACTGAGTTGAATCCTCCCAAAGAAATCTCATCACAGATGGTTGGGAGCCACGCTGATTAGAATGCTAACTGTTCCAGCACCAGGACATGTTTAGAGGTGAGAAAGATAAAAATATTTCTTTCTTAAGCTGAGGATTTCCCAGAAGGTAATAGAAAAAGAGTCTAAATCAAGGTTAAAAAATGAATACATTATCTGTTTGATGTTTACCCATTGGCAGGTCTTATAAGTTAAGAAGAAAGTAATATCTTTGAGGAGGTTCACATTTAAAATCAGTTACGAACAAAATCTGATGGCGTTGAGTGTTTGCATTAGATAAGCTCCTCGAAGTCTAATTCTCAAAGTCAAAGATTTTATGTTTCCATTAGTTTTTTTTTTTTGCCACTATTCTACCAATGGGATAAAAAGTGTGCTGGACTAAGTTTCTGAACAGCTGCTTATTAACTTTGCAATCTTGGGCAATTCACACAAACTTTGTGGACATCCTCCTCTTACAAACCAAGGATATAAACCAAGAGAGTTAATACCACTTACGAGCACCTCTTCTCTTCTATTCCGACTGTTCCTTTCCCATTTCAGTTCCTCAATAGTGCTTCTCCAGGCCATTTCAATAACCATTCTGCCTTTAGCATTGCCCCTCTGGTCAATCTTCCACATGGTTTCTGGAATTATTTTTTGTGAAATGAAAATGTGATATTTCTAAAGAATCCCCAATCTTTGACTGTGGCAGAGATCTTCTTAAACTGCCCACCCTTCTGCCAGACCCAACCATTATTAATAGGATCATATGGTATTTAAAAATAAAATGTTTGTATTAGTTGGCATGGCAGATATAGTTGAGTGCTTATTAAATACCCATGTGTGTCATGATACCTCCTAGTCTTTAAAGTTAGATTGAGGGCAAGTAACTCATTCCAGCCAGCAGGTGCCTGTCAATACTGTTAAAAGGCAATGCACTTCTCCACCTTTGTTTCAATAACCTTGAAGACCCTGGGTTCCTGCTGACATAGGTACCACATGGAAGAGAGCTGTTCTACCCATTTGGGCTTTGTGTGAGTGAAAAATAAATCCTTTTTATGTTACACCATTGAGCATTGCTTTTTGTTTTTTTTTGCTTGTTTGTTTTTGGTTTTTTTTTGTTATCACAACACAGCATAGTGTAGCCTAATAAAATTGCCAACATTTTATAATTAAGAAGTTTTACATAAAAATCTTGATTCCTAGCTTTATTTTCAAAACTAGAAAATCTCTGATCCTGGGTTTGAACACGTGGATGGCAAAAATCTGCTGCACCAGCTGCACCTTCTGCCCAGCTCAAGCATGTGCTCTTTCATTTACTGTCATCTTTCCCCCTCCTCTTTTCTTACTTTTGAGAATCTGACTGACTGAGCTATGTATTTGAGTTTGTGATCCTTGGTCTGCAGAAGACAATTCAGACCTCCTAATGTGGTAAATAAGCCCTTCCTTATTTGAGCTGATTTGTCCCTGCAGTCTTATAATTTAACACCAAATGCACAAGCAAAACTGCACAATCTGCATTTGCTAGAAGATTTCACTGCATTCCATGCCTCTGTTCTTTTAGTTATTTCGGCATCTGCCTCTAGTACCCTTGCTGAATCATTTGATGGACTCTTCTTCAGTTTTCAATATCCATCTTCTGTTTTACTTTTTTGGGAATTCTTTCCAATGTGCTTCTTGCACTTCTCCCAACCAGAAAGGCTCTTCCATTCTAACACCTAATGCTTTGTTCATTTATTCATCTTCTAATTCCCAACCCAAGGGCAGTGCTGAGTACAGAATAGAAACACAGTTCATGCTAATGGGGCAACTGCTGAATTGTGGGATTTCCTTTTCAGATTTCAAAGCAATGCCTGCACATGGTAATGGTTCAAACAGTACAGAAAAGCTCACGGTGGAAGTGAATACTTCCCTCTCCTCACTCTTAATGCCACTGCTCACAAACAGCCTTTTTTCCACTTTACTTCTGCCTTTATTTATTCTATTGTTGGCCTCCATGACTCTATATACCACACTTGAAACTGCATTTTTTGATTTATTGTTTTTCTCCCTTCTTACTCCATCCTCTTCCCAGCATTTGATAGTACTATTGTTATGCTTTAAGTTTTGTCAGTTCTCTGTGTAACTCTAATAATAAGCTTAAACTCTTTTTCTACTGTTTGATAGTGTCTATTAAATTTAACTTCTCTTTCCTCCATTTCCCCTCCCCTCCCCCTCCAGAGCTTCATTCTGTAGGAAACACTTTACACTGTCAAGAATGTTGAAATTTATATTATAGTCTTTACCCTAATCATCTGCGATTTACTTATTCATTGAAATTCAATTCCTTTGTTCTCACTTCAAAACAAGATGCTCCTTCCCCAAACACTCTTATCTCTGTCTCTCCAACCCCATGTTGCCCCTCCTTCTCAGCCAATCTATGTCTGGCCTGTCCTTCAAAACCAAAGAAAAACCCTCCTCTGCTGGGAAGGCTTCCAGCCAAATCGTTTTCTCCCTCCCTTCAAGTCTCTCTTCTCTGCTGTTTGCTAAATCATCATGAAAGCAGGGCAGCTGAGAGCTGAGTCAGGGACTGTCCCAGGCACTATGTGTGTCGCAAGAAATATAGCCTTGTAAGCTAAGTAAATCAAGAGTCAACATTTTTCTTTGTAGACACAGATTAGACTTAATAGGTTGAATTAGTAAATTCAGAAAGAGAACTGTCTTCTAGCCAAGTCTATCATTTTTATAATAATGTGATGTTTTTAAAGCATGATTCTATAGTCTTTGCAATTTAGAGCTGCTGGGCTCTTGGAGGAAGCAGCCACTGTGAGGGTGGAATGGGTAAACAGAAGGACCTTGTTTCTGCACTGGAAGGTTGGAGTCTTGGGTTTCTAATCCAGAACTACCAACTGTTGTCTGGACCACCTCAAGCTAATGGGCTTAGTCTCTCTCTCTGGACTTCTACAGTAATTTAAGTTTGGGTGAAATCATTTCCTAAATCACTTCCAATCCTAACAGACAATGATATCATTCCCCTGGTAAAGATGCTCCTTTCTCATTTGTGCTGTCAGAGTCACCTGTGCTATCTATAGATGGAGAGACTCTTTGGTGGTTTTCTTAATGATCGTATGTTGTTTGACCTACCTCACATTTATTCTCTCTCCTTTTAGTAATCTAACTGATTTTCCATGGAAACATACTCCGACTGTCTGCACATGTGACACTGGTGAGGCTAATCACAACTTCCAGCTCTGGGCTGAGCGTGGGACTCAGCTCAGCTACCTGGTGTGTTCCAACCCTCTGGCCACAAGATTCAATTCAACATAGGCAAGGACCAATCATAGTGACTCACACCATTTCTCAGGTGCTCTTGGGGAAAGGCCTCTTGGAATGGAACCAATACTGAGACTACAGAGCTGAGAGATGGATTATAAACCATGTCCTCGTGTTGTCTGTCTTACTTTTTGTTCTCTTGAAAGCAGAGCCTGAGATAAGAACTTGGTTATAGGTAGTTTATTTGAGAGGTATTCCAGAAAGAAGGAGTGAGGAAGCAGGGAGAGTAAGAAAGAGAAAAAAGGGAAAGCCAATGTAAGTGTGTGTTGTCATGTTTCAGGAAAATAATCAAAAGGACACATTGTTATACCCCATCCCTAGACTTATTCAGTGAAGTAGGGGGAGCTGGAACATTGATCCGTGGATCCCACCTTGGATTGGTTGTAATTTTCCACACTTCTGAGCTTCCTTGCTTTCAGTCTAAGAAGGCTCCTGCAACATCACAAAACGCACTGGGTCAGAGAGTGAGTAGAATCATGATACACAATTGATGTGTGATATTGTCAGTGTGACATGAGACTGAGCTTCCCTATATAGCTAAAGCAATAGAGAACACACATTTTCTGCAGGCACGGTCCTTCACAAGAGGTGAGGATGAGGCCAGCCTAAATGTGCCTGACTTCTCCTTTCAATCATGTCAAATCACACTTTGTCCCTGGGGGGAACTGGGTATGGGGATGGAGAAAAAAACAAGCATTTTTCTAATAGGTTTCCCTCCATGTGGAAGAATCATCAGGAGTGGAGGAATAACACCAACAGCACGCCTAATGCCCATGAAAACACGCATGCAAAGCTCCTAGCTCACCGGTGAGGGATCGATGCATGGGCAATGTTATAAGTCTGCAGAATGCATTCATGAAATTAAATCAAAGATACGCTTATATAGCAACTTGGACCCTGTACATTTCTCTATCCTTGAAATCATTTGTTTGTATGTCTCCCTGCCACACTAGAATGCATACCTCTTGAGGATAGCAACTGTGCCTTCGATATCTTTATCTCATAGTAACTAGCACTGTCTTGCCCAGAGTATATTCTCAAAAAATATTTGGACTATTTTGGATGAATATAAACCACAGGGCTACAATGCTGTGAAGAACTGAGCAACGAAAGAACTGGTCTCTATCATAAAGAGTTGAGACTCTGGTGCAAGAGATGGATTTGTGTGACAGTCAAGCCAAGGGATCATGGGGAAAAGAGAAATAATTTTGACTGGAGTTGGTGGTGTCAGAGAAAGTATAAAAGTAGGACTGAAGGCAGAGGTATAGAGGTGAGCATTCTGAGCAGTGATAGCAACTTTATTAAACCCAGGAAGACAAAACCTTACCAGGCTTCTTCAAAAAGCACTTAAAAACTGTGGGATGACTTGTATGTAGGGTTTGGGTGGAGGCAAGAGGAAGGTGATATGCTTTAGTGGTTAGGAGCACAGGCTTTGGAGTCAGACAGCCCTGGTTCTAAACTTCAGCTGTACAAGTCTCTAGGTGACTTTGGGAAAATTACTTAACCTGCCTTAATCTAAGCTTCCTTTTCTATAAAGTGTCAATGTCAATAGTATCTACCTCACAGAGAACTGTGCAGAGTAATTGAGATATGGCATAGAAAAAATTTAATATGAGCTGGGTGTGATGGCTCATGCCCGTAATCCCAGCACTTTGGGAGGCTGAGGCAGAGGATTACTTGATGCCAGGAGTTCGAAACCAACCTGGGAAAAATGGCAAGATCTCATCTCCACACACACACAAAAAGAAAATAAAAAATTTATCCAGACATGATGGTGCACACCTAGTAGTCCTAGCTACTTGGGAGGCTGAGGCAGGAGGACCACTTGAGCCTGGGAAGTTGAGGCTGCAGTGAGCTATTATCACACCACTGCACTCCAGCCTGGGCAACAGAGATAGACCTTGTCTCAAACAAAACAAAAGAAAACATACAAACAAACAAACAAACAAAAATCTGTGGCCAGGCATGGTGGCTCACGCCTGTATTCCCAGCACTTTGAGAGGCCAAGGTGGGTGGATCGTCTGATCTCAGAAGTTTGAAACCAGCCTCAGCAACATAGCAAAACCCTGTCTCTACCAAAAAATTAGCTGGATGTGGTGGTCCATGCCTGTGTTCCCAGCTACTCAGGAGGCTGAGGTGGGAGGATCGCTTGAGTGGGAAGCAGAGGTTGCAGTGAGCCAAGATCGCACCACTGCATTCCAACCTGGGTGACAGAATAAGATTCTGTCTCAAAAAAGAAAAAAGTAGCGTAATACATAATGCCTTGCTACTATGAAATCATATAGGCACAACATAAACTGTTAAAATTAGCAGAAAATAGTGATGAAAAGGGCATCAAGTCAAGTTTTGAAGGAGTCAAATGTCCAGTTGTATAGTATGAACTCTATCCTATGAGAAAACATGAAAGTGTTCTAAGAAGTGACCTAATGGGAACTGTATTAGAAAGTTATATTTGCTGAATGTACAAAAAAGGATTGGGGTGGGGAGGTGTAGAAAGTTCAGAGATATGAAAACCAGTAGGGCAGAAATTTATAGTTCCTGTGAGAGGCACTGAATGTTTTAACTGACGTTGTAACATGGACAGGAAGAGGTTCAAGGTGTTGAGGAGGTAAAATAATGTGGTGCTCATTAGATTTTATTGTCAAGAAATGGGATTAAGAGTAATTGATGTCGTGGTCCACACCAAGCATGATACATCTATCCTTTTTGCTGGTTTGGGAATGGACCTTTGAGCCAGTGATACATTAGGCAATGTCTATGGAGGGGGTCCTCACTCCTAAGAGAGACAATTCTGCTGATGGAAGCTCTGGGTGTTATTTTATAGACAATGATGCCTGGAGTTGCTATGGCCAGTTTGTGGTCACTGTGGCAGTGAAGCTCACATGGGGAGGGCAGAGCTAGAGAAGCCAGGAAAATTGGGGTAAAGTGGTACTGAAACCCAATGCTTGGTGCCTGCTCTCCCCTAAACTAATTGCTATGTTCTTTCTGTTTGAGCTGGTTGATGTTGGGGTTTTATGTTGCTCCACAGACAAAGTCATCTTGACTAGACTAAATATTGAATGGATTACGATGATGAGGGAAGAGGATAAGTCAAAGGCAACCGTGAGGTTTTAAGCTTTGTGACTAGATGGATGGTGAAGCTGTTCATTGAGATAAAGAACACTGGAGAAGTGCAGATGCAGAGAATGGACTCTACATTTAGTGTTTAATACATCAGATTTGAGATACCAGCCTGATCCTCATTTAGAAAAATCCAATAAGCAATTTGACATGTAGATGTGGACCTCTGATTTGGATATAGATTAGAGTATCACATACAGAGAAGTGAGTATGGTGAGTGAGGCAACCCATGGATAGAAAGCAGGGTGAGTACACAAAGCCATAAATAAACAGAGATGTTTTAGAAGCTCTTTGGAGTTGTTAAAGGCAAGATAATGTGCTTAGGGGAAAAGCAGTCTGGATAAGATGTGCAAGATGATAGGCTCTAAAAAAATGAGGTCTCCCATTTACAATTGCTGCAAAGAGAATAAAATACCTAGGAATACAACTTGCAAGGGACATGAAGGACCTCTTCAAGGAGAGCTACAAACCACTGTTCAAGGAAATAAGAGAGGACACAGACAAATGAAAAAAAATTCCATCCTCATGGATAGGAAGAATCAATATCATGAAAAATGGACATATTGCCCAAAGTAATGTATGGATTCAATGCTATTTCCAACAAGCTACCATTGACTTTCTTCACAGAATTAGAAAAAAACTACTTTAAATTTCATATGGAACCAAAAAAGAGCCCATATAACCAAGACAATCCTAAGCAAAAAGAACAAAGCTGGAGGCATCATGCTACCTGAGTTCAAACTATACTGCAAGGTTACAGTAACCAAAACAGCATGGTACTGGTACCAAAACAGATATATAGACCAATGGAACAGAACAGAGGCCTCACAAATAACACCACACCTCCACAGCCATCTGATCTTTGACAAACCTGACAAAAACAAGCAATGGGGAAAGGATTACCTATTTAATAAATGGTGCTGGGAAAACTGGTTAGCCATAGGTAGAAAACAGAAACTGGACCCCTTCCTTACATCTTATACAAAAATTAACTCAAGATGGATTAAAGACTGAAATGTAAAACTCAAAACCATAAAAACCCTAGAAGAAAACCTGGGCAATACCATTCAGGACATAGGCATGGGCAAAGACTTCATGACTAAAACACCAAAAGCAATTGTGACAAAAGCCAAAATTCACAAATGGGATCTAATTAAACTAAAGAGCTTCTGCACAGCAAAAGAAACTATCATCAGAGTGAACTAGACAACCTACAGAATGGGAGAAAATTTTTGCAATCTACCCATGTGACAAGGTCTAATATCCGGAATCTACAAGGAACTGAAACAAATTTACAGGAAAAATACAACCCCATCGAAAAGTGGGCAAAGGATATGACACACATTTTTGAAAAGAAGACATTTATGTGTCCAAAAAACATAGGAAAACAAGCTCATTATCACTGATCATTAGAGAAATGCAAATCAAAACCATAATGAGATACCATCTCACGCCAGTTAGAATGGCGATTATTAAAAAGTCAGGAAACCATAGATGCTGGCAAGGCTGTAGAGAAATAGGAACGCTTTTACACTGTTGATGGGAGTGTAAATTATTTCAACTATTGTGGAAAACAGCGTGGCCATTCCTCAAGGATCTAGAAGCAGAAATACCATTTGTCCCAGCAATCCCATTGCTGGTTATGCACTCAAAGGAATATAAATCATTCTCCTATAAAGACACGTGCACACGTATGTTTATTGGAGCACTATTTGCAATAGCAAAGACTTGGAACCAACCCAAATGCCCACCGATGATAGACTGGATAAAGAAAATGTGACACATATACACCATGTAATACTATGGAGCCATATAAAAGAATGAGTTCATGTTCTTTGCAGAGACATGGATGAAGCTGGAAGCCATCATTCTCAACAAACTAACACAGGAACAGAACACCAAACACCACATGTTCTCACTTCTAAGTGGGAGTTGAACAAAGAGAACACATGGACACAGGGAGGGGAACATCACACACCAGGGCCTGTCAGGGAGTTGGGGGCAAGAGGAGGGAGAGCATTAGGACAAATACCTAAAGAATGTGTGGCTTAAAACCTAGATGGCAGGTTGATAGGTGCAGCAAACCATCATGGCACATGTATACCTATGTAACAAACCTGATGTTCTGTGCATGTATCCTGGAACTAAAATTTTTTAAAAAATGAAGTCAAACTCATACCTCATTCCTTGAAGATTTCATGTTAATGAACCACACATCAAGGTGGCCCCCAAATAGAGAGAAAACCAAGCAGCTAATGACATCCACAATTTTTAGCAAATGATGGGATTATGTGCTCTGTAATTTGGTCTTGACAAGGGCATAATAGGGCAAAAGGATGCAAAGAGAGAGAACAGGTGTGTATGGAGGCCTTTTTCTGTGCCAGGTGTAGCACACAGCATGAGCCATTTTATCTTGATTCCACGTTATGAGATGTAGGTACTGTTATCACACCGATTTTACAGGGGAGGTAAAGGAGACTCAGGAATTTAGACAACTACCCACAATTAGATGGTCAGCAAACCCTGGTCTGCCTGACTCTAAAATCTTTGCTATCTGCTCTATGATATGTAGTCTTTGGTAAGTGTATAACATAATTTCTTGTAGAATAATCATCTGTTTTATCTTACTTGCATGCTGCTGGTGGCAGATTCCATGACTCATTTTCTAATTGTGGGTTTTGCAAGCAATCTAGCATAGTGCAGTATGAGTAAAATCTACTTAATAATTGCCTATGTGAGAAACAACTTCATGAAATAAATATTGGCTAGATTATAGATTGATCCTTGTATCTTGACTGGTTATGGTATCTTGGATTATTGTCAAACAGGTATTCAGTCCTCTCAAAGATTTCCTGTGGGCAGAGTATGTTTCCCATTCATGAATGTGGGGTTAGCCATATGACTTGTTTTGATAATGGAATGTTAATACACATGAAACAGGCAAAGGCTTGAGATCCCCTTGTGTGGTTGAACTCTGCCTCTTGTACTTCTGTTATTACCATGAGAAAATTCTTCCCCAGGTGACTTGCTTGCTATGTCCAATGAGTTCTTCCTGCTTGCTGCACAGACAAAATTAATTCACTGAAACTGTGACATTGCAGTAGAGAAAGAGTTTAATTGATGTGAGCCTGGCCCACGTGGGAGAACTGGAGTTATCATTCAAATCAATCTCTCCAAGGCTCAGAGGCTACGGCTTTTATGGACAATTAGATGGGCAGTGGGCTAGGGAATGGGTGCTGCTGATTGATTGGGGATGAAATCATAGGGGTATGGAAAACAGGCCTCAGGTGCTAAGTCTGCCTCTAGGTGGGGCCACAGGTTTAGTTGAGTTATGAATCATGAGTCCCAGTGGAGTCAGTCTTAAATATATTTCAAAAGACCAATCTTAGTTTCTATAATAAGGATGTTGTCTATGGGAGCAATTGGAGAAGTCACAAATCTTTTGACCTCTGGCCACATGACTCCTAAGCAGTAAGGGATTATAGAAACTATGCCTGTCTCGTAGTGTAGTCTGTGCTCCTCCCATAATCCTATTTTTTATGGTTTTTATTAGGCTTACAAAAGTAGTTTTCATCCCTGAGCAAAAAGAAGGTTAGTTTTAGGGAGAGACTATTATTATCCTTGTTTTAAGTTAAACTATAAACTAAATTCTTCCCAAAGTTAGCTTAGCCTACACCCAGGAATGATGAAGGACAGCAAAGGGATCAGAAGGAAGTTGGCGTCAACTATGTCAGATTGCTCTTACTGTCATAATTCTGCAAAGGTGGTTTTATGCTGGCCCCAGATGAATGAGAGATATGTAGAGCAGGGCTGTTCCAACTGAACCATGACTTGAAGCAAAGACATCACAACCACCTGCAGAGATTTGAGTGTGAGAATGAAAGTTGCCTCCCATTTCATGCCACTGGGCTCTGGGGTGGTTTGTTACATTGCAATAGCTGACTGACGTGATTCTTCTCAGTATAAATTATATTTACTGATGGTTCTGATTTATTCATTTATTCAACTAATATTTATTTTGTAATTACTGGACTGGGCTCAGGAATAAACTTCTCAACATAGTAGTCACAACCCTCTTGTCATGGTGTTCCCACCCTAGGGGGGAAAAGAAGATGTTTGAATAAAGTATGAAAACAATGTATTTGTTAGTGATAGGGGGAGGTCATAGACTATGAAAAGCATAGTAAAGGCATCATCTCATTGTAGGTTTTATAGTCAAGAGAAGAAGTAAATTAGTGTTATCTGAAGTAGAAATGATGTTAGAAGTCAGGATAAGAAGACATTTTGAGAGGAGAGAGAGATAGAGGAAGAAAGGAAGCCACAGACAGAAAAAAAGAAAACATATGCAATGTCCCAGAGAAAAGAGAAAACAGACTATTAGGGGATGGTAAGACTACTCAAAAAAATGAAAGCAAAATGAGTAGTGGGAAAGGATAATGTTGGAGAGATGACTGAGCCCAGATCATGTAAGCACTTGAAATATTTTATTAAACTTTAAAAATCCAACTATTTTCCCCTTCTAAAATTAGAAAAAAATGTAGTCTATTCAAATAACACATTTTGCAAATTTTAGGGAATAATTTAAAAAGTTTTAAAGGTCCCTTCTAAAGTCAACACACCCACTCTAGTGATGAGGTCCTAACACATTCCTAATTAACCAGGAGCTCGTTTTATTTTCCCAATCACCACACTCAGAAGGCCATGTGGAAAAGTCAACATGAGGGTGTGAACATGTGCTTTCCTCAGCTCTTTATTGCTTGCTTTAGACGTTGCCATGGGTAACCAAAGTGTCTTCAAGAAATTAACAGTTTGTGCTTACAGAAGGCGGGCAATAGACAGAGCAGGAAAATCTTCTTTCACAACCCCCAATTTTCCCAGGACCCCTCCTGTTGGAGTCTTCTAAGACACCAGTGGTCTCATTAGCTTCTCCAAATGGAGACTATAAACTCCACAAGGGTAGGGAAGGTGTCCCTTTTGCTCATTCATAAACTCTCATTCAACGATGTTGACCTTAATGATGACAATAATTATCTAGACCATATTATCTTTTTTTTTCTTTCAAAAGCAAATGAGAGGATAGGCATGAACAGAAAATAAGCTTGCATCCCCAGGGTATAGCACAATTCCTGGCACATAGCAGGAACTCCATGCATATTTGTTGAATACATGAATTAATGAGTGAACAAATGAAAGAGTTGCTAATATAAATCACAATTAGCTGATCCATGTCTGCTTCCTCTACTACTAGATTGTAGTTTCCATAGTGACAAGGAGCAGGTCTCATGCTTCTATGTGCCTTCAGCACCTATCATGGTACCACACAGGTAACAGACATCTTACCTTACAGGTAAGCAGATACTACGGTGTATTAGCCCGTTTTCACACTGCTATAAAGATACTACCCAAAACTGTGTAATTTATGAAGGAAAGAGGTTTAATTGACTCACAGTCCTTCATAACTGGGGAGGCCTCGGGGAACTTACAATCATGGCAGAAGGGGGAGCAGTCACCTTCTTCACAACACATCATGAGAGAGAAAGGTAAAGCGAAGTGGGGAAGAGCCCTGTTTTATTTTCATCAGGAGAGAGAAGGGTAAAGCAAAATGGGGAGAGCCCCAGATCTCGTGAGAAGTCACCCACTATCATGAGAACAGCTTGGGAGAAACCCCCACCATGATCCAATAACCTCCCTGCCTTGACACGTGGGGATTACAGGTCCCTCCCTTGACACGTGGGGATTGCAGATCCCTCTCTCTACATGTGGGGATCAAAATTCGAGATGAGATTTGGGTGGGGACACAGAGCCAAACCATATCATATGGTCTTATTGAATGAATGATTGAATGAAAGAATGAATTTGTGACATATTGCAAGGATAGCAATTGCTAACCAGAAATAGGTTGGAGTCCAGAGTTCAGTGTCAACACAGAAACAGATTAAAGAAAGTGGATTGAACAGGTTGAAAGACATGGACAAACACAAAATAACAGATGAAGAGGGGGTAAAATTAAGTAACCAAAAAGAGATTAGGGTGGAACAGCATGTCTTAGCTCACTCTGCACTCTCTGCCTGGGACATTTTCAGCTCCCACACCCCCTCAGTCCTTGTCTGCCTTCTCCATCTAGTTGCTTCTTCCTCAGTTATTAAGATTCAGCCTAGATATATCACTATGGTATTTTAATTCCTTGTAAGGATGAAGATGACAATGTTGACAATAAGGATGATAATAATAATTATCTAGACCAAATTATCTTTTATTTTTCTTTTAAAGGCAAATAAGGACATGGTAGACATGAGCAGAAAATAAGCATTTCCTATTTGATTTCTTCAGTATTGTCAAGCCAAGCCTTATGTTTTTTAGGGGAAGTAGATCTGGTCCAGTGATGTTGACATTTCTCTGTGGTTTTGTAGAACTGTTGGGTTCCTTTAAGTAGTTGACTCCTTAGGAGTTTAGGGATTTCTGACCCTCCTCATGGGCAGACTCCACCCATTCTCCAGACTGTCATTCCAAAACCTCTTTCAGGGTACACAGCTGCGTTGTGTGACATTTCAGAAGAAAGCTCCACCAATGTGCCCGGGAAAATCCCAGCCAGCATAAGGGGCCCAGTGTTTACAATCTAACTCCAGACCACTGTGTGTCCTGGTGGGGGTGCTACTAGCTGAGTTTCAAGCATGAAGCTTGATTTCAAGCTAGTAACAAGAGAGTAAGGAAAGAAAGGTTCTTGGTGCAGAGAGGTCTCATGGCAGCTGGTCTATGAATGTCTTTCAGGTGCTTTGTGGGCTTTCTTTCAGAATATGAAGGTTGCTGATGAGGGAATGTCTCTGGTTTTATTTATACTGTGAACTATGTGTTTACTTGTCCTTTTTAGTTCAAATGATAGACATTGCCTCACCCATGTACAACACCACTCATCTTCCATTTATTCTGGAAACACTCAACTGGGGAGTGCAGGCTCATTCTGGGCATCTCCAGTCCTCATGAAGTGTTCTGTAAATCTCCCAAATTGGAGATCCAAATTCCCTGAGAAGGCAGCTGATGGGGAGAAAACATCATCTATCTTTCCTTTCTTCCACCCAAATATTTATCAAGGCATAATTCTGGGCATAGAACTATGCCTGATGTGAGGTTTGCAAGAACAAGAGAGGATGAACAATTTTTGTTTTTGAGACAGAGTGTCACTCTGTCACCAGGCTGGAGTGCAATGGCACGACCTTGGCTCACTGCAACCTCCACCTCCTGGGTTCAAGCGATTCTCCTGCCTCAGCCTTCCAAGTAGCAAGGACTACAGGTGCGCACCACCATGCCTAGCTAATTTTTGTATTTTTAGTAGGGATGGGGTTTCACCATGTTGGCTAGGGTGGTCTCGATCTCCTGACCTCATGATCCGCCCACTTCGGCCTCCCAAAGTGCTGAGATTACAGGCATGAGTCACCGCACCCAACCAGGATGAACAATTTTTATGGAACATCTGCAGAGACACAGCCATGCTCCTCAGCCCACTCATGTGAATTCGTTTTTAATCAACAAAACACTGTAAGATACATATTATTATTCTGGTTTGTTCTCCTCAAGAGAAAGTAGCCGTGTAGGAATATTAACTTGTCCACGTTCATAAAACCATAAGCAGCTAAGCAGTCAAGGGAGGAATCTCTTGACCTGGATCTAGCATCTGCTTCCTACACAGCCCCCATCCCTAGAGCTGGCTCCTAGGATCCCACCTCTCATAAGGTCAGTTAGATGGGTCCATGCTTCTCCTCCTGGAGATGTAGTCCCAGCTCCAACAATGTCCAGATCTAGTGTCTGCAGTCTCCTACATTTCTCTTGAGGCCTTTCTTCTGCTGCCTCCTGTTCCTCTTCCGCTCCTGTTTACTGTCTTCGAGAACCTTTTTTGAGCACTCGTTCACTGAGCATCACTGACTCCTTGGTATCATTAGGTCATAATGTCCCCTCGGTTAACAGGTCTCAGTTCCCCACTAAGTGCCCCTTGTGGTAAGGAAGTCTGTTCATTGCAATGAGTATTTAAAGTACCATCTAGCAGGGGAAGAGGACATTTTAAAGAGATTGTATGGGGTTTATAATAATGTCCCCACCAAGTTATCAGAAACCACACTGTAGACTCAGTCATCCACCCTACTTATATACGTGATGAGTTGAGTCAAAATGAATATCCTAAAAACTAAGAAGAGAAAATTGTCCTAATTAATAGCTCCCAGAGGCATGGAGAAGGCACAGCTGTGGATTATGGCGGTAAGGGGAAGAGGAGGAGCCTGATAATGTCAGGGAGCTAGAAACAGTCCAGTGTGTGGAGCTCAGCCCTGGAAGTCTACAGCCCAAACAGTAAATACAGGAGTTTAAAATGCAGGGGTTTGTGTACAGCTATGCTCTTAGCAGCATTATTCACAGTCACCAAAAAGTAGAAGCATCCCAAGTGTCCATTGATGGAATGAATGGAGAAAGAAAATGTGGTGTATATGCACAATGGGGTATTACTCAGCCTTAAAAAGAAAGGAAATTCTGGCACATGCTATGACATGGATGAACCACGAGGACATTATGCTAAGTGAAATAAGCCGGACATAAAAGGACAAATGCTCTATGACCCCACTTATATGAGGTACCTAGAGTAGTCAAAATTATAGAAAGAAAAAGTAGAAGAGTGGCTGCCAGGGGCTGGAGGGAGGGGAAAGGGGAAGTTGTTTAATGTGCATGGAATTTCAGTGTTGCAAGAGGAAAACATTCTAGAGATTGGTTGCACAATAATGTAAATGTTCGTAATGCTACTGACCTGGGCACTTAAAAATAAGATGGTAAATTTTATGTTTTTATGTTGTATGTATTTTTCCACAATTTAAAAAAAAATACAAGTTTTATCCAGATGGGTTTCTACAAACCCTGAGGATATAATTTGTGAATTGGGGTAGCAACTCTAGTTAAGGTCCAGACAATAAGTGGGTTGATGAGATAGAGGGAAAGAGAGGGCAGGGAGCAGAGAACTTCAGGTATTGGGGAGGTGGAAGGGAAGTTTCCAGACCCAGAGGTTGAGATGGAGTCTGCCCTCTGAATAGCCAGCGAAGAGCATTTCAAGGAGACAGTACAGTGAGTACAGTCTCTTCCACACAGGGGAAAAGCTGCAATCATAGAACAAAGGTGACTTCCCAGCACATGAGCTTGCTAAAGGGAGAATGGGCAGAAGTGAAAGAGGAGGTAAGAGACAATTGCCTATTTCAAAGCTTCCAATGCAGTGGGAAGCAGCTGAAATTTTATGCTAAAAGTAATTGAGCATGATTTTCAATAGTAGAGCATTAACTGAGTATTAATGTTAGGATATAGCATAGAATAGCAATATTTCCAAGGACCTGAGCCAGCAAGACTGCACTGGTAATGATGAGATAAAACTCTGTCGGTCAGACTTCTTCATGGGGAAGGAGTCAGGCTGAGTGAGGTCAGATCTGACTCTAGAATGCCCATAACCCCGTAAGCTTCCAGGGAGCCCTCCCATCCCCTCCAGAGCACAAAGCCTATGATCAGAGACTCCCTGAGTTCAAATACTGACTCCTCCCCTTAGCAACCGTGTGACCTTGAGCAAGTTACTTAATCTCTCTGTACCTGGTTTTCCTCATCTGCAAAATGAATGTGCTAATAACAGGGTATCACATTGCTGATATGAAGATTTTGTGAATTATGAGTTATCCTATGTGCTCATAATCATGCCTGGCACCTAATGAGAGGTATCTGAGTGATAGCTGTCAGGATTACTGTGGTTACATTGGATTCTCAGGGCCCCTGGATGGGGCCAACACACAGCAGGATCTTTGCCTTCAGTTTAGAGATGAGGAGACATGATCTCATGTTGATAAATAAAAAAAATACATGTGCTTAGGTCTAAGGCACCCCGTGAAGCAGCTACACAGAGATGGTGTTTGAATGAGCTTAATGATGGTACAGTGTAGGGAAAAGAGACTGCTCCAGGTGACCAGTGTGCAGAGGAGGGACTTTGGTTTAGCAGTGGAATCTTCCTGTTTCTCCATTTGCATCAGTTCTTCCACAAACTTGGGGCCTGAAGGTCCACCTGGGTTGCGTCGCATTACCTCTCTAGGCTTGAGCACAGAGGGGAGGCCCTCTAGCTGCTCTTCTGGAGCCCAGGTGGCATGTACAGGATTGGGAGTCATCTAGCTGGCCTTCCCTAAGCCTCAGCTTCCACATCTGTAAAGCAGGGTCATATCGCCCATCTTGCAGGATAGCTACAGGGAAGGATTAAATAGCATGAGGCACCATCCAGTGTCTAGTGTATGATATGTGGTCAATGTGTGTCTTGCCTTTCCTTTCCAGAGCTCATGCCAATGTTTCACATAAGAAAATGACTGAAGGAAAGTCTTCCTTAGTCTACAGCCACCTCAGCAGAGTCACAGTATCTCCATTGTATTAGTCTGTTTTCACACTGCTATGAAGATACTACCTCAGGTGGGTTATTTATGAAGGAAAGAGGTTTAATTGACTCACAATTTTGCATGGCTGGAGAGGCCTCAGGAATCTTACAATCATGGTAGAAGGCTAAGGGGAAGCAAGGTATATCCTATATGGTGGCAGGAGAGACAGATGCCATAGGGGACACTCAGATCTTGTGAGAACCCCCTCATTATCACCAGAACAGCATGGGGAAAACCGCTTCCATGATCCCCATGATCACCTCCCACCAACTCTTTCCCTTGACACATGGGGATTAGAGTACGAGATGAGATTTGAGTGGGGACACAGAGCCAAACCATATCACCTATTAACTCTGATGCAGCTGACTCCAGAATCACTGGAAAGATTCATTCTTTCAAAAAACATTGATTGATCATCTACTTTGCAAGTCTTTGCAGCATCCTTACCATACAAATATTATTATCTCCATTTTATAGATGAGAAAACAAACTCAGGCAGAGGAAACTTTCCCAAAATTGGAGTTTTGAATATGCTTGACTCCCCAAAATTAGCTTTAGATGAGCACCCATAAGCTTTTATGTATTGCAACACAGGGCTACCTGTAACTTTTGTAATTTCCCATCAGTGTCTTGCCTTTTCTGGAAATCGACTTATCTCCTGGATTCCATCTGTTGTTAAGGTATGACATTTAATGGCTCATGGAAAAACAAGGACAAGGTAGAGGAAAAACATATGACTTATGGCAAGCCTCCTCACTCAAATCTAACACCCATCCCTGAATAGAAGGATGGGTAAGGTTTCTAGTTTTAGGAAACAGAAATACTGCACACCGAGTTAATTGTATCTGTCAACCCTAAGGGTTGGGGGCATCTCTTGTGCCGGGCAGGGGATGGATTCAGAGGGGAAAGAGAAGAGAAGAGTCTCCTTCAATCTCAAGGACAGTTATTTGAACTGTCAATCCTCTTTTCTCCCTCCTGAGTAGCTGGGAATACAGGTGCACCTGTCACTCAGTTGTTTGAACCTGGTCCAGGACGGCAATACCAAGAGAAAAATGGTGTACTTCTATTTCCGAGTAGCTGGAAATACAGGTGCACCACCAAGGCTAGATAATTTTTATTTTTTTTGTAGAGGCGGTGTCTCACGTTGTTGCCTAGGTTGGTCCAAAACTCCTGACATCAAGCAATTATCCCACCTTGGCCTCCCAAAGCACTGGGATTACAGGCATGAGCCACCATATGGCCCTACACTCATTGAATCCTCATAACAACCCTGCGAACTAAGTACTGATTTTTTGACTATGTTACAAATGGGGATATTGAGGTTAAAGTAGTTAGGTAATTTGCCTAAGATTGCACAGCCATTAAGTAAAAGAGCTGGGATTTGAACTGAGGCATTCTGGGGCCAGAGTCCATATTCTTAACTATTTTATTATACTGTCTCTTGTAATAGTGGGTACGCGCATATTGATTGAATAAGTTTATGAATAAACAGGTCATTCTAAATTGAGTTAAAAGATAAAGGGAGAGCCAAAAAAAGTAAGCAAAAAAAGATAAACATGCACATATTTATAGAAGTCCAGGCACAATTCTCCTGGTCAAGAAGGTGCTGCCTCATCTCATATTTTTTCTCACTCTCCATGCTTGTTCTTATCTCTGCTTTTAAGGGTGCTGCAAAAGGCTTCTGACATTTAAGACCCCAGAGTAAAGCTATGCCTTCCCCGTGTTAAAATGGTAATTATGGTGGATTTTATACTGACTGTGTTTTAGACCCTGCACAGTCTGAGCCTCTGCTATATGAGCCTTTCAGATCACTGCCACCTGCCAGCATGTCCAGGACCCCGCTTTGGTTTCTCTGAGATTATGCCTGAGCAGTGGGAAAAAGGAAGGGTTGATTTCAACTCAAGATAGTTTGGATGGGGCTCAGTAAGGTCTCAGGGCAGCACGGTCTGGAGTCCCTCTTCCAAAAAATCTTTTTGCCCTCACAATAACCACTGAGATTGGGGATGTCATTATTGTCATTTTTAGGAGTAGGTAACAAGACTAAGAAAAGCTACATAGTTTTGTTAAGAACATGCAGCTTATATGGGTAAGACTTGAAGGCAAGTCCTCTGATACCAGGCCTAACCCTTCATCTATTCACTCTGCTCCCTTGTCACAAGGCTGAATCACAGAGGCAAGGCTATGTTCACATAACACTTGAACCCACTGACTTCAAAGGTGAACACATCATGTAAGAACTGCCTGAGATTGGCAAATTCTGATTTCTAGTTTGCCATTCAATATTTGTTCATTCCATTATTGTATTTGCTGTTGTTCATAAATTAATCAAATATAAGATATGTTATCTACAGTTAAAAATGACTTTCCTTTTCTCTTTCTCTTTTTGTACCAACAACATTCATATTTTATCCAAAGGAATGTAGTCAATCATGTCCAGAGGTGTTGACTCTAGATGTCCTTATCTTATCAGAAAACAACAAACTTAATCACTGCACACAAACTTATCATGGCAACTAAATCTAAATAAAATTTAACTTCCTTGAGATTTTACCAGGCATTGCCACTTTTGTGTTTAAAAATGATTTTCAGCTATTTCTGTCAATTAAAATAATGAATGTTTGGATTTTTCTAATTTTTAAAAATTCGAGTCACCGTAGTAGGATGAAGAGGCCTCTTTTCTTATACATTGGCATGTGGTGCTCCGCTGCAAAGATGACTATTATCTGAATGGTAGGTTGCTGGTGAGAAGGGAAAAGTCCAGATTGGTAGACCTAGAGTTTAGTGCACTCAGCTAATTATGGGGTTGGTCAGG
The DNA here is from genome assembly GCF_000001405.40 of Homo sapiens. Lineage (NCBI taxonomy): Eukaryota > Metazoa > Chordata > Mammalia > Primates > Hominidae > Homo > Homo sapiens. The sequence continues at coordinate 134,016,982 of NC_000008.11, read as the reverse complement.
GAATGGTTGGTCCCAGTAGCAGTGTCTTGGGGAAGCAGAAAAACTCTTCAGTGTAGGAAGTTGAATATAACAGATGCAGCCTAGCAACAGAAGATCCAGGGCAGCTGGGGACCCGTGCTGTAAGCAAGGCAGCATTATGACTCCTAATGGATAACCTATGTCTGTGTTGGAGGTGCAGAGAGCAGGTGAACTAGTGGCAAGGAAACAGAGTGTCAAGTTGGAAATGAAGTCACAAAAGCCTAAGCAAATATTCACGTGGCTGGCCTCTGGTGCAGGGGCACAACACAAGAGGCCTTGGGTCAAGTAAAAGCCAGCAGCCCTGGTCTAAGGGAAATTCTATAATTTTGATAACCATCTGCTGGTGGGGTGAGAATCTCTTGTACACACCTTGTTCAATATCAGCTCAAGGACCAGCTAAAGGAGTGTCTGCAGGGGAAGATATTGACTAACTATAGCTGGGTGAGAATGGAGAAGAAAGGAGCTGAAAACATCTAAATCACTAAGAAGATCTGAGTTTCTCATTCATTTTAATGTGTTTTGCTTTTCTCAGTTCTGATAGCAGCTGTGTTATCAGCCTGGTTGTACAAGTAATGGATCCAATGACCTCAGCTATGTTATTGACCAAGTTACAAGTCTACATATCTGCCCAGTTGAGAAATGAGGTCCACTGTGGAATTATCTAATTCCTTGGTACTCATAGTGTGGTCCAGGGATCAGCCCCATTGGCATCACCTGGGAGCTTGTTAGAAGTATGAAATCTCAGACTCCACCCTTGATCTCCCAAACCAGATTCTGCATTTAACATTGACGCTGATGATTCCTGTGCATAACACAACTGGAGAATCTCTGATCTTCTTGGTTTTAGGATTGGAGGGAACTAAGTCCTTCATTCTGTCATTGTACTCTTCAGCATAGAGGGAAAGGTATGGGCAGGAAGATGGAGTGTGTAATACAGCTATGTCATTTATTGGGCTTGGATCTTTGGGCAATTAATCCCTATATCAATCTTGATCTCTTTATCTGTAAAATGAACACAATAACATCTCCATCCTGTGGGTGTGAGGATTAGTAAAATGATATCATGTATATAAAATGACTGCATATGGTGCTTGAGAAATGACAGATGCTCGGTGCACATGAGGATGGCAACACTGGTGATGCTAGTGCTAGCTAACACCATTACCACCCACTGCAGCTTTCAGGCAGCTCTCCCTTTGTACATTCAGCTGCAAGGCTCGGTGCAAACTGAATAGCAAGTTGGAGGGGAAGAAGGAGGAATCTAAGACTGGCAGAGTTGGGTACAAAGAGCACAGGCTTCTGACCATTAGGAATCTCTGTCTTCATCCCTTTTTCCTCTTACTGATGTAAACGAATGGCTTCATTTATGGTCTCAGCAGGTCCTAACCCCTGGTCCAATCACATGCACTAGTGGGGGAGGGGGCTGTTCTTGAAAGGGTCTAAATGCCTTCAGCTTAGGATTTGCTCTCTCTTCAGGCCAATTTGCCTCACCATATTAAACTGCTAGACCTGAAGTTTTCAATCCTTAGTTGTCATCAGAACTAGCTGGAGACCTTCTGCAAAACAGAGATTCTTGGATCCTACACCTAAGATTCAGATTCAGTAGGTCTGGAATGGGGGCCAAGAAGCAGCATACCCAACCAGCTTCATCTTAGGCTGATGATGCTGGCTTATGGACCTCATTTCCAGCAGCAGTCGGGGATTCTGTTGAGGGTGGTCTGGGGAAGTCTCCACAGCTGATATGGTTTAGCTGTGTGTCTCCACCCAAATCGCATCTCGAATTGTAATCCCCACAATTAATGTTGTGGGAGCGACCTGGTAGGAGGTGATTGGATCGTGGGGGTGATTTCCTGCATGCTGTTCTCATAATCGTGAGTGAGTTCTCATGAGAGCTGATGGTTTAAACTGTGACACTTCCCCCACTTGCTTGCACACTTGCTCACTCTCTCCTGCCACTATGGGAAGACATGACTTGCTTCCCCTTTGCCTTCTGCCATGATTGTAAGTTTCCTGAGGCCTCCCCAGCCGTGTGGAACTGTAAAGTCAATTACACCTCTTTCCTTTATATATTACCCAGTCTCAAGTCATTCTTTATAGCAATGTGAGAACAAATGAATACAATGAGGCTGTGCATTAAACCAGTGCAGGTTATGGCTTACTTACTTTTTTTCCATGCATGCTCCCAATGCCCCACTGCTAGCCCAGAGCCCAACACATACAGCAGCTTAGTAAGTATTTATTGAATAACAGAATTCCCACCAATCACAACATTTCTGTTAGTCTTTATTATAGAACTGGAATCTTACCATAACATCTTTTCCCAGAAGCCAGAACCTAGCCTCTGCCTGATATATTAGTTTCCTGTGGCTGCCATAACAAATTACTACAAACTGAGCTGCTTAAAATATCAGGAATTTATTATCTCACAATTTTGCAGATTAGAGGTCTGTAGTTAACATGTCAACAGGGACGTGCTCCCTCCAAAAGGTCTAGGGGAGAATTCTTCCAGGCCTCTTTGTAGCTTCTGGTAGCTCCTGGAAACCCTTGATGTTCCTTGACGTGTAGCCATCTCACTGCAATCTCTACCCCCATCTTCGTGAGGTCTCCTCCCTGTGTGCTTGTGTAAGGATGCTAGTCATTGGATTTAGGGCCCACCCTAATCCAGTATGGACTCATCTTAACTAATAACATCTGCACAGACCCTATTTCCAAATAAGTTCACATTCCGAGGTTTCAGGTGGCATGAATTCGGAGTGGGAGGGTACTATTCACCCCATTACACCCAGTATGTGTACACCAGACCCATCTGATTTGAGGTTCAGTTAAGGCAGGTAGGTCACCTCTGCATTCTCTTGGTCTCTTCTCCCCTCCTGAGTCTGAACAGCAGCTTCAAGCTTGATGCATTGTGGCTTTTGCTTTTGTTTTCACTGTGCCCTGCTCTGTATGTTCTCATCTGACTCTGATGGGACATGTGTTAAACTTTGAATTTCCCATACTTTCTCCTACTGGGACATCTTCTTATAACCCTTCAAGAACCCCCACATCAATGGTAGTTCTCAAACTGAAACAAGGGTTGGAGAGTGGTATACAAACTTAAGGAAAAGAAGGCAAATTGTTCTGGATTGTGTATTTTTTCTAGGAAAGCTTGATAGAAAACAAATTTAGATTAAAGAAACAGCTATTTTGAGAAAAAAAGTCTCAATGTACTTTTTTGTTGTTGTTTGTTTGTTTGTTATTTAGATGGAGTCTTGCTCTGTCACTCAGGCTGGAGTGCAATGACACCATCTTGGCTCACTGCAACCTCCACCTCCCAGGTTCAAGCGATTCTCCTGCCTCAGTCTCCTGAGTAGCTGGGATTACAGGTGCATGCCACCACGCACAGCTACTTTTTGTATTTTTAGTAGAGATGCGGTTTCACCATATTGGTGAGGCTGATCTCGAACTCCTGACCTCATGATCTGCCTGCCTCGGCCTCCCAAAGTGCTGAGATTACAGGCGTGAGCCACCATGCCCTGCCCATTGCTTTTTTTTTAAGAATAAATATGACAGACTTCAAATCCATTTCAAGCTAGCATTGAGCTACTTGGGCTACTTTTTTCTGAGACTTCTCAAACGTGACCATGTGCCTCCGCTTTGGAAATACTTTAGTGGGAGAGGAGGAGATTTCAGCTCCTTCATCGCTTGAGCAAGACTGTCTTTGATGTGGCCCTGTCTTCCTGTCAAGCCTCATATTCTCACTTTCCTACCCACTCTGTACCTATGATCCTGGGATACCAAGCTCTTTAAGAAGTCCAATGTCGGTCAGGCACAGTGCCTCACGCCTGTAATCTCAGCACTTTGGGAGGCTGAGGTGGGCGGATCACTTGAGGTCAGGGGTTCGAGACCAGCCTGAAAAACATGGTGAAATCCTGTCTCTACTGAAAATACAAAAATTAGCCAGATGTGTGGTGGGTGCCTGTAATCCCAGCCACTCAGGAGGCTGAGGCAGGAGAATCACTTGAACCTGGGATGTGGAGATTGCAGTGAGCTGAGACCATGCCCTCGCACTCCAGCTTGGGCAACAGAGTGCAACTCCATCAAAAATAAATAAATAAATAAGTCAGATGTGGTGGTGTGCGCCTGTAGTCCCAGCTACTCAGGAGGTTGAGACAGAATTGCTTGAACCCAGGAGTTGGAGGCTGCAGTGAGCCGAGATTGCACCACTGCACTCCAGCCTGGGTGACTGAGACTCCATCTCGAGAAAAAAAAAAAAGAAAAAGAAAAGAAAAGAAATCCAAGGTCTTTCATGCTTCTATGCCCCTGCACACACTGTTCCTGCTGCCTGGATACCTTTGTTCCTCTCACACATGACTGGCACTTATTCATCCTTTAAGGCCTCACTCCAGTTTCACCTCTTCCAGGAACCTTCCTGAATGCTTTGTGATGAAATTAAGTTCCCCTCTACTGCACCCCTGCTGGGCTTACCTGCAACCTTACACACTCCAGTGTGCTAGCATGCATGGCCATTTGCTGCTAGCACTCTGTCAGCTTCCTGTAAAGGCTGAACGATGGGAAGCAGTCAACATATCATCATTTCCCCAGCCTCTGACAGATGGCCTTGCAGAGAGTTGCTCTCACTGTTTGTGTATGCACCAAATGAGAGAACACAGCAACAGGCCAAGGAATGAGTGAACACCTTGCTTTGAGGACTCAGACGTTTTCGCTAAGACTCCTGTGTTAGCTTATATTGCTGTTGTAACACATTGCCACAGTCTTAGTTTAAGACAACATAAAATTTGTTATCTTACAGTTCTGGAGATAAAAGGTCTACAATGGGTCTGTGTAAAATCAGGGTGTCAGTAAGGTTGGATTCCTTCTGGAGGCTTCAGGAGAGAACCCGTTTGTCTTTCCCAGCTTTCAATGTTGAAGGAATGTGCCTGCCTTCCTTGATTGTGCCCCCTTCCTCTGTTTTCAAAGCCAGCAGCACATCATCTTCCAATCTCTCTGCTTCACTCTTCTGCTTCCCTAGTCTACTTATAAGGACTCTTGGCCAAGCACAGTGGCTCACTCCTGTAATCCTAGCACTTTGGGAGGCTGAGGCGGACAGGTCACCTGAGGTCAGGAGTTCAAAACCAGCCTGGCCAATATGGCAAAACCCCATCTCTACTAAAAATACAAAAATTAGCTGGGCACAGTGGTGGACACCTGTAATCCCAGCTCCTCAGGAGGCTGAGGCAGGAGAATCGCTTGAATCTGGGAGGCAGAGGTTGCAGTGAACTGAGATCGCACCATTGCACTCCAGCCTGGGTGGCAGAGCAAGGCTCCATCTCAAAATAAATAAATAAATAAATAAATAAATAAATAAATAAATAAAAAGACTCTTGTGATTACATTGGGCCCACTTGAATCATGCATAATAATGTACCCATCTCAATCATATCTGCAACATCTCTTTTGCCATGTAAAGAAATAGTTGCAGTTTTAGGCATCAAGATGTGGACATCGCTGGGGGGCCTTTATTCTGCCTACAACAAGCCCCATAGCCCCAAGTCCCCTCCTGAGCCACTCGGAACCAATGGCACAAAAGTAGCCAGCCTGCCAACCCCTGGGCAAAGGAGCTCAAACAGTGTATGAAACCCACGCAGGCTGGGCCCCAGAGCCCCGCCCCCTGCACCTGACTGTGCTGAGACTGCCTTCCCAGCTCCCTTTAACTGCACAAATGAATGAGTCCCCAGGGACGCCATCAACCCGCTCACCAAATGTGCAAGTAAATAAGCTACCAGCTCGGAATAGCTCTGAAGGTGAAAAAGTGAACTGTCTGAAGGCAGGATTCCTCTTGGAAGTTGATCTGACAGAGGGGGACATGTTCATTAGCATGGCAGCCTGTGCTTCTGAGGAGGGGGGCGAGGGATTGTGTGTAGGAGCTGGGAAAGGCCCAGATGGAGAAAGAGTTCTTGCCATGCTTATTTCTTGCCAGTGCTCGTTCTCTGCTTGGTGCAGAAAGCAGTCTCCTAAGAACATATGCCAGGCCATGGGCGGCAGAAGGACTGGGCAAGTAGACTTGTGTATTCTACTCCTTTATTTCCTGATTTTCCAAAGGTGCGCTAGAAATCAGCTGTATAACAGTACTGGGTTTGGTACTCAGGGACAGACAGAGGAGGCGCCCAGAACCCCATGGGGCGATGAGTGACCACAATAGAAGGTAGAGAGTGAAAGGGTGGGATTGAGCTAAGTGGCTGCAGAAGGCGAGGCTGATAGAATCGAGGAGAGAAATCGTAAGCCTCTAAATTCCAAACTGCAATGTTAATGTGGCCAGAGCACTTTGAGGTGAGCTGCTTGATGTGAAACAGCCCAGTGTTCATGTCCAGAGGCAATGGAGGAGTCCAGGCAGAGCAGCAGGGGCTGTAATTTCCCCCCACTTACCAAAGAACCCTGGCTACCAATCACGGAAAGCTGTTGGACTCCAATCTGCCCTTGCTCTGTGTCATCCCTGAAGTTGACGTTGTACTTAAATGGATGTAAGGATTAAAGGAGACGAAATGAGCAGAGAGCAGGCCCCAGCCTCTGGCTCCAGCTGTAGGCAGTCACCTTTCCATCCTCAGGGCCTCGTCCGTGCTGTTGCTGAGACGTGGGGGCTTTCTGTCATCTTTCTCTCATCCTGGTGATGTTCATTAAATTTTTCCTGCTCACAGAAATGACCTGAGACCTTCTGCTAAAGTAACCCACCTGCCGCATTTAGACTCCATCTCAGGACCATGCCCACGTCCTTCCTTTTCCTCTCCCTGAGGCTTTGTCTGCATCCCTTTGTGTGTCCCTCTGCATGACCACAAGGATCTGTCTCTCTGGTCCACTGCTGATGTCTCAGGGTCCAGGGTTCCATAAACTTATACTGAATGAATAAATCAGCACATTCATGCCCAATATATTTTTATTTGTTTGTGTGTTTGTTTTATATTATTAGAGATGGGATCTTTCTTTGTTGCTTAGCCTGGTCTCAAACTCCAGGGCTCAAGCGATCCTCCTGCCTTGGCTTCCCAAAGTGCAAGGATTACAGGTGCAAGCCACGATATCTGGTCCCCAATACATTTTTAAATGTCCCTCTTCTGTTTTATAAGAAACTTCAGCCAAAGATGCCAAAATGACAAATATCAAATACTTGCTTGAAGCAAAGCTGAGTGTTAAGGTTGACAGGCTGGGTGGCTGTCAGGAAGCAGAATCGTTGGAATTCGGGAGTCCAAGTACCCAGGTGGGAATTTTGGCTCGACATTAACCTGGACACTAGACCCCTGAGGACAGAGAATGTGTTCCAGTACCTCCCACAGTGACCTGCCCCGACTATTTGACAAATACATAATGGGGGTATATTTGTGTCTGGTCCTTTATTCAACTTTTGCTTCTAGTAGAGGTTTTCTTCATTGGGCCAAAGAAAGCCTGAGCTGTTTTTAAATAATCTCATTGCATTTGTTCCTTATATTTCTATTTATTTTTACTGAAAATAATCTACTGTGATTCCAGTGTGATTATGTTTAGTGCCCATCTCTCCCAGCCCAGGAAAGGGTGATTACTTAGAACTTTCATGTATTCCTAGCTCTTTTAACTAAATAGATGTTGAAATATTATTTTGAGATACTATGTTCCCTGCTCCCTGGAGTTTTTCTTTCTAGCATGCAAAAAAGGCCCAGGGCTGTGGCAGCTTGCACAATCCTTCTCCAGTCTTTTGAATTTGCGGGCAGTGGTCCCCACTAATGAATTGGCCCATCAACCTGGTGTTCTCCATCCCTGTTAGCAAGCATGAACCTCCAGCGCAGTCTCACTTCTAATTGGAGTTTTACTTTCTGGGGCGGAGAGTTAAGCTTGGCACAATCAAAGTGCCTCTTTGTTTATGCCCATTTGCCTATGATAGAAAAGCCACCAATTTTCTAACAAAGCAGCTGGCAGTCTGTACTAGTCATTCTCTAAAACTAACTTTCCTCTTTTCCTCTCATTTTTCTTCCTTCTCTCCTCCCTCCTAGGTTCTAATCCTTGTTCTTCCAATTACTTACTGAGTGACCTTGGTTAAGTTATATAACCTTCTCTAGTCCATTTTCTCCTCCGTGAAATAATAGTAGCTAACTTATAGTTCGATCCTTAATATTAAATGAGAACATGTTTGTGAGGCCCTCAACAACCTGCCTGGATCATAATAAATGCCAAATAACTGACAGCTTCTATTCTTTTCTAATTCTTTCAATCTTTGCCTCTCTCTTTCCCTCTCTTTCTCCTCTTGTCTTCCTTATGCACTTTCTTCTTTCTAGTACATACATAATTCCTCCCTTTCCTTCTTTTTATACTCTTAGTAATTCAGCTCCAGTGATTATCTAATGATCAGCTTGATAAGAAGTTGCATTATCAATCGTTTAAAATGTACAACCGAATTCCAGGGCCCTTTGAACTGGTGTGCATCAAGAAAGAGTTGGTGTATAATGTTATCAACATTTATAGCATCAGGACCTTGTTGCTTTCTTTCTTCTCCAGCAGCTACTAGATGGCAGAGATAATCACAGAAGAGTTTATGTTTCTCTAATCCAGATGTAGGAGCAACAAGGAAACCACCTCTTAATCTAGAGTAAGATTTTATCTGGACAAAGCAAGTAAGAAATATGGTTATTATGCTAGGACTTGCATCCCCTCCCCTTGTGAATTGAGCAGAGGCTCATAAATTGTCTCCCCAGTGTTTTCAGGCCAGCTGTTAGCTGTGTTTGCTGACTCTGTGAATTATTGGTCACATGTTGCCACCTTGTTAATCATGGGAACATTTCTATTGCCTATTTTGGTGAGAAAGTCTGCTTTCTAAAGGAATACACCATTCAGCAAATCAGAGTTTAATAGCCAATGATGGTCACACATCAGCTCTGTGTTGTCTACTTTCCTCAGCAGGCATTACATTATTCCTCCAATTTTCAGTGCTGTTGATTAACATTTTCCCAATTTGAGAAAGCAGAGAAGATTTTCAGATTGATTTTCCCACTGATGTGCCAAAGGAGCCTGTTTTTTTCTGTCTTCTTTCAGTTCTGTATGTGTACATTCGTGTATGAAATAGGGACCGTTGTAGACAGGATATTTATGTTGGTGCCTAAATGCAAAGATTGATGCTTATTGGCCACAGGACAATCGCTACTAGGTGGAGTTATAATAAGTTGGTCATCCTGCCTGTTACTGAGCACCGCACTCACACAGCGTTGAGGTCATTGCTTATGCTATCCAATCAGCTCTGCAAGGTTGAGCTACGGTTGCCATTGTGCACATGAGGAAGCAGGGCAGTGAATGGGTAAGTGAGGTGTCAGCATGAACAGGGGAAGGTGGAGTTGATGTTGTTTGTGGGGCAATGGAAATGAGCCTACCTGGCACTCCAGGGCATGGATCCTAGGAACAGCCCAGGGCAACTCTTACTTGCTGTGTGGCTCAGACGGGAATTTTATCTCCCTGCTCCTCAATATGCTCATCTGTGTATGAAGGTGGGGATGCCTGCTTCTTTCCTGCCAACCTCACACATTTGGAGTGAAGATGAGGTGAAATAAAAAGTCATGAAGCCAATTTATTATGTACATAAAACAATGTGGTACTTTAGTAGTTATTATTATATCCTAAAAGTTGAGATGGTGCCTGAGGGAAGGACTGGCACGTACTGAGTATTTAATGTGATTTGGCCGAGTTCCAAACACTTCCAATGTGTTCTCTTATTTGAAACCCACAAAACGCCAAGTTGAATTATGACTCTTATTTTATATATGAAGAACGAACCTGAGGGTGAGAAGGTAAAGTAACTTGCTCAGTGGTACACAGCACATGAGCAAAAAAGATGAGGCCTGAACCTCTCTTTCCAACGACAGAATAACAGCCTGGCTTTTTTCCTTCCATCATACTGGTAAAGCCAAAGCCATGCTTTTGCCCCTCTTTGAAAAACAAACAAACAGAATCAAGCCACTCAGTAAGGGATATCTTTATCAAAAGGAAGGAAATATAATATGGTTAGATCCAATCACCTTCAAGAATTATTTTTTAGCTGTGACCATGTTCTTTGTTAAATATTTATTGAGCAACAGCTGGCCATAGAAACTGTAGTTGTTCAATTGGGTTTTATTAACTCACTTATCTCCACCTGGTCCCGTGGTGATGAATGGTGCAAATAAAGCAAGCAGTAAGTGGAGAGAGCCCTACTCATTCCACAGACAGGTAAATGAAGGCTTTAGACGAGTTACAGTAATTTGACCATTTCCAACTTCTGCCTCCCTGATGTTCCAATAAGCCAGATAAATAGTTTGGCTGCTTAGAAGCAAACAAAACACAGTGGGTAGTGTAATCCAGACTTTGTAATGAGAAATAGCCAATCATAGTCAAATATGGAGTCTGGAATAGACTCACCTGTGTTTGAATCTTGGCTTGTCCCTTAATAAGTTCTATCACTGGGGCTGAGGCTCTTATCTGAGCCTGTTTTCTCATCTGAAAAATGCAGACAGTCACAAGTGCCTGACCCCTGGAAAGTACATGGCCCCGTTCCTGGACACCGTAGGTCCTCAACTGGTGTGGGTTTCTCCTCCCCCAGTGCCCCCCCTACCCTCTCATCCCCATGGTGGAGGAAGCCTCCTGAATTCTTGAGATCTGGGATCTCACATGATTGTTTTCCTAGATGAAGTCCTTAGGTTGTTTTGATGACTTCCCTCCACCTCCTTTTTACAATGAAGTCACAGAGACTTTTCTGGTTGATTTGTCTTTCCTTTTCATAAAGTAGCCACAATAACAAACTTCATGCAAAATTGGCTCTGCAATACATTTTCATACTAATTAATAGCAGCCTCAATTGGGCAAGATTTTAAGAAAATAAATTACATATATTCAGGTGTCTGGTTTTTACCGACATTAAACTTAACTACCCTGTTTGTGTCTCTTTATTGCTCTTCTTTTATAAGGATCATAAAAAAGAAGCTATAATACTTCATCCAGGGGCTGGGAGGAAGCCGCCTTTTCATATTTCTAATAGCTTCAAATAAAATATGTTCAAGCACTGCTGGCCATCTGGCTGCTAAGGGTTGTTTAGAAAAGGCCCCCACCTCCACTCCTGATTTTTATAAGCATCAATTCTATTTTCCAATTCCTTTGCTGGATTAAATTTATGAACTGCTCAGCCCTTTGGGTGATAAATCTGTTGATTGTGACCATTTCCTCGTTCCAGTTTCCAATTAACATGATTGGTTTGGAATCCACAGAGACAGCTTAGGTCTTGCTACTTTCATCTTTCAGCTCAGTAGCTGAGTCAGCACAGATTTCAGCAATCACCTCCCCTCTTTAGTCATTTTCCTACTCACCCACCTTTTAGAACATGTAACAATAGCTCAATATTCTTTCCATCCACTTGAAAAAAAAAAAAAAACTAGATTTCAAACCTGTAGGTGCACCTTGTAATTTTTCTTTAAAAATTGCCATTTAGTACACTTAATTTTCTATAACATTTTCATACAATGGGAAACTTCATATTTGCACAGAAAAATGGATTCAGCTTCTAATCAGACAGCATTACAAGTGATTGCAATGTTGCAATGCTTTTTACAAATGCAAAGTGACATGGGGAAGGTAGAATCATAAAGAAATGGAAATTTGCTTCAGGGTGTTCATGAGTTGCTGATTGTCTTTAGCTTCTACATTATTTTAAAAGCCCAAGTCCCAAGAAGAAGGCAGAAGGTCTAACAGAAGCCTGCACTTTCCTTGCGCCCCACCTTTTTCTTCTTGTCGTTTTCCATAGTCTCTTGACCATCAGTGTCACCATCTCAGTCACCAGTTGGCAGTTTGGCAATATGGAAAGGATCCAGGTACAGGTTATAGAACAAGGTTGGCTCTATTTTTGACAGTGCTACTTGTGACCTTCATGATTTTGGTTGGAGGCATTTCTATCCCTCAGTTCCAATTATAGTATCTATTAAAAAAGAAAATAAAATAGTACATACCTCTCCCAGGTATGTTATGAAACAGTGCAAGCATAATAGCTAGCACAAAGCTGGTGCATGGAAAAGAGATGATCTTATCCAATAACGTAGTCACTAAAAGCTGGAACTCTGGAGCCAGAAGGCTTGGGTTCAAATTCCAGCTCCATCTCTTCCTGGATGTATGACCTTAGAAAAATTACTTAACCTCTCTGTGTTTCAGTTTCTTTATCTATAAAATGAGACTTATAATTATAGAATATATTTTATTATTGTGAGGTTAAATGAGATAAAATGTGCTAAGGGCTGAAACTGCAATGTATCTAAATATTCTCATCTACAACATTTATCAATAGCCTATTACTATTTCCTTCAGCCAACATTTTTGAGCACTTACTTTGTGCCAAGTGTTTTTCTAGGTATTTGGCATGGTCAAAAGGGGAATTAGAACTTCAAATTCAGCTCAAACATCACATTCAAAGGGGAGCCTTTTCTTTTCTTTTCTTTTCTTTTTTTTTTTTTTTTTTTGAGACACAGTCTCACTCTGTCACCCAGGCTGGAGTGCAGTGGTGCAATCTCAGCAAAGGTGAGCCTTTTCTGTGCTTAAATCTCCAACCAGATTAGCTCCCCTGTCATGAGTTCTTATAACACCAGGACTTTTTCTTCTCAGCAGCTTTGACCATTAGTCTAACCGTTGTGCTAATTTAAATACTATTTCACCCACTAACCCATTAGCTCCATGAGAACAGGAAGCGTGTCGGCTTTGGCTCAGTAACCATGTTTAGTGAAAGGATTGGCACATGACAAGAGTTCAATTAATACTTATTGAATGTCAAAAGGAGGTAGAATTCTTTCCCTTGAGGACCTTACATTTTAGCAGAATTGTGGAACACAATGTGGCGATTCCTCAGGATCTAGAACCAGAAATACCATTTGACCCAGCAATCCCATTACTGGATATATACCCAAAGGATCATAAATCATTCTACTATAAAGACACATGCACATGTATGTTTATTGCAGCACTATTCACAATAGCAAAGACTTGGAACCAACCCAAATGCCCATCAGTGATAGACTGGATAAAGAAAATGTGGCACATATACACCATGGAATACTATGCAGCCATAAAAAAGGATGAGTCCCTTTGCAGGGACATGGATGAAGCTGGAAACCATTATTCTCAGCAAATTATCCCAGGAACAGAAAACCAAACACTGCATGTTCTCACTCATAAGTGGGAGCTGAACAAGGAGAACACTTGGACTCAGGGAGGGAAACATCACACACTGGGGCCTGTCAGGGGATGTGGGGCTAGGGGAGGGATAGCATTAGGAGAAATACTTAATGTAGATGAGAGGTTAATGGGTGCAGCAAACCACCATGGCATGTGTATACCTATGTAACAAACCTGCACATTCTGCACAAGTATCCCAAAACTTAAAGTATAATTTAAATACATACATAAATAAATAAGAAATGCTGAGTCTGGAAAGAAGGGGAATTCATGGAACTCATTTCTTCAGGACAGGAGAGAGGATGAGGCCAGTGATATTCCTGGGGAAAATCCAAGACCAGGAGTTGTGACAGTGAAAATTCTGTGCAGTTCCATATCTTTTATTTGATGATTTTTCAGCAAATTGTTATTCTTCTCCCCCTCCCTGTGGGGTAGATTATATTTTCCTGCTCCATCGACTCTTGCTTAAACAACAGAAAGTGAGCAGATTTCATAAGAGCACATCATGCAGGTACTATTTAAATGTGCTTGCATGTTTGGCTGAGTTCCTGAACTCTAGCAATTTGCCTTGAGAAGTTTAATCCCTGGAAAGCAATGACACCTTCAACCTGGGCCCCAAAATGAATACAGGTGGAGAAACCAACCTCAGCCTGAAGCCAAGCCTGCTGCCTGGAGCAGATCAGCCAGCAGAGAGACTAGCCCACATAAGCTGAACTGCAGTTGGTGGCAGATCCAAGAGCATAGGAATAAACGTGCTTGTAAGCCATTGAGTTTTGGATTGCTTAATCACACAGCGTTAGTGGAGGAATAGCTCACTAATATACCACACTTCTGATTTTTGCTTTCTATTGTTTTCCTATATGGATCACAAATTGGAGACATATTATTTCTCATGCATGCACAGTCCATTGAAGATTACAGGGGGTGGGGTGTGAGTAAAGACTCTGCTCTACACAGTCTTTATCTACTCAGGCTCCTTGTGTCTGGGGATCAGCCATGCCCCAGGTTCTCAAAATCTTCCATCAGACTTCAGGCATCTGTCAGCAGATGAATGAGGAGAGGGTGCAGAGGATTGTTTAGAGGTTTTACGGGTTCTACGCACATTGCATTGGCCCAAACTAGTCGGTAGCTGACCTAATTGCAAGGAAGACTGAAAACAATGGTGTAGCACAAGACAAGGATTCCAGGGGACAAGTCAAGGAACACAGAGGACCATCCATACCATGGAGCTCAATAGAAGGAATTTAATGGGAGGGCCTAATTACAGAGGTGTTGGAAAAGCAGAAACCAGGAGAAGGTAAGGCAACCCAGAGATGAACAACTCTAGGAGGCTGCTGCCACCCCTAGAACTGACGGGCCAAGGAGCATGACAATGCTATCAAAGTCCAGGAGCTGGCATTGCCCAAGAGATTCAGAACCTTGGAGGAGAGGCCTCCCAAGGATCCAGCCAAAATGTTGGGCACATGGGGCCAGAGACAAACTCCAGAAGGCAGCTGAAAACATAAAGAACAGAGCCATCTCATAGGATCTAGAATGACCAGGAGGGAGCCAGAACCAGTGCAAGCTACCAGGGCAAGAGCAGGAATAATGAAGGAGTCTGAACTTCTGCATCAGACTCCACCAGAGGTAGAGTGAAAAGGGAAGACATACCTTGGCTTCTCTCCTTGACCTAGGCTGGTGTCCTGGAAGCAGAGCCTGAAACAGGGAATTGCGTGTAAGTCATTTACTAACACAGGCTCCCAGGAGAAATCTGAATGGCCAGGGAAGCAAGGATGAAAAAAGGAAAGAATGTAAGCAAGGATAGGCTTCTAGGTGACATCTAATTATAGCCAGATCCTGCAGGAAGCTTTGGGGGTAAAAATTGCATTCCAGTGTTTGTCCTGCCTTGAGGCAAGGGAGATGGGCTTTTGTCCATTGCACACAAGTCAATGATGAGATATGATTCCAAGGGGGTTGTGTAACCTCAAAACACCTCTGGTGACATGGCTCCAGCCACTAAAGACCAATTCCTCAGGGAAGATCACAAGTGTGAGCCTTCAGAAGCTGGGGGATAGGCACGCTGAACTGAAAAGGGACCCTAGGAATCTGAGTGAGGCACTAACAATGTCAATTACACACTTCCTATTCTCCTATCTCCTAACAGACTTCCCTTTGGCTGAACTTGACTCATAAAGTCAAACATAGAGAACCTGTTTGCAAGAAAAAGAATGGGAGAGGGGCAAATCTGAGAGCAAACAAGCAAGCTGCTCAATAATACCTGTGAAGCTGAATTATTCTTCCCTACATGTTTTAGGCTTTTTGGCACTTTGCAAAAATTGGATCTGTCAACAGTAGTTGGAGATTTACTATCACTAAGGAAATAGTTTTCAGTAGAAAATTATCATTTGCCTAAGAGTGTATGACAGATACTGATTTTGTGTCAAGCATACTACAATGTACTCATCGACCCAAAGGCAGTTTGAGGAGAAGCCTAGATTCAAACTTGGATAGGGTTTATCTATCCCCAGCCATCTTTGAAGTATGAAACCGATAATATTTTAATTTTTTTCTTGTGGATATAAAGTATGCACTTTAAAGAAAAGTCTAAAAATCAAATAAGGTATAGTTACTGTGCACATTTAGTGTTAAAAGCCTGGAATTGGCCGGGCGCAGTGGCTCACGCCTGTAATCCCAGCACTTTGGGAGGCCAAGGCAGGCAGATCACGAGGTCAGGAGATCGAGACCATTCTGGCTAACAGGGTGAAACCCCATGTCTACTAAAAATACAAAAAATTAGCCAGGCGTGGTGGTGGGCGCCTGTAGTCCCAGCTACTCGGGAGGCTGAGGCAGGAGAATTGCGAAAACCCAGGAGGCAGAGCTTGCAGTGAGCCGAGATTGCACCACTGAACTCCAGCCTGGGAGACAGCGAGACTCTGTCTCAAAAAAAAAAAAAAAAAAAAAAAAAAAAAAAGCCTGGAATTACAGTGCATGGTTATTTACTGATTTATAACAGACCTTCACTAACTTGTGAATTTGCTTTATGGACTCTTCCTGGAATGAATAGTGTGCACCTTTACATAATAGCTCAGGAGGACCTTGCTGCGTGGCCTGCCAGTTGGTTGCACTCATGTAATTATTATATATAGCATATTTGCCCAGCTTCTCGTAACTCTCTGCAAATGTTAGTTGTTGGGAGTGATCTGGTGTCCAAGAAGACTCTAGAATCCAGAAAATTAAAAAAATGTTAAACTCTTTGAAGAGGATAGAAAGAGAAATATGTTGTAGCACTTTTAAATGCCAGGAAGAGAGTTGGTTCTGTGCATCTGCCAACTCTTTTTCTTTTCATTTCACTATTACAAGTTATGTAGGGTGTCGTTGTGATGCAGAGAGCAAGACAGAGGCTCAGGAAGATCAGGTGGCTTACCCAAGGTCACACATTCAGAGATGGCAAAACCAGGATTTTACTGATTCTCAAGCCCATAACAGCAAGTGGGATAACAATAACATTAATAACTGACATCAGTGATTTGGGCCTCGTACATTCTGCTGCCTCTACCTCCTCACTTGTTAGATGTCTCAGCTGAGACATCACCTTCTCTGGGAAGACTCCTCTTTAGCCCCCAGTTCATAGTCCTCTCATGTGCCACCAAAGCACATTGTCTTCCCCACATAGTAATACTTACAGCTTATATCACTGTGTTCCAATCGATTTACTCTCTCTGGTGCCCTGTGAGAACAGGGGCTTTCTTAGATTGGTTTCCCCAGAACAGTTCCCATTATATAGAAGGTGCTCTACTAATACTTGTGGATTGCTGGGGGCCAGGCAGTATCTAGTCATGTCACATTTCCTACTCCCTAAAAGGCCACCAGAGAAAAACATGCACACAGCTCTTAACACAGGAGGTTTCTTAATGAATGCTAATCCTTCCCCATCTCTGTCTTCCCATTACTCCACCCAACTGCCTAAGGAAAATACATTCATACACACGTGCAGATGCACACACATGCATTACCTTCCCCTCAGCTTTACTGAGACATAATTTGCAAATGAATGTTGTGTATATTCAAGGTATAAAATATGATGTTTTAATATACATGTGCATTGTGAAATCATTACCACAATTAAGCTAATCAACATATCACCTTACATGATTATCTTTTTTTTGATAATGAGAACATTTAAGATCTATTCTCTTTGTAAATCTTAAGTGTATGATATGCTGTTATTGACTGTAATCACTATGCTGTACATTGGATGTCCACAACTTATTCATCTTGTAACTGAAAGTTTGTACCATTTTACCCAAATCTCCCCATTTCCCTCACCCCCTAACCCCTGGAACTACCTTTCTACTTGTTTCTGTGAGTTCAACTTCTTTAGATTCCACCTATAAGTGAAATGATGTGATATTTGTCTTTCTGTTTCAGGCTTATTTCACATAGCATAATGTCCCCTAGGTTCATCCATGTTGTTGCAAATGGCAAGATTTCCTTCTTTTATAAGGCTGAATAATATCCCATTGTGTATGTGTGTGTGTGTACCACATTTTCTTTATCCATTCATGCATCAATAGGCACTTGGGTTGTTTTCATATCTTGGTTATCATACACACTTGACTAATTTATTCTTTCTTCCCCTCCAAAACATTTAATTACTAAAGGTTGAAAGGCATTTATCAATAAATCTTATATGTACCAAGTACTGCAAAGAACTCAGTCCTATAGCAAGTAGGTTTAGTGAAGTAAACTAGCTGTCCCAACATCTTCCTATCCCTCCTCCCTCCTACCCTTCCTGCATCTAGTTACCACTGTCTCACTCTCTTTGATCTCCTAAAAGTAGAAAGTAGAACAGTGGTTGCTGGAGAATGAGAAGAGTAGGTTTGCAGGAGTGGGAGGATACGGAGATGTTGGTTAACAAACACAGAATTACAGCTAGATGGGAGGAATCAGTTCTAGTGCACTGAGGGTGAACACAGTTAACAATAATATATATTTTCAAATAGTTACTAGAGAGAATTTCAAATAGGTAGTAGAAAGGATTTAGAATGTTCCCCAAACAAAGAAATGATAAATATTTGAGGTGATAGATATGCTACTTATATAAAATTACACATTGTATCCATGTATGGAAAATCACTCTGTACCTCATAAATATGTATAATCATTATATGTCAATTAAAATTTTTAAAAATAATTATTCCATCCCTGCAGGGTGTACACTGTCTAGTTGTGAAGTGTGCAACTGTACACATTTAAACGCAGTGAGTGAAGCAGGCAGTGATTTCTGAACACCTGCCTTAACTTCCACCAAAACATATGAAGTGCCTTTCATGTGTCAGGCTCTGTGCTAGCTCCTGTCTCTCCTGGGGGATTTTAATCTTTTTCCTCAGGATTCTAAAGATTCTTTTCACCTAGATAACACCTAAAAACTGAATGTGAACTAAGTCATATGATGGATGAGTGACCTGGGTGGATTATTGAATCCTCATAGGTTTCAGTTTTCTATACAAAGGGAGTAGTAAGAATGTAATTCTAATAGGGTTGTTTAGAGAACAGCACATAAAGCACTTAGCACAATGCGTGGACCAGAGCAAGTAACTAATCAGAAAGCATTGCCAGTCATTATCATTACTGTATTAGTGTGTACTCACGCTGCTAATAAACACATACCTGAGACTGGGTAATTTATAAAGGAAAGAGGTTTAACTGATTCAGTTCCACATGGCTGAGGAGGCCTCACAATCATGGCAGAAGGCTAATGAGGTGCAAAGTCACATCATACATGGCAGCAGGCAAGAGAGATCATGTGCAGGAGGACTCCCCTTTATAAAAACCTTCAGATTTCATGAGACTTATTCATTCTCATGAGAACAGCACAGGAAAGACTCACCCCTGTGATTCTATTACCTCCCACCGGGTCTCTCTCACAACACGTGGGAATTATGACAGCTACAATTCAAGATGAGATGTAGGTGGGGACACAGCCAAACCATATCAATTACTATTCCTTATTTTGCCTTATTTGATATTCACAATAATGGTGAAATGTAGATTTTGAGGGCAGGGTGCTCTTTATTTTGTTCCTTTTATTTCTATAGAGGTTGAGGGAAGGGGGTTCCTTCTGGATTTACCAGAGATAAACAGTTTTAGAAAAACATTTCTGTTCCCTTTGCGCACTCTCAAGCCTACAGGAGTCCTGTGTTAATGGAACTGGTCAACTGGTGATAACATAGCTATCATATTTTATTATCGTGAGACTCATTTTTTTTCTCTATTGATTAAAAATCCATCACAGAGGAAGGGTATGATTAATTGTAAGGTTTTCTGCAAACTATCCCTTTTTTCTCTATTTCACAAATTTAGAAAGTCAGGCTCAAAGAAGTTGGGTCACCTCAAAAGACATGGCAGAGCTGGAATCTCAACCCATTTTTTCCCAACTCTAAGTCCAGAGTCATCTCCTTTCCTTCTGTGCTGCATTCATTAGCCAAGTAGCCTGCTTTGACTCTGAGCTTGTGAAAACACTTCATTTGTAGGTAATCTCTACTTTCACAACTCAAATTCAGAAAGAAATTTTGATTCACTTACTTAAAAGTACTATAATGGACACACTGATGCAACTTCAGTTTTTGGTCTGACATATGAACAGCTTGGAAGTTGTCACTTCCATCCTCACAACTAAATAAAAACCAAATAAACTAAAAATATCAACAACTCTTCTTAGATCCTTCAGAGAACTGAGGTCACTGGGCGAACTTCTGCCCCTAAACCTGGAGTAGCAGAGAGATGAGTACAGAGAATCACAGCTTATGGAGGGCAGAGGTCCACAGCTGGAACCAATACCAGTAGAAACACTCAATTATAATTGAAAAATTTCTGGAGGCTCCATGTGGACTACTTTGAGAGTTAATAACTTTGGGGAGGGGACAGTCTTCAGAAAGACCCAAACTTTCATGGCTTTACCTACAAAAAGGACCCTACAAGTTCTCAGGATGAATTTTGGGAAACACCCCCTTCACGCTTCCAGTAGAGGAGAAGAAAAGTAGACATTTTGAATTATGCCCAAAGCTCTCTGTTCTCCTTATTAAAGCATCTCAGGAGAATCTATTTTACCAGCATCTAACCGGCCTGGGAGAAGGGAAACATCCAAGTCCAGACTCCATTAACCTTTATGTCTCACCTAAGCAGGGACGAAAGGGAAAGCTGGGAAACACTTGCAAAGGTCATAGCCTAGGAACACTGGCTACGTAAAAGCGACCGAGACATAATCAAAGGAATAGAGAACATTTTCCCTCCCCTCATTCCTTACCATCCCTTGAATGAGTAGGGTGCCTGTATAATAACAGAAGTTACAGCTAAGAAAACTGTAAGCCTCAGACATTATTTTAGAAGGATTTTCTAAGGACACTCAATGACAGCAGATTAAGACAGAAACAGTAGATACGTTAGAGGAAATTTTAGCTTATGACACCACAGGTACAACAAACAGCAGACAGCCTAACTTTTAGCCATGTGTTCATACAACCTCACACTAAAGCCATATCTACTTAAGCTCCTTCTACCACATACCTCATGTCCCACGTTTGACAGAAAAAAATTGTAAGCATTACTGAAAGTCAAAAACACAATTGAAGAGACAAAGCAAGTATCAGAACCAGACTGAAATACAGCAGAGATTTTTGAATTATTAAACGCGGAATGTAAAACAAATATGATTAATAGGATAAGGACTCTTATGTAAAAAGTAGACAACATGACATAAAAAATGGGTAATGTTAGCAGAGAGATGGAAACTCTAAGACTCAAAAAAAAAATTGCTAGAAATGAAAAACACTGTGACAGAGGCTAGGCACGGTGGCTCACACCTGTAATCCTAGCACTTTGGGAGGCTGAGGTGAGAAGATCACTTGAGCTCAGGGGTTGGAGACCAGCCTGGGCAACATGGTGGAACTCAATCTCTATAAAAATGTTAAAAAGTATCGGGGTGTGATGGCACATGCCTGTAGTCCTAGCTACTCAGGAGGCTGAGGCAGAAGGATTGCTTGAGCTTGGGAGGTCAAGGCTGCAGTGAGCTTGGATCATGCCACCACACTTCAGCATGGGCAACAGAGCAAGATCCAGTCACAAATACATGCACACACAAAAAAAACACTGTAACAGAAATGAAGAATATCTCAATGGGCTCATTAGTAGACTGTGCACAGCCAAGGAAAGAATCAGTGACCTTGAAAATATGTTAACTGAAACTTCAAAACCTGAAGAGGAAAGATAAAAGAGGGTAAAAACAAAACAGAACAGAATGTCTAAGAGCTCTGGGACCATTTAGAAAGTGTAACATATACATAATGGGAATACCAGAGGGAGGAAACACAGCAGAAAAGAAGAAATATTTGAGGTAATAATGGCTGAGTGTTTTCCAAAATTAAAGACAACCACTAAACCACAGATGCAGGAATATCAGAGAACACCAAACAGGATACGTAGTAAAAGATTTACATCTAGGCATATCATATTTAAACTGTAGAAAATCAAAGACAAAGTAGAAATCTTAAAGGAAGCCAGAGGGTAAATAATTCCATCTCACCTTTAGATGAGCAAGGAGGAGCATTATATCAGTCTCATCTTCAGAAAACATGCAAGCAAGAAGAGGGTGGGGTTAAATGCTTAAAGTGATGACAGAAAATAACATACCTCGAATTCTATATTAAGCAAAATTATCCTTCAAAAGTAAGAGGGAAATAAAGACATTCCCAGACCAGAAAACAAAAATTGAGGGAATTTGTTATCAATAGGGCTACTTTGCACACACACACAAAAAGTTTAAAAATAGCACTTTAGAGAGAAGAAAAGTGATATCATCCAGAAAGCAGGATCTATGTAAAGGAAGAGCATTGAAGAAGGAATAAATGAAGGTGCATTAGTTTGCTAGGGCTGCCATGACAAAGTACTACAGGCTGGGTGGCTTAAACAACAGAAATTTATTTTCTCACAATTCTGGAGACAAGAAGCCCAAGATCAAGGTGTCAACAGGGCTGGTTTCTTCTGAAGCCTCTTTATTTTCTTGGCTTATAAATGGCCATCTTCTCCGTGTCTCCACAGGGTCTTTCATCTGTGTGTGTCTGTCCTAATTTTCTCATTTTATAAAGACATGGGTAATACTGGATTAGGATCCACCCTAATGACCTTATTTTAACTTAATTACCTCTTTAAAGACCTTGTTTCCAAATACAGTTCCATTCTGAGATGTTGTCTCTTTGCTAATTCTATGCTAAGTCCAAGGCTGAGCCCTCAATAGGCCCTGCACCCCTCCATAAGGCCATGTGTTCTCTTTGGGGTAGTGAATACTATGGGCATCCTTCCATTGCCTAACTTCATTGCAATGGCAACTGTTCCTTGGTAAAAAAAAAAAAAAAAAAAAAAAAAAAAAAAAAGCAGCGTGTAAGGCATTTGGTAAATCCATACATCGGCTAAGCATCAGAGACTGGAAAAGTATATTCAGTCACATAAATCTAGGTTAGGTGTCAATTTCAGTGAGAGCAAATTCCTACCTCACCAAAATGAATGACATTTTAATCAGTCTGCCTCCAGGTAGGCTGGCTGATTCTCTCACTGAATTAAGCACCATAAAAGGCCTCAGGGCTGGTTGCTGTTTCTGTAACAGTACTCACAGGACAATGGCAGTAACTGTGTCAACCCAGGTGAGGGGAAGTCATGCTTACAAGAAGAGCCTCAGTCCATGCTACTATGAACACTTTTCCATAAACCCTTTGAGCAAGCATGGGAATTATATGGAAAGGAGGCTGAATGTTATCAGTAGAACCCCCTAGCCACCTGATTATTAAAGACCTCTTCTGAAAAAAAAAAAAAAAAAAGATCCTATTGGTGAATATTTTCAGTGGGCACATTCAAATTTTTGTTATGACTGCAAGCAAAACACAGACTTAATTAACTTGAGCAAAAAAAATAACTTACTGGAAAGGTAGGAGTAATTGAAGTAATTGAAGGAGATGTTGGAGATTCAGGCATCAGAAGGCATCCAGGTGGCAGGAACTAGAATGGTAGTTAGGGTGACTATATAGTTCATCATCTCAACCAGAACCCTTTGGACAGTGAAAAAAAGCACTACTGATAATTGTGTTGGTACAACAGGCACGTATCAGGACTTTAGTCCACGTCTCCTGACTCCAGAACTTTCAGCTGGTGCAACCTCATGCAAGATACTTGACCTCTTTTAGACACTTCTAGACTCTGCTACTTTATCTCTAACTTGGCAGTGAAAAAGCCTGGCAGGAGTAGGATTGTTTTAAACATAAAATGAAACAATGCATATAAATGTGATAACAATGCATATAAATCCAGCACATTGTGAATTTTCAATAACTCTATTCCTCTGGGGCCTGGACCTTATTCTTTTTTCAAAAAGGATTTGAGTTTTTTGCAATAAAAAGAGTTCCAGTTCAGTCTTAGGAGATGGACAAATCTGGATTTGATTCCTGATGCTGCTGTTGATTAACTGTGTGACCTTGGGCAAGTTTCATAACTTCTTCAAGCCTTAATGTACTTAAAGGAAGAAAGATCTCCACCTCCAGGATGTTTTATAAGATGAGGTTTAAATGAGAGGAGAGTTTTGGACATGCCTGGTGCCCTCTCCAGCAGCAGCAGGTGCTCAATGAGCACAGTGGAATTGGCTGTTCATTTCCAGCTCATCAGAGCTTCTTAGGGCTTCCAAGGTAAGCAAGAACCCCTGCAGCAAAATAAAATGTTCTCAAACCACAGAGCAAATAAGCAATTTGTCAGGAAGTCCATAAGATAAGGAGGCATGAATAATTCCAAGGTATCCTCTGTGGTACCACAACAGTTTCTGGTGGTTCTTGGAGAATCTGCTATAATCAACCAACAGCAGGAGCTTGCGTTGAACAGAAGAGAAAGGATCACAATTGCAAAAGATACAATCGCAAAAGTTTAAATCCCAAAAGATCAAAATCCTGAAAACATAATTAGGAAAAAATAATTAAAAATTATTTAAAAGATATTTATTTACATTTTTTAAAAGGGATTGATTTAAGAAATATATAAAAACATGACTGGACATTTCATAGGCCACGTTACATGATAAAATAGGCAATAGTGACACATATTTTTGCAAGGATAAACACTCAAATATACTAACAACAGTCACACAAGTGTAACAATTATGAGTAGATGAACTGTATTCATAAAGGAACAGCTTATATAACTGCAGTCATCTGACATAACATGACGGACAACTTGAGTCTTTGGATGAGATAAAAAACCATGATGGGTCACCCCTGCATGTGCAGTCACCCAAAGAGCTGAGATCTCGAGAACTTTTTTTCTTTTTCGCAAATGCAGATGTATATGAAGGATATCCTCTCGCTTATTGAGGAAGTTTCAATATTGTATACACATTCACAACAATTACACACAAAGTCTACATTGTGACAGTGCACTTTTGTGGAGTCAAATTTGCAAAAAAAAAAAAAATGCATAAAACAAATTAGAATTTATATCCCCGGTATTGAAAATGATGTGAAGATGGAATACATATCATAGCAAATTGTAAATAATAATGCTGACAATTTAAAATAGTGAGGGAATAACTTAAAAATAAGAAACAATTTAAAAATTGACATACAAAAGATGTATTACAGGAGTAAATTATGGACGATTGCACAGAGGTCTTCCATAAGAGCTCTCCAATTTTCCTGATTATTAACTATATTTAGAAGTCTTTTTTTTTTTTTTTGATATGGAGTCTAGCTCTGTTGCCCAGGCTGGAGTGCAGTGACACGATCTCGGCTCACTGCAAGCTCCACCTCCTGAGTTCACACCATTCTCCTGCCTCAGCCTCCCTAGTAGCTGGGACTATAGGCACCCGATACCACACCCGGCTAATTTTTTTGTATTTTTAGTGGAGATGGGGTTTCACCGTCTTAGCCAGGATGGTCTCGATCTCCTGACCTCGTGATCCACCCACCTCGGCCTCCCAAAGTGCTGGGATTACAGGCGTGAGCCACTGCGCCTGGCTGTATTTGGAAGTCTTGCATCATAATGAATAGCTGCTTTTTTTCTTTTAGGGTATGGCTCTAATACTTTCACATTTGTTTTCTACATGGCGCTGCTCTTTGTGAAATTATTCTATGATTAGATATATATTGACATAAGCATTCTCTATTAAAATTTTCCATCTTCTGTGTCATGCTTCTGTGTTGTTTTGGATACAAGGAAATTCATTTTACATGCACTCATATACAGACAGCAGATTCAGTGAAAACAATGCTGCTGATTGAACAGCAACACTGTTGTGTAAGTGTCTTCTTATCCTACTGTGCACATAATTATTTTCAAACCAGTCGGTAACTTCACTGGCTTCTTCAGACAAATGCCGTTTTAATTCATTAAAAGCTCCTGGAACTTCATCAGCTGGAAGGAATGCCAATGCAGACAAACGATGCATTATTAAACTAAAGTTTTCATGGTTGTCGTATCATGCAGCTAATCCACTCGTTGGAATTGTCCACCAAATGCATTGGGGTGAATGGAAAAAAAAACAAACTTTATTGGTAAGTCCTTGAAGTTTACTTTTAGAAGCCTTTATAGCACCTAATTCCAAAGATGTCATTATGTCTATTAGACATTAGGGATTTTAGAATTTAGGGATTTAGACTAGGGATTTTGATCTTTCAGGATCTCAACATTCAGGATTATGGCATTTGTGATTATGACTTTCAGGATTATGATCCAAACCTGAGCAGAGAAGTCCCCCATCTTCTGGAATGAAATTCTGGAATCCACTGGACTTGTTCTTCCTGTTCCCATTTTCCTCCAGTTGCCCTGTTGGCTGGGGAGCTTCAGGGAGCAACAGCAGACTTAGATATCTGGACTGGAAGAGAGGTATGAGTTTTATTTCCATATTTGTCTTTTTGTGTTTGACTTTAGGAATCACTATCTACCTCTAACTTCCGTTATCTCATCAATAAGAGGAATCGGGGCTTTGGAGTATTGGTCAGCATCAGGCACAGGTGCCATCCCCTCCTCTACCCAAAGCCCATGATGTACATCAGGAACTCATCAGGACACTTTCCTGCTGAGCCAAGACAGGCTTCAAAACCCTTGTCTAGATGACCACTGCAAATCAGTCTATGTTAGTTCATGAAATAAACTAAGTTTAAAATAGTGATAATAACAGCTCATGCTATTTGAGTGTTTACTGTGTGCATTACATGTTTTTACTTGTTCAAGCCTCACAACAATGCTAGCTACCACTATTATCTCCATTTTATCAATGGACAAAACTAACAGCTCATCCATATTTGACTATGGGGGGACGCTTGTGTCTATACTTACTCTGTCAGCCTGGAGGGAAGGCTAGCTATTCCATCTTCACCTTTTACTCTTATAGCTCCTACATTCTATGATTCCATCATCAAAATTGTCCTTTCCCCTCGAGGTTGGTTGTAACCTTAGGTGATTCCGCTCTCTGTGCATCTCTTTCTCTCTCTTGGTCAATCTTCTCTGTCTCTGTGTCTTGCCTGGCTACCTTCTCTTTAGTACTTACTTCACAGGAAGAAATTCTACTGGCGCAGTACCAAGCTGTGTCTATGAGTTGACACTCAATTCTCTTTATGGTGCAATGTGGCCAGGATACCACCCCCATCCCCCTGCCCATATATATGACTTTTCACAGGTGGTAATGACAAAAGGTAAGGTTTGGGTATCCTTGCCCCAAAAATATCATCACCCACCTATTTAATGTGTTCTGGTAACAAAGCTTTTTGATCTACAGAATTTTGTCTTATCTGCACAGCCCTATGAGATAGTTGTTAATCAATTTTATTTTAGGGAGAAGGAAACAGGCTCAATGAGGTAAAGTGATTCACTCAGGTAATAATTCACATAGCTGCGTTTTAAAGTTGGGGCTTCAACTCTAAGACACATAAAGGGGAAAAAAAGAAGAACTTTCCAACCCCTCAAAGAGATCTAGGGCCCATAGAGTCAGCAATGTAATGAAAAACAACAGTAGCACTGCTTTGGAGTTAGGGAATATGGAATCTTGTCTTTACTTAATAGCTGACTGGTGGCCTTGAACAAGTCACTTTAACAAGACTGAGTCTTGGAGAAGCCTCAGTCTCTGTCAGTCTCTGTCAGTCTCTGTTGATTTAAAATATTAACATTGAGACTTGACTTTCCTGCCTCTTGGGACAATGAGGAAATGGCTCTGTGTGTGCAGAGACATGAAGCGATGTAATTGGTGTTACCATTAGTGTTCCTACCCATATTCCTGCTACTCCTTTAATATTAACCTTTCTTGACTTCAAGTTCTCTGCCCTCAGCCCTTGGACATCAGCTGGTGTCACCTTGTATGGCATTTCAAGCAGAGAAGGAGAGGAAGCAGGATGTAAAATCACTGTACTTCTCTGGAACATGTGAACAAGGGTCTCTATCCAGGCTGATACAGGATTTTGGGTGGAGTTAGGTGCATAGTGGGTTGAGGCAAAGGAGCAGACACATTAGAGATTAGAATGCTGTCTGGGTAGAGTTTCAGGCCAGACAGAGACCATGTGCATGGTGGGACCCTTGGCAGAGCTTAGTGAAAAAGACTCATAGCAGGGATTGAAGGAGGCCTGGCACCAGGGACTTACCTTAGGGATCCTGGTTCCTAGATGTGGGGGCAGCCAAATGACTCCCAGACCCTACCCATCCTGTCTCCTTAGGGCTCAGAGCTGAGGGAGATTGAGCCCTCTAAAGGCAGAGGGTCAGGAATAGAACTGGGGCAGGCGCACACAGACATAACCAACCAACAGGGCTACGTCTTCAGCCCCTAGACAACCTCAGAAGCCTCTCTGTCTTGTTTGCATGCAGTTTAAAGACAGGTGGAGCTGACAAAGGCTATTGCAGGGCTTCATTTTTCACCTTGTTCAAATTCATCAAACTGGATTTGGCCCATCTGTCTAGATAACTTTGGACCTAGAGTGACTTCCAAGCCAGCCTCAGTGCTTCTATATTTTGGGTCAAGTTATATGAGGGGTGTAACTTGGTAACTGCTCTCAAATTCCTCTGAAAGGGACTTTACTTTCAACATAACTAAGGCAGCATCATGGGCGCTATGGTTTTTATGTCTGTGTTTCCTCCAAAATTTTTGTTGAAACTTAATCCTCAATGCAGCAGTATTGAGATGGGGCTTTTAGAAGGTGATTGAGCCACAAGAGCTCCACCCGAAGAATGAGATCAGTGCATTATGTAAGGGCTGCAAGGAGCTAGCTAGGCCCTTTTGCCTGTTAATCCATTCTGCCTTGTGAGGTCACAGCATTTATCTTACCAGAGGATGCAGCAACATAATAGGACACCACCCTGGAAGTGGAGAACAGGCCCTCACCAGACACTGAACCTGCCAGCACCTTAAATTTTCACTTCTCAGTCTCCAGAACAATGAGAAATAAATATCTACTTTTTACAAATTATCTACTCTTGGGTATTTTGATATTGCAACATGAAAGGACTAAGACAATGGGCCTTCATAGTGCTAGAAAATACCAAACAAAAACTGTCGTCTCCTCTAAGAAAAATGTTGAATCCCATTTCCTAGCATTCAGAGGCCTGTTTACTAATTCATGGGATGATAACTTCGCCAAAGACATATGCTAAGAACCCTCGTCTTGTTTTCCAGAATAATCTTTCCAAAGACTCAAGATCAATCAAGCTGTTCCTGGCTTCCTAGCGCCTCAAGGAATGTCCAATCTCTTTACCTTGGCTTAACAGCCAAATCATAATCTGACCCAATACAAGCTCTCTGGTGTTATGTCTCCACACTTTTTTGCACTTTTCTGCACACAGCCACACTTCCCAGGCCCCGTGCAAACTGGAGTCATCTCTACTCCATGGACTTGCTGGATCCTGTCATGGCTCTGTCTTCACACATTTATTAATCCATACATGCCATTTGGTGTCTCGGGTGTACCACATTGCTTTCTAGGTTCAGAGGTGAGAGAACAGGAAATTCAAATTTTTTATGCTATATGTCTTACACTCTAAGGAAGAAACAGACATTAAAGTAACAAGCAAATAAATATATAGCACAATGTCAGTGATAAATACCGTGAGCAGAGTTAGTGCCAGATAAAGGGATAGAGAGCAACAGAGGCTACTGTTTTAAGAAGCATGGATAAGAAAGGTGATATGGTTTGGCTCTGTGTCCCCACCCAAATCTCATCTCAAATTGTAATCCCCACACGTAGAAGGAGGGATCTGGTGGGAGGTGAGATGAGAGATCATGGGGATCATTACCCTCATGCTATTCTCGTAACAGTGAGGGAGTTCTCACAAGGTCTGATGGTTTAAAAATGTGTGGCAACTCCCCACTTGCTTGCTCTCTCTCC
Source organism: Homo sapiens (assembly GCF_000001405.40). Lineage (NCBI taxonomy): Eukaryota > Metazoa > Chordata > Mammalia > Primates > Hominidae > Homo > Homo sapiens. The sequence goes on along the minus strand of NC_000008.11, from coordinate 133,987,421 downwards.
CCTGCTGCCATATAAGATGTAAGATGTACCTTGCCTCTTTGCCATCTACCATGGTTGTAAGATTCCTGAGGCCTCCCCAGCCATGAGGAACTGTGAGTCAAATAAAGCTCTTTTCTTTATAAGTTACCCAGTCTCAGGTAGTTCTTTATAGCAATGTGAAAATGGACTAATACAGAATGCATCTCTGAAGAGAGGACATTCAAGCAGAGACCTGAATTAAAGGGGGAACAAGCCACATAGATGTCGAAGGAAGGAGGGAGATTCCAGGCTGATGGTAACAGTGGGTCATGCTGGTGCACAGGATCAAGACAGTTCCAGTTCTTAGAGAGCTTACATTCAAGCAAAGGACATAGACACTGAAAAAATAATTCCACAATAGCTGTCACATTTACCCAAATCATAAAAAATTGTATAGTGCGATGCATGTTACAAAAATGTAGAATGTAATGGAAGCATGTAACTGGGGAATCTAAACTTGTCTGGGGCATGTCAGATCAATTCTTCCAATTATCCAGCTCCAGTTCCTTGAGTCTTGTCTCTACTCCATGTCTGAGAAATCTTAGGAAAGATAGAACCTTGGTGTTCATCAAATAGAACATGTTCCCCTGTTGTCTTCCCATCAGAACCACCTGAAGTGCTTCTATAAAATATAAAATACTCATGATTGAGCCCACTACATAACTATCGAGTTGGTTCCCCAAGAATGGCCCAAGAATTTTTATTTTAAAGAGAGTTTTTGTTTGTTTTGTTTTGTTTGTTTGTTTGAGACAGACTCTCACTGTCGCCCAGGCTGGGGTGCAGTGGCACAATCTCGGCTCACTACAACCTTTCCCTCGCAGGTTTAAGCAATTCCCCTGTCTCAGCCTCCTGAGTAGCTGGGATTACAGGCACCCACCAACATGCCTGGATAGTTTTTATATTTTTAGTAGAGATGGGGTTTCACCATGTTGGCCAGGCTGGTCTTGAACTCCTGACCTCAGGTGATCTGCCTGCCTCAGCCTCCCAAAGTTCTGGGATTACAGGCATGAGCCACCACAACCAGCCTTTATTTTGTTTTTGAGATAGGGTCTCCCTCTGTTACCCAGGCTAGAGTGCAGTGGTGTGATCATGCTTCACTATGTCCTCGATCTACTCAGGCTTAGGTGATCCTGCCACCTGAGCCCCTCCCAAGTAGCTGGGACTACAGGCATGTGCCACCATACCCAGGTATTTGGTTGGTGCAAAATTAATTGTGGTTTTTGTCATTAATGGCAAAAATCACAATAACTTTTGCATCAACCTAATAATTTTTGTATTTTTTATAGAAATGGGGTTTTGTTACATTGCCTAGGCTGGTATCAAACTCCTGGGCTCAAGTGATCTGCCAACCTCTGCCTCCCAAGTTGCTGGGGTTAGCGTAGCTAAAGAGACATCTAATACACAGTCAATCCTCTGAAGCCTCCATCCAACCTGCCAACAATTTTTTTTTTTTTTTTTTTTTGAGATGGAGTCTCGCTCTGTCGCCCAGGCTAGAGTGCAGTGGTGTAATCTCGGCTCACTGCAAGCTCCGCCTCCTGGATTCATGCCATTCTTCTGCCTCAGCCTCCCGAGTAGCTGGGACTTCAGGTGCCCACCACCACACCCTGCTAATTTTTTGTATTTTTAATAGAGACGGGGTTTCACCGTGTTAGCCAGGATGGTCTCAATCTCCTGATCTGGTGATCCGCCTGCTTCGGCCTCCCAAAGTGCTGGAATTACAGGCGTGAGCCACTGCTCCCGGCCCCTGCCATCATTTTTTGTCTGGTACCTTTGTGATTGAGAGGGGAGCTCACGCCTCTTCCACTATTCTAGTAAAACCATATCCATTTTTGGACAGCTCAAATAATTAAAAATCAGGCCTTAATTTTGAGCATCAATCTGGTTTTTTTGTTCTGCAGTCTCTATCAAACTTGTATAGTAGATGCTTGTGGCCCTTGAAAATATTTTGTTTTTTGACTAAAGTTTTAATGCTTAAAATTAATTATTAGCCTCAGAAGTAGAGATTTTACTTATCTGGCTCCTCTCAAAAAATCAGATCTTTAAACATGGGGCTGGTTTCCCAAAAAGAAAAACGGGAAGGACTTGAGCAGCTGCTGCCTGATTTTTGTTGGAGTCTGAGCAAGCCATATGGCCACACTCAACACACTCTGGGTCATCTTCACCTGGTCCACCTTATCATCTTCATTGTTGGCCCAGCCCCTTTAGATGTTGAATTTGAGGCCTCTCTTTCTTGTTACTGCTTCTGGGAATCTCAGACAGTTCTTCATCCTCCTTTATGTGATCACCTCTTCTGCTCTGGATTCAGTGACCATCACTCTCCCAAGCTTCTTCAAGCCCCACATCCTCCAGGTGTCCATCTCCCTGCCAGGGCCAGGTTTCCAAACTCTCTACCATCTTGGTTTCTCCTCTAGATCCTTCGGTGTGTTAAAGTTTTTTCCAAAAGCAAAAAGCAACATTCATTTATTGAATGGCCAATACAGCATGTTCACTTTGGAGTTTCAGATTTCTTTCCATCTTCAAAGTCCTGGGTTTGTATATCTTCATTCTTCTCCAAGTCCTCCCACCTCCATGCTTGTTTCCTTCCATTCAATGTTCCTTTGACATTTTAATTTTACTCTCCTTTCATATCTGCAGCCTGCCCAATTCACCCAGGCATTATTCCCAATTTTATTAAGAGATTATTGCTTACCTACAAAATAAATCTCCTCACATCTCAGTAGCTGCCAGTTCAGGTTCAGTTAATAATGTCTCCCCTTGATCTTTTGCAAATAGTGTCACACTTCATTAAGAATCTTAGTAAAGCTCTCCAACACACACACATACACTGACTCTTACCCACACACTAATATGCAGCAGGAGGCCAAAGTATTTACTCATGAGCCCTTCTAATAAGTAGAAAATTATCTTTATTGGGAAGGAATGCTTTTATAAGTGTTTTGATCAATAGAATAGGAGGTGGGTCCAGTTCCCAGCCCTGACTCACCACCCTGTATTGTTCTGGGAATTAGCTACTGTCAGTTACCCAATAAGGGAAAGTGGTTTTGCATAAAAACCAAAGAAAAGTTTGAATTCCTAGGGGAAAATCAAGAAGAAAAGAGAAAGGAGGCAACTAGTGACTGCATGGGTCAGTGACAGCCTATGGTGGGGTGGCCAGAGAAGGACTTGTGGAGAAAAGTCCCCCTAACTCTCATCTCCTCATCTTTTAGTAAAGTCTACATTGATCACCAGTTCTCTTTGGGACAGTGGATTTCTTTGGGGGAAGGCAAAACTTTGCCAAGTTTTGTATCCGGGCTTTGAGAGGTCAAAAGCAGAGATGGTGTGGACCCTGGAACTAGAGACAGAGGAGATCATGGAAGGAAAAGTCTCTAAGAGTTGAAGAAATTGTAGATGGCCTGTGATGTCCACAGGCCATTCCTGGATTCTGAGCTAATAACACCAGTTCCCCAAGATGCTGAAATCCTTAGCTCTCCTCTTAGTTATCTATTTTTTTGCCATTTATCTACTGATTAATATATCATTTTTCTGTATCAGTGGCCTTAAAGTTAGCCAAGCAAATACTTTCTTTGACATATCTAACCACAAAACTTCACCCCTAGGTTGGAGATGGGGAGGAGTGAGTGGCTTTTATAGGCTCACCAAAGTTAAGAAATGGAAAAGAACTTAAAGATCCTAAAGAAGTGTCTGAATCCCCTCTTCTCCATTGGTATGTACTTGCAAACTGTATTTGAGCACCCGCATTGGTGGGGCTCACTTCTTGAATCAGCCCAACATGTTCTTGGGCAACTGTGAGATAGGAAATACCTGCCTTAGACTGATGCAAGTTTCTTCCTTCATAATTCTACCTACTTACCCTTAACCTACAACTAGGTACACCTAGAACAAACACATTGCTCTGACAATAACAAGCTTGAGATATTTTAGAGATGAAATTCTCCAGACCCTTTTCTTTGTGTTACTTAGTTTTGCTTTCAGTGTTCCTCTTACAGCAGGCATTTAAACCCCCAGAACATTATAGTGACTCTCCACGGGATGAACTCCTGTAGGTGTGTCTTCTAAAACAAATGTGACAATCAGAACTGAACGTAGTGTTGTAGATATGTGATCAGCATAGTGCCCCGTCAATTCTATGCCTGTAATAACTTCATCCTTTACTATCTGGCTAAGGAGAGTTCCCATACCTTCCATGCATGTACCACCTCCTGGTATTAAGCAAGGAAAAACAGAGACCTGTTTTGTTTCAATTCTGCAGCACATTTTGTAGATAGAACAACTTCCATCTCAGAGAATTCTGTCATAGGTCAGAGAGTCTTTTCTTAGGAGAATAAGCTCTAAACCATTATCAGCATGAATCATAGAGTAGTGAGTCCTAAATAGTAGTTTCAATTTCTGTGAAGACTTCACAAAGTGATCTGAAGATTTTCTGATTGACTACTCTAAGAACTTAAGTTTCTGAAATGAATGTCATTAGAGGCCATCCCATTCAAGATAGGTTCAGCAAAGACATGGTTATCTTTTCTTGATCTCTTTTCATAAAAATAAGTATCCAGCGAAGCTGCCATGTTTTCAGTGTTTATGTTGCCAATTAAAAGAGTTGGCTGTTTTCTATATTTTTAAAAAAATAATTTCGCATCCTGTAAACACACCTCCACTTAGCCTGCAACAGTCAGAACTGAAAGGAGAATAAATAAGACGGATGAGCAAAAGCGTAGTGAAAAATGATTTGCTTTTTACTAAATTAAATTGCTGCTTAGTTGCTATGATTTTTGTTATTGTTATTCTAGAGATACAACAATGGTGAAATTATGGTTGTAATGGAGTCCTAATTGGGCACTTAGTGTGTGTCGATACCGTGAAGGCATTTTCTCATTTAACATTCATAGCAACACCATGGAATGACGGGGCAGAGGCTCAGGGGAGGGATATGTCTTGCAGTGAGTGGTGTGCTGTACCAGTGGTGTGCTGGTTCTGCCAGGTGCAGGCTCTGGGGAGAAGGGAGAAAAATCTCTTTCTTAACTGATTTATTTTGTGTTATAAAAGGGTAGCTTCTCTCTTAGCATCCTGGTTTCTTCCAATAACATGTTAGCTATTATCGTTACTACAGGTGTTATATAAGGTGATGTGGGAGACTCAGAAATGAAAAGAAAGAATGCACATAATGTAGGTTTTGGTACATAGCATATGCTCAATAAATATCATTCTAAAATATATATTGTTCAGTAGAATAGTCAGAGCTGAACACTGTCATGCAAGACAGTTTTAAATAGAGATGTTCATTCATTCAACAAATATTTGTTGAAAACTTAATACATTGCAGGAAGAAACAAAGGAGCAGAAGGGAGGGAAATCTTCCATTGGAAAGTCCTTGATATTTTCTTAGCAGCTTAACTATACCCTTTCTTACAGGAGAAACCTAAAATAAGCCAGTAATTTATTCAAGGTCAACTAGCTGGTCCCTGGAAGAACCTGTGTTTGAACCTATGTTTGCACAATATGCCACATGCTTGAAGCTTTCACTGCCCCATTCAGCTTCTCAGCATGAAGGTTTCCAGTTCCTGGCACTTGATCTGGAAGCCGTAGGGTTTGGGAAATGAGGACAGATGATGAAGCGGCTGAGTGGTAGAGAGCAGATCAGGGTTGGGCTCCTCTTGTGCTTATAGCTCAGTGCTACAGGCCTCGTAGGGATCCATGCCAGACCAAAGGGAAGCCCCTCAGGGCTTAGGAGATTGTAGAGCATCTTTTAAGGCTCAGAGCACCCTGCTGTATTCCTTGCTGTGCAATCAAAAACATCCCTCCAGCTCCTTGAGCCAGAGATGATGCAAAGAACTAAGAAACATAAAATTCAACTTGGGAACTAATTTAATCCTGAGGGTGGGAACCCAGTTTTGAGGTCAATGTTTTGGAAACATGAGAGGCCTAAATCAAATTTTAAACTCCAGGCCTGAAGGAGTGGTACTGGCCCAAGGATCTGTGACCTGTGACCACAATCCTTTGTTCCTCTGTCTGTGAGTCCTTTATTTGCCTGTCTCGTGCAAGGAAGTGTAAGGTTATACAAAGAATGAGAGTTTGGATTAGGTTCTAATCCTGGCTCACCAGTTAACCTGTTGTATTATGTATGGTTTTTTGGTTGCATGTATTATAAACATCAGAAAGCCAGCCTGGCCTAGCTGAGGCCAAGAGAGAGATTACTGGGATATCTCATTGGAGAATTGAGCCCCTGACCAAAACGAGAAGGAATAAGAAGTTCCCAGTAAAAGGGAGTGGGCTCAGAGAAAAAACAGATATACATATTACTTGTTATGTAACTTAGGGAATTATATTGAACCTCAGTTTGCCCATCCATAAAACTGGAACAACAGCAGGTTGTCTTCTAGGTTTATTGTAAGGATTAGATGCAACAACACTTGTGTATTAGGCATCTACTGCATATATAATACATTTTTATTATTTATAAATTAAACAACTTTTTTTTTTGAGCTGGAGTCTCGCTCTGTCACCCAGGCTGAAGTGCAGTGGCTTGATCTGGGCTCACTGCAACCTCCGCCTCCCAGGTTCAAGCGTGTCTCCTGCCTCAGCTTCCCGAGTAGCTGGGACTACAGGTGCGTGCCACCATCCCTGGCTAATTTTTTGTATTTTTCGTAGAGACGGGGTTTCACCGTGTTAGCTAGGATGGTCTCGATCTCCTGAACTCATGATCTGCCTGCCTGGGCCTCCCAAGTGCTGGGATTTCCGGTGTGAGCCACAGCGCCCAGCCTAAACAACTTTTATCTTTCATACATGTTTATTGTTTTTCTCCTATGCTAAATTAATTTATGTTGATACTTGAAAATATGCGAAATAGAAAAATATTACTACTATCCATAGTCTATGTAATTTTCTACACACGATTATATATAATATGTTACCTTGTTTTCACTTAGTGTAATTCACAGGAATATTTTCACATGTGTTTGTAGAATAGTTTGAATTTGGCCAGTGACTACTGGCAGGGTCAGGAATATCCATTGAGAGAAGGGGAGAAAGCCCTCAGATAAACATTTGCATGTGTTACTTTGCAGATAAAAGGGAGTCCTTTGTTGAGAAGAGGAGAAATAGAGTGTAGATGGCATGAATCCTGTCAGGTTCATAAGTCCATGTGGTCTTATGTGTGAGCTTGAGAGAGAAAAGACCTTCTGGTTAAATTTGAAGTGGGGGCAGGGTGCAGTGGGTCACACCTGTAAGCCCAGCACTTTGAGAGGCCAAGGCAGGCAGATTGCCTGAGGTCATGACTTCAAGACCAGCCTGGCCAACATGATGAAACTCTGTCTCTACTAAAAATACAAAAATTAGCTGGGCATGGTGGTGGGCACCTGTAATCCCAGCTACTCAGGAGCCTGAGGCAGGAGAATCACTTGAACCCAGGAGGCGGAGGTTGCAGAGTGGAGATGGTGCCACTACACTCCAGCCTGGGTGACAAAGCAAGAATCCATCTTAAAAAAAAAAAAGAAAATTTGAAGAGGGGTTCTCATGAGGGAACTTTATGAAGGGGATGATCCCCCACTTCTTAGACAAAGACAATGAGGCACTGATGAGTTGGAAATATGGGCTCCTTGCCCCTCCCTGGTATCCAGGAGGACTGTGGTTTCAGAAGAATCAAAGACAGCTATCTGGGGCCAGATTTAGGGTAGGCATGCTGAGTTCTGGTTGCAGGACTTTTGCGTGTAGTGGACATAAGCGAGGGATCATGGAGAAGAAAAGCAAGCAGAAAGAGAATGCCACATGTGAGCTTAGGACAGACTTCCCAGTGAACACAGATGAAGCATTCCTCCTGGGACATTCCGAAACAACCGGATGAGATGTCATGAGCAAGTGGGGACAAGAGCTAATGACTTTTGACATATTACTATTATGTGCTCTAGTGAGGTACAGGGAATTCACATTTCATTATTAACTCTGAGCATCCGTTTTATACTTACATACGGTACAATTAGAGATGCACTAGAATTTCCTTTATTTAGTCCCCTACTTTTTACTGTTTGGATGGCTTCCAGTTGTTCATTATCATAAATTCTATAGTAATGAAGAGTGACCTACTAAGCTTTTTGTTGGGCTTATGTTAATTTTTAACTGCAGTATCAATGGGAGAAAACAGGGTTTTCTCTCATCAAAGAGAAAATAATGAGATAATTAAACTGTGATGAATCATTATAAAAATTACTGAATGAAGTCCTTAAAGTGGATCAAAATACATCATTTCTTTAGATTTTCTATTTTGACCTCATAATGCATACAAAAATAACAAATGTTGCAGTGCATATACACATGCATATATAATTACATCCTCATACATAATATACATACATACACATTATATTTTATACTTGATTGTAAATGGCAATGTTAGAAGAGTAATTAATTGGCTGTTGGGCTATTCTTGCATCTCTGTATTACTTAAACTTAATAAAAGGCTAATTCCTGATGGTGTTGACCATGAACAGTCATCTCGTCATTGCTTTAGTGGCAGTAGTTGCCACTTCTTTTGGATAAAATCCTGATTCTTTTTTTTTTTTAAACCGGGGTCTCGCTCTGTTGCCCAGGCTGGAGTGCAGTGGCACAGTCTCTGCTCACTGCAAGCTCCACCTCCCGGGTTCACGCCATTGTCCTGCCTCAGCCTCACGAGTAGCTGGGACTATAGGTGCCCGCCACCACACCTGGCTAATTTTTGTATTTTTAGTAGAGACGGGGTTTCACCATGTTAGCCAGGATGATCTCGATCTCCTGACCTTGTGATCCGCCTGCCTCGGGCTCCCAAAGTGCTGGGATTACAGGCGTGAGCCACCGCGCCCGGCCAAAATCCTGATTCTTTACACCAAGCTGGCTTATCCATGATTCAAGATCCCAGTGGCCCACCAAAGGGATCCACAGTTTTGTAAAAGGAAGGCTTCTATAGAAATGGTCTAAATATGATGTGCTTTTGGAACCTGTGGTTTTTGCAAAACAACTTTAGCAGTTGCTTCTGAGCCTGGGCTACGTTGTAGAGTGTTCCCAAGGCCACGCAATCCTACTTCCCCCAGAACAAATGCTTTAGTGTTAGTTTTATTGTTTTTCTGTCCCATAAAAGGTTTCCTTGTAAGCTAGGACCCCCTGAAATAAAAGTTTATAAAGCACCTCATGTTAAACAACCTCACAGGAATCACTTTGATTCCTGCCGGTTCTTGTGACCATCCCTGTATTATTTTATCAGGGATAACTTGTTCTTTTTCCTTGTTTCCCATTAATTATCAGATAACATTACTCTCTTTTTCTCTATTTCTTTCTTCCACATGCACTTGAGTTTAAGAAAATATTATCAATATTTTACTTTAAAATTACATATGTAGTCATATATATGTATATAATTGTGTGTGTGGATATTCACAGTCAGATCTATATAAACTGCCTTGGGTGGATTTTCATAATTGTTAAAGAGAAAATCCATATTGAGGATACACACACACACATACACACACACACACTCCCTCACCCCATGGACTAAATCTCATGGTAGTCAACAATCTCCTGTCGGTGAAAAAACACCATGCTTCTGATTTCTTTGCCAGTTAGACATTAAACTGGTATATTTACTCATTTGGGATAGAAGTTCAGAAATGTGATTGCTGGTTCAAAGAATGTAATTTTTTTTCTTACATTAAGAAAGGTATTGCAATTTTATTCTTCAAAACCACACAACAATGAACATTTCCACCAGTGATGTATACTGTTAACTCTATTTTCTCTTCTTACATTCCTGCCTGCAGTAGGCGTACTTATTCTCTATAGTTTTTGTCAAATTTTTGATGTAAAGTGTTACATTATGTGTAGTCTAATTTACATTCTTCTGATTAGTAGGTAGGCTCAGTAACTTTTCTTAATTGTGTTATTTAGAACTGGTTTTGTTCTTTTGTGAACTGCTTATTCATATTCAGTGCCCATTTTATATGAGATTTTTAGTTATCAATCTGAAAAGATTGTATTCAATAATAATCTCAGTCACATATATTGCAAATATTTTATTTTGAAATAATAATTTTAAATATTTCTTTTGACTTAATTTCTGGTATCTCCTTTTAGTTTTAGGATTTATTTTTTGTAGCTGTTTTGTTTCCTGTTCTAGTTTAAAAAAATTTCCTCTTCTATTAATGGTTTTATTGAAACTTGCCAAGATTTTTATTGTTTGATTTCTTTTATAGTTAAAACTTTAATCCACTGCTATTTTATCATTTAAAGGAGATCTAGGTCTATCTTCTTTTGCATGAACAGCCAGTTGTACCAGAACTCTTTATAAAATAAACCTACTTTCATTCCCTTTACTGTAGAAATCACCTTTATCATCTATACATTCCCTTTTTTAATGGGATTTCTTCTTGGAATCTATGTGTATTAGGTTCTTCTTGCATTGGTTTAAAGAAATACCTGAGACTGAGTAACTTTTGTAAAGAAAAGATGTTTAATTGGCTCACAGTCCTGCAGGTTGTACAGGAAGCATAGCAATGGTATCTGTTTCTAGGGAGTCTTCTGGAAGTTTACAATCATGGTGAAAGGAGAAGTGGGAGTTTGTATGTGGCAAGAGCAGGAGCAGGAGAGAGAGATGGGGGAGGTGCCAAATAGTTTGAAACAACCAGATCTCATGAGAACTCACTCATTCTGGTGATGACAGCACCAAGACGCTGGTGTTAAACCATTCATGAGAAATCCACCCACATGGTACAGTCACCTCCCACCGGGCCCCACCTCCAACAATGGGAAGTACAATTCTACAGGAGATTTGGGCAGGGACACACATCCAAACTGTATCACTGTGTCTCACTTTACTTATGGATTTATTTATTCCCATTCACATATTATACTATTTGAGCTGAAGAGGCTTTTTTGCATGGTTCATATTCCATGAAACACTTCCCTTCACCAATTTTCTTTTGAGAACACTCATCAGTTTCAGGCTGTATTCTTTTGTATAAACTTTGAAATTATTTTATGCAATTTCAAAAAAAGCATTCTAATTAATATTCAACTATATATATATATATATATATATATATATATATATGTACATCAACTTTGAAGAGCTAACCTTTTCTATGATATTCAATATTTCCAACTGGGAGCACAGTTTCTCTTTCCATTAACTCAGATAAAATATTATGGCTTCAGTCAGATTTTTATAGTTTCTTCATATATGTCTGATACATTCTGGTAATTTTATTTCTAAAGTATTTTATTGCTTTTGTCACAATTCCTTCATTTTCATTTCTAGCCCATTATATTTTTAATGGATAAAAAAATTTTGATATTTTTAGCCAGCCAACTCATCAAATCAAAACTTACTAATTCTGGTGGTGTATGTGCCATAAATAGTCTCTTGAGCTTTACAGGTATGCAAAAGTGTCATCAGAAATTCATAACTTTGTCTCATTCACCCATTCATTAATTGCTTCATTCACCCATTTACCATTTATTGATTGGATTAATGCCATGTGCCAAGAACTTTTCTAGGTGCTTAGACTCTACTGGTAAATAAGTAGCCCAAGATTCCTGGTTTGGTGGAAATTAAACTGTAGCAGAGTTAGCTGCACTAGAAAGGAAAGCAAAACAATAAGGGGTCCAAAGTGGCCAAATGGAGGTTGAGGATTAGTAAGAGAGGAAGTCAGAGATACAACGAAGTATTGGGGTATGGAGGGAAATTCATGTTGAATCTAATAGACCATTGTAAGAAATTTGCCTTTTAGCAAAAGAGAGAGCAAGAGATATTAAGAGAAAGAAAAATGGGGAGCCATTGCAGTGGTTTTATTATTTTTTTCTTTCTAGACATAAACTTAAAAGAAAAACTTGAATTACAGCACAAGAGTAGCTGAACAGAACTTGACTTCAAACAAGAAGTATTTGTGGGTTCCAAAGGGCTATAATTAACATAGATGCTTTTATCCAGAGATAAAAAATAAGGTCCATTCCTTCTTTGACCTCAATCCCTTCACCGCTTTCTCAGGCTGACTTTACTGTGCATCTTTTTGTGCCTCTGCCCTGTGCAGCAATGCTGGAACATTTGGGCAAACAGAGTAACTGGTAGGACACTCCAGTCTGCTCATTGCCTACACAGGCTGGCAGCAGAAGCCAATCAGTGGCCTCAATCAGGAGAAGGATTCCAATTCCCTGATTGTAAAGATGGGGGAAGTTGTCCAGGTGTGGTGGCTCACGCCTGTAATCCCAGCACTTTGGGAGGCCAAGGTAGGTGGATCACAAGGTCAGGAGTTCAAGACCAGGCTGGCCAAGATGGTGAAACCCCATCTGTATTAAAGATACAAAAAAATTAGCTGGGCGTGGTGGTGGGCACCTGTTAATCCCAGCTACTTGGGAGGCTGAGGCAGAGAATTGCTTGAACCTGGGAGGTAGAGGTTGCAGTGAGCCAAGATCATGCCACTGCACTCCAGCCTGGGTGACAGAGCGACACTCAAAAAAAAAAAAAAAAGACAGGGGAAGTAGGCAGGCAATTGTTTTCTACTGAATGCTTACTTTGGCCATTGCAGTGTTTTGAGCAGATAAATGACCCAATATGACTTATGTTTTAAAAGAATAACTCTGGCTGCTATGTTGAAAAAAAAAAAAAGCCTGTAAGGAGGCTACAGAAAGCTGTTAGGAGGCTCTTTTAGAAATCCAGGACAGAGGTGATGGCGGCTCTGAACAGAGGTATGAGAAGTGGCTGAAATCTTGATGTAATATGATGGTGGAGCCAACAGGAATTCTTGCTGGATTGGATGTCGGGTCTGAGGAAAAGAGAGGAGTCAGGAACGACTTTAGGATTGGGGCTTAAGAAACTGGATTTTTCACCAGTTGAGATGGGGGAGGCTGTGGGAAGAGCAATTTCACTGTGAGGGAAGAGGGGAGGGTTGGAAATAACCATTAAAAGTTTCTCAGCATATGAATGATTTTTAAAACCTTAAAAGTGAATGAGATCACCAAGAATGGAATGTAGATGGAGGAGAGTGTCAGGACTGTGATTCCAAGTCACTACAATATCAAAATTTGTGGTGAAGAAAAGGAACCAGCAAAGGAAACCGAGAAAGAGATGCCTTGTCTACTTGGAGGGATCACAGGAAGCCAGTGTGTCAGTGAAGTGGAAATGATCAACCACCTCAAAGCTACTGAGGATCACAGCTCAGTGTCCCTGGGAAGCTACACTGGGACAGAGGTTTCCAGGAAGACAATTTTCGAGGTATACCCTCAGGAAGAAGATTGAAACAAAGCAAGAGACACAGAACTAAACAGAAAAATAAGTTGAGCAGTAATGGGGCTGTAACAGAGGCCTCAGCAGCACCCAAAAAGAGCTCTGGGGCTGGGGTGGCCATTCAGGGATGTCCTGAATTGAGGTAGAGGTGCTATACTCGGTAGCCTCCCATGGACAATCACTGGATGTGGGCTGCTCCAAGAAGGGAACATAATCTTGGGTGAAATCCCTTGGGAAATTCCTGGGGAGGGACTTGGTGAGCTGTGAGCAGCCAAGGCTCCTGGCAGCTGGGCAAATGAATTTCTTGTCCCTAAAGGGGAATGTGGGTGGTACACCCCTACACCCACACATGGTAAAAAGATGAAACTGACACAGGCTTCAGCAGCATGGAGGTTTTTTGCAGATCATGAGCACTTTGGGGTTGGAGTGGTCGGGACAAAAGCCAGCTTGAAGTAGGATAAGAATAAATGGTTAGAAAGAGATTGAAGAATAAGCAAATACATAGCAGCCACTTCAGTGTGCTTTGATGCAAAGAACAGCAAAGATTTGCTGTGGTAGCTGGAGGGCGAAGTGAGTCAAGAAGGTGGTAGGATGTTTGTATGCTAATGGCCCTGATGCTGGAGGTAGCAGAAAGAGTAATGGTATAAGAGTGAAGTTTAGAACTGCAAGAGCAATGTCTTAGAGGATTCTTTTACAGTGTTTTAAATTATTATTTCATTTATGTCAGTGCAGTTATGATAACCATCAAACATGTGGAATATTGTTGAAGTTAATGGACCTCCCATCTTGTGCTTGATTTTAAGAGCAGTGGCTTCAGAGTTTCACCATTTTGAACATCTTAAACAGAGTAATGCTTAAGAGTAGATGTACATAGTGAATCATGACGTGGTTTTGATTTTTTTATATAGTCATAATAGCTACTGAATTTAACCAAATTCCTTTCTAGCATTTGTTCTTATGAGCTTACCCTACCCCCCTCCTGCCCCCAGCACACACTTGTCTTAGTAGTGGAGTGGTTAAGGTCAGGGACAGAGGAGCCAAAATTTCTGGGAGTTTTAGGCCTACCAGTTACTCTCCATGTGATCACAGGGATACAAATTATCTTCTTTATGCCTTGGGTTTTCCGTCTTCACAGTTCAATGATAATTATGATTACAATGACCAAAATAGGGTTGCAATGAGATGGTAACTGTGTTAATACGTATACATTATGTAGCAGAGTATCTGATGCACAATCAATACTGAAGATAAATTTGGTATCAATATTTTTATTACTATTATATTAATAAATTTCCTAATAGAGTATTTTTGGAATTAAGCCCACCAAGTTGTGGCATTATCGTGTTTGGCAATATTGCAAATTTTGCATCCTAAGTCATAAATAACATTGACATACAGTTATTGTAATTGCCATGTTGTGTCTTTTTCAGAACTTTGCAGAGCTTTGTCTTAAAGTGACACTGGTTGAAGAGTTGCGTTGCTGAGCTTTTCATTTTCCTTGTGCCATCAGAAGTTTTAAATAGCATTAGAAATAGGTGGTTTTTACAAGTTTACATAGAACTCAGTTGTGAAATCACCTAGCCTGATGTCTTTTTTTAAGAATAAATCTTTATTTGAGTTTTCAATACTTTTTTCGGTAACTGGTCTGCTCAGATTTTCTACTTCTGAGTAGTTTTGGTAGTTTGTATTTTAGTTGGGAGATATCCTTTTTTTCTAGGTTTGTTTTAATTTATTTGCAGCATATTTGCACATATTATTTATTTATAATTTTTAGTTTTTTTACATATGAGTTTAAGCCTCCTGTTTCATTTTGTATCATAAATATTTTACTTTATCTCTTTTTTTAGTCTCATAAGGCATTTATATACTTTATTGATCTTTTCAAAGAACCATATTTTTAATGTATTTCTTCTAAAATGTATATACTTTTTCCTATATATTTTATTAATTTCAGTTTTTACTTGAATAGTTCTTTCTTCATTAGACTTTTGGGTTTACACTCAGTTATTTCCTAAGAAAAGGACTGATTTTCTTTGTATTTTGTCTTCCTTCTTCCAGAATAATGCCATTTTAGGGTCTAAATATTTCTCTGAATACTGATTTTATTGTGGCCCATGGGTTTTAATATAAAGTTTTCTCCTTTTCATTGCTTTTCAGATAGAATGTAATTTCAGTTACACTTGTCGCTTTGTGTTTTTTGCTTCTAAGTAGTCAATAAATTTTGGTCTTTTTTGTTATTTATTATTTATAGTCATTATGATTTTGTTCATAGTATGTATTCTGTCAAACTTCTATTTTGAATTTTTTAGGGTTTGTGTAGTCATGATTCTGATCAATTTTCATAAATTCTTGTTAGACATATGTAAAATGTATAGTATATATTTGAAGAATGAAGAGTAATATACGCACATATAATTTACAAATATGTATACAATATATAAATTGCATAATTACAGCTTATAGAATACTAGTACAACTATTTCAGCTTTTTAATTGGATGGCTGGTATATCTTTACTCATCTTCTCTATTTTCTACTTTTTAATTACTTCATATTCATTTCATTTTTTGTCAACCACATGGAGATGGTTCATATTTTTTTAAACAAGTTTGGCAGCCTCTTCTCATTGACATACAGTATAAGAACAACAATATATGATTTATTTATTTCAACTTCTTCATATTTATTATTTATTGCCCTTTGTTACTTACAGTTATTCTCTTTATTTTTGCTAGTCTGATGTATTTACTGTCTATACCTATTTAGCCTTTGTCAGTTTAGAATGTATGCTATCTTTTTTGATAGCACAATCAATGATGTCTTCTTGCTTGAAGCTCAAAATTGCTCTTCCTCTACTATTATGTTAAAATAAGATATCAGTTGTGACTCCTAGCCAAGGTTCCTTAGCCCATATCCCCATTGCTTTCCTCTTACCTCAATGTAATGTGAATTTGGAAATGCTTGTCTTCACCATCATCTATCTCACATCTTCAGGGTTTTATTCACAGAAGGAGTTTTTTTTCTTCCAGGTTTAAACATTGTCCTTTGTAGCATGTGACTTCTATTTCAGGAATTCTTTTTTGGTGTGTCTGCTATGTGTTCCAAGACTCTTGATGACTGGATCTGTATCCCTACCTCTGTCTTGATTCACTTTTCATTCTTATGAAAACCCTCTGTCTTCCCTTGTCTAGATATCTCTCAACAAATGTTTAACAACAAACAACATTTGTTGTTTGAACTTCAGCATTTTCTTCAGGTGAGATGTGGGTGCTATTTTCTCTAAGTCCTTGCAGATTTCCGTCCTTCTTTTCTTTTCTTTCCTTTTCTTTCTCTTTCTTACTTTCTTTCTTTCCTTCCTTCCTTTCCTTTCCTTCCTTCCTTTCTCTTTCTTTCTTTCTTTTTCTTTTTTTCTTTCTCTCTCTCCCTCCCTCCTTTATTTTCTTTTCCTTCTTTCTTTCTTTCTTTCTTTCTTTCTCTTTCTTCTTTCTTTCTTTCTTTGTTTCTTCCTTCCTTCCTTTCTTTCTTTCTTCCTTCCTTCCTTCCTTCCTTCCTTCCTTCCTTCCTTCCTTCCTTCCTTTATTTTCTCTCTCTCTCTCTCTCCTTCTCTCCTTCTTTCTTTCTTTCTCTCTCCTCCCTCCCTGCCTCCCTCTCTCTCTCCCTTTTGAGACAGAGCCTCACTCTGTCATCCAGGAAGGAGTGCAGGAGTGCAATCATGGCTCACCACAACCTCATCCTCCTGGGCTCAGGTGATCCTTCCACCTCAGCCTTCTGAGAAGCTGGGACTACAGGCATGCACCACTGTACCTGGCTAATTTTTTGCATTTTTGTACAGACAAGGTCTTGCCATGTTGCCCAGGCTGCAAGATGATCTTTCTTTCACATCAACAAGTACATCTTATTATTGTGATTTAACATACAATTCTTGGGTCAATGTTCATTTTCTTAGAAGTCTCCAAATACTGTTCTACTATCTCCTTTTTACCTTTGAAACTTACTGCTTTTTTCTGCATAGAAGCTTGAAACGTTTTCTCCTTATCCCTGAGATCCAAAAGTGAAGAACAGTGTCAGACTTTGGCTTGATGTGTGTGTATTTTTTAATATCAGTCTTGCCTAGGATTGGGCAAGGCTTTGGGCTTCTGACTCAGGCCTTTCTTTAACTCAGTATACTTTAAAATGTATTAACTTTTTATTATTCTTTCTTCAGCTGCTGTCTTTGTTCACCTGTAAGTACCAGTATTGTAAATCAAACATAACCCACCTATTCTCCTCATCTCTTGCCTTTCTCCTCACAGATCCATTCCTTTTTTTTTTTTTTTTTTTTGATGGAGTCTCGCTCTGTCGCCCAGGCTGGAGTGCAGTGACGCGATCTCAGCTCACTGCAAGCTCCGCCTCCCGGGTTCACGCTATTCTCCTGACCCAGCTTCCCAAGTAGCTGGGACTACAGGCACCTGCCACCACGCCCGGCTAATTGTTTGTATTTTTAGTAGAGACAGGGTTTCACCATGTTAGCCAGGATGGTCTCAATCTCCTGACCTTGTGATCTGCCCGCCTTGGCCTCCCAAAGTGCTGGGATTACAGGCGTGAACCACCGCGCCTGGCCCCATTTCTTAATCTTTTCTCCTGGTTTGAGATTTTTCTTCTACTTGGTCTTCCAGGTTCTAACAATGACCACCTTCTCCTTCAACTACCAAAGGTTTTAGTTTAAAAGAATTATTATATACAGTTGATTCTCATTATTCATGGATTCTGTGTTTGCAAATTTGTCTACTTACTAAGATATATTTTTAACTTTAAAACCAATACCCATGGAGCTTTCACTGTCATACATGGACATCCTCAGAGTGGCAAAATATGGGGGAATGCACATGTTCCCAGCTGAGGCCAAACAACACCACCTTATTGCTTCAGCTCTTGTACTGTAAACAAATGTATTTTTCATGGTGTATTTACTGCCACATTTTTTACATGATTATGCCTTTTTGGGTAGTTTTGCTATTTAAAATAGCTCCCAAGCTTGGTGCTGAAGTCTAGTGTTCCTAAGCACAACAAGGCCATGATGTGCCTTACTAAAAAATTGTACATGTTAGATAAGCTTTGTTCAGGCATGGGCTATACTGTTGTTCAGGCACATTAATTGATATGGTTTGGTTCTGTGACCCCACCAAAATCTCCCGTGGAATTTTCACTCCCAATGTTGGGGGAGGGACCTGGTGAGAGGCTATTGGATCATGGGGGCGGATTTTCCCCATCCTGTTCTCATGCTAGTGAGTGACTTCTCATGAGATCTGATGGTTTAAAAGTGTGTAGTACTTCCGCCTTCACCTCTCTCTTTCCTGCTCCACCATGGAAAGATGTGCCTTGCTTCCCCTTCACCTTCTGCTATGATTGTAAGTTTCCTGAGGCCTCCCCAGCCATACGAAACTGTGAGTCAATTAAACCTCTTTTCTTCATAAACTACACAGTCTTAGCTAGTTATTTATAGCAATGTGAGAATGGACTAATACATGAATGAATCTACAATATATACTAAATCAGGTGTTTTTTTTAAAGAATCACATATAGAATAAGATTATGTATTGATTGGTTGATAAGATTGTTGTGATCAGAGGCTCACAGAAACCTCACCTTGTATGTCCTCTAAGAGCAATAGTTCAGTATTCTCTACTCACAGAAACTTTATTAAACAACTACTGCCAATAATGACACTTGGCTGTGTCTACTTCTCTGAAGTGTTTGCTGATGCTGTAATGTACTCTCAAGCATTATTATTTTGTTTGTTTAAGTTGCCTGCCTTCTCTAGCATTGTTTTGCTACCAGATGGCTTGTGTTTCCTTTTTCTAACTATTAGGCGTCTCTTGAGTGGTTTGCAATTTTCCACTACCCATCCAATGGAGTTTAGGTTCAGCTACCAATATCTTAGTTTTGATCTCCAAATATGAGAAAAAGGATTTTGGTCTCTGTGCTACAGACTAATAATCTACTAGACTCAGTTAAAAGGGGGACTCAGTCTACCTGTCCAGATCCTACAAAGCTTCTCTGAGACCAGGGAAGTCAACAGATCTTCCCAGAAACACATTTTCCAGCTCTGGAAAATTTGGAGGGCCAAAGAGGTTGCACTCTTTCTAGTTCTGCATGCTCCACTCATCAACCCAGGACTCTCTCCATTGGTTTCCAGGCTCTCACCTAACCTGGGGGAGCAGAAATCCTTCAGCAGCATTTTCTCTCAAGATTTCTGCATGTCCCAAGGCCTTGTTTGTCCTCATTATGCATCCTCTATCTACTGATACCACGTTCATAGAGGTAGTTAGCAGTTGGGAGTTGAGAAAGAGATGCAGATATCATAAAGATGCCATCTTTCCAGAATTGGATTCTGAAGTATATTATGCATACATGAATGCTGCCATATTCAGTGAACACTGTCTTTCTCCACAAATAAATTACTTGGAAGTGTCAAGCTAAATGCCACCACATCCTCTCTACTCCAGATGTTGCCACAAGAGACTTCCCTCTCTCAATGGCTGTTGTTTCTGACGCTGTTGCTCATAATGATGTGGGCAGACTGGTTTATCTCTTCTTTATTTATTGGCAAGTTGCTTGCATCACATGGAAGCAGCTAAAGTCTGCAGTTACGAGCACTGAAGGGGAGGAATTTCCATAAATGCCACATGCTTTACAAACTCTGCTTCAGATGAGGCTCACCCATGAGTTTTTGATAATGCACTTGTGATAACACCTCTATTATTGTACAGTCTATTATTTTCAAAATGAGGAAAATGGCAATACAGTCTCTGGTCCACTAACTCTTGTTAGCTCACCCAAAATCAATAGACTTTGATGCTCTACGTACCTTCCATTCAAGGTAGTCCATGGTAAGCAGTTCCCACTAACAGTTTTTATATCCATTTGAGCATATCGGTTATAGCTAATGTCAGTGTGGGCATACTTTACCACCTGTTTCTTAGTATATTTTTACAGTATTTATTTTTATCTATAAGGATTTTTTAAATGTTTATTTCACTTAACCATCGTGCTTATAACTCACTACTTTTGGAAAATTTTCTCAAATCAACTGTATTTGGCCCTTATTTCTTACCAAGTATCTTTTACCACTTATAAACTGAATGTGAATATTGCAGAGGCATCATTTCACATAGGCTAAATTTTATTTTTGTTAAATATTCATGACTTCTGTTTCAATGTATTCTGTTTGGTATTTGATACTGTGACAAGAGCACTGATTTAAAGGCAAAAGGTTTAGGTTGAAAAATCTCTCCTGCTGAGGAGTTTGTTTATTCTTTATCTGTGTAACTCTGCGTATGTTATTCGACGTCTATGAACTTTGATCTTCTAGCCTTAAAATGGAGGTGAGAATACCAATCTTACAGAATTCTCATACTAAGTTAGTTATACGAAAGTACCTGGCTCATAATAAATACTTGATGAAATGTTAGTTGAATTTGAAATCATGAAGAAAGGTCTTGTACACATAATGAGTAATATAAACACAACTTTGAGGGAGAAATTTGAACCTACCTAAGACAAAAAAAATTTTTTTGAACCACTTAAAGAAACTCGGTTTACTGCCAAAGTGTTACTTCACATCATGATTTCTGTTCATTGAATGATGTCCGGCTTACCTCTGTTTCAGAAAGACTTCTTAACTCACTTTTCTATTTTCCATAACTTTGTTTACTTTAAATTTTATAACCTTTTAAAAAAATCTATAATTCAGACTTTTTGCTAAATTACACTTCCCTTTGCCTCACATTGTATTGATTTTTTTTTAAAGTTTTAAGCAGCATAAAAAAATGTACCAGAGAACCAGACTAGGGAAAATACTGGCAACAATATATTACAAAGAATGAATAATTAAAAAATATATCTTTCAAATATGTACAACTGGCAAATGCCAAAATCAAAAATGGTTACAACAGCAATAAAACTAGCTAGAGACATATGGTAACTGAAGAAAGGGTAGTAAGGGGACTGTTTGGAGAGATGAGGACAGGGTTAAGAAATGCACAGGATGGGAAACACCCAGGGAACAGCAACAGCAGAATTCTTTCCCAGGCAAGATCTCAAGGGGCATAGAAGAGGGCAGTGTTACCAAAGCCTGGCTGTGAAAGAGGAGCCCCAGACAAGCATGGTGGCCACCAGCAGAGGAGTACAGCCACTGGAAAAACCTTGGCCTGGCCTGGTGGAGGGGAGAGAATCTCTTGCTGACCCTCTGATTCTCTTTAGGGGCCACCATTGGACCAAATCCAACAGGATGCTGGAAGTTAAGAGAGCCTGGGTGAAGCTTTCCCCTAGACATGGACCACAGCACAGTGAGCAAGCAGCTGTGGTGCACTAGGGGAGTAACAAGCATAGCAGGATGTGGGAAGAGATAAGCAGAGATGGCTTATAAATATGTGAAAATGTTCAATGTTGCTAAGCTGGTAATGCATGAAAGAGTGACGATATTTGGTGTGGGAAAGCAGGCACTTTCATATATCGCTGATAGGAGAATGAATCCAACTTTTCCGGGAAACAAGTTGGCAATATGTAGAAGACATCTTAGAATTTGCATTTTCTTAGACCTAAATTTATCGTATGGAAATTGATCCTAAAGAAATAATTATAATATAGCCTAAGAAAATAATTGGATAAGTTCATAAAGTAACTATACAGGAGAGTTTATCACATGAGCTATTATAATAGCAAAATTTAGAAGATATCTTAGTGTATAATAATGACTATTGGCTAAATAAATTACTGTGACTATATGTTCATATATATATTTTTATATATATATACGCACACACATCATATATACACATGAACTATTATAATGGCAAAATTTAGAAGATATCTTAATGTATAATAATGACTATTGGCTAAATACATTACTGTGTGAATATATATATACACACACACACCATATATACTATATATATATCATATATAACATATATATACACACCATATATGTTACCATATATACTGTGTGAATATATATATACCATATATCTAGTTTTGCAAATATTAAGAAAGAAATGTTAAATCAGCATTTGTTGTAACAGAAAAAAAGACTCACAGTATATTGTTAAGTGTACAAAGCAGATGACACGGTATTTCTGGTTTATAGATAAGTAGGAATTGGAGGTAAAGAGATATCTCAAGGGCACACAGTTAGAAAGAAACAGGGTTCTAAATCGGGCTTCAGTAGCACCACTAAGCCATGTGTGTTTTACTTTCCCTCTGGGTCTGTGCCTCTCTATAAGTTCTTTGTGACCCATCTTTAGAAAACAGGCTATGCCTAAGACCACCCAGAAATTAGATCAGGGTCTCTTGGTAGGATGTCTGTGGGGGGTCTCCTTGACATCTGATCTGCCAATTGGTCTCAGTTGTTTCTTGACCTGATTCAAGCTATGATCAAGTTCTGAAAACTTACAGATTGCTTCATCCAGAAATTATTTCATAAGCAAGGCGCATGGAAGATGAGAGGGGAGAGGAAAGGGAGAAGGAAGGAGGGAGCAGATGGGAGAGGAGAGGAAAATCAGTTAATGGCAAGAGTTCCTTAAGTACGCACTTTAACCAGTCCTGTTAAGGGCACTGATGACTGTCTCACATACTCCCTTACTCCATGGAGCTTGTGGTAGACCCATAAAGTGTGAATCACTATATTAGTTTGCCAGGGCTTCTGTAGCAAAGAACCACACACTGCTTGGCTTAAATAATATATATTTATTGTCTCACAGTTCTGGAGGCTAAAAGTTGAAACCAAGGTATTGAAGGGCTGGATCCCAAACTGCTCTCCTAGCTACCAGTGTTTAGCTAGCAATCTTTGGCTTTCTTTGACTTGTGGAAGCATCACCTCAATTTCTGCCTTCATCTTCATGTGGTGTTCTTCCTGTGTGTGTGCCTGTGTCCAAACTTCCCCCTTCTTATAAGGACACCAGTCATATTGGAATAGGGCTCACCCCTATTCCATGACCTCACTCCTGTGACCTCATTTTTACTTAATTACCTCTGTAAAGGCTCTATCTCTAAATAAGTTTACATTCTCGGGTGCTGGGACTTAGGACTTTGATGTATGAATTTTCTCGGCAATGTAACTCAACTCCTAACAATCACAAATTGAAATCATTGGAGGAAACTACTCAAAGAGTGGTTCAGCACAGCCTCCCTGAGAAGAAGCCATGGAACCAAGCCCTGAGGTGGGGAAATCACATTAGCTTTGGAGAGAGACAGAGAGCATTTTAGGTAGAAGCAAGAGCATATGTGAAGGAGGCATGATTCAGAAAAGACCTTGGCATGTTCAAGAAACTTTGAAAAAAAGGCGGGTGGGCTTGACTCCTGAAAGGACAGGAAAATGTGGCAAAGATAAGACTCTAGGGGCAGTCAGGGGCCAGACCATTCTGACCTTCCAAGGCTATGGTGAGGTTGATATTTTCCTCTAGTGCAGCGGGCTTGAGTGTCAAGCTCCAGAGTACTCACTGGGCCAGCTCAATCATCCTTCGGCTCTCACCCTGGTGCCTCGATGCTGCCTCTGTTCCTTGTCCTCCAGCAGCATGGCCTCCACAACACTTTACTGCCAGCACCCACTCATGTTGCTCTGTGTCCTGATTTGTGTTTCCTCTCTGTGAAGACAAAGATTGGACTTAACCCAGCTTGTTCTCTGTTGTCTCTCTAGTACTGTCTTAGTCCATTTTCTGCTGCTTATAAAATAATCCCTGAACTGGGTTATTTATAAATTAAACTAATTTATTTCTTACAGTTATGGAGGCTGAGAAGTCTCAGGTCAAAGGGCTGAATCTGGTAAGAGTCTTCTTACTGGTGGTGACTCTCTGCAGAGTCCCAAGGAGGTGTGTCCTCCTCCCCAGGAGGGTGTCCCGTTGCAAGGGGACTGAGTGTATTAATGTGCTATCTAAGAGAGAACAGACTGAGCACAGAGGGGGAAAGAGACAGTTCCAAGAGTTGCCTCCTCAATTTTTGCCTTCTCATCCCATTGTTGGAAAAGTGGATATCATATCAACACAAAAATATGCTGAAAACCAACATAGAGTGATCACTGGGTCTGTGAGCAGGTCAAGGGACAAGGAGATGTCATTATCAAAAGATTGACCATTATCAGCCAGAGAGAGGAGGTGACTAAATCAGTCACGGGAAGAGTCAAGCCCACTTGCCTTTTGTTCGAAGTTTCTTGAACATGCCAGGGCCTTTCCTGACTCTCTCCTCCTCTTTTATACAGTCACCAGTTCCCTTCTCATGATAACCTGTTAGTCTATTAATTATGATTAATTCATTTTGAGGGGATAACCCTTCTGATTCAATCACCTTTTAAAGGCCTCACCTTTCAATGCTGTCACGTTGGGGATTAAGTTTCAACACAAATTTTGGAGGGCACAAATACTAGAACCATAGAAAGTACCTTGCCCATTTGCTGGACTGAACTAAGCATTTAGTGGATTTGTACTAATTAAATCAAAAGGCACTGCTGAACCTTGGCGCTGAACTATTAATCTTTTTTTTTTTCCCTAGGCCTCCGTTTCCTATGCTATTAAAAAAAAGTGTTTTTTAGTGGCCAAGAGCATAAATTCTGGATTCAGATTGTTGTATTCTCACCCCAGCTCTGCCATTTATAAGATGTGTGATATCATTAAATTCATCATTTTTGTGTGTCTCAGTGGGTTCATCAGGAAAATGGGCATGTTAATAGGACCTAACATATAAGACTCTTGGAGATATTAAATGAGTTAATAGACACAAATCTCTCAGACAGAACTGTGTACATAGAGTGCTAGCAATCATCATCATTATTAATGTCATTGTTATCAGAAGTTGGTAACTAGATTCATCCAAACCAGGTTGTATTCACAAATGACCAAGATAGAATAATTTTATAAGATACAGCTTATAATTGTATAGACCAATTTGTACATGAAACACTCCCTACATACACCTCACACATCATCTATAGAAACTCTTCCCTCCAAGTAGGAAAGTGATGCATCTACATTTCCTCATGGACTCCGTACTCATAGATAGGTATCTGCCCTGTGGAAGTTTATGCTTTCAGCTCAGGCAGAAGATACTTGTCCTTGTAACTGCTTTGGATAATTGTTCAATACTCTACAAGTGGAATTGACCAGTGGAAATGCAACGTTTTGAAATACAGCTTTTATCCTAACTTTTAGATAGTTATTGCATGTGAAGACATAATGTTTACAGATTCAAAGTTCACACACACAAAACAAAACTTTGTTCTAATAATCAATATATTCAACAAACATGTATTGAAGACCTAGTGAATAATGAACACTGAGCTCAGATTTTAATATTCACCATCAGCATGTAGCTGCCAGTCTCTATCTATGTAGCTATATTTATCTTACTTTATTTGTCTGTCTATCTACTGCCTCATTCAACAAATGATTTGAGATTGATTAATACTATCTTATTCACCCTTAAAACCCTCCAGTGAGAAATTGACTATTATTATCCATTTTACATGTGAGACAACAAAAACCACCTGGAGATTAATTTTCATTTTCACTTTTTATTAAAATATTTAGAAAATTTTGAACCAGAATTGCATAATTTTTATAAATTTCATTGTGAAAGCCTTCATGCTTATCTCTGATCCCCATCCAAGGCTCACACTCTGGAACAGCTAGAATATGATTCTCAATGACGCTCTGCCTATTTGGCTGGTTTAGATCTCCAGTATCCCATTATCCACCCTCATGTGGCTTGACAGGTTTGAATAATAGGAGGCTGTGTCCAAAAGGATGGAAATGATACTGGAGACAGAGTGTCCTGTTCTCACTTTCCTAAAATTCTCATGATTACAAATATCATTTCTGAGTCCCTGAGATCCATCTGGGCATAGCAAATGAATTTCTAAGACCATGAATGAAAACTAGAGAATGTGTGAAACAAGTTTCCCCAAGAGGTAGACAGCTGACTGTGGAACTGCATTTCCATTTTTTATTTCCACGCTCTGAAATAACCCATCCAACCCTCGCCAACTGCATTTCTCCCACAGAGTCAACAATGGAACACTGAGCCTCCCCGAACCTTTTTGCTTGACTGAGGACTGAGGACAGAGGACTGAAGGATCTCATGTGGGCCACATGAGGTTTGCCTTTAGCATAATATTGCACACAATCTTGAGGGCTCCAATGTGGGAAGAAAAGTCAGTGATTACCCATTTGTGGATCTCAGGAGATGTTGGCTGAGAAACATCAAGACCGTGTTGTCAAAGTGCTGTGTGAAACCTGGCTCATCATGGTGCAGTTGGAGCTTTAAAAGATGCTATTAAAACCATTGCTGCAGAAATGGACAGATTCTGCTTAACTCAGTCGCTCCTGCTCTTTATGTTATTTCTGAGATAATTCAGCCATTTCTTTGATCCCAGATCCTTTTTTAAAAATGTTTTATTTCACATAACATGACAATAAATTCATCAGTATATCTATCCTTAAGTATTGATATATTCTTTTTTATTAATACTTCCATGGGATAAATTCCAAAGTGTTGGAGAATTCTATGTTCTGTTAATTCCCACTAATATTAATCTAAAATATTATCATTTTTATTATTGAGTCCCTGGAATCAGGAGGTAAAGGGGAGGGCAGGAAAGTGGCTAAGTATTAAATAATATAAAGCATATCTAACAGATTTATTTTACATGGGATACTTGTTTTCTAAGAGGCTCTGAGAATTCACATTGCCACCAGAAATGACTGAGGGTGCCCTTTCTCCAACACCCCATTAGCAGAGGACTGTGCCATATTTAATAAGCAGGGTTGTTACTCAGTTGCAATGCACCTGTACACATTATATAGGTTCATGAAAAATTGAAATACATTTGTATCATTGTTAAGAAGCTCTTTAAATGTTTATTCCTTGACCAAGTCAACCCAGACTCTACCCTGGGCCCTCCAGCCTCCCCAGGATCTAGCAACTACAGGATAAATAACTGAGGGAACAAGCTCTCAGGAACTTTCTCTATGCCACGCCAGTTAAATAATGTCTTAAATATCACTTTTGCCAACAGGAAAAACGTAATTATCTCATTGTTATTTTAATTTCGTTTTACCAGGCTTATGATGATAATGAAATAATATAGTAATAATTATAATAACAGATATCTGTCAATTTATATCTGTGTCTAGATAAACATTCAGACAGACACATATTCTTGCTGTTATCTCGTTTTTTGTTTTTCTGTGGGTTTTTTTTCCATGAAATTCTCATTTAAAGTTTCCCTCAAGTAATTATGTCCAAACAGGAAGCCATATTTGTGAATATCTTTATTCTAAGTAAGATTACTTGGGTAGAAAATCTGCAATAGAATGTAACAGGTTTTTTTCTTGTTTACTTTTTGTTTTGTTTTTGTTTTAAAAACAGCTTCTGTTTCTCACGTAAATATTGCTTAAAGGAAACTGAACTTTGCAAAGGTGGCAGTAGTCAAATTTGTAGCAGGACCAAGGGGCCTTGTGGAGAACTAGCACCTTGATACCTTCCTGCTTAAGATTCAATGTCATGAACCATCTTCTTGATTGAGGTGACATTGACTGAGACCTGCACAAAAGCCACCAAGTACAGCCTTTGAAAGGACAAGGAAATACTCAAATGGGGGATCTGGGCTCAACATCAAGACCTAATTTATCAGAGAAGAAATCTCACTTGGGATACACTTCATAACTGAGTCAAACATTCTCCTTCCAGCATTCTGGTGCATTGGGAGGAGGAAAGAGAATGAATCCATGTTATCAAAGGCTGCAGCATTAGGAGCTTATGCTGATTGTGCTCCAGTGTCCCCCAAATCCATTCTCTGCCCTTTAGTGTTCCCAGGCAAGCTGATCTCCAGGATCTATAACATCAAGATCTCTAGCCTCCTGACATCTCATTAAAGTTGACCAATGGGGGCTACCAGCAGATGATGGAGAGTGGGAAGATAGAGAGGTTAGAGTGTTTATTCCATTGCTTCCTCCCTACCTCCACATGGATCTGGCAGTGGCTGTATTCCTATGTTGGGTACATGGCTTCTTTGCTGGGTACACGGCTTCCATGGCTCTCACATGCTTCTCTGGCCTGGGCTGGCAAAGGCTTCTTGTGGTTGCTGGTGCCTGCAAGCTTCACTAACCCCACTTAGCCCCTTCAACACTGACCTCTCCTCTGAAATTGTTCCTTTTCTAAGCTTTTTTCAGTTAAACCCCTTGGGCATGACTTCCTGCAACAACATTGACCAATATGGAGTCCATGTGTGCATAGGTATGGGGTGACCATGGCAGAGTAGACAATGAGATAAGACCTACTGTTCCTTTCCCCGCACTGCCTGTGTAAGTAATTGCTTGGCCAGTAGTGGTGGCATGTTTAGATCACCACAGTGGAAGTCAAGAACGTCTTCTAAAGACAATGAAAGAGCATCTGCTTTTTAGCATGTGCCATTGACTTCAGCAATACAGTACAGCATGGCCCCCAGTGGACTGGGAAGGTTTTCAGGTTCTACTCTGCATGGCAATTTGCAACTAGGATTGACCTGTGTCAGTCCTGGGACCAAGTAAACCCCAGGGACTTGGATTTGTCATGAAGTAGGAGACACCCACAGAGGAGCAAATTAAGAGCTTTCTCATGATGGAAGAAATGGAATGTCAAACACTTAGCTCAAATAGTCAAATGGGTTTTTCTTGAAGAGAACTTATAGTGAATCTTCAAATTAAAGCTTACCAGTGGTGGTTGTGTTGACTATGGGATCCTTTTGTTAAGAAATATCCATTCATATCTTAAACCTATTTTTTGTTGGATTAGTTTTGGGAACTTTCAGATTTTCTATTTGTTCAGTTACTGCTGCCATTAAAAGACCAACATGATTTAATGACTCTGTATTCCCCTCTCTTATTTGTTTTCATAGTTTTTATTGATCTCCCCCCAAATCATCAGGGACTCTGCCAAGAGCTGAGATGAATAGATGAAAGTGCACACTTCCTGCATTCTAGAAGGGAAGGAATTTAATATTTATCTAATGTCATCTCTATATTTAAATAATTTATGTACAATATCCTACATATTTTTCCCAACTAAGTAAAGCAAGTCATATTATTTCTGATTTTGAAGATAAGAAAATTGTGAATTAAATAATTAATTTGCATACCCATTCACACAGTGATTGAAGGTGGATAGGGCACACCCATGTCCATCTGCCGTGAAAACCTGTGCCTCTCCAAGGAGCCAGGGCTGCCTGATTCTCACATGAGGCTGACCATGAAGTAAGAATTGACAAAATGCTAAGAACACTGGGGAGGAGAACTGGGAGAAGTTTATCTACCTGTGAGGATCAGAAAATACTCACTGGAAAACATACCTGGAATTAGCTGCAGAGGTTATTTCACCACAATGAGGAGAGGAGCTGTGTGCACAGTATTGGACTCTTGGTAGTCGCTAAATTTGTTGGATTAATGAATTCACTCAAATAACAGAGACTCAAAACAGCCAGGGGAGGTTAATGTGCTGAGTGCTTTGCAGAAGGTTTAGTGAGGGACATTTCCTATCTATGTGTGTCCTCACTGATGTCTGTTAGTAAGATCATAAACCATATGCTCAAGGACCTTATGGTCCTCTGAAGAAAGCCAGTCTATAGAATCAAGATATGATTATGGTCAATCACTGTCTCATCAGGCAACATAAATTGGAGACTGTTTTCCCATGTGCAGCTCATGACAAGTCTTATGATTGGGGGCCTATGTTTTATTGCCTATAAATCCTTAATATTATACTAGCTGGCAGCATAAAGCTACCATTTGGAAACCCCAGTAAGTTAAAAAAACAATAGCCCCACAGACTCTGCCAATTCTAATTTCTTTAATGTTTAGGGTCATTAAGTGGCAGAAAGATATCACTATGAAGTCATTATACTTACAACATTTGGACCCAGATGGCAGTTGTTCTTAGCCATTATGGATCAACTCTTCAAAAAGGCTGAGGACAGATCCACATTGGAGAGCATAGTTTAATGAATTATCCTAGTAACAGGGTGAAAAATGGACCCATGAATATGCTACCTCCATGTCGTCTTTCTTTCTTATTAATTCAGAAATGCTTATTTCTTTAACAAGTATTTGTTGCCTGCCTACTTTAAACTGAGTTGTCTATTAAACCCTGAGGATACAGTGTAAGCAAATAAGACCTGGAGCTTACTTTTGAGTCTGGGAAACAAGTAGTACATATATATTTACAGAAATAAATGTAGAATTATGAATTATGTTAAATGCTATAAAGAAAAGTACAAGGTGCTATGAGCAAGTATAACAAGGGAACCTACTTGAGATGTGGTGGGCTGTCAGTTATTGTCATAAAAAATGCAAGCCTGGTGTTATATCTCTCAATTTCTTAAGAGAGGCCTGATATATAGATTTTTATGCAAAATTACCAAATTAAAATATTTTAAAACATAAAAGATGTTTTGAAGGTCGCAAAAACTAGTCATACTCTAGTTGCATCTTATGGTCTTTCTTTTTATTATTATTGCCTTAGAATGTAGGATAATGTCATTGTGAGAAGGAAGAGATTAGGGTAGGAAAAGATGTCAAGTGTGTGGGTCAAAAGCAGAGTCAGGGGAAAAAATTCTGAAGCTTTGGAGGGACTTCAGCACACAGCTTTGGCATAATTTTATGTTTGCAGCTTTTGGTGTTATTTTTATAGTATGACTTGTCTCAAGGAGGGGCAGAGTAACAGTAGTTCATGCTTGGATTTTGGGGTCAGAGAGACCTGAATCTTAGATGAGTTTTTAAAGCTCTCTGACCTTTAATTCTTAGTCTAAAAAAAAGTAATACATCTATCTCACACAGTTATTGGCAGGATTAGAGGTGATCAGTCAGGTGAAGCACGTATCACAATGCTTGAAATGTAGTAAGGACTTAAAACTGGTAGCCAATAATACAATTATTGTTGCATCTCATTAATTATAACTAACAATTCAGAAGAGTTAGCTAACTTACCCAATTAATAAATAGAAGAATCAGTATCTGAGCTCAGGTCTGCCTGTTTCTGATTTCAATTTGCTTCTAACTGCCTCACTGTTTGGGACACCTGAACCTGCCATGTCCTCTAGGTGAACATCAGTTAACATCACAGTGGCTGGGAGCAGACACTTTGGGATCCCTGTTTCCCTAAGAACTTAGTGCTCATTAACAGGAAGCTCTTACAGGCTGCACAAAGCTTACATTCATTCCCTTTGTGAGCTACTCTTGTGGAAGTAATCGCATTGTAGCTAAGTTTCTTCATGCTCTACTTATTAATGAGATTGTAGACTACTTGAAGGGAAGGGTTTAGATTGTATAGAAGGTATCCTCCTCCCTTCACATTGTCTGCTAAGAACAGATGATTTGTTACATAAATCTCCTATATTTACAATTCCCAAATCCAAAAATTTCCAAAGCTATATTTTAAAAAATTAATTTGACAGCAAGACCAAACCTGACTTTAACTATTTGAGAGGGAAACTATGACCTAAATCACTGAGAGACTATGTACAGTCTTTATTTTTTTATTTTTTACTCTTTGAGATGGCATCTCACTCTGCTGCCCAGGCTGGAGTGCAGTGGCATGATCTCGGCTCACTGAAACCTCTGTCTCCCAGGTTCAAGCAATTCTCCTGCCTCAGCCCCCTGAATAGCTGGGATTACAGGTGCACATCACTACACCTGACTAATTTTTGTATTTTTTGGTAGAGATGGGGTTTCATCATGTTGGCCAGGCTGGTCTTGACCTCAAGAGATGCTCTCGCCTTGACCTCCCCAAGTGCTGAAATTATAGGTGTGAGCCACCACGCCTGGCCCAGTCTTTATTGATCCCAAGTAGAATATTCATGTTTTGTGAATAAATATTAATACATTTGATTAGGAATTTCAACCAAAACTTGCCAGTAATATTACATGACTACATATAGTGTGGCCACACCACCAGTGAGGTATTTATTGTTAAGCTGATGAAGCTTAGGCTTCAAGGCTTTTGTACATAATTTTGCATTCAAAAATTTGTAATATTTTACTTGAAGAATCTTCCCAAATTACATAAGAATTAAGCCTCAAGCCTCACCAGGGACCAGCCCTTGTATATCACCTTAACTTTGTAAAATTTGAGAAGTTTTGAAACCAATGCACTTCTTACCTTGAGGGTTATGGATTTGTGCATTTTAGCAAAACAGAGGAAGGCAGGAAGACAGATGGAAAGGAAGACATCAAGGAGGTAAGTAAAAAAGATAGACATACCTATATAATTTTTAGTAAGAAAATACTACCATATATAGAATTTAAAATTTAGTGGCTGACAATACAATATGAACAACAAGTAGTTATATTTAGCCCAGTCATCTGTCCAAAGTGAAGGTTCCAAGTCAGGGGCAGCTCTGCTCCACTAGGTCATTAAGGGACCCAGACTGCTGTTGTTAACATGTGGCTTCCAGGATTGCTGTCATCCATATCCTTTCAGGCCTTGGAGAAGAGGAAAAGCAAGAAATGTGCTTGAGAGGTTTTTTGTTTGTTTTGGTGTGTGTGTGTTTTTCCTAAGGGTCAAGTTACAACGTCGCACTCTACTTCTGTTTACACTCCACTAGCTATAACTCAGTCTCATGGCCACATCTTCCTGCAAGGGACAGGTAATGTGGCTGTAACTTAGGGAGAACAGGAGAATAGATTTTGGTGGAATAGAAACAATATCTGACATACCAATCACCCTTTAAATGAGGCTTCATAACAATGCATGACTTACTGCTTCTCACGGTCTAAAAATCCAGGCAAGCACTTAGGTTTCTCTTATCTTAGACCCCTGTTCTACAGCCAAATTACAGGAACACATAAAAGTAGAAGTAGGCAATAAAACCTCAATTAGATGTGCTTGGAATGTTCTATGAGTCTGTACTGACCCTTTAGGATAGTTTATTTCCTTATTTGACAACTTTCCAGTCTTGAATTTGTAATTAAATAAGTGAATGAATAAAAGAATGAATGCGTACCTCTCCTACTAGCCCAGGGTGTGGAGTGTGGAAGAAAGCTACAACCTGAGTCTAAATAATAATAATGATGATGACATTACTTACATAATACATTTGACTAGCAAGTCAGCTTACAAAGCAACATCACATGTGATATGATTTTGATTTTCACTACAGTCTCTGGTGGAGGCACTCAAAGCATTTTGTAAAGATAAGAAACCCATTTTGTAGATAAAGGCTCAAAAGAGTGACATGGCCAGCCTGAGACTACACACAAGTGCCAAAAGTAGGAATTCACCCCAGGCCTTCTGATTCTATGAAGAGCAGCTTTTTACATCATTACATGTCCTTGCATTTTTGGCCTCTGGAGCAAAAGGCACATGCAATGGAACACATTGGATATTTTTTGTGTATGTGTGCATCCAGTGGGTCCATCACGGATAAGAACAGAACACCTAGATGGAAGAGGACATTTCAGGGTCAGACTTGATCCCTGATATGGTTAAGCTTTGTGTCCCCACCCAAATCTCATCTTGAATTATAACCGTCATAATCCCCATGTGTCAAGAGAGAGACCAGGTGAAGATAATCGGTCCATGGAGGTGGTTTCCCCCATGCTGCTCTCATGATAGTCAGTGAGTTCTCGTGAGATCTGATGGTTTTATAAGTGTTTGGTAGTTCCTCCTGCATTCACTCTCCCTCCTGTTGTCTTGTGAAGAAGATGGCTTGCTTCCCCTTTACCTTCCACCATGACTGTAAGTTTCCTGAGGCCTTCCAAGCCATGCGGAACTGTGAGTCAATTAAACCTCTTTCCTTTATAAATTACCCAGTCTCAGGCAGTTCTTTATAGCAGTGTGAAAACGTACTAATGCAAATCCAGAATTTGGGACAGATACCATTTTTCTAATGTTTGTTATGCCAAGCTCCATGCCACCTGGATGGAGTAAAGCAGGAGCTGAAAATTATGGCCAGTGGGCAAATCTGACTCTGCCTATTTTTATCAATACAGTTTTATTGGAAACACAGCCACACTCATTCATTTACAAGTTGTCTGTGGCTGCTTTTGCAGTGCAATAGCACAATTGCATAGTTGCAGAGGAGACCACAGACCTGCAAAGCCTAAAGTATCTACAATCAGGCCCCATACAAAAAATGTTTGCTGACCCTTTAGGATAGAACAATGATGAGTGCAGGGGACAGAGGCACAGGAAAACACAGACCTGCAAAGCCTAAAGTATTTACAATCAGGCCCCATACAAAAAATGTTTGCTGACCCTTTAGGATAGAACAATGATGAGTGCAGGGGACAGAGGCACAGGAAACAATAATTGAACAGAGAGAGCCCAAAAATAGAATTATGACCAGAACACAGAAGTGGAAGAGAGGGAAAGCTATGTGGCATTTGGCACCATTCGTGTCCATAAAAGGAAGGGCGACAGCGGCCTTTGTAACAGGGAAGGAAATGACATCTAAGTTGCATATTGAGGGATTAATAGTAGTTTGCAAAGCAGTGGGAGGACGTTCCAGGCACATGGAGCAGCTCGTATAAAAGCACCAAGACAGGAATCAAATTGCTCTATTCGGACCCTCATATTAAATAAGAGCAATGAGAGCGAGGGAAAATTGAACTCTCTCAGGTACTGACTGTGGGACCAGACAAGAGATGTAGATTGTCACATTCAATCCTGAAAACAAACCTGCCAGGCAAGTCTTCTTCCCATTTTACAAATAAGGAGACAAAAATTAGGAGATTAAATAACTCATCACTGTTTTCAAAATAAGGAGTGTGTGAGGTTTTGTCTCAGGCTCCTGAAGTTTCTGCCTGGCCCTCCACCACTCTGCCAGGTAATTCACCTCTGCCATGGGACTGCCCAGCTTCATCTCAGCTGCAGCTAGCCAGTCACTGTGCCTGCACACCTGTTGGCGGGAAGCACCATGAGGTGTTGCACAGCAGGTAATGGGACCTCTCCTGGCCAGTTCAGCCTTTGCAGCAGCTGTCAAGACCAGATTTAATGCCTGGGATGTTGAGGCTGATTTTCTTCTGTGTGGGGGAACCAGCCTAGATTGATGTGAGCAAGGACCAGTGACCATTAATCATGATGAAAAGCAGCCATAGTCACAAATTCAAGGTGAGCTCATTTTCCCTGCAGCCCATGCTCTCCCATCACCTTATGTCACTGAGCAGGGCTGCATTCAAAGTCTGCAATCAACCCAGAACTTAAGTAGCAGTGGGAATCTGAGCAGGTTTGGTTATATCCACTTCACCTTCACACTCTGAATCCAGCAATGAAAATATGTGAAGGAGCTATGCCTCATTTTCATATTAATGCATATTTAAAGGACCATAAAGGGAGTTGGCAATGGACAAAGATGATAAAACTCTTTTTTGAGAATTCTAATTATCTTAAACTTTAAAAGTAGATCAACTGATTGTCGGAAAATCTTTACAATCTTCAAATTAAGATAAGAGACAATGGTTTCTTTTTTTCTGGAGAAAGAAAAAAGAGGTGGTCAGGCAACTTTATGAGAGGAACCATGTTTGATGTTTATGACTTTTTGTGAGAGTAAAATATCTATATGAATCATCTTAACCATTTTTAAGTGCGCAGTTCAGTGGTATTAAATACATTTACGTTGTGGTGCAAAACCCACCATCATCCATCTCCAGAACTTTTGTCATCTTCTCAGACGAAACTTCAACACATTAAATGATATCTCTCTATTCTACCCTTCTCTCAGCCCTGCACTACCACCATTTTACTTTCAGTTTCTGTGGATTTGACTGCTGTAGGTAACTCACATAATTGTAATCATACAGTATTTGTCCTTTTGTAGCTGGCTTATTTCTCTTAGCAGAACGTTCAGAAGGTCCATCTATGTTATAGCATATGTGAGAATTTCCTTCCTTTTCCAAGGCTGAATAATATCCCATGGTATGTATATATCACATTTTATTTATCTACTCATCCACAGATGACTGGATGAGCTCATTTGTGGGTGAACACTTGGGTTGCTTTCACTTTTTGGTTATTGTAATTATTGCTGCCATGAACATGAATGTACAAATATCAGTTCAATTTCCTGCTTCAGTTCTTCAAGTGGAATTGGTGAATCATATGGTAATTTTGTTTTTAATTTTTTGAAGAATCACCATACTGTTTTCCTTAGATACTTCTCTATTTTACACTCCCACCAACAGAACATAATGGTTGCATTTTTTTCCCTATCCCCACCAACACTTGTTATTTTCTGATTTTTTTGTAATAATCATACTAATGGCTATAAAGTGATATCTCATTGTAGTTTTGGTTTGCATTTTCCCAGTGATTAAGGATGTTGAGCATAATTTGATATGCTTATTGGCCATTAATGTATCTCCTTTGGAAAAATGTCTGTCCAAGTCCTTTTCCACTTTTTAAATTGGGTTGTTTGTTTTTTGTTGTTGTTGAGTTGTAGGTGTTCTTTATATACTCTGGATATTAATCCCTTACAATGAACATGATATTCAGATGTCTTCTCTTATTTTATGGGTTGCCTTCTCCCTTTGATAGTATTCTTTGATTCACAAAGGTTTTTAATTTTAATGTAGGCAAAATTATATTTCTTTAAAATGTTGCCCATGCTTTTGGTGTCATATTCAAGACAGGTTTGCCAAATCCAATGTCATGAAATTATTCCCCTAAGTTTACTTCTAACAATTTTAGAGTTTTAGCTTTTATATTTTGGTCTATTTTGAGTTAATTTTTGAATACAGTATAAGGTAAAGGCCCAACTTTTTTCTTTTCCATGTGTATACTCAGTTTTCCTAACACCATTTGTTGAAAAGACTGTTCTTTCCTCATTAAGTAATCTTTGAACCACTTTCAAAAATTACTGGACCATATATGCAATGGTTTATTTATGAAGTCCCTATTCTATTCCATTGTTCTATATATCTATTTTTTATGCCAATACCACATTGTTTTGATTACCATGGCTTTGTAGATAAGTTTTGAAATCAGGAAGTGTAAAACTATCAATTTTTTTTCCTTTTTTCTTTTTTTTCTTGTTGAGACAGAGTCTCACTCAGTCTCTCAGGCTGGAGTGCAGTGGCATGATCTCAGCTCACTCCAGCCTCCACCTCCTGGGCTCAAGTGATTCTCCTGCCTCAGCCTCCCGAATAGCCAAGATTACAGGCACACACCATCACGCCTGAGTAATTTTTGTTTTTTTTAATTACAGACGGGGTTTCACTATGTTTGCCAGGCTGGTCTTGAACTCCTGACCTCAAGTGATTCACCTGCCTCGGTCTCACAAAGTGCGGGGATTACAGGTGTGAGCCACTGCACCCAGCCCCTTTTTTTTCCCAAAATAGATTTTTCTATTTCTGCAAAAGAAATGCCACTGGGATTTTGATAGAAATTGCATTGATCCTGTAGATCACTTTGGATAGAATTGGCATCATAATAATATCAAATCTTCCAATCCATGAACACAGAATATATTTCTATTCATTTACATCTTCTTGAATTTCTTTCAGCAATGCTTTGTAGTTTTCAGTGTACAAATCTTTTACCTCTCTGATTAAGTTTATTCCAAAATATTTATTCTTTTTGATGCTATTTTAATAGAACTGTTTTTTAATTTTTTAATATATACTACACATTCCTAGTGTATAGAAAATAACTTATTTGTGTGTGTTAAATTGACATTCTGCAACTTTGTCTAAGTTGTTTATTGAGTCTAATGCGTGTGTGTGTGTGTGTGTGTGTGTGTGTGTGTGTGTAATGTTTAGGGTTTTCTACAGATAATGCCATCGGAGAATAAAGAGAATTTTACTTCTTCCTTTTCACTTTTAATTATTTTATTTTATTTTATTACCTAATTGCTCTGCAATGTTTTCCAATACTACGTTGAATGTAAGTTGCCAGAGAAGATACCCTTGCCTTATTCCAGATCTTACAAGAACATCTTTCAATCTTTCACCATTAAGTATGATATTAACTGTGTGGTATTTCTTTAATATATGGCTTTTATTATGTTGAGGTAGTTTCTTCTAAT
Organism: Homo sapiens; assembly: GCF_000001405.40. NCBI lineage: Eukaryota > Metazoa > Chordata > Mammalia > Primates > Hominidae > Homo > Homo sapiens. Next base: position 133,949,149 of record NC_000008.11, on the reverse strand, counting down.
CCTAGTTTTGTTAAGTACTTTTATCATGAATGTTGAATTGTATTAAGAGCATTATGAAATGCTTTTTCTGCATCAACTGAAATGATCGTGTATTATTGTATTCATTTTGTTAATGTGTTGTATTACATTGATTGATTTTCATATATTGAACTGATTCTTTTTAGCCAATGCAAATTTATTTAGGTAAACTTTAAGCTCCTTCCACAATTGCCTTTTAACAATATTAAAAGCAACTCTTGGCAACCCAATGTGGCATTTAAAATTTTAAATATGTCTCATTGCTGAAGTGCTCATGCAAAATGCCTGGTAGAGGATTTTATGTTATAAAGGACTGGTTAATGATATCAAAATGCAATACAAATCCAATACATGTACTACCTAGAGAATTACAAAATGAAAATCATTTATAGGATTCTTTATATGTAACATAATCTCTATTTATAAATTATAACTCTATGAATTATAATATTATCAAGGTACAATTTGAATACTTGTGCAATTTCTTAAACACCAGTAGTTTAACTAAAAGGAAGGCAATTCAATATGACTTTAGTATTTATCTGGTTATAGACCTTCAGAAGGAGGTACCCTGGAGGATGGACTGAGCCCTGGTGAACATTCACTTCTTCTCTCAGGATGTGGGGACATGCAGTGTTTGGACAAGAATGACAAGGAAACTCCCTTGTGACTAGAGGGTCCTCAGTGCTATTAGAAAATAGGGAGGTTCAGGGAAGCCTGCTGGACTGCAGAAAGTAATCTATGGAGGCTGTTATAGACCGCATTTTGTCCCCTTACCCTAAAATTTGCATATGTGACTGCATTTGGAGATAGGGTCTTTTAGGAGGTAAGATGAACTGAGGTCTTAGGGTGGGAGGGTGGGGCTCCATCCAACAGGACTGGTATCCTTATGAGAAAATAAAAAGGAAAGAGACATCTCTCCTCTCTCTCTTACTCTCCCTCCCCCCAGCCACCCCCCCACCCCCACCCCATACACACAGAAGAGGTCATGTGAGAATGTAGAGAGAAGGTAGCTGTCTGCAGGTCAGGAAGAGAGACCTCACCATAAACCAACCCTGCTGACATGTTGATATTTAAGCTTTCAGCCTCCAGAGCTGTGAGAAGATAAATTTATATTGCTTAAGTCACCAAATCTGTGATATTTTATTATGGCAGCCAAAGCAAACTAATATCAAGACTTCAGATGAGCTTCTAGGGAAGAGGGAAGGAAAGGAGATCCTTCTCCTAGAACCATCCTCAGGGCCTGATTTCCTGGTCCCTCCTACTGGCTCATGAGGTGGGGGAACAAAGCCTGGATCAGCTGCGCCACTCTCAAGTGTGAGAGACATATCAAGAGAACCTAAGATATCAAAGGTGTTATTAACCTCATTTTTTTGGATAGGGTCTTGCACTGTCGCCCAGGCTGGAGGGTAGTGGCGCAATCTCTCCTCACTGCAGCCTTGACCTCCCAGGCTCAAGTGATCCTCCCATCTCAGCCTCCTGAGTAGCCAGGAGTACAGGTGTGTACAACCACACCTGGCTAATTTTGTTTATTTTTCATGGAGACAAGGTCTCCCTATGTTGTCCAGGCTGGTCTCCAACTCCTGGGCTCAAGCAATCCTCCTGCCTCAGCCTCCCAAAGTTCTAGGATTACAAGTATAAGCCACTGTGCCTAGCCCATTAACATCATTTTTGAGGATCTTGGGCCATTTGCCTCATTAAAAGGAAACATATAAAAACATCGGTACCCTGTTGGTCTGAAAGAGATAACAAAAGTTGGGAACAAGAGGGCAAACTCTGCGTTTTTGTTTGAGGAAGAAGAGTTGTTCTAGGATGTGGCTGCCTTGGTGGAGGAATTTTCATCCTGAGATCTGAATACTGTGGAAGTAGCTTCTGGTCCACAAAATACACCTTGGACACCAGATCCCTGAGCCATCCCAGCTGAACATACCTGAAGCCTCAGTGATCTGATAGCTCATAGGATTCCCTTATTCCCATAAGCCTCTGCCAGATGCTGATCTTGAAATACGGAGGTCTTGAAGATCATCTGTAAAGGCTCAAATTTAATATCTGCTTCAGGGAAATTTTATCTGTGATATGTATTTTCTTTTCTAAATTCACTGGGGTTTCTTTGACCAGTCTTACCAGCCTTAACTGTCAACCACTTATTAGAAGTTTTGATATCAAGTATAATCAGCTGACATTTGAAAGATTCAAAGAATCTTTCCATTTCTTCCCTTAGACCTGTAGATTTTTTTCCCCTGAAGCTCCCTGGCTCTTCAGAGGCAAGACTCATGCTTTTATCTACTTGACAAATTTCTCTGCATTCTCTAAACTATCTCTTTGGTCTAGACTTACTTTCCTGCAAGTCCCCTTCATTTTCTTGACAAAGTTCATTCACTTATTTAAGTTTCTGCTGAAACATATAAACCTCACTTTTAATCTTGCCTTTTGCGATTTCCAAAGACATATCCTTCCTTTAGAAAAAATTGCTACAATACTTTATGATATCATCTTTGAGCACTTTTAAAATTATATCTTCTCTAGCTACCTCAATACTTTTTTGGTTGCTTTCCTCTTTGAGTTTTTGTAAGAAAACATTTTTAATAAGCTTTTCTTGTAATGTTATATTAAATCAGTTTTATTATAATAAGCCTTATTACTTATTATAAAATTGGCTTTTAGCAATAAGAAAGTCAACTGTAGCTGTCCATTCTGCCAGATTCCAGGAAAGCTCCAGAGACCTGAGCCTGGATATCATGCAATGCTGCCCATATCTTAGCATGATGTTTTCAAGACAATCCTGAGGCTAAGCTTTGTGTTATCAGCAGAGTCTTCATGCACCTGCAGCCTTTCCAGGACCAAGAGGACCAGCTTCCCAATTTGACTTCAACAGAGGATTTCTTTAAGATGCAGGATTTTTGGTGCAAAATCCAGAAAAGTCTCAGGCAGCTGTAGAGAAGTTGGCTACCCTAGCTAGAATTCAAAGCAACACCTGGTAGCCAGGACCAATGAGCAGGGAGAGGGTCAAGGTGGGGGCAGGGATGATAAAGCACAGCTTTCAATATTTTCATGAGATACCTAGAAACTGGTAATATTTTGACAGGGTCTGTGGGAGATGGGCTGCCTATGAACTGAGGGACTGGCACATGCTTTTTCCACTGTGTGCCTTCCAGGGTCACCGGGTCTTAACTTGCTCATCCTATTTGGATAAATGTCATTCTTGATTCCCTTGCTACCCTCTGACTGGCAGAACAAGCTGCATGATGAAGGTGGAGACCGTCACAAAGGGGGGCTCACAAGGCCATTTTCCTTACAGACTGGCTTTCATTTGACCCCTTCTGACTATCTCTTATCTCAAGTCCACATCAGTCTCCTGGGGACATAGACTTAGCATTTCCTCTGAAGATTCAAATTCCTAAAGGAACCCACAGTAGAAAATTTTATGGCTGAGCAACTTAAAACCTTATAGCAAAAGGCAAAGTTGGAATAATTAAGATGGTGCATGCATGACTGTTAAGAATAATAGACAATCTCACTAATTAAGACAGTATATGCATTTTACTTAATGCTTACATAAAAGTGAGCATTTTGCAATATATTCCCATTATCATCCCTTGTTCATTTGTTTCAATTAGCTGCTTGTGAATATTGTGTATATTTAGAAATATGCATATGAAGTACCATTTTACACCATTTTCTTGATCAGCATGTCAAACAAATCATGATCTATATTTACAATTACTGCTGACAAAATTTTTGTATTTAAGAGCAAAAATTAAGCAGGAACACCTTAATGTAACAGTACATGAATATCTGTAAATCACCTATAACTTGTGAGATTCCTTAAATAGTTCCCAAATAGTTTGAGCTTCCTTTGCATATCTCCTGTGATAGCAGGGCTAAAGTTTATGGACATCTTTTGGCCTTTCCCTTGTGGTCACAAGATAAACATAGCTCCAGCAATTCCATTCAGGAAGGAAGAAGGAGGAACAGAGGAAGCAGAGAAAGCAGGAATAGCTTTTGTAATTAGGAAGCAAAGACTTTCTCCCAAATCCTCAGCAGGCATCTGCTGGAGCATGAGAGTCTTTAGCTTCCCAGACTCTGCAGTAGAGGAAGAGAAGGAAGAGAGTAAAATGTTGGAATGGCTATTGAGTAATATATTCTACAGGATTTGCCATGGAGGATAGTTCAAATGGAATGTCTGACATCCTTGTTCCTAGAAATTCTTAGACACTCTCCCCTACCAGAGAGCTTCCACGGCTATGTCCTTCCATGAATTCCTGCTACCCATATCATTTGTTGTGGCCCCTCCTTTGTCTCTGAAGATTTCTTTCCTCCCTCTTCTAATTCTAGGCCCCTCAGCCCTCTCTCCAGAGGTTCTCAAAGAATTGAAAATTTATGTTGTAGGACGACATATCATTTTAAGCATCACTCAGTCTAGTTCACCTTGAATGGCTGAATGAATTCAGTAAGTTATTTTCTTAAAGAAAAGAATAATTTTAGACCTATTACAAATGATGTTTTTCTGTATGGAGCAAACAATTCAAACTGTAGTTAACTTTTATCTTCAAATTATGCATATTTACCAGAATTCATAGCTGGCACAGTAGTGCTGTGCCAAGGATAGTTACTATTGACAGCCCTCTGGTACAGAGAAAAACCTATACTACTGCCTGACACTTCCCAGTTTGTTCTGACTGGAGTAAATCTCTACCTCTGGGATGTAAGCAGCTTGAGTTAGAAAGGAAGGAAGGAAGAGGAAGAAGGAAGGAAAGAAGGAAGAAGGAAGGAAGGACAGATGGACAATTAGGAACTGTCAGCCTATATGTATACAGTCATAACATAAACAAAAGTTACCCTTGTATTACTGCATTTTTTTATTTCATAAGTTTTTGGGGAGCAGGTTGTTTTTGGTTACATGAATAAGTTCTTTAGTGGTGATTGCTGAGATTTTGGTGAACTATACACAGTGTGTAGTCTTTTATCCCTCACCCCATCTCACCCTTTCCCCCAAGTCCCCAAAGTCTATTGTATCATTTTACAAGCTCCCTTGTTGCCCTTGTATTTACTTCTTTATTTCCAAGGCTAAAAAGTTAAAGCATTTTAAAAGTTTAATGCATTCACATTATGTGTATATGTGTATGCATGTGTGCGTAGCAGCTTATAGCTTGAATAAACTTGCTCTACCTCTTCTTAGATATTAGTTCAGGTTCAGCCAAAGGCAAAAACAAATTCCTTTGCAATTTACCAAAACAGACGGTAAATCTAGTGAAAACCAAAAAAGTAATTTTCACTAACTTCAAAATCAATGGGGTTAATAATGTCTTACTGCTTTTTCTTTTGATCTCATGGAGACTCTTTTTATCTCCCATAAATTGGACAATTCTATTAGTCAGGGTCTCTAGAGAAACAGAACCAATAGGAGATTATATATATACGTATATACATATATATACACACACACATATACACATATACGTATATATATGTGTATACATATAAACGTATATATATGTGTATACATATATATACACACACGTATACGTGTATATATATACACACATACATATGTATATAAGTGGTGTGTATTTATATACACGTATATATGTATATACGTGTATATATACCCACACGTATATGTGTATATACGTGTATATATATACACACATGTGTATATATATACACGTATACGTATATACGTGTATATATATACACACACATATATGTATATACGTGTATACATATATACACACACATATATGTATATACGTGTATATATATATATACACGTATATATGTATATACGTGTATATATATACACACATATAGAGAGAGAGATTTAATAGGAAAAATGACTCATGCTATTATTGAGGCCAAGAAGTCCCATAACATGCTGTCTAAAAGCTGGAGCACCAGATAAGTCTATGCTGTAATTCAGTCTGAGGCTAAAGATATAAGTCCCAGAGTTCAAAGGCTGTGGAACCAATGTCTGGGGGCAAGAGAAACTGGATGTCCCAGCTCAAAATAAGTGATAATAGCCCCTTCCTGAAACTGACCTTCTCCTTGTTCAGGAACAAAAAGCCACCTTTGTAAAACTAATGAAAGGCCAGAAGGTTAGGATTATTGGAAGAGCCTGAATTCTTCTAAGATGTAGGTGTAGCTAAATGATAACCAGCCATTGTCCCCTAGCTTGCTTTTCTATGATTCATCACTGCTCAGGAGTCATGTAGCCAGAAGCCACAAGATTCGTAACTTCCCCAATTGCTCCTATAGATAACATCACTATTGTAAAACCTAAAATTGGTCTTTGAAATATTTTTCAGGTTTTTGCATTCTGATAACTGACCGACTCTACCTGGAATCACTTAGACCTATGACTGACACTAAGGAACTGACTCAACCAGTCCTATCACCCCCATTCAGAAGCTGACTCAGTATACAAAGATTATTTTTGACCCCCTATGATTTCATACCTAACCCAACCAATCAGTATTCACTATTCACTAGCCGTATACCCACCAAACTGTCTTTGAAAAAAATCTAGCCTGTGAATTCTCAGGGAAGTGGATTTCAGAAACATCTCCCATCCTCCTGCTTGGCTAACACTATGATAATTAAACTCTTTCTCTACTGAAATACCATGCTCTCAATGTATTGGCTTTTCTGTACAGTGGGCAAAAGAACCTGTTGTGTGGTTACAATACCTGGTCAACTTATGAACCTTGAAGATGGGTCTTTCCCGTACAATTTAGCTGCAATGCATACAGTTTCATGGTTTCCTTCCCCAGCCCCTCAAGGGCTTCTGCAAATATTTCTTTCATTTTATACACAACATTTCCTCAAATACATCAGAGTATTGCAAGAATTTACACAGAATCCCAAGATTTTATCTACTATTCTAGGTCTCAAGTAAAACCTGAATTTGATTATCTAAACAAATTTACCAGACAGGTTACACCAGATTGTGTGCCACATAAAATTTAAATTTTGAACAAAATAGATCTCTCTTCCTTTGATCTCATAGAGGGGTTAAAGTTTCAAAATATAGATATTACCATTCTCCACCCTTTCTGATTCATTAGTCCTAGCCAGATTAATTTCATTTACATTCCAAGTTGAAATCTGCTTCCTTCTTTAGGTTCTGAAGGGTGTGTGTGTTTTACTTTCAAATTTCATTTGTCCATTCCTAGTACATAGAAAAGCAACTCATATTCTGCGGAATTCAGTTATTAGTTCCAGGAATTTTTATTGTTATTTTGAATTCCTTGGGATTTGTTTATGTAGACAATCATGTCATCTGTGAACAAAGATAGTTTTATTTCTTCCTTCCCAACCTATATACATTTTATTTTATTTTCTTGTCTTACTACATTAGCTAGAAATTCCGGCACAGTGTTGAATAGGAATGATCAGACAGGATGCTATTGCCTTGTTCCTGATCTTAATGGGAAAGTTTCTAGTTTTTCACCATTAAGTATTATGTTAACTGTAGGTCTTTTGTAGATGTTATTTATCAAGTTGAAAAAATTCCCTTTTATTTCTAGTTTGCTGAGAGTTTTATGATTGAATGTTGAATTTTTTTCAAATGTTTTTTTCTATATCAATTGATATAATCATATGGTTTTTCTTCTTTAGTCAGTTGATGTGATGGGTTACATTAATTGACTTGCAAATATTGAACTTGCCTTGCATACCTGGAATAAATCCCTCTTGGCTGTGGTGTATAATTCTTTTTATGCGTTGTTTAATTTTGTTTCCTAAAATTCTTTGTGGATTTTTGAATCTATGTTCATGATACATATTAGTCTGTAGTTTCCTTTTGTTTTGCTTTTCTTTGTCATGTCTTTGGTTTTCACATTTGGGTAATCTGGATCCAGAAAAAAAGTTAGAAAGTGTTCCCCCTACTTCTAATTTCTGGAACAAGTCATAGAAATTAGTATAATTTCTTCCTCAAATATATGATAACGTTTAACACTAAAACCACATGGGCCTGATGCTTTCTGTTTTGGAAGATTCTTTCAGATGGAGTCTCGCTCTTTCGCCCAGGCTGGAGTGCAGTGGCGTGACCTTGGCTCACTGCAAGCTCCACCTCCTGGTTTCACACCATTCTCCTGCCTCAGCCTCCCAAAGTAGCTGGGACTACAGGTGCCCACCACCATGCCCTGCTAATTTTTTTTGTGTGTGTGTTGTTTTCGCAGAGACAGGGTTTCACCGTGTTAGCCAGGATGGTCTCAATCTCCCAACCTCATGATCCACCCACCTTGGCCTCCCAAAGTGTTGGGATTACAGGCGTGAGCCACCGGGCCCAGCCAAAGATTCTTAATTAATGATTCAATGTCTCCAGTAGATACAGACATATTCATATCATGTATTTCTTCTTGTGTAAGTTTTTGTAGATTGTTTCTTTTAAGAAATTGGTCCATTTAATCTAAGATATAATTTGTAGGCACAAAATTGTTCATAATATTTCTTTATTATTATTTCAGTGTCCATGAGATCAATAGTGGTGGCTACTCTTTTGTTTATAATATAAATAATTTGGGGCTTCTCTTGTTTTTCTTGGTTAGGCTGGATAGTGGTTTATTAATTTACTACTCTTTTGGTTTAATTATTTTTCTGTATTTTTTATATTTTCACTGTGATTTTATTTTTTTTTTCCTCTGCTTGTTTGGATGTGAATTACTCTTCTTTTACTAGTTTCCCACAGTGGAATTTTAGATTATTGATTTGAGACCTTTCTCCTTTTTCTAATATGTATTATATTATGAACTGAATTGTGTTCCTCCCAAAACTCATATTTTGAAGCCTTAACTCCCAATGTTACCATATTTGGAGTTAGGGTCTATAAGAAGGCCATAAAAATTAAATGATGTCATAAAGATATTCTTATAAGGACACCAGTCCTATTAGATTGGACCACAGGAAAAAGACCATGTGATTACACAGCAAGAAGGCAGCCATCTATAAGACTGGAAGCAAGGCCTCACCAGAAAGAGACCCTGATGACATCTTGATCTTGGACTTCTAGCCTCTAGGGCTAAGAGAGAAAAAATTATTGTTTTAGCCACTCAATCTGTGGTCTTTTGTTATGGCAGTTCAAGCAGATTAATACACATTCGATGCTATAAATTTTCCCCTAAATACTGCTTTTGCTATACCCCACAAATTTTAATAAATTGCATTTTTAATTTTCATTTAGTTTGAAATATTTTTACATTATTCTTGGGACTTCTTTGACCCATTTATTATTTAGAAGTATGTTGTCTTAAATATTTGGGGATTTTTCAGCTATCTTTCTGTTATTGATTTCTAGTTTAGTTCCATTGTGGTCTGACAGCATATTTTGTATGGTTTCTATTATTTTAAATTTGTTAAAATATGTTTTATGGTTCAGAATGTAGTCTGTCTTGGTTGATATTCCATGTGAGCTAGAGAAGAATGTGTATTCTGGCATTGCTGGATGAAGTATTCCATAAATGTCAATTAAATTCAGTTGATCGACTATGCCGTTAGGATATTCTGCCCGCTGGATCTGTCATTTACTAGTAGAGGGGTATTGAAGTCCCCAGAGACAATTGTTAATTTGTCTATTATTCCTTACAGTTCTATCAGTTTTTGCCTCAGGTAGGCATATACTTATTAAGGATTATTACACCCTCTTAGAGAATTGGCCCCTTTATTATTATGTAAAGCCTCTCTTCATCACATAATTTTCCTTGCTCTGAAGTCAACTTTGATTTAAATTATTATAACTACTTCAGCTTTCTTTTCATTAGTGTTATCATGGTATATTGTTCTTCATCCTTTTACTTTTAACCTATTTGTACCTTTACATTTAAGATAGCTTTCTTTTAGACAATATATAGTTGGGTCCTGTGTTTTATCTACTCTGACAGCCTGTCTTTTAATTGGTGTATTTACACCATTCACATTTAAAGTTATTATTGATATAGTTGGATTAATTTAAACCATATTTGTAACTTTCTATTCATTATCCTTTCTTTGTTTCTTTTTAAAATATTCCTCTTGGCTCATGCTTGTTATCCCAGCACTTTGGGAGGCTAAGGCAGGTGGATCATGAAGTCAGGAGTTTGAGACCAGCCTGACCAATATGGTGAAACCCTGTCTCTACTAAAAATACAAAAATTAGCTGGGTGTGGTGGCATGCACCTGTAGTCCCAGGTACTTGGGAGGCTGAGGCAGAAGAATCTCTTGAACCCAGGAGGCAGAGGTTGCAGTGAGCTGAGATCGTGCCATTGCACTCCAGCTTGGGCAGCAAGAGCAAGCAACACTCTATCTCAAAAAAAGAAAAAAAAATTCCTTTTTTTTTCTGCATTCTCTGGTCCTATCATTTTATATACCTCCATTTTCTCTCTATCTTAGTATATATTTATTTCAAAAAAATTCATAGTTATATTAGAGTTTATAGTACACATTTACAATTAATCCGTCTACTTTCTCTACAGCCACTTCACAGGTTGTGTAGGTACCTTAAAACAGAGTATTCTTGATTTTTCTTTCCCTTTTCTTTATTGTCATTACACATTGTCTTTTATTTCATTTATCCATAAACTATAATCACCCAATATAGTGATATTATTATAATATTGAGCAAACAGTTATTTATTAGATCAATTAAGAATACAGAAAATACATGATTTTATCTTCTGTAATGGACTAAATTGTACCTCTTCAAAACTCACATCTTGAAGTCCTTACCTCCAGTATCTTGTAAGCATGAGGACTATCTTGCATATGTGGAATATATTCTGAACCAGCAGCCAATGTTTGGTGCCATTTCTCCCATTGCTAGAATAGGAGGTGGGAACTAAGGGACAAAAGTAGAAATAAGGCAGTTGTGGCTCTCCTAAGAAGATACTTACAAACTTTTTTATTCCCATCCATGCAATATGAGCTCCACTATTTTGGAAGTCTCTACCTGTTTCAGTTAAGATCTCAACAGTAACAGATAGCATATGCAAATTGGGATAGTTCAAACAGAATTTACTTACAAGAGGACAACTAGAAAATTGCAGGCAGAATGTAGTGGAAGCACAAGGAATAGTGAAGAGACCCAGGGCCAGCAGGCACTAGAATTTTCATCACCTCTAAGCCCAAGGGAACAAGCAGTTTTAGAAATTAGGAGAGTGATCCCTCTGGAATCAGCTGTTTTAAGAGGAGCTATGATCATCTGTTGAAAGATACAGCCAGCCAGTGGCAATCCCAGAGGGGTAGAAACAGGAATAAATACCCTGGCTGCACTCTCCTCCCTCACCGACAACTCTCTCCAGTGAAGCTCCCATTGACCAAGCTCAGCAGGGAGCAAAAGGCATTGGATCCTTTGATCATTAATCATTAGAGCAGAGAAGAGTGGAAGACCATTAATGCATATTTAGGGAGGCACATGGAAGATATTCAGCCCAGTAGCCAAAGAAAAAATAAAGAGAACTATTACAATTAATCACTAGATACAGATTGATACTTAAAAAAGTCAATTGTATTTCTATATACCAGGAATAAAGAATAAAAAATTAAATATATATGGCCAGGTGCGGTGGCTCACGACTGTAATCCCAGCACTTTGGGACGCCGAGGTGGGCGGATCACGAGGTCACGAGATCAAGACCATCCTGGCTAAGACGGTGAAATCCCGTCTCTACTAAAAACACACACACAAAAAAAAAAAATTAGCCGGGCGTGGTGTCGGGCACCTGTAGTCCCAGCTACTCAGGAGGCTGAGGCAGTAGAATGGTGTTAACCTGGGAGGTGGAGCTTGCAGTGAGCCGAGACCGCGCCACTGCACTCCAGCCTGGGCAACAGAGCAAGACTCTGTCTCAAAAAAAATAATAATAATAAATAAAAATAAAATAAATAAATAAATTAATTAATTATATATCTCTCTCTCTACATACACACACACATACACACGTATATAATGTGAACCCTGAAAATCTGAGACAAATCTCAGTTAATTTAGAAAGTTTATTTTGCCAAAGTTAAGGACTGACACCCATGACACAGCCTCAGGAGGTCCTGCCAACACGTGCCCAAGGTGGTCTGAACACAGTTTTGTTTTATACATTTTAGGGAGACATGAGGGATCAATCAAAATATGTAAGATGAACAGTGGTTCAGCCTGGAAAGGTGGGACAACTCCAAGTGGGGAGGGGGCTTCCAGGTCATAGGTAGATGAGAGACAAATGGTTGCATTCTTTTGAGTTCCTGATTAGCCTCTCCAAAGGAGGCAATCAGATATGTATTTATCTCATTGGGCAGACTTTGGATGACTTTGAATAGAATGGGAGGCAAGTTTGCACTAAGCAGTTCCCAGCTTGACTTTTCCCTTTAGCTTAGTGTTTTGGGGGCCTCAAGATATTTTCCTTTCAAAGAGTAACTAAAAAACTCCAAATACATAAATATAAATTTAATTAAAGATATTCAAGAACTCTGCAACCAAAAAAAATTATAAAAGACTATTGAGGATAATTAAAGAAGACTCAAATAAATGGCAGAATATATCATGTTCATGCCTGGAAAGGGTTATTATAATATTATTAAAATTTAATATTGTACTATCCACAATTTATAAATTTGATACCATCTTAACCAGGATTCCTAGTTTCTTTAGGGAAACTTCAAGCTTGTTCTCAAATTCATATGAAAATACAAATAGTCAAAAAAAATAGCCAAGACAATCTTAAAAAAGAAGAAAGTTGGAGAATTTACACTAACCAGTATAAGTGCTTCTTATAAAGCTGCACTAATTAAGACAGTATGGCCTTGGTACAAAGGCAGACAAATATACCAGTGGACCAGAATAAAGTCCAGAAATAGAGCCAAATAAGGACACTTTATTTATGACAAAGGTGACACTGCAGACTAGTGAGTAATGGACAATCTTTTCAGCAAATAGTGCTGTGTCAACTAAAATTCATATGGAGAAAAAAAAGAATTTTGACCCCTATTTTGTCCCCTACCAAAAAAAAAAATCAATTCCATGAGGTTTTTAGATCTAAATGTAAGAGCTTAAGAAATAAAGCTTCTAATTAAAGAGAATGGATCACAGAACTAAATATAAAATGCAAAGTTAGAAAGCTTCTAGAAGAAGACATGGAGAAAATCTGCATGACTTTACGTTTGGTGATGAGTTTTTATTTTATTTTATATTTTGTGGATGCATATTTTATGTATACAGAGTTTTCGATACAATAGCAAAAAGTACAGCAAAATTGAAAAGTTGACTTTATTATAAAAGAAAAATTGATAAGTTGGAATTCATTAACATTAAAACTTTTTACTCTGTGAAGAAATTGTTAAGAGAATGAAAAGACACTGGGATAAAATATTGAAAATCAAATATCTGATAAAAGACTTATATGAAGAATATCCAAAGAAGACTTAAAACACAACAGTAAGGAAACAAACAGCCCAAATTAAAACAGGCAAAATGTCTCAACAGACACCTGTGAAAGGAAAGTAAATATTCCGCTCACAAATTCACTAAGCCAAAGGGAAAAGTCAAGCTGGAAACTGGGTCATGCAAACCTGCCTCCCATTTTGGTTCCTAAACAAGATGTCTACAAAGATGAAAAGCTATATGCCTCCTTGATATTTTGCACACAAGGAAATTTCTTGTGGGCCCCAAGATCTTTACCCTAAAGTGTTTCTGTTAAAACTCACCCTGGCAATGTAAATTGATAGCTTATCTTCACAGGTGCTGGGACATAGGGCAGAACTCAAAGTCATTCCTCTGCCCACCTTAGACAAATGCATATCTGATTGTTTCCTCTGCCCTATTGTCTATATTATTTTATGTAAAAATGCAGATTCACTGAGGCAGACAAATGCATGAATGACCATTTTCCTCTACCTGCCCTCACATGAAAACTGTGTATTTCTCAATATCCTGCCCTTTCCTCTTGAAATTTGAAGCCCTCAAAACCATCTTCAGAAAAAGGTGTAGACTTGTCTCCAGGATGCGTGTCCTTAACTTTGGCAAATAAATCTAAAATGATTGTCTTGCCTTGGTCATTTTCCTTGATTGACATCCCTCACTAAAGAATATATACAGACGGTAAATAAGCATGTAAAAAGATGTTCAACATTAATTATCTTTATGGAAACACAGATTAAAACAACACTGAAGGCCAGGCACAGTGGCTCAGACCTGTAATCCCAGCACTTTGGGAGGCCGAGGCAGGCAGATCACTTGAGCCCAGAAGTTGAAGACCAGCATGGGCAACATGGTGAAACCCCATCTCTACTAAAATACAAAAATTAGTGGGATGTGGTGGTGGGTACCTGTAATCCCACTTACTCAGGAGGCAGAGGTAGAAGAATCACTTGAACCCGGGAGGTGGACATTGCAGTGAGCCAAGATCATGCCACTGCACTCCAACCTGGTGACAGAGCAAGACTCTGTCATGTTATAAATAAAGTTTCAGTTTCGCAAAAGAAATAACACTCGAATATAAAATTTTCTTTTTTTCTTCTCAGCAAAGCAGTTTACTTCTATAGAAGGGTGTGGCCTCACAGATGGAGCAATGGTGAGTGCATACCTGGACAAGGGAGGAAAAGGGGGTCTTATTCCTGACACACATGGCCCCTGCTGCTGTGTCATTCCCCTGTTGGCTAGGGTTAGACTGCACAGGCTAAACTAATTCCAATTGGCTAATTTAAAGAGAGTGATAGGGTGAGTGGTTTGGTGGGAAAAATGGTTATGGCAGAGCAGGAAATCATAATGAGTCAGGGTAGAGAATGAGCAAGTAATTGGAATGAGTCAGGGTGGAGCAGGTAATCAGAAAAAGTTGCTTTATGAAGAAGTTAAGTTTAAAAGTAGAAGGCAAAGAATTGAACATACTGACATATTGATTATTTGAAGAGAAATTTAGAACTCATATCTAACAGACTCAAAAAGAAAAACAAAAACAATTCTGAAACCCACTGTGAATGCATACAGTGACCAAACAATATGTAAATAGACAGTGGAAACTAGATTTTTCACTGTTGTATTGGGAGGTTACAGACAAGCAGAAAGACTAGAATTATCCATGTGATATTGAATTAAAGTTGGAACCATCGGTATTAACTAATGTTTAGCTTAATATAGATACTACTGCATAGGCATAAAAATAATTACAGATGTGTGTGATACGTGCATAAATGGTTTGAATGCACATACATATATTTCTTAGCTCTGTCCTGACAAAGATTATTTGCTTGGACAAACTTTAGTCAGGCTTCTGAATCTTTTGCTAGCGCCATCTGTGCACTTCCTTGCAAATTCCAGTTTTAACAAAGAATCTTGCTGATACTGTCTGGCTGTGTTCCGACCCAAAATCTCATCTTGAATTATAATCTCCATAATCTCTGTAATCCCCACATATCAAGGGAGAGACCAAGCGGAAGTAATTGGATCATGGCAGCAGTTTCCCCCATGCTGTTCTTGTGATAGTGAGTGAGTTCTCAAGAGATCTGATAGTTTTATAAGTGTTTGGTAGTTCCTCCTGCGTTCATTCTCCTTCCTGCTGCCTTGTGAAGAGGGTGCCTTGCTTCTCCTTTGCCTTCTACCATGACTGTAAGTTTCCTGAGGCCTTCTCAGCCATGCTGAACTGTGAGTCAATTAAATCTCTTTTCTTTATAAATTACCCAGTGTCAGGCAGTTCTTTATAGCAGTATGAAAATGGACCAATACACCTGCTAACTCAGTTTAGTGAGAAGCCCTCATCCTTAATATCTAATCAAGTTCCTCATCCTCCCCCACCCCCAGGCAATGTCTGATGACTCTGGCCTATCTTCAGCAATAATCCTTTTAGGTCAGTTGAGCCAGAATTTCCTTTATCCTGATGTTTACTCTTAGTAAATTCTCACTCACTGACTCCCATACTGCTCCTTGGCTATCATTTCCCACTTGCTCATGCTGTATTCAGAGTTGAATCCAATCTCTCTCCTCCACTGGAAGATGTGTTGCAGCAGCCCCTACATCAACTGTGATAGCCTTGAATAAAATCTTCCTTACCATGCTTTAATACATATCATTAAATAATTTTTCTCTAACAGTCCTCTGAGAAGGCCTAGAAACATGACACCTGCCCCAGTATAACAAGCACACCTAACACTCAGATCTTGGTTTCTAATACCATTCTCCAATAAAGGGAACCAGGGCTTTTTAGAGAAATGGCTGATTCTGGGATGGGGGCATGGAAGATGCAAAACTGACCTGAAGAATCTTGAGGTGCTAGAAAGTAAAGAAGTAATAAAAAAGAAGGATTGGGTCATATTAAAAAGACACATGAGCCAACAGAGTCATTGGTCAAAACTGAAACAACTTGAACAAAAAAATAAATAACTCAAAGTCTAAAATAAATATCCATGAATCCATATCAATGTAAATAAATGACTGAATAAATAAATAAATGGAGGAGGAGAAAGACACAAATCCACCATACAGAATAATTCCAAATAATTTATGTAGCTTCTGTGCCCTCAAGGAGATAGAACCTTAAGTTCCAAACTATGCTTAGGAACTTGCTCCAGAGTACAGTGTAGAAAAGGGGGAGAGGATAGTGACTCCACAATGGAAAAAACTGGCAGCATGACTTTAGCCAGGGGATCAGAATTAACATCATCAGTGACAAGTCATGTTGATAGCATGTATTCTTGAGACCGTGTTTTGGGAAGATACTGTGTCTTTCTCCCAAAACCCCATCACCCTAGTCTAAGCAGGAGAGAACATCAGACAGATCCAAACTGAGGGACATTCTACAAACATTTGATTAAAACTCTTTAAAATTGTCAAAGCCATAAAAAAAAAAACAGCAAAAAAATCTAAGAAATTATCACAGCCATAGGTGTCTAAGCAGACATGAAGACTAAACATGATGTGGTATCCTGAGTGGGATTCTGAAACAGATAAAAGATATTGGATTTGGGACCAGTCTAGACAACATGGCGAGACCCCATCTAAAATACAAAAATTAGCCAGACGTGTTGGCAGGTGCCTGTAATCCCAGCTATTCAGGAGGCGGAGGCAGGAGAATCACTTGAATCGGGGAGGCAGAGATTGCAGTGAGCTGAGACCATGCCGCTGCACTCCAGCCTGGGTGATGGAGCAAGACATTGTCTCAAAAATTAAAAAAAAAGATATTGGAAAAAACTAAGAAAATCTCAATAAAGTAAGGACTTTAGTTAATAATAATGCATCAGTATTTGATTCACTAGCTGTGGTGAATGTGCCACAGTAATATAAGATGCTAACCATAGGGGAAACTGAGTGAAGAATACATAGGAACTTTCTGCATTATCTTTACAGCTTGTCTGGAAATCTAAGGCTACCGTAAAATAAAAATTTATTTAAATATAAACTATAAAACTTCTAGAAGATAAATTAAAATATACATAACCTCGGGGTAGTGACGGTTTCTTACACAGAACACAAAAATAAGAAAACCTTATAAAAAAAGATTGCTAAGAGTTGGACTATATTAAAATTAGGAACTTCTGTTCATCAAAAGATGCCATTAAATGAGTAAATAGAAAGCCACAGGGTGGGAACAAGATGTTTTCAATAAATATTATCTATAAAGAATTTGTGTCCAGGATAATGCTCTCTGTCTTTTCTCTCTCTCTCTCTCTCTCTCTCTCTCTCTCTCCCTCCTATAAATCAATAAAAATCAGAGAACAAACACAATTGGACGAATAAAAAACAAAAGCACTAAACAATGCATAATCAATGAATATGAAAATGTGTTCAATGTCACTAGTAATCAAGAAAATGCAAATTAAACCCACTGAGATAACAATATATCTGACCAGAATGGCTAAAATTAGAAAAACTGAAAATACAAAGAATGTGTAGCACTGGAATTCAATACTCTGATAGTGGGTGTGAAAATTGATACAACCGTTTTTGAAAAACTGTTAGGCCATATCTACTAAAGCTGGATATAAACATACCCACATACTCTATGGCTTAGCAATGCCACTCCTGAGTCTATATCCAGCAGATGCATAGGCATATATGCACTAAAGAAGTGCAAAGTGTTCATAGCAGCAAGTCCTGGACTAGGGTGAGGTCAGCAAGGCACCTAGGGTGCACAATTGAAATAGGCTGTCATTCTCAGGATCATGTAAGTGCTGATCCTGCACTTTGCAGAGCCTTGAGGGTGCTTGGTTCTTTAAATTTTGTTCCCTAGGTGCCTCCCTTGCCTCACACTAGTCCTGACCCCAATAGCAGCATGTTTTATATCAGCTGAAGTGGACGCTGTTAAAAATGACCCCCGGATGTCATCTGCTTTCCTGTTGCAGTGGCCACTGTCAATGGCTTGTACCTGCAACCTCCTCAGAGCACTGCCCTGAGCAATTGGGACTGCCTTCCCCAAAACTTCCTAAGAGGTAAATTCATATGCACCACCTTGGGTGGCCCGGAGCCAGGACTGACCACTGGAGAAAGCAAAAGCCTCACTCTCTTTCCTTAAGGCAGGCCAGATTCCGTGGTGGAATTTATGCTCCAGAGCTTCCTACAGGATCAGACTGGGGCTGGGCTTTACCTGAACCCACATTTACCCTTAGCTTCTCCCCTAGCCACAGAACTTTCCCCATCCTGCTTCCTTCACCTCATTACTGGTTTCTTCTAAAAACGGCTTCTCAGTGAATCACTTGTACAGGAATTCCTGTCTTAAGTTATGCTTCTAGGAAACACGACCTATGACAAGCCCCAAACTGGTAGCCACCCACATGTCTGTCATAAGAAATGGATCAACAAATGATGTTATGTCCATACAATGGGAAACAAAACACCCATGGAAATGAGTTAAACTTTGTTACATACAACCACATAATAAAGTACATAGTCATGTCATTAGGGAAAAACACTAGGTATAATAAGTGGATACCATATTATAACCTAATACACAGTTTATAAACCAGCATAATTAATCTGGAGCAAGAGAAGCAAGGACTGTGGTTGCCTCTGGGAAGAGGGAGTAGCAGGTCACAGCCTAAGAAGAGTTTATGGGATTCCAGGATTGTTCTATTTCTTAATCTGGTTAGAGGTTAGATGGGTGTGAGTGGAATTCAGGTAACATTCTTGTAATATTAACGAGGTCAATGGAGAGAAATAAATTTTATAAAGGTTTTATAAAACAGACTATAGATGGTCCCCAACTTATGATGTTTTGACTTGACTTTTTTTACATTATCATGACACAAAAGTGATATGCATTCACTAGAAACCACATTTTGAATTTTGATCTTTTCCTGTGCTAGCATTACTCTGCCATGATGCTGTAGCAAGCCACAGCTCCCAGTCAGCCACAGGATCAGAGCGGTAAACAGTGTTTAGTGTTTTCACATCCCATCATGTCTACAAAATGCCCATCTGTATCTCCTGCTTCTGGTGAGAAGAAAAGAAAGGCAATTACTCTTGAGATGAAACTCAAGATAATTGCCTGGCATAAAGGCAGCAAGCCAGTAATGACCAGTGCAAGAGGAGTTAGGACTTTCACAATCCACTATCTCGGCCGTCTTAAAGGAAAAGAAGTAAATCAGTAATGCGTGAAATTGTCAGCATTGGTTAAATCCATCATCACCATGAAGAAAAGAGCTGAGCAGATTTATGATATGAAAAAATTACTTGTCATGTGGACAGAAGACCAGATACAGAAGTCCACACCACTTATTCTCCTAATGGTCCAGACTAAGGCAAGAAGTGTTTTCAATACACTAAAAGAGAGTTTCAGTGACCTCATGTACACAACATGCTTATAGCAAGGCACGGGCAGTTCCAATCCTTCGTAAGTCATTTTAATTTTTATAACGTGAAGGTCAGTAGTGAGGCAGCAAGTGCCAATACTGAAGGTGTTGAAGCTCTTAAGAAAGGGCTGCAGAGGGTAATTGTGAATTAGAAATATTTGCTGAAACAAATATTTAATGTCAATAAAACAAGCTTGTTCTGGAAGCATATGCTGGAGAGTACATACACTCATCAAAAGTCCAAACAATGCCAGGATCAAGGCATTCAAGAACTGTGTAATGCTGCTTTGGGATGGAAGTATTGCAAGGTGCAAATAAAAGACTTTCCTAATCTACCATGGGGAACCCTAGAGCATTCACAAACGTGAGCAAGTATGCATTTCCCTTTATTAGCTCTATAACAAGAAACCCTGGGTGACATCTGCATTGTTTGAAGACTGGTTTTGAACAGTTTTATTCCACAGGCAAGAGAATATTGTAGGCAAAACAACATCTCATTCGAGATTCTTCTGATCTTAGACAATACTCCAGGGCATCCACAGCATATTGGGGACATGCATCCTGCTGTGAAAGTTGTGCATTTGCCACCACACATACACAACCGCACTGATTCAACCAACAAACCAAGGCACAATAGCTGTGTTTAAAGCACACTACTTATGCCAAACGTTTGTGCAGGCTGTTGAAGTGACTGAATCTGGCTGTATCTGAAGTTTACTGAATCTGAGTTTTAGGAAGGTTTTAACATCCTAAATACTGTCCAGAATATCACTGCAGTATGGGAAGAAGTCACACAGCAATGAATAAATGGCTTTTGAAAGACAGTTTTGAAAACATATGTGAACACATTCAAAGGCTTTAACAAAAATTCTGCTGTGGATGAAATTAGTAAAACAAACACAAGATATTACTGCTTGGGAACTGCTAGAGTTGGACAATGATGAAGAGGATACTCACGAGCTTGTTGGCATTGAGGCTGGAGAGCTTTCCAATGATGACCTGGAAGACTGAACTGGAAAAAAAAAATGTAAAGAAGTTGAGGCAGAGGGAGGAGAAGTTATACCTGAGGCACCAAGAATGTTAACAGCAAAGAAACTGGCCAAAGTATTTGCTACTATCAGAAGTGGTGTATGGAATTTAGAAGAAATAGTCAATTGTAAGAGATTCACAGGAGCCGACCAGCAGAAACAGGATGGTCATGCTTGCTATAGGGAAATATATAACAAAAAGAAAAAATCTATGCAGTCAAAATTTGATATCCTTTTGAAGAACACTATACAGTGTTGGTGTCTCAGTGCCTTTACCTGCCAATCTCTCGCCCAGGGGTCCCCAACCCCTGCACAGTAGGAGATGAGCAGTGGGTGAGTGGGCAAAGCTTCATTTGTATTTACAGCCACTCCCCATCACTTGCATTACCACTGGAGCTCCACCTCCTGTCAGATCAGCAGTGGCATTAGATTCTCATAGGAGCATGAATCCTATTGTGAAATGCACATGTGAGGGATATAGGTTGCACACTCTTTATGAGAATCTAATGCCTGATGATCTGTCACTGTCTCTTATCACCCCCAGATGTGACTGTCTAGTTGCAGGAAACAAGCTCAGGGCTCCCACTGATTCTACATTATGGTGAGTTGTCTAATTATTTCATTATATATTACAATGTAATAATAATAGAAATGAAGTGCACAATAAATGTAACGTCCTTGAAGCATCCCAAAACCATCCCCTCCATGGAAGCATTCCAAACCGGGGTCCATGGAAAAATTGTCTTCCATGAAACTGGCCCCTGGTGCCAAAAAGGGTGGGGACCACTGTTCCAGTCTCTCTTCTGTTCCCTTCATCAGAAGAGAGAGAAATTGATGATCCTGTTGCTATAGCTTCCCCAACAGCCAGCAATTAATTTTAGTTTAATGCTTCAAACATTCTTCAGGCCCAGTGTGCTTTTAGCTCTGTATGTTAATGATGAGTACTTAGCACCAAAAATAAAATCTAAATCCCCTATCTGACCTCCTCTTGACCCAGGGGACCTCAGAGAAAACTTAATTAAAAACTGGGTTCCAAACCATGACAGGATGGGATGTCAGAGACACACTTCATTATACTCCCTGCCTTTTATGGTATAGACATAAGTGACCAGCACTGATGTTGAAATGGAGATTGTAAGATTGATGGAATGAACTCTTTGTGGCAACAAGATATCAAATTATAAATAGAACCTAAGACCGTGCCAAGTAAGGATTAAGTCACACACCCTGTTTTAGTCCATTTTCCCACTGCTATAACGATACCACCAGAGACTGGGTAATTTACAAAGGAAAGAGGTTGAATTGACTCACAGTTCCGTGTGGCTGGGGAGGCCTCGGGAAACTTGCAATCACGGCAGAAGGGAAAGAAGGCACCTTCTTCACAAGGCAGCAGGAGAAAGAAGAGTGAGGAGCAAAGAGGAAAGAGCCCCTTATAAAACCATCAGATCTTGTGAGAACTCACTCACTATCATGAGAACAGCATGGGGGAAACTGCTCCTATGATCCAATCACCTGCCACTGGGTTCCTCCGGCAACACATGGGGATTATAGAGATTATAATCCAAGATGACATTTGGATGGGGACACACAGCCAAGCCATATCACACCCAGCACTGAAAGGATAAACTATTTTCTAACTGCCACAAGATTTTTCTTTTTCTCTAGCAGCTAAACAAGCACTGGCCTCAAAATAAGCAACATGAAAACAATTGCAGCTCATCTACTGCCAGACACTGACTTACTCCCTGCTCCACAAGCCGTAACTACAGCTTCAATTGAACAAGAGATTGATTTCAGTAACTTCTACCTGAAAAAAAAGATCACTGACTATGGACTGATTCTGGCTGGTTTACGGAGGCTGTGCACGGAGTGCCTTTGTGTCCTCACTTCATCTTTTGACATATAGGGCCCAATTGTGATACATTTAAATATTAAGTCTCCATGCCAATGTGAACATGGGCTGCAGGTAACATACATGTTTGCTCTGTATACATAAACAGAATACTCTTCCCCCTTCATGAATATTCATAGCTCCTCCTATAACCTGTTGAATGTGTACACTTGGCTAACCTGTGCAACATAGATTCCCATCTCATCCTTCCCTACTGTGAAGATCTGCTAATGGCTTTGGCCAAAGACTGCACTTCTCAGCCTGTCAGATGGCCACCCTGCAGGCTGAAACCATTTATAGGAAATAAAGTCTCCTTTCCAAATTTATATTGTGTGCTTTTAGTTGATAGTACCCATACAACCATTCTGTTTTTCACTGTCAGTATTCAATAAATTACATGAGATATTCCACACCCTATTATAAAATAAACCTTGTGTTAGATGATTTTGCCTAACTGTAGGGTAAGGTAAGTGTTTGGAGCATGTTTGAGGTAGGCTAATATTCAGTAGGTTAGGTGTATTAAATGCATTTTCAACTTATGATATTTTCTGCTTATGATGGGTTTATCGGGAGGTAGCTTCATCATAAGTCAAAGAGCATCTGTACTACAACGTGTTCTACAGTGACCCCATAATAACTGCTTTCTCTCCTTACTATGACACGAGGCAGGATCAGAGTCCTGAAGGTTATGTGTTTGGAGGGCTTGTCTTAAAATAGTCCAAGATTTATGACTCAATTGATGAGTTCAGCTTTCCAAATTACCTAATTAAAATTCTAAGTTAAATAAATTTTACATGCCAGGGGAATTCATTCTGCTAAGAAAGATTCTAGAAATAAAAATGCTACTGCAAAGAAAATGGTGAAATAACCAAAAGGACAAAGAAAAAACCTTTTGAGCCATATTTTTTTAAAAGTCTGATCATCCAGAGCTATAAAATTTCATTCTACTTTGAAAGGAAAGTGTCAAATGCCTAATAGAGAATGGGAGTAGGACATTTTTCATACTTTTGAATTACTACAATTCTATTTCAATATTGTAATTAATATTAGTCTCCCTACCACCTAGCCTTGTGTAATATTCCTTAGCTGAAAGAGCATGGCCTTTCAAGTAGGACTGAACAGAATGTAATCCTAGCCGCACTATTTTCCAGCTGTGTATCATGCACATGTCACCCAACCTCTCCAACACTTGAGCTTTCTCATCAGACCAATGGGCATGATTATAGATAGCTCTCTAACTGCAGAGTGGGAAGGACAAGTGAGTTTCTTAGGAGAAAGAGCCCTAGACATCAGGGAAATTCAAGAAATGGCAGCTCCTTCCCATTCCTTTCGAGCAGAGAGGGTCTTCCTTAGCACACTCTAAATCCATACTCGAAAGGATTCGCTTATGTATTTATCCACTCATTCAACAAATATTATTGAATTTCTACTATACACCGACATCTTTCTAGGCCCCGGGTATGCGTGGTAAATAAAATAAAGTCCTCGATGCCAGGGAGCTTTCATTGTCCTGGTAGACATAGACACAGACACATATGTAGAAAATATGGCAGGTAATGATTGGTGCAGTGCACTGAGGCAAAGGAGCAGGCTCAGGACACAGAAGTGCATAGGGTGGTGGGTGTAGGCTGCCCTAAGGAGGTCATTAGAGCAGAAACCTTAGCAAGAAGGGGGAGCAAGACCTGTAGAAGGTGAGGTAAATGAGGAAAGAACATCTTAGCACAAACTAAGTCAATTACTCCAAGCTTTCAAGGGGAGATCCCTCCCTCTTTCCAAATGGAGAGAAGAAAGTGACTTATTTAATGGTAAAACAAAACTCTTAAATGTGAAGCCAGCTCCTGAATACTTTCACCAGAGTCAAGAAGAAACCCTTTGGACTCACCTGGAGGCTGTGTGTTACCATTTGCTACCTTTTACCTTGACAGCCATGCTTGAGAATTATTTGAATCTATGCTTGGTAGTAAGAACATAGTGAGAGGAGCCAAGACACCATTTGATTGCCTCATAGCTTCAGTGTCCCACTGTGGATGATTCTTGATCTACAAGACCTTCAAATATAACCCGTGAGTAGATCATCTTTATAAAAAGGGCACAGAAAGGCAGCAAGGGCTTAGGTTTTGGAGACAGGCAAAGTTTGACCTGAATACTAGCTTCACCTCTTCCTAGATATGTGACCTTAGACATGTCATTTGACTTCTCTGAGCCTTAGAATTTAAATCTGTAAAATGAGGATTACAACATATGCCTCATAGTATGGATTTTTGTTTTATTGGTTTTCATTGTTGCTACTTTTTGTTGAATGTCTAGAAAACTGTGCTAGGCACTGAAAATAGTGCCTGCCCTCAAGGAGCTTATATTTTAATAGAAAAATTCAGATAGTAGACAAACCAAAATTTTACAAATAATAATAAAATAATGCCACAGAATGGCAAGTGCTACCACAGAAATTATCTCTATCTTACAATGTGATTGACGGTGAATGGGAGGAAGCTCTTTTAGACAGATAGAGAGGCTTCTGGGAGAGACTCTATGAAAAGAAAACATTTGATCTGGGTCCTAAAGGGTGAATAGGAGAAGACATATGGAAATCATGGGTGTGAAGTGAGAAGGAGAAACCTGTACACGGAAAAGTCAGAAGTTGTTCATGGAAGAGCCTGACAATGTGTTTGGTGTGCAGAGAACTTGAGCTGAGGTGGGTCCAAGGTTTATTTGGAGGGATAAACAGGCACCAGGACATAATGGATTTGTAAATGCCATTAAACTGTTTAGATTTTAACCTAAACACAATAGAAAGCCATAGGAGGATTGTAATTAGTGGAGTGTTATGATTTCATTTTATTTTAGAAATTACTATGCTGCATGATGATTCATTATAAGGAGACAAGAGTGTAAGCAGGAGGGTTTGTTAGGATTCTGTTATAGGAAGAAGGATGATGTTGGCTTAAATTATGGAGAAAGGATGATCAGCAGTAGATGAATTTAGGCTTTAGATTGGAATAGAGTCAAAAAGAAATGTTAATAGATTAGATTTAAAGTCTGAAAAGGCAGGGAAAGAAAGGGTCATGATTCTTAGGCTTTTGGCTTAAGCAACAGGATAATGTTATTGAAAGGATGGTGTAAAACAATGTGCATAGCCTGTCTATAGTGCCTCGTTGTATCACTAAATATTTTGAGGATATGACAGAGATCAAATTCAAGATGGCTTAAGCACAAAAAATAGTGTTGACTCACACAGTGGGAAGCTAAGGGTCATGCTGGCCATATGCATAAATGCTCCAGGTCTTCCAAAGATGATAGCAGGACACTGCTTCTCTGTTGCTTCATTTGATGATCAGGCTTTTCTACCTCAAAGGAAAAATGACTACTGATCATTTCAAGTCTAAATCCGTACAACTACAATCTGAAAGAAAAAGAAACTCCTCTTCCAGAGTATCAATGCTAGATGCTGTGAATTGAATAGATGTTCTTGTGGCATGTGTCCATCTGGGGACCACTTTCTGACTGCTACTGAAGGGAGAGGGCATGATGATTAACCTAACTTCAGCAGCCAGTCGCTTGTTCTTCTGTGGTTGGTTGTCTGCAACAAGGCTGACTACAATCCCTCTCTACCCTGGTTGAACATGCCACTTCTCCCATCAAGAAGTATATCTGTAACCTCTCCCTTGAATCTGGGATGTCTCTGTGATATAGTTTGACTCATAAATGCGGTGGAAGTGACAATGTAAGACTCTCAGTCCTAAGTTTTTAGAGCTCCCTTACCTTCATTTTCATCTTCTTGGGAGCAAGCCACCACATAAAGAAGCTTGAGCTAAACGGCTCAATGGTGACAGATCACACAAGAGAGAGGTACAGGTAGTCCCAGCCATTTCAGCCTCTTTGCTGAGCCCACAGACCTGGGAGTGAAGCTGTGTTGGATGTTGCAACACTAGCCAAGCTCCCAGTTAACTGCATCCACACAGGACTGCTTACAGAATTCCTGGGACCCACTGCAAAATAAAAATATGGAGCCTTTTGTACAAAAAGCAGAAAAAAAGTACCATTAAATGTATTAAAGTATACAAGTTGTCCCCTTTAGTTCATGGTTTATCTCTCCACTTGTGACTTTTTAAAAAATTTGCAATTTAATATTGTTTTAAGTAAAGAACATTAAGATACCAAATTATTAGCATGAATTTTACCATTCATTCTTAATTCTACTTTTAAGTACAAACATCAGAGCACTTAACTCACATGCAGAATCACTGAAATTTCACAATTTGTGTCTTGTGAATCATCACTGGATAGTGCCTCCAGAGGACCAGAAGAAAACTTGGGAGTGGGACACCCCAGGCACAGAGAAGACCAAGGGAGGGCCTCCTTAGGACACTCATGGGGCAGGTGAAGACTCTCACAGGTCTCTGGGGTTCCTGCCCTGCAATCTGGGATCAAGCCTGTTGGCCACTGGGATCCTCCTTCCACAAACTATTGGAATGGTGGCCAGGACTGGGATGAGAATGGAGAAGTCAAGTGAGGCATTTTTTCATCCCATAACCTGCCACCCCAACCATAGCGAACAAGCAATCCTCAAGGGTATTGCAACCTCCATGCCAGGACATGTGAGTCACAGATGGGTAAGAAGCTCCCAAGTGCTGAGTCCCCCACCAAATGGTGCTGTGATGCTGCCAGCCAAGGGCAGGAATGGCCACTGCCATGACCCACCCCAAGAAGCCATGGGGCATGGATGTCTGACCTAGACCCTCCCAACACCCTGTGCCTGGGTCCCTCCAACACTAGAGAGTAGAGGGTGGTGGCAGAAAACAGACTTTCCCCTTGCTGACCCAACCTGGTCACCATCCCAGGTGGAGGGCAACAGTGGTCATGGGGCAGAAGCCAAGAGAGGAATGCTAGGTGGAGCCCAGGACATCAAGGTACATGGAGAAGGTGGCTAAAAATCCTGTCTGGGGATGTGGTGGGGAGACAGGAGTGATACAGTGGGAAGCAGGGCCACATGTTCCAAGCCCTCTGTGAATATTCAGTTGTCCTATTATTTACGAAACACAAATTCAAAGATAAATGTGATCACTATTTTAAGATAGTGACCACAAAGCTTTAAACCTCAATCTTGAGGCCCTTTAAGTACAGGGCCCTTAAAATGCCCTGGTCACATGCTCATGAAGCTAGTCCTGCAGCTATCTGAGTGACACCAGCCAACGGCTCATGGAGCAGAACCATCCAGCAAAACCCAGCCAATGTATAGAATCATCAACAAAGAATAAATTGTTATAGTTTTCTCTTTTAAGCAACTAAGTTTAGGGTACAAGTTACATATGCCTGGCTAAATTTCAGAGTGGCTAATGATGGCTTTGTGCTTCCCATTCTTCCTCCTTTCCCATTCATAAACACAAGTATCAAATGCAGCTCTTTGGTCCTGTCTTATCATTGCATATTGAGTGTTTATGCAGAGGATCATTTTTTTTTTTTAGTGCCCAGGCCACTGGATCAAGTGGTGTTGCACCCAAGGCATTACATTCAAGAAATCACACCTAAGAAGTTTAATCTGCACCTAGACCTCATTACATGATGAGATTTTGGACTTGGAGCAGCCTTATGCCATGATTGGATGAGACTTCAGGGATCTTGCAAGGGTCTGAGAGTATTTTGTACACATGAGAGACATAAATATTTGTAGCCAGGGTGAAGTGTAATACATCATCAGCAAAGAGATCTACCAACATTCTCTCATCCTTGTCTATGCGTACTGCTCCTCTCCTTAAGAGGGAGGCACAGTCTATGTTTCTCCTCTTGAATCTGAGCTGGCCTTTTGATTCATTTTGACCAATAGAATGTGGTGGAAGTGGCACTGTATAACTTTTGGGATTATGTCGTCAGAGACCTTGCAGCTTTCATTTTTAGTCTTTCGGGGCCATCCTGGATATATCCCAGCAGATGAGTTACCTGCAGAATGTACCACAACAATCACACAGAACAGCAGCAGGGCCAAGCTAATCCAGCCAACCCACAAATCATGGGATATAATGCGTTATGGTTGTTTTAAGCCACTAAGTTTTGGTGTCATCTGTTACACAGCAATGGATAACTGAAACACCTTGTAACTAATGAGGGCGGACAATCACATTGGGATGGTCCATCATCATGATGGTCCATCATGATGGACAATCCCAGTGTGAACACATAGAAATGGGGAGGGGAATTAGTAGACCCAAAGAAAATAGATGTGCTCTCACCACTACATTCCACCCCTTGGCTGCCCTGTGCATTCCTGAACCCTTATTTTCATAAATTCCAGAAATATTACTTTCTTAAGAAAGAGAACTATCCCATATATAAATGAAAATGTACCCACTCCTTCCTCAAAGACAGACAACTTCAAGATGTTTTCAGTTACTACATTCAGT
Source organism: Homo sapiens (assembly GCF_000001405.40). Lineage (NCBI taxonomy): Eukaryota > Metazoa > Chordata > Mammalia > Primates > Hominidae > Homo > Homo sapiens. The sequence continues at coordinate 133,920,083 of NC_000008.11, read as the reverse complement.
TCCAAATTCACAGTTTTCTGATTAAATTCTTCTTAGTTATCTTCCAGTGTATTTTTCATGGTCGATTGACCTATGAGATGAATAATAATTTTAATTAGTCTTGACTCCCAGTATACAATAGTAGAGGAAAAACAAGAAAGAAAAAGATCAAGGTTGTCTCCACCTTTGGATAAATGGGGAGGGGAAATGACTTATGTTTGCACAGCCATCGTGTCGGGCAGCAGAGTCAGATTCAATTGTTTTGGCAAGTCAGGAAGTTTCCTGATCAGTCAACCTGGCCCATCCAGTTCTCCTCTTTAAACAGCTTGCTTTTGTCCACTCCTCCCTATGCCGCATTTGAGACAAGCACTGGAAGGATTCCCCTCCCCGGCCTGCAGTCACTTGGCAGCCTGCTTCCTGTTGTCTCAGAGGCCTGGGAAGTTGTGTAACCACCATCCTGCATTTACCAGGATTGAAGTTCCTCCTGTCACAAAAAATCCCCTAACGTCTCAGTCATCTGTTAATTGATGCAATTTCTGAAAACACCACTGGCCAGTAACCAAGACAAGAGCTTTTTGAGTCAGAGTCCACGAATCTGGATACTCCCTTGAAGTTTTCATTACTTTTTTTTTTTTTTTTTTTTTTTGAGATAGAGTCTCCCTCTGTCGCCAGACTGGAGTTCAGTGGCGTGATCTCGGCTCACTGCAACCTCTGCCTCCCGGGTTTCAAGCAATTCTCCTGCCTCAGCCTCCCAAGTAGCTGGGATTACAGGCACCCACTACCATGCTTAGCTAATTTTTGTATTTTTAGTAGAGACAGGGTTTCACCATGTTGGCCAGGTTGGTCTTGATCTCTTGACCTCGTGATCCACCCACCTTGACCTCCCAAAGTGCTGGGATTACAGGCATGAGCCACCGTGCCCGGCCATAGGTTTTGTTACTTATTAATGGATCTTAAAGCTCTGTCCTTTCCCATATTCTTCAGCTAAATGGCCTCCATTTGGGTGGCTGGCTCAGTAGGGAGGCTGATCTGTTCCTTGTGCTCTGCCTCCAGGCTGTAAAACAGAGTGTACAGAGAGAATATCTCTGGAGGAATATGAGGGGTCAGGCTTTCCCAATTTTCCAACTCCTTCTGGGCCATGATCTTATTTCCAGTTATATTTTCCAACTTCACTAGCTTTATTGAAGTAAGGAACAGGGCTTTTGCAAATTTACAGGCCCCATAAATCTGACTCTCCGTGATCTTGAACAGCTGCCCAGAGGCAGAAAATGCCTCTAAACAAAATGTCCACCATTTCCTTCCTTCTTTAAAAATAACTGGCTTGGATGGAGTGTGCAATAGTTAAAGCCATAGGAGTCTACTTCTTAATGTCCTGGTAGTGACTACCAACTACTCCTCTCAGAAGGATCAGGGACTGAGGCCTTAGATATGCATTGTAACAGCTTAACAGACTGTTCTGTTACTACTGCAAACCAGGGATTGCCAGCTTCCCAGATGCAACAGGGGACTCCTCACACCTTACACCTCACTTTGACCCAGGTGAGCCTGTTTTATAGGGCTTGTCACTTCCAAGCACTAATTTCTTGGTTAAATGGAAATCTTTCAAAATAACTCAACTAAAAGTAAATTAAGAAGGAAGAAAGGGAGGGAGGGAAGAAAATGTAGGCTTAAAATAGAAGGAAATCCAAGGTGGAAACTGGCTACAGGCACATCAAGTCTAGGGGTTCAGTGGATGCCTGGTCTCTATGTCTCCAGCAGCACTTTGCCTGTTTCCTGTTTGTTGACTTCACTCTCAGTTGGACTTCCTGCAATGGTGGTAGAAAAGATGCCTTCTGTGTACCCCATGCCTGTATTTTTATAGCTCATGATCCCTGTAAAAAGAAGACCATTTATTTCCCAGAATCTATGTATCATTTTTCATAGAAAAGTTTTGATTCCCTGCTTGCATCCCTCACTATTCAAGGGACATGCTACTGCCCAGAACCTGCATTTTTTTTCTGTCTCCTATGCTCTGAGAGGGCAGGATCTGGATGGCTAAAGTCAGGGAGTGGACTGGTTTCCATTGGGAAACAGGGGTCTGAACAGAAAAAAAAAAAAAAAAAAAGAAATTAAACACAATCAATGGTGCCTAACATTTCTTTTTTTCTTTTTCTTTTTTTTTTTTTCTTTTTTTTCTTATTTTGACAGAGTCTCGCTCTGTTGCCAGGCTGGAGTGCAGTGGTGTGATCTGGGCTCACTGCAACTTCCGATTCCCTGGTTCAAGTGATTCTCCTGCCTCAGCCTCCAGAGTAGCTGTGATTACAGGCACGTGCCACCATGCCCAGCTAATTTTTATATTTTTAGAAGAGGCAAGATTTCACCATGTTGGCTAGGATGGTCTCAGTCTCCTGACCTCATGATCTGCCTGCCTTGGTCTCCCAAAGTGCTGGGATTACAGGTGTGAGCCACTGCCCCCAGCCTAACGTTTCTATTATAAAGGACAACATGTCTTTGCATTTTTAATCTGAGCTAACCCTGAGATTTTTCCAGCTGGGGAATGAAGGAGACCACCCAGTAAAGGCTTTTAACCTTTCCCATGACCAGGGATGCCCACCCATTTCTGGGATCCTGATGAGGGGCAAGATTACCTGCCTGCTCAGATGCATGGGACTCGCCATGGCCTCTCCTCCTGGGGCTCTGGTTTCCTGATGTCTGGGACCCCGTTGCTGAAACCTGCCCACAAGCAGTGGGGATTGTTCTTTCATAACTAATTGGCAGCTTCGGCCCTGCCATGCTGCTCCACACAGCTCCCATGTGCACTCAGCTCAAGGCAGGGTCTCTCTCCATCCCACCACTGTACCCCCACATCCCAAGGCACGGCAGCTCTGAGCTTCCAGTGTCTCAGAGAGCCTTGAGGCAATAGCTCTCTCACCTCAAACTCAGGCTGGAAGACATGGGGGCTGGCTGGGGGTCTACAGACAGTCTCAATGACAGATCTCAGCTGAACTCCCCAGTTCTCTCCAAGGCAGTAGCTTGGCCCAAGAACCAAATGTGTACCTTGATCGTTGCTCTTCTTTTCTTTTTTTTTTAATTTTATTTTTAATGTTTTCAACTTTAATTTTTTTTTTTAACTTTTAGGTTCAGGGGTACATGTGAATTTTTGTTAGATAGGTAAATTCATATCATGGGGTGTGTTGTGCAGATTATTTCATCACCGAGGCACTAAGCCTAGTACCCAATAGTTAAGTTTTCTGATCTCCCTCCTCCCACCCTCCATTGTCAAGTAGGCCCCAGTGTCTGTTGTTCCGCTCTTTGTGTCCATGACTTCTCATCATTTAGCTCCTAGTTATAAGTAAGAAAATGTGGTAGTTGGTTTTCTGTTACTGTGTTAGTTTGCTAAAGATGATGCCTCTTCTTTTTTTTCTTTTTTTTTTTTAGATGAAATCTTGTTCTTGTCCCCCAGGCTGGAGTGCAATGGCGCCATCTTGGCTCACTGCAAACTTCCCCTCTTGGGTTCAAGCAATTCTCCTGCCTCAGCCTCCTGAGTAGCTGGGATTACAGGCACCTGCTACCACGGTCAGCTAATTTTTTATTTTTAATAGAGATGGGGTTTCACAATGTTAGCCAGGCTAGTCTGGAATTCCTGACCTCAGGTGATCCACCTGCCTCAGCTTCCCAAAGTGCTGGGATTGCAGGCGTGAGCTACCCCACCCGGCTAATATCTCTTCTCTTAAGACCAACTCTTCCTCAGTTATTCCTCAGATCCAAGGGCTGGGAGATCTCATGAGGACCTTCTGCTGGGCTGCCTTCTCACCCTCTGATCTAATTTGATTATGAAATGAATGGGTTCTCTTCAGAGCTGAGCTTCAAAGGAAACTATTGCTTGTAGTTGCTTTTAATCCCATGGAGTTACTTGGTGGAGACTCTCTTTTCTTTTCAGAGCCTAGAACATGTTCCAAAGTCAACAGTGAGGTCAGTGCTCTGAAACCAGCGTGATGAAGTTAACAGCCAGCCCAGCCCTTCTACACAGCTGCTTCCAAACAGAAAGACCCTGAAGAAACCCGGGAATAGAAATTGCTTCTTTCTTGTCAATATTTTTTTCTGGTTTTATCTTTAAAATCCCACAAGTTTAGTGCCGGAAATATGGAAGTGACACTTTGTCAAGAAGAAAGTTATTCAGATGTCTTGGAGGATTGAAAAAAGAAAACCATTAGATCACCCTAAATCTTAGAGCTTTGAACATGTCAGTGGGTTTCTGAGTTAAAGTGACCTGATAAATAAGCACACTTCTGGGCAGGAAATCAGGAGGAAGTGTGAGCCCAGGCATGGGGTGACCAGTTGCCGCCCATTTCGTCATGATTTTTGGCCTTCTTGTCAATGTTCATTTTGCCCTCAGCACTGCTTCCCTTTGCAGCTGAGGCCGGTTGTTTATTGTTCATCCCCAGCGGCAGAGAGAGAAGAACCACCTCTACGCACCATGTAAGATGTGTCCCTGCATCTTCTCCCGCAGTTTGGATGGGTTCATTAGGCCCTGGCAAAGAGGAGGAGGAGCTAAATGAAGGCAACTCAGCATTCACATTTTCACTGAAGTTTTCTGAGTTTTGAAGGACAGTGTACATGAAGACAACATATTCTTGATAGTTATTAACTGTTAGGAGTAATTATCAACATGTGGGTTGCATTAACATCATAACCGGGGCAGGATTTACTAATACATGCAACCCTTATTTTACCATTGTACTCAATGCAAGGCAAGTACTGGCTAGAGTGGTTACAAGATGATTTTCATGTCTTGTCAGAAGAGCAGAAAAAGAATATCCCAACATGAGAGACGAGAGGAAAGGGACAAGATCTCAGCCAAAGAGGCAAAGTCAATTTATATACTAAAGAGGATGGGCAGAAGAAGAGGACGAGCGGGAGGGCTAAGCCAGGTGGCCTGGAAGCTGGAAGGAGATGCTGGGGTGGTGGCATGTGAGACATTTCTGAGCAGAGGCAGAATCTGAAGGAGCAAGGACTCAAGGAAGAAGACGGTGAAAGGCTGATGTGGATTACAAATTGTATCATTGTCCAAGTTTCTCAAAAGACTCAAGAGAAGTTGGGAATTGCTTTCTGAAAATGACATTTTGTAGCTGGACTGGGCTTCTTTAAATGTGATTTTACGCAGGGTCTGAACCACATGTGGACACAAATTATACTTGGATTACAGCGTCATTTATATACAATCTCTCTTCTCCGTTAGAGTGTAAGATGCTGGAAAGAAAAATATAACTTTGTCTTATTAATAATGTTTAGTGCCTGTCGTAATGCAGACACTCTGTTTGCTGACTGAGAGTGGAGATGAAGGTTTCCCTTTATTTAAATCTATTAAGCAGTCGCAATAACCAACCGCTTTACACACAAAGTTGAGGAGAGGAGAGTTCAGTGGGATCCAGAGCTTTGCCCTACATTACCATTTGTGAGCAAGGGAACCAGAGTTCAAATTCAGATTCATATGACTGAGGTTCATGCTTCTTACATTATTCCACACAGACCAAAGAGAGCAAGTGTCTTGAGCTGTGAGGAGGGGAGAAGGGTGCTAAGTATAGATCAGTGACTGCCTATCCCGCTATTTATAAAGTCCCCACCACATCCCTACAGCCTGCCAGAGTGCATGACCCACAATGTGCGCTAACTAAGCATGTGTTCCTTGAATCTAAGATGAGCAAATGAATGAGAAAAAGAATCCAGATGCCAAAGGGAGACGCGGAGAATGGGAAAGGAGAGAAAAGACAGAAGCAGAGAAAGAGCAATAAGACAATAGGAGAACTGAGGAAGAGGAGATACACAAAGAATGAAGTAGGATCCAGAGAGTGTCAGAAGACAGAAATGCAGAGGGGAGAAAGAAAAAGGGTGTGGAAATGTTGAGAAAGATTGTTGGGAAGCAGAGAGAGCCAGGGTGGAGAGTTTGAGAAAGAAGCCCAGAAGAGAGGGAGGCTGAGACAAAGCCTGCCATGGGGAGCAAGTTTTGGGGACAAGAGTCTCTTCCCTAACTGGGGACAATCAACCGGGCACCATAGGGTAGGGGGAGTGGCAATGCACTTGCATCTCAGAATCCATATTTCTGTGTGGAAGTACCTGGTGCTTGAAGATGCTGGGCAAAGACATACATACATACATACATACATACATACATACATACATACATACAGGGAATAAAAAGCCCCAAGAGAGCTATAATGATCTTCCCATTCTTTCTTCAGAAAGGATCAGTGCAGAGAGGCATCAATCTGCTTCCTATGACCTGCTTGAGTGTTCTCTTCACCGCTCTGGTCTTGCACAATTGGGCCTTAGAATTCTGTTTCCAGGGTCTCACCTCCCACCTGCCCCTGCGCTATTCCACACTGGCTCCTGCCTTCTAAGACGGCCCAGCTTTGCTTTCACAGGCTGGAGGAGCACAGCTTTTGGTGAATGTGAATGGGAAGCTGCATCTGCAGCTGTTAGGCAATAGCCATCAGTGATGCAGAATAGACCTGTGAGTGCTGGCAGAAAGGGAGCTTCTGAAAAGAGTAATAAGACTCCGGCAAGTTCGAGCTCCTGCAGAGGAGGTGGTCAAGGGCAGCTGAGAGGTGTAAATTTGTGATACCAGGGCTGGACAAATCTCACAAATGACAGTTCGAGCATCCTGAAGGTCTAAAAGAGGACTCAGCCTCCAATCCACAGCATGTGCTTATGGAGCCACAGACTGAAGTTGGCAACTTCCCCTTCACCAGCCTCTCAGAGATGCCAAGAGAAGCTCCTTAAACAGGACCACCAAAGGAGTTCATCAGGCCTAGGCTCTGCAGCATCCCACCTCCATTCTGCCAATACTCACCTTGATTTATGGACTCCTTTCAGCTACATGTTCATTCATTCATTCATTCATTCATTCATTCATGAAAGGCTGTGTGAGGACCCTCTGGGTCCCAGGCACAGCGTGAGGACTGGGATTCAGAGGCCAGTGAAAAAGACCTTTATCCTGGAGGGCAGAGGCCAGGTGGGGAGATAAACAGATTACTAAGAACAATACATCCCTTCATACCATGTTATGTCATCTTGTATTGCATTCCTTTGTTTATTCATTAAACATCGATATGGCACATGTTCCTCTAAGAAGCGGGGATGCAGCAGTGCACAAAACACAGTTCTTGACCTCACGGATCTTCCATTCTAGTGGGGAAAAGAACAATTTTTATTGAATGTACTTCGCATCCCATTTAATTATCAAAAAAAAAAAAATCCCCTGTGAAGTGGATTAAAATATCCTCCAATTAATAGATAAGAATATTAAGGCACAGAGAGGCTGGGTAACTTGCTGGTCACACAGTGAAGACATAGCACTGCCTGGCCTTTGCCTTGGCTGTCTGCCTCCTGGGACCACATTTCCCCTACTGCTTGTGAGAGAGGAGCACGGGTGGCCCTTCAGAGAAGTGGGGATTGAATTGCAGGTTTGAAGGATGAGTAGTAGTACTTCCAAAATACTGTGGCGCGTTCTTTTCTAGAACCCATCCAAGACTCCAAAGTAAAGTCAGCTTATTCCCCTGGCACAGAGGTTGGCCCATGGCTCCAAGCTCTCTCTCTCCCACACACACAACAAGCTGCAGATGGTGAGTGCTTCCCCTACATACCAGCTGTTCTCTCGTCCATGACTTTGCTTACATTGTTCCCTCTGCTTAGACTCCTGCCCCATTTTCAGCAAGCAAAGGCCCTCTCAACATTTCCAGTGCAGATAGATGGTACCTCCCCCAGGAAGCCTTCCTGGACTTCCCCATCTCCTCCTCCCACGTTTCATGAGGAGCTCCTCTGCTGGCATCATCGGGACAGGCTCTGTTCACTTCTCTCCCTAGAGTGTGAATTAGACTTGCATGACCTGGTTACCTGCCTGTTTCCTTGCCAAGCAGTCCCTCGGTGCTTGGGCGGTGCAGGAGTGAATGGCCCCAGGTGCAGGAGGGAGGGCATACTAGCAGAGGGCATAGCTTAGACAATGGTGAGGAGCTGGGATCATGCCAGGTGAAGCAAGGGGCCCCAGAAATGTCCTCTGGATGCAGGGTGGGGTCTCCATGGAAGGAATGCAGGACAAAGAAGCAGAAGATTTGGAGAAAAAGTGGCCAGAACACAGGTGCCAAGGAAGAGCCAGAAAGGCTGCGTTCTCTTCAGGAAAGAGGACCCTGTATGGCAGGCCTGCAGAGCTCCACCCTGAGAAAAAAAAAATTCACATGTACCCCTGAACCTAAAAGTTAAAAAAAAAATTAAAGTTAAAAACATTAAAAATAAAATTAAAAAAAAAGAAAAGTAGAGCAACGATCAAGGTACACATTTGGTTCGTGGGCCAAGCTACTGCATTGGAGAGAACTGGGGAGTTCAGCTGAGATCTGTCATTGACAGGAAAGCATGCTCAAGGGCGTTGCCACATGTAGGACAGGGATTGTGTCTGTTTTGTGTTGTGAGACAAAAAGTGTCTGAGGCAGGTCTCAATCAATTTAGATGTTTATGTTGTCAAGGTTTATATGTATATATAAGCCCATACACACACACACACACACATGCACACACATACCACACATGTACATACATACACACACACATACACAAATATGTGTGTTTATATGTGTGTGTATATGGGGGTATGTGAATGTGTACATATATATTTATATATGTATGTTTCGAGGGCTTATACCTATATATGTGCACACACATATATAAGCCCTCAAAACCTTCTTTGGAAATACACACACACACACCCCTATATATATACACACACACACACACACATATATATATGTATATATACTTTTTTTTTTTTTGAGACAAGTTCTCACTCTTTTGCTTAGGTTGGAATGCAGTGACATGATCATGGCTCACTGCAGCCTTGACTACTCAGGCTTAAGTGATTCTTCTTCCTCAGCCTCTCAAGTATCTGGGACTACAGGCATGCACCATCATTTATTTTTTGTAGGGATGGGGGTCTCACTATGCCCAGGCTGGTCACAAACTCCTGAGCGGTCCTCCCACCTTCACCTCCTGAAGTTCTGGGATTACAGGTGTGAGCCACCCCACCTGCTGGTTTCAATATTTAAAGGAAAAGGAGCAGGCAGGAAGGAAGGGGGAAAGAAAAAAATGGAGGATTCGTAGTGAAATAAGTGAGCACTTGAGAAGTGCTCACTGAATCCGTATGTCACATTGGAAAGGAGAGGGTAGAAGAATAGTCAATTATGCATTCATCTCATGCTCAGTAAATCTGCATTTGTCTCTGGGTAGGCAGAAGGATGATGTCTAGTTTTGTCTTTGTCCTGTACCTGTGAAGATAAGCTGTTAATTTACATTGTCAGGGTGAGAGAGGCCACCTAGGGAGATGTGTGGTCTTCTGTGTTGTAGCTATTTGTTTAGGAGCAAAAGGAAAAGCAGGCTTTTTTTTTTTTTTTTTTTTTTTGGCATGAGTCAGTGTCCAAGTTTAAATTTTCCCTTTGGCATAGTCAGTTTGGGGTCCTGCGATTTTATTTTCCTTTCAGAGTCCTCTAGGAGACTCACATTAGGATGGGCTGCTGCAGGACAGATGAGCTCCTTCCACTAATGCCTGCAGACTGAGGCTAATGCATGGTTGTCAGCAATGCACTGGGCTGTTGCCATGTTGGACGGGACCCGGGTTGGACTTCTCCAACACCTCTTCACATGAGCTGCAAGACATGCAGGGCCAGTCCTGCACCAGCCAACTACATGCTGAATGCCTCTGTCCTCTTGACACAACCTGCTTAGTTGGACTCTATTCCCTTCCCCAATCTATGTAAGGGGAAACTGAGGACAGAAAGGTAAAGTCCTTTGTTGAGTAACCAGTAGAACTGGAATCTCGACAGGGGCCTACCTGAGTCTCATCATAGCCATGTTTGCCCTTTGTGATCACCCACCTTCTAATCTATGACATGAAGACATTCCACTTGAAAACCTAGAAAGAGGTAGAGTGGGGAGAGGAAAGGGCCAGGGGAAGGGAGAAAACCCACATGGCTACCTACCAGCTGTGTGACTTCAGACAAGCTACTTACCTTCTGTGATTCTCAGTGCAGGGAAAAGGGAGACATCAGTACTACCTACCTCTCAGTATTGTTCTGAAATTAAATGAGCTGACTCACAGAAATCACATAAAGCAGCGCCTGACTCGTAGGCAGTGCTCAGAAAGTGTTACTACTACTGCTGCTATTGTTACTACTGCTGATGCGACTACTATTACTCCTGCTACCACTGCTGCCACTGCTACCACTATTGCAACTGCTATTGTGAATACGGTTACTACTATTGCTGCTGCTAGTAGTATTGCTACTACTGCTGCTGATGTTACTACTAGTAAGTATCACAAGACATGGTGTTCCTGGTGGCTATAAACACATTGTTTCAAGGAGGAAGTGGTCTTCCACAGGGCTTAAAGCATCGGATTTGGAGTCAGCCCTGAGTTCAAATGCCAACTCTCCCATTACTCTCCACACAGCAAGGTCTGAGCTTCATTTCTTCTCTGTAAAGTGGGAATAATTGGCACACTGTCTGTGCCATTGCCTTACTGTAAGAAGCAAGGGAGATAGTTTATGTAAGAAAAATAGTTTCTATTGCAATGGGAATTTATTGGGATGATGTATTTATTGAGATGCAGATGAGGAGAATGGTGGCAGGGATGATAGTTTCTACTCAGAACATTCTGAGAAACTTCTTCCATCCAAGGACATAGATGTGGAAGTAAATTGCAAAATGTCTTAGGATTAGGGCCATGAGAGGGTTTGGAACAAGATCCTGTGCAAGCCAGAGAATGGAGTGCCCAGAGCTGCCTAGACATTCTCTGTACCAACCATGCCCTCCTTTCTCGGGGGCTCTGACATGCCCCTCCTCCCCAGCCCATCCCTGCATGGTCTCCCTAAAAATCCACCAGGAGGCAGGGCTTTCCTGGCAAAGAGCCATGCTAACTGCCTGCCTTGCTGAAAGCCCTCCTGCATTCTGCCAGATGCTCAATAGCATGTGTGCATCTGCTCAATTGCAGACAAGTCTAGTGTTTGAAAATTCAAGAAACTGTGTTATTCCGGCTGGTAACTCTTGTCACTCAGAAGCTTCTGGATTACCTGGGTTCCTAAGCACTCATCCCAGCTCCTGTCCTGGCCCTGCAGTCTGTCTGCCCAATGTCTCCTGATCAGTAGGGTCTTTCCTGACCTCTTTAACCATGTGGATCACCCCTGGTTTCTTCCTCGTGCCAGAAGGTGAGCTTCCTCCCTCATGTTTCTCTTCTGTTTGTTAGGACATGTTTATTTGTTACCTGATGAGTTTCTTTCTGCACAAGACTCAAAGCTTCATGAAGCAGCTCCTCTCATTCAGTGTGGCATCCCACACTGTGAGTGGGGAGAGGAAAGAGCCAGATGGAGGCAGCATGCTTGGTGCACAGTAGGTGCTTAATAAATAATAAATATCTATAGCAGAATGAATGAAGGAGTAAACGACTTTTAGAAAAAGAAAGGGAAGCAACAACAAGAACAATAAATTGTTCCACAGAAACAGCATCTGGGCATTGAATGGGGCTTTAGCAATGGCATTTACCGTTCATCTCATTCTGAGGTCCCAGCTGCAAAATCTGAACAAGTGGCTACATCATTCCTCTTGAACAAAGCTGAAGAGATATACTCTGGACATTAGCTGCTTATTTGGTTTATTTATGAAGAGTGTGTTGGAAAGACACTTGCCCTGGGTATTCTGAGACTTGGATCCTATCTTCTGCATGGCATTTCAGGTGAGCTGAGCAAAACACTTGTATCTTAGAATTTCAGTCCTTCATAAGCAACCAGATGAAGCTCCATCACACAGTCCTTAGTATCTGTGCTTTTTGACCTTATTTTATTTCCTTCTGTACCATGCTATTTTTGTTTCTGCTCACTTGTTCAAAAAATCAAGGCTGAAATCTCTTGTCTAACTTCTCTTATGAATGAATTAATGCCTTTATTATGAGAGTTGATTCATTATAAAAGTGAGTTCAGTTCCCTTTCTCTCTCTCTTGCCCTTCTGCCTTCCACAATGGGATGACACAGAAAGAAGGGACCTTGCAAGAAGCTGGTCCTGCAATCTTGCACTTTCTAGCTTCCAGAAATATAAGGAAAGACATTTCTGCACCTTATAAATTACCTGGTCGGTGGCATTCTGTTATAGCCTCACAAAACGGACTAAGACACCAGATTAGCATAGCTAATAAGTGGCCAAACCAACATGGGAATTTGATTCCACCTGATTCCAAAATACGCCTAAGCTAGGACTAAAAGTTTTTACTTCTAGCACTAAATCTAGTACTTCTCTCACCATCCTTCTGTGTGAGATTGGGGAATTTCCTTCTTGGAACCTCAGAAAAGCTGTATGGCTCACTGAACGGTTGTTAGAGTTGAATAGGAAGTCATGGGGTCATGGTAGAAAGTGCATTGTTAACTGTGAAGTGATGTGCTCACCAGTGTTGTCATCAATGTCAGTGTTTAAGGCTTGACAATGTGGTATGCAGGGCGAATGCTGTGGCCTTTCATGGGGCAAGAGTAACAGGCATGATGCCAATTGTCAAGAGAGGATTCATGGGGCCAGTGATAGTTAAATTAGGACTTGAAGGGTGGCAGGTGTTACACACACCATGTTAGGGCAACCCCCAAACCACACAACTCCTTGTCTCCTTGCCTTCCTTTTCAGACTCCTTTATAGATAGTAGTGATCATATGGCCCAGTCTGCCCTGTGGAATATCAGAAGTCCCTGGGTAGAACACTTTAAGAGAGACCCAGCTAGCATACACTTCAGCCCAGCATCCATTCATTTTGCTCCTGTGCCTTTCTCTCTTGTTCTTGTTTAGAATGTAGATAGCAGGCCTGGAGATGCAGCAGCTTTCATGTGACCATGAGGATGAGTCACAACATCAAACATGGAGATGGCATGGTAGGCACTGGTTTTTAATGATTTCCAACAAAACAGTTTAACGTGAGATTAAAAAAAAATCCATTGGTGGTGAAACTCTCATTACTTGCGTTGTCTTTTATGTGCCACTGAATGCATGTAAGGATCAGATTGATAATGACACAAACAAGGTGAAGCAGGGAGCAGGCAAGGACAGAAGAGAAAATAGCTGAAGAAGCCATCTCTCATATTGCACCAAGATACATATGCATATGGACACCAGAGAGACAGCTGTTGATGCCAGTGTGGAGGTCTCATGGTCTAGATTCAAGTCCGTCCAACTCCTCCAGCTCATGCTTGGCAGGGGGTTTCTAAGTCTGCCAAATGCCTGACCCAGAGTGAGTATTCATTTACTCATTCAGAAAGCAGGTCTTCAGTATGACTCTCCAAACACACTACTAAATGCTTTTCATGTGTTCTTGTGAGCCTGTTCATATAGGCTCATTTAAGCCTCCCTTTACTGCAAAGATGATGAGTCCCATTTTACAAAAGAAAAAGGTGAGAGCTAGAAAGGTAAACACCATGTCCAAAGTTTCTAACCTAAGACTCAAGCCCAAGCCACTAACTCCCAATTCTGTGATTTAATTACTGTGCTGTACTGAAAATCAAATATCTGTTCCTCTCTGAAATCTGAGGGGAATCTACACACACACAAAATTGCTCAGTCTCTTCTCTGTGGTCGCATATGCCTACCTAAATCTATGCAGAATCAAGGTGAATTGTGAGTATCATGGACTTCTCCCTGGGGCTGTGAGCACCTTCTTAGCTGGTAACCAGGCCTTATCCAGCTTCATATTCCAGCACCTAATATGTTTTCTGAATACCTATCCATTCAAAAAATGAGTTAACTAATTAAATAACAAAGGTCAGATTTGGCACAACCAATCAGAGGGGATGATAGAAAAAAACCCAGGCTTGAGCCACAAGAAACAACAATGGGGTGATTCTGAACCACCTGTATGTTTAGCATCTCTTCAACCTGTTGCACTTTTTATTATATAAATTTTAACATTAATAAATTATTGATCTATTAATAATAAAATTATTATTATTGTAACATGCCCATTTTTATGTGTTCCTCACTTTTGTCTTATATCTAGAATCCATTCCAAGACTTCTAGATGTGGTAAAATCCAGAAGCATTTCTTTCGACATAGCTCACAGACGCTCTGTTAAGTCAGGAATACATCTTCCCTCTTGTCATGAGAGTCATGACGAGGGAGAAAATAATAATAATTATGTTCTGAACCAGATGAAGATTGCATATCTTATTAATAGCTGAGATAAACTGTGTACACTCTCAAAGCTGGGTCAATAACGATTCGTCAGACTTCGTTACCAACATCTTTAAAAGTTGATGTGAGTCATACGGAGCTGTTTTGCACAAGATTTGTCACCTGGATTTGAATGGGAAATGAATAACTAAATATAAAATGCCATTTTGCTGTGATTCATAGCTCTCTCAAGCTGACAGACATCATCAAGGGATACAATCTTTCCTCTATTTCTAAAGAATGCAGTCAAGGGGTCAGGTTCTTAGTTTCTTATCAACCTGAAGAAGGACTAGAGAGAATGCCTGTAAGTCAACCACAAGGAATAGCTTTTTCGTTTTTACTTTCTGACAATGTTCATATCGGGGAAAGAGGCCATAATCCATGTGCTCTGTTTCTAGGAAAATGAAAGGTCCAAAATATAATTATCTTCACCTTAGGATGCTCTAATTGGGCTGTTTCCTTTCCACAACACGTACAATTACATTTGAAAATTAACACATGTTGCAATCCTTCCCATCCACAAATGCTCCTCATACATCATTGTAGCATATACGGATTATCTTCTATTTACCTAAGCATTTTTCACCCAGAATTGGTGGATGTGCCTCCCAATGGGTCTTCCGAGCAACGTCCCTCCACCTCCACCCAGCCTCCCACACTATCCTTTTTCTACTCTGAAACCAGAATGATCTTTCTAAAATGCAAGCCCCTCATATCACTGCCCCCATGTCAGACCTCAAGATAACTTCTGATGCCTGGAGGAGTTGTTCTCTCATCAGTGCTGCCAAGAGCCTAGAATACTGGAAGGGAATGTTGTAGGCTATATTCTCACCCCAGCCTCAAGTGTTGACTGAACCTGCATAGCAGGAACCTATTTAATTTTTTTAACCCTAATATTTTAAAAACATATTTGATCCTGTCCTTCAGAACCCGTGTTTTAGAAAACCCCAACCTATAGACTAGAGTATAAGGTTTCAGGCAGGATGTAGATGGCCCAGAGTATCACGCATGTCCTCTGTCTCTGCAGCCTTACATCTTGTCAATCCCTGCTTCATAGTTTGTGCTATAAGAGAACAATTACAGGTAATGGTGAGTCCACCCAGTCCCTGACCTGTGTCAGCCAGCATGCTGGGCACGTGGCTGCCCTGCAAAAATCCACATGGATCTGTGGTGAATGGGGAGCTCTTGAGCCCGACACATGAGGTCAAACCTGAATTGGCAATCTTGGGCAATTAATCTCTCCAGGCTTCCATTTCCTCAATTGTAAAGCAGGATGATAATAATAAATCCTACCTCCTGGGTTCTTGTGTGGCTTGCATGAGTTTTTATATATAGAGCACTTAGAACAGCTCTTGACACCTAATGACTTCTTTGTACAATCAGCTAATATTAACAATCAGTAGATAGATAACCATCACAAAAGAGGCAGGAAATACGCATTTAGGCTCAGCACAGCCTGCCTGGAAGTGCCTCTTCACGGCTTCTGCTCTCCCCACACTGACTCCCTCCCTGGGCACTCAGCCCCTGAAGGCAGTGATGGCTTGCAAAAAGGTCCCACCTTCACAGGGCACCCCAGTCCCTCTCCCTAGAGTCTCCATACTTCCTCCTGACCCTGTCCTTGGAAGTCCATGCTCAAACCATGCTCAACTGCCCCAAGCCACCTCTTCCCCTAAGTACCCAGCTCCTCAGAAGACCAGATATGAAGTCCCCTCCCAACCTGGTTACTCTGTTCTGGGAACACTTTGGGGAGTCGATGTGTGGCAAATCAGCAGGTGCCGATACGTCATCAGCACCAGTGGCCATGCCAGAGAGAGACATGGAGCTAGTGGAGGTGAAAAGCTCCCCCATAATCTCTACCTGTTCCCTTCACTGATATGGACAGTGACATAGTCTCAATCTACTGTCACACGCAGTGCAAAACCAGTTTTAAGATTAGTCCTCTAGCTGCCAACTTTCAGATTGTTGCCCTTTAGTAAATATTTTAAAACTACAAGCTATATTAGTGGATGCTCAAGTCAATTTAGTGGGTACTTTCCAGATGTTCAAAAATTATAGAGTATAGAATGGAATGAGTGCATTGCCTGTAGTGAGTATTGTATAATATATTTGGTTCTGTTTTATGTCTTTTGTGTGCATGTGTGCATATTGGAGTATAATGTAAACTACATTTTTTACTGTAGGTCATGGGACAAGGCAGTTTATAAAACAGTATCTTAAGTTTTTCTTACATAAAAAATGTTGGAGCCCCATTGACTGGAATTATCCACAGCATTCTCTCTTCTCTTTCTAAGAGAAAGCCCTTATCAAAAATAAAAGATAAAATAAAAGGACTCCCTGATATGTTTCCTCATGAGAGCACTTCAATGGCAACATCCATAGGAACATAGAGAGTAACCTGTGTTCATTGCTCCTACCTGAGGGCTAAATCCATCTGTCCTCATAGAATAGAGCCATGTGTGTTCTGCAGATGACTTGGCTAGACAAGGGCAGGAGGCCTTATGAAAGAGCTTTAGCAACAGAGAGTGGCATAGAAAATACTTTCTGGTGTACTTGGGGAACTGTAAAATCCACTTCCCATTGTTGACACATTTACATGTTAGGGACTTGAAAAATATCTGATGAATACATTGACTTTTCCCCTGCTCCCATCTGAATACACGCCACCCCTCTACACTTACATACAAACCCATCTGCATGCAGTCTTATCCTTGCTCCCTTCACATACTTGTTTTCTTCTAGATCAATGATTTTCATAGCATTTTCAGTAGCAGACCCTGTGTTTCAAAGGGAGTCTTTAGCAAAACCCCAACATTATCATAAAATAGATAAAAGCAGCACATGGTTTCCCTGAACATTTAAATCTCCATTTTTGGATGGGGGGAGAAACCTTTAAAGAATTTTTGTTTGGTTTTGTTTGTTTGGTTTTTGAAGAATGTCTGTAGCCTATCTTCAGGGATTGGCTTGAAAAATGAGTATCTGAGAAACTCTGGCAAGCTAGTTAATGTCCGTCCTGAGCAGTTCTGAAGCCGGAGTGAGGTCATGTAAGAATGGCGTTTCACTGAAAGTGTACTGTCCTTTACTTTTATTATTATTTGCACTTCTGCTAGCTGTACAACGTTGAGCAAACCATGCTGTTTGGGGGCTCTCTTTCCTCATTTATGAATTTTCAGGATTAGATTGCAAGATCCTGGACTTCCTTTAGGCTCCATATGTCATAGAACTGATAAAGGCATGTACTTAACCCTAAGATACTGATAGTCATCATAAAGCCATGGTTTGGGGTGGTAGATTTAATCACCACCACGGTCTTTCTCAGTTTTTGATTTTATGATCCACTCAAAGAGGCTCCACATGTCTCTCAAGTAATTTTTATAATATTTAACTATCCAAACCACTGAGAAACTCATTTTAACATGTCTCATTGAGTTTTTGTAATAACAACAATAACTATAACAACTTTTTTAACACTTGACAATCAACAAATGCTTATATCCATTATTTTATTTGATTCTCACAATAATCCTGTCTTTGTTTTATAAACGAGAAGGCACATGCATGGAGAGTGTCTGACTTGCTGAAGTCATCCAGCAAGAGGAAGGCTGAAGCCAAGTTGGGGTTGTCAGGCAGGGTCGTCATGCGGGACCAGTTGTGAAAGCCCTGAAAGCAGGTCACAGGGGCTCCATTTTATTGGGTCAGCAGCCCAGATACCTGAAAGAGACAAGTTACCTGATCAAAGTGGAGAGAGATTCAAATCAGGCAGGCCAGGTGAGAGGCCCCTCAGGATTCTAGAGAGATCTGATGGTGGCTGCCCCAAGATGGTGGCGGCTTAGGTGGGGAGAGGGAGTGTTTCACCCTTATCTTTCAGGGAATCCTGAATCCTGCAACCAAAACCTCTTTCTTTACTTTGCCCCTTGAAGAAATGCAGACTAGCCCCAAACTAAAAACCAGCCTCTTCCTGCGTGTTATGTTCAGAGGCAGAAAGAAGGCCCTTCTCACCTATTTCTTCACACAACCTTTCTCTTGGGGTTCCCTTTCCAACCTTGGTGTGGTTCTCATGAGTATTAAATACATCAGCTTGTCTCTCATTCCCCGCCTCAGGCTGGAAACTGGAATCCAAGAGGCACAAGAAAGTTTAGGTGAGTTTTTTGAAGCTGCCAAATCTGATGGGCTAAATTTTCATTCTATTTATTTTATGGATTTCAAAGGTTCATATTCATTTAACTGTGAAGACAGAATTATTCCCAAGTTATTTGATAGGACAAAAACTGCACTGTGGGTAGCAGACTTTGTCCAAAGCCTGAAAAACAACTAAGGAGTAAAATGATCTTGAATTTATTAGGATCCTCCAGCAATGAAGCGGCAGGGGGTGGAAACTGACCCGTCACAGTAGAGCGGAAGGCATGAGAGATAGATATGCAGGTGCCCCAAAACACGCTTGAAGCTGGTGTATTAACTTCACACATTGTTCGCCATACACAGCCATTCTCACATCCCTGGTGCTGCTGCAACAGGGGTAAGTTTCGGTGGCCACACCATCAGGCATCTTTGATGTGTGAGATGCTGATGATGCTCACCCTGCAAGGAATTCAGAGTGCACCAGGGTGCACAAGGGTCTGGAAATACCTGGGCAGTGGAGGGGCATGCAAGATTAAGACTAGGATAAAGGAGCATTGCAACCATCCCCAGCACAGAAGAAGGCTTTGAAGATTAGGAAATATTTAAACTCAAATTTAAAAAGAGGACTCTGCCCATTGGTCATGTCAGAGAGGATATTCCATGCAAAGGGAATGAAAATTTGAGGATGGGCAGAAATGCAAGTGAGTCTGGCATGTTTCATAAATCCAAGTGGTCTAATAATGTTGAGTCTTCCACTTGCAAGGGTTGGGGAGGAAACACAATGAGGCAGCTAAGCTAGAGAATGTTAAGGGCAGTGTCCACAGAGGGCAGTGGTTTGGCATGGGCTTTCAGAGCCTAAGCAGAGTGAGGAGGGCACCTGCACAAGAGAGAGGGTGGTGATGGTGTGGGATACATATGATTGAAACATATGTGGAGGATTGATCCAATAAGTAATAGTATTAAAGAAAATGGGACCTAGATTTTGCACCGTCAGAGAAGGGAGTGACAAATATAGGAAAGAGAAAGCTAGAATCAACCCTATGGTGCTAAATTAAAATTGGAGTTATCACTGTGAAATAGAAAGAAAAAGAGAGAACTGAGTGGAGAGAGAGAGAGAGAGAGAGAGAGAGAGAAGTATTTTAAGGCAAAACTAATATTAAAATAAATATTAGTTTTACCAGATATTGACACTTCTGCCAGCTGTTTTCTGCTGAAAAATTTCTATTAATTTGTAAAAGTTTATTAGTCCTTTCTTCTGTTGTCTCCAGTTGGTTGTTAAGCCCATCAGTTAATGTTTTACATCAGATATTGTACTTTATAGTTCTAAAATTTTAATTTGGTTCCTTTTTATAATTTACATTGCTCTGTTAAGATTCCACGTCTGTTAATTTATTATCACTACATTTTCCTTTATGTACTCGAACATATTTATAAAGCTGCTTTAAAATTCTTGACCCAACATCTGAGTCATCTTAGGATCAGCTTTCATTAGCTATGTTTGCATAGATTGCATTTTCCTGCTTCTACGTTTGTCTATAAATTTTTATTGTATTCTAGACATTGTGACGCTACATTGAGAGTCTGCATTTTGTTGTTTTTTTCAGAGAATGCTAAGTTTTGTTATTGCGGACAGTTAATTTGCTGGAAGATTAGATTGATCTTTTAAGGCTTGTTGTTAAGCTTTGCTAGAGTCGTTCTAGAGTACTCTTACTCTAGGATGAGAGGAACCCTGCTTCTCAGATGTAGTCTTTCTGGATCTCAGTTGAGGTCTTCTCTCCACTCTGGATTATTGGAACACCTATATTTCTCAGCACTGTGTATCATCAATGATCTCTGCTCATCTTGTAGCTCTCCAGAAGTTGTTTTTGCCAAAGGTTGGGTAGTCTTGCCCTAAACATGTATACTTTAATTGCATCCAGTGCCTTAAGGGGACTGATACATAAATTTCTGGAGCTGCTCTTTTATGCAGCTCTGTTCTCTCTGTCATCCTGAAACTTTGTAAACTTTAAACTCTAATCTCTGCCTCCCCAGTTTAGCAAACCTGCTGTGCTCTGCTTGGATTCCCCTTTCCTAAGCCATGATTCAGGAGTAGCCACAAACATAAAGTCAGGATGATCACATGGTTCACCTCCGCCAGGCATCCCCCTTAATCCAATGCTCTGTGCTGAAATATTTCTGAATCAAAACAAACAGAAGCAACTTGCATGTCTAGTTTTGTTACTGTAAACATCGAGCCCATTTCACACTTCCCTCCTGTGGGTTTAGGGAGGAGTTAGTTAGGTCAGTCACAAAACGGAAACTTTGAAACTGCTTGCAAAGTTGCCTAATGTATCACAAGGCAATGTGGTAGGTTGGCAGAGCTGGTATCTCTCTAATAGGCTGAAAGTCTCAAAATTAGAACTATAAAATTTGAGTTTAGTTTACTCTAATTCCACTGTCTATGTCCTAGGCACTGCGCTAGCTGCTAGAGGTACAAAGGTGGATGAGATGTGACCACTGCGCTAGCTGCTAGAGGTACAAAGGTGGATGGGATGTGACCAGTGCCCTGAAGGATAGGGTCCTGCAAAGAAAAATGGCAAATGCTGTGATGGAGGTCTGCAGGGCAACTAGGGTGGGAGCACAAAGTGGGGATGACCCATCTAAGCTTAAAGAGGTCAGCAAAGGTGCTAAGAATGTAGAAGAAGGTGATGAGTGAATTGAGGTGTCAAGGAAGTACAGAAGTTGTTCAGGCTGACTGAAGTGGGCAGGGGAAATAGCTGGCGAAAAGAAAAAGAGGTTCAAGCCAGGTGGCAACTTCAGTTACAGACAGCACAACCTATACTATGGCTATGGCATATACTGGCTATACTAAAGTAAATAGAGTATACAAGCTATCGCAATGGGTGCAACACAGGATTATGTCAGGAGATATAGTCAGAGAAACAAGGCTAGCCAAGATCACAACACAACTTCAGGTCCTATTTAGGCTAATAAACACAGGACTGTAGCTATTGGAGCTAGAATAGTACATAAATTAGTGGCAATTATTTATGGTGTGAGGTTCCATCTCCATTCTCCACTATCCAGATCCCGTCTGAAGTTTCTAGTCCTATATAAGACCTTTGAAACCACCAAAAGTGAAGCAGAGAAGGGAGTCAGGGTGGCAAAGGAATTCGAAAGCATTTTCTTCTGGTATGGTCATGGAGACAGGCCTTCCTATCCCCCCTTTGTAAAGGAAACAGCTCTATCCTTGTCCCTAGGCTGTTTTTTCCTAAAGAAAGTTATGGCCAACCATGAGTTCTAACTATCTGACTCAAGGCAGTTAATTCACAGGCTCATTTTGCATTGACGAGCAGGTGTCTTTAGGTTGGGCTCTCTGGGAAACAGGCCCCGAGATGAAAATATCTATGCAGAAGGTTTATCATGGTGCACTGTCAGGATCAGCAACCTAAGTGATAAAGGAAGCAGAATTGGGCAGAGGGCAAGGTTAACTTGCCATACAGTTGAAACAGAGATCTCAGCTGATTCCATGGGGAGTGCAGAAGTTGACAAGGCCCTTCAAAGACCTTTCATACTTACGCAAAGGGCCAGACTTCTGTTCGTCATCTCAATCAGTCATTAGATGCATTTTCTCCAGGGGAAAGAAAAAAAATCCCCCAGCGTGATCCAGCTGTGAGCTGTCAGCTGACAACCCTTCCTCTGGGACATGTGGGTGCTGCATCACTGCTTCCATTGCAGATAACCTGCTCTGGGAAGTTCTGCCCATGGGAGAAATGATAATTAGCCAGACTATTCAGACTCCAGAAATGAGCAGTAACATATGGCAAGGATCAGCCAGGTGATATAAACAACTTGTTTGATAGAAAGCAGGAACCAGGAGAAACAGAATGTGTGAGGAGCATGTTTATCCCCTGAGAGATGGTTGAAGAAACTGGGAATGTTTATCTGGAGGGGCAGAGAAGACTGTGGAGGGATGTGAGGCCCACCTGTAAATAGCTGAAGGGCTGGCAAGTGGAAGAAGGCTCTGGTGTGCTCCTCAGCACCTCAGGGGGTTGCATTTTAGGTGGAGAGGGTCCCAACAGTCAGGGCTCTAAGTTCTGTCCTCACCTGCAAATGGGGCTGCTGCTGACACCACACAGGTCTTTGGTGGGAGGTGGAGCTGAAGGCATTGTCAGGACCGGAGCCTCTGCAGGTATCCTGTTCCCCTAACAGCAGGCAGCTTCCTTGATGTAGGCTGCATCTGAAAGGTTAATTCCCTCTTCTTTGGGCCAGTTCAAAAATTGTAAGCATGACTATAGCTCGGGCAGTGATTCTCAAACCTGGCTGCATATGAAAAGCTCTAGGAAGTTTAAAAATATAGTGCTCAGCTCCAGAGAAGTCAAATCATAATCTCTCAAGATAGGGATGGGTCATTTTTATTTCTTAAGGGCTCCCCAGATAAATCTGATATGTAAACAAAGTTGAAAACCCTACGTCTGCCCTACTAGAGTGTTATTTGACTGAGAGGAAATGAGAAGGGTCATTCAAAGGATAAATGAAAAAGATTTCTGTTGCATAATGAGATCAATAGGAAATGATTAATCCCAAGGGAGGTAGCCGTGGCAAAATATAACAAGCAAATTGATTGCTACAAGAGGATCTGTGGCCCTAATGCTGACTGCCTTGAATCAGAGGAAGCTGAAGTTTTGTTTTGACAATGTGATCCAGTGCTCTATTTTAGTGAAGTATGTGGCTTGATGGGAATAGAGTGTCTTTAAACTTTCTCATGTAACAGGGACTGTTCCTCTCATAGACAGCCCTTAAGCCCTCTGGGGCTCTAATATACTATCAGGTTGTCTAGGTAACAAAAATAAATTATGTGTATGGAAGAAAATGTGGAAATATAGAAATGTGTGAATATAGAAAAATATAAAGTATAAAGAAAAAACACAAAACTTTTTTCCAATTCCATTGTCCAAAACTAGTCATTTCTATAATCTTGCCATAATATGCACAGGTAACATATACACTCCTTCTGTGTATGTGTATACATACACATGCACATATATGTATGTATGTATTTATCTGTGTATCAGACACTGTGCTACTAAGCACTCTTGATTAATTATTTTGAAACCACAAAACAGTTTGAAAGGTTATCTCACCTAGGATGACAATAACAGTTCCTACCTCATGAGGCTGTTGTGTATTAACATTAGCTAATACGTGGTAAAATGTTTAAGACAGCGCCTGGCCTATACTAAGGCCTTAATAAATATTAGAAAGAGAAGAGAGAGAAAAAGAAAGAGAGGAAAAGAGGGAGGAAGAGATGAGGAAATTTACTCATGTTAGAAAAAGTCTGAGAGGAGGTGAAGACACAGAGTTTGCTAACTCAGCACCATTGGCATGCTGGGCTGGAAAATTCTCTGCCGTCGGGGGGCTGTCCTGCAATTCATAGGCTGTTTAACATCATCTCCAGCCTCTACAATTCAAGGCCAGCAGTCTCCCCTCCTCAAAGGCATCACAGTCAAAAATGTCCTCAGACATTGCCCTAGGGGGCAAAATCACCTCCAGTTGGGAACCATTAACCTAGATCCATCATATATTAATTCTTGTTCTTTTACGAAAAAAATACATTTTAATCAAATGCATGTGTAAAATATCACAGTTGAGATCCACATACCGTTTTATATTCTGCATTTTCACTTAATGTCACATCATGATATTGCGCCTCATCATTAAACATTCATTATAAATGTCATTTTTAGCGGCTGCATTATATCCTAGCCTTCCAATGTACTGTCATTTTAATGACACGATATTGTTAGATAGGTTGTTTCCACTTTGTGCTCTTACCAAAAAGATGATCTTCCAAATGCATACCTACACACATATAGGTCTTTGTCTACATTTCTACTTCTTTTCACTGGGTAAATTTTTAGAAGTGAAATTACTGAAATAAAGTAATTGAGATCCTGAAGAGTCTTGACAAATATTACCACATTGATTTCCAAAACAGCTGTCCAAGTCGACACGACCACTAGCAGTCATGTAGGTATTTGGAATGCATGAGATATGGGGACTGGCATGGTTTTGATTTGAACTAACTGAAGGGGTCTTTTAATCTACACTTCACAAAAGTCAAAAATAAAACTTTAAAAGTAAAAGACAACACACGCCATGTGGTGAGGTGGTATTTATTACATCACAGGTGATGTAACTGTGCATAACTTCAATAAACTTCACAGCAAAGGAGATGGTTCTGACATCAACTCTATTGCTATTTCCTAAGGGGTTGAGGGAAACCTTAAATAGTCCAGTGAGGAAAATATATCTCTCATTTCTAGAGAGTTACCAGCCCTGCTGGGAGCCACATGGAGAAGTTGGAATTGAAATACAAGGCTGGTGGTCCAGCTGGCCACATGTCAAGCTCAGAGCCATGATGGTTATCTGATTTCCATCCCACTTGAAAGTGATGTTCAAATCATCTACAAGAGGAATTATGAAAGAATTTGTAGTATTCTAGAATTCTTATAGAAAGCAGAAATCTGCTGCTTCACTCCTCCATTTGGGGGAGAACTTTCAGAATGGAAGGGGAACTCAGATCTACTTATAGGCAGCCATGAAACCTTGAGTCAACTATGGAAATTTCCAAGCCCAGATATCAGATTTGCACCTGGGGGGTGGATTCCAGCCTCTCTGAAGACTGGTCTGGCATAAGTGTTATAGGACCCTGGGACAGCAGGCCTCTCCCACTTATTCCTCATTTTCTATGGGAGGTCATGTAGGCTTCTTGGACAGTGTTTATAATCAAGTGTGGAATAAATGAGCTAACAAAGAAGACTGACTCATCCAAATGTGCTATTGGCACAACCCAACAGAGCTGAACATATACATTCTAGATGTTCATTTGATAAATAATTCCATTTCACAGACATTCATTGGTGTTAGTTTAATGCCTGTTGTAGGTACTGTAGAGGATTAACACGACACTGTCCCCATCCTCCAAGAGTTGAGAAGATTTTAAAAAATATACAATTATCTAGAATGTTAGGCATACAGCTAAAAATAAGTCTATTATAAACAGAGTGCCCAGGGACTTCATTGCAAGGACACAAATATTGCAGAGCACTTAGCATGTGCCAGGCAGTGTTATGAGGACTTCACGCTGAGTCAATGCATCTCATCTCACAATGCCATTCTGAAACTGGTGCTGTCCTAGACACCTTGCCCAAGATCCCACAGCTGGTAAATAGAAGAGCTGAGGGATGAACCCGCTAGCTGGATCCAGCATGAAGGCTATGCTGTACATTGTTCTCTGGGGGTTTAGGAAGAGCCTCATGAAGGTAAACACAATGGAGCTTTCAGAGGTAAAAATTGAAGGACAGATCTCCCAGATAGATAGACTTGGGAGTTAAGCCAGATAATTGGTACATAATCAAGTAGGCAATAGGGGAGTCAATAAGTATTTTTGGGCAAGGGAATCACACGATCAAAACTGAACTTTAACACAATGAATCTGGAAGGAAGAAGTGGGAGAAAGGAGAAACTGAAAGTCGGTGGTAGGGAGATAGGTATGATGGAACAGCTAGGGTAAGGGTCTTCGGCATGCGGCAGTCTTGGGATGATGAGAGAGTAAAGATAAATACCAGGCTTTACTGAGCATGGCATTGTGTTGTGATTCTCATCCTACCCCACTTTGATGTATTTATTCACCCAGAATATATATATATATATATATATCACAAATGATCCTGGCACATACTAGCTACTTAATAAAAACCTGATTTTCTGAGAGAAGAAATAAATGTCATGCCTCCAGGTTATTCAGTAAGTCTGCAATAGGATATTGTTCAATGCCCCTGTGTGTGTGTGTGCTTGTGGGGGGTGTGTGTGTGTGTGTATGCACACACGCATGTGGTGTAAGAGCTGGAATTTAGCCCAGAGCTCCATGTACACAACTTTTTTTTGCTGATAGACACTGGCTTCCATCTGTGATTCTAAAAACCATGGCCAAATTTGGTCTTTGAAGTACAGAGGCTCAGAACCTGAGTAAAGGTGGACATAGCAAGAGTCTGCAGGACATGGGCCTCTCTGAGCAGCAACACCCAACCCCTCCTAGTCGTCAGAAAGTCTATAGCTCCAGAAGGACTTTTTGATGCAGAAGTGAAACCCAAACTGTAGCTAAAAACAGAGCAATGCAGTATGATGCCTCCATGCTAGTGAGCCCTGCATGTGGGCAAACAAGGAACCCTCCTGCATCCCATGCCCATTCCGCCTGTGTATGGCAGTTGTTCCAGCCCCATCTCACTGAGCAGGAGCTGCATAATGATTTGTGCCCAGGATTGTTAGAAAGAATGACTTTGACTTCAGATTGATCAGAGCTTCAATCCAAGTTTTGTCTCTGATAAGCCACCAACTCTTGGGCAATGTATTTAATTCCCTCTGCGTTGGTTTCTTTCTTTTTTCTTTTCTTTTCTTTTCTTTTCTTTCTCTCTTTCTTTTTTCTTTTCTTTCTCTCTTTCTTTTCCTTTCTTTTCTTTCCTCCCTCCTTCTCTCTCTGTTTCTTTCTTTCTCTCTCTTTCCTATCTTCCTCTATCCTTCCCTCCCTCTCTCTTTCCCTCCCTCTCTCCTTCCCTTTCCTTTCCTTTCTTTTCCTTTCCCTTCCCTTCCTTTCCTTTCCTTCCTTCTCTCTTTCTATTTCTTTCTTTCTTTCCTTTCTTTCTTTCTTGAGACACTCTCAATGTTGCCCAGGCTGGAGTACAGTGTCACAGTCATAATTCACTGCAGCCTCCACCTCCTGGGCTCAAGCAACCCTCCCACCTCAGCCTCTCAAGTAGCTGGGACTACCACAACCAGCCAATTTTTTTTTTTGGAAGAAACAGGTCTTGCGTGTTTCCCAGGCTCGTCTTGAACTCCTGGGTTCAAGCAATCCTCCTGCCTGAGCCTCCTGAGTAGCTGGGTCTACAGGCAGGAGCCACTGTGCCGGGCTGCTTTGGTTTTCTTATTTGCTAACTCAGGATGACTTTAGCTTCCAGGGTGGTGCAAGTGCAGGGCCAGTGCATGGGAGTGAGAGCCTCCTTCAGTCGTGTACCCTGGGTGCCTCACATGACTCACCCTAGCCCCGGCCCTGGTGAGAAGCTGTGAAAGAACCTGGCATGTGAGGAAACACCATGGATCTTTCCACGTGACTGAAAGGAAGGAGGTGCGTGTGTTGGGGACACACTGTCAGGAGAGGATGAGGAGCTGACACCAGATACTGATGGCTCCAGCCCCAAGACAAGAGTGCCAGGAGATGCCCCTCAGCACCCCATAGGTGGCAAGCCCAAAGGGTAGATTACAGGCAGCCCCTGACTAGACTTTTCAGAGAGAAGCCTCAGACCATCAAAGTGAAAATGATAGTATTCAAAGTCATCAGGGAAAAGGAGAGGTTACCTATAAAGGGATGGCAATTATACGTTCAGTAGACCTTTTTTCCCCAACAACAGATGTCATGAAAGATGGTGTATCATCAGGAAGGTGCTGAGGAGAAATGATTAACAATCTAATATAAACAATAAATAGTAGGCATCCATTTTTGAGCACTTGTATGGTAGCCTAGAGCTCTGTATTCAGCATAACGATTATTTAATATGAGAGTTAAATAAAGACGTGTAGAATACAAAAAATGCACTACTCGTTGGCCCTTACTGAAAAACAAAATCAGCAAGAGGATGGATCAGGATGGAGAAAATACAGGTGATCACAGAAAGTAGTAAAATATAGTGGAAAGCGTATTTAACAATTGACTTCAAGAAATTAATAATGATTGCTATTGTGTGTTTTACAGTTGGTGAAATTAAAATTAATAACAAAGAAGATACTGGGATGTTTAATGAGTAAAGTGAGATAATATGTGCCTTATGAGAATGATTGAGATCAAGAATAAATGTAGAATTTGTTAGAAAAATAATTAGTTGAGTGTGAATATTGGAAATAAAGTTTAACAGCAGAAAGAATGGAAATCGTCATCATCTTGCAGTGAATGCAAATATCCGGCACCTTCCTGTTAGGTGCCTTCTTCTAGGCATTGATGATACAGAGATGAGCAGACGGAAAAGTCTTTTTTTGCATGGTTTTGTTAATGTAAATTGTAATGTATTCCTAGACTAACCTTGGTAACATATGACAATGCTGAGAGTCACTTTATTTTTTTTGTTTTTTTTGTTTTTTCAAAAAAAAAAAAAAGAGGTGGTGCATGTAAACTGTAGATGGAGTGTTATATGGGGAGGGACTTGCCTTTGGGATATGAGTTAGTTCATTTCTTGCATTGCTGTAAAAAAATTCTGAGGCTGGAAATTTTTTCTGTTTCTACCAAAAAAACATCCAAATTAGCAGGTTATGGTAGTTCCAGCTACATGGGAGGCTGAGGTGGGAGGGTTGCTTGAGGCCAGGAGGTGAAGGCTACAGTGAGTTATCATTGTGCCACTGTACTGCAGCCTGTGCAACAGTGAGACTCTGTCGAAAGAAAGAAAGAAAGAAAGAAAGAAAGAAAGAAAGAAAGAAAGAAAGAAAGAAAGAAAGAAAGGAAGGAAGGAAGGAAGGAAGGAAGGAAGGAAGGAAGGAAGGAAGGAAGGAAGAAAGAAAGAAAGAAAGAAAGAAAGACATTTATAAAGAAAAAGGGTTTCGTTGGTTCAGTTCTGCAGGCTGTACAGAAAAGCATGACTCTGGTTTCTGCTGGCTTCTGGGGAGGCCTCACAGAGCTTTTACTCATGGTAAAAGGTGAAGCAGGAGCAGGCATGTTACATGGTGAAAGCAGGAGCAAGAGAGAGAGAGCTGTGTGGTGGGGAGTGTGTCACACTTTACAACAACCAGATCTGGTGGAACTCACTCATTACTACAAGGACAGCACCAAGTCATAAGGGCTCTGCCCCCATGACTCAGACACCTCCCCCCAGGCCCCAGCTGCAACACTGGGGATTACATTTCAATGTGATATGTCATGTCGGCAAGGACAAATATGCAAACTATATTAGGGCGCTTCCCTGATGGTCATGGAAAAAGGAAGTCTTCTTGTTGAGAACCCCAATGCCACTGTCTTTAGCAATGAGCATATTCGATGTATTATGTATGTCTTCATCCCATGGGTTTAGCATGAAGAGTTGCAAATAGCTGGGCTTTAGCACACCGGTACCACTGAGCCCTGGAAGATAAGAGATGCCTTGGGCTGAGCGGGAGTGGTACAGAAGTCCTGGAGAAAACCAAAGCGCAGAGGAGCCTCCGGCACGCAGATGTGGATTCAGGGCCCATCCTCTTGTCTTGACCTTGAGCAAGTCAGTTACCTTCTCTGTGTCTTAGTTTCCCGATCTGTACAGTCACCGCTTCATGAGATTGCTATGAAAATGATGATGGACGTGTTGATTCACGTCTTTGTAGGAGCTCCCCCACTGATTAATAACAGGTGTCCAAATGCTGATTGGAGCTCCTTGAATACTTTTCTTATTTCTCACAATGTGCTTAAGGTCTTTGAAGGCATTTACTGGTTCTTATTCATGTTTGTATTCCCAAGCATTGTTCTAGGAACACACTTATTAACAAATATTTTTTAACTGAGCTAAAGTAAATGGAATGAAATTGGATTGAATTGACAAGGATGCAACCTAAACATGATACAATTAAGGAACAATAGGAGACACCATCTCATTAGGGGCTTCTTCCAGCTTTTATAAAATTACAGGAATTCAGAGACGAGGGAGATGAAAGTAGACTGAACAGACACTTATTGGGGACAAGCACTTCCTGAATAACCACTTTGTGCCTGACACCATGCCAGCCCTTCTCCCAAACACTATCTCATTAACTCCTAACAACACACTGAGAAAAAAACATTATTACCATCATTTTATAAATGAAAATCCCAGGGTTCAGAAAAGCCAGGTCACCTACCCAATGTGACCTGAGAAAAGCGGCAGGGCCAGAGTAAAAAGCGAGCTTCTCGGCTGCTGCAGCCCCCTCTCCGCTTTCTCATTCAGCCCCAGGCTTTGGTGTGGGGGGTAACTCTTCTGCTTGTTTCTATTTGATTCTCTTTTGTTTTTTTGTGCCACATTGGCAAAGCTGTACTCACCATGCCTATTTTCAATTATAGCCTGCAAGCCTGTGCTTTGAAGTACATAATTTATTTTCCCAGTCAGACCAAATAGAAAACACAACTGTGTGTTTAAATACTAATTAACCTTTTCACATATCTCTCTCTCTTTCTCTCTTGCTCTATCTCTTTCTCTCTCTCCTCTCATTCCTCTAAAGCAAAAGCATGTAACATGTAAGACAATTCTTGCCAATTTTATTTTCCTGGACTCTATCAGTTGGAAGTCTACAGCATACGGCTATGAGGACTTCTGTACTTGAAGTCAAATTCGTTTAGAAAGAGAAGACTGCCGTGCATGTGGTCACCAATGTGTTTGTTTCTCTGCACTGAGAATTCTAAGCTCCCTTTACTGTAGAGTTTGCAGGGCCCATTTCAAGGATAGCTCTATTGGGTTTCCATTAATATCATTTTCATCGGCCATATATTACTTTCCCCTGCCTGAAATCTCTCATAGTTTAAAAGACTTGGGCTTTGAAAGCAGACAGCCTGCCCATTTAAACGAACTTCATGCATCCATATAAAGCAGCTTAAAAATTACTTCATTAGCATCTCCATGTCAGCATTTTAATTTTCTAATATTGCCGTCCATCTCCCACTCAGCTGCAGCGCTCCTGTTTTCACAGCCATCTCCTCCTATTCTGCACCTAGATCCTTGCATTGACCACTTGGTTTTGGAGTCGTGGAATCATCTTTGATCTCAAAATCTTTTTGGAATGCAACCATCTGCACTTCGACCCAATCTGAGTGCCCCATTCAGAAAACACCCCTTTATTCTCAGTACCATTTTTTCAGTGGAATGTAGTGATGTGTTTAATTTCAGATATGTTGAACTTACAATGCTTGAGAGGCTACTGTGGATCTGTTGGTTCAAAGCTCCAGAAAGAAAGTGAAAAAGACTAGAAGACAGTATTGACATGGAAAGCAGAAAAAAGAAAGGCTTTTTTTTTTTTTGAGTTTCACTCTTGTTGCCCAGGCTGGATCGCAGCAGCGCAATCTCAGCTCACTGCAACCTCTGCCTCCTGGGTTCAAGCTATTCTCCCACCTCAGCCTCCCGAGTAGCAGGGATTACAAGCATGCGCCACCAGGCCCGGCTAATTTTGTATTTTTAGTAGAGACAAGGTTTCTCCATGTTGGTCAGGCTGGTCTAGACTCCAAACCTCAGGTGATCCACCCGCCTCAGCCTCCCAAAGTGCTGGGATTATAGGCATGAGCCACTGCTCCTGGCTAAAAGTAAAGACTTTCTATGAGAATGGAATGGTAAATGGAATTGGATACCACAGAGAAGTCTGATAGAGTAATAAAGGGATGTGTTTATTAGGTTTTGCAACAAAGCGGTCAATGGTTTCCCTTGTTACAGGGGTCCCCAACCCCCAGGCCACGGACCAGTACTGGTCCATGGCCTGCTAGGAACTGGGACATACAGCAGGACATGAGTGGCCGGCAAGCAAGTATTACCCCCGAGCTCTGCCTCCTGTCAGATTAGTGGTGGCATTAGATTCTCTTAGGAGCGTGGACCTTATTGTGAGAGGTTGTATTTGAGGGATCTAGGTTGCTTGTTCCTTATGAGAATCTAACTAATGCCTGATGATCTGAGGTGGAACAGTTTCATCTCGAAACCATCCCCCATACTACAATATATGGAAAAATTGTCTTCCACAAAACCGGTCTTGGGTGCCAAAAAGGTTGGGAACCACTGCCTTATCAGACACATTTATGTTGGTAGGAGGATAAAGACACAAATTGCAATGACTTCATGAAGGAATGAGAGGGAAAAAAATGTTGTGATAAAAGGTGTAGATCCTTATTTCAAAGAGCCTAGCACAATGCCTGGCTCACAGTGGACTCTCGGCAGATAAGAGTTAATGAATGAGGGTCGAAGCAAGAGCCAGAGTGATGGGTAAGGACCCCCGTGCCTTAGTTTGAGAACATGTTCTGAGGATTTTTCTTTCAAAAGTAGTTAACAATCTAACTAAGAATATAAGCAAGTATATTGGTAAAAATTGCAATATGACCTTCAAAAGGTATGCAAGCAAGCAGTAAACTGGGTGTCATGTACTGAGTCATAAGAAACTGAGGCTGTCTCTGTGTTTCATTTACAAGCAAATGGGTGAAGTTTTCCTGGTGTTCGTACAACCCCAAGGTCTGATCTTCAAGTCAAAATCTCCATTTGACTAGTGGAGAGGCGACCTGTCTCTTGCTGTTAATTTACAACTATTACATTATGTAGAGACTAATATTTATTCACTTATTCATTCATTCATTCATTCATTCAACAGACATAAACTGAGCTTCTACAATGTAGAAATCCTTATGTCCTACCATTAGGTGACAGTGGCTGGAAAGTGTAACTAAGAGAAAAACCAGAATGAGGGCATCTGTCGGGTAGAACATCTGATCCCTGGAAACAAAGCTACATTCAGATTTGTTGTTACTAGTTTGAAAGTTGCTGCCCATAAGCTGTGGGGTTAGGGGAGTTAGTTAGGATCTTAATAACTACAGACTTGGAGCAATAGTAGTCTGATGACCCACGTTTGCCTAAAGATTGAACTTCTCAGTTAATCAGATACTGATTGCCAGACAATCACTCACATTTTGAGAATATTACTAGAGAAACCAAAAACCATTCTTATAGGAATTTCTTTGCAATGAAAGTCCAATAGCTGTGATGCTGTGGCATGAGGGCAGAGATCACCCACATAGAAGGTATGAAGTCAATATTTTTGAATGCGTGAATATATAATGGGTTTCATGCAATGTGACAGTGAGATGGAGCCAGATGTTCACTTTTGCTAATCTTACTGGTTCCAGCTGTCTTTCTTTTGCCTTTTTTCCTCCTTACCTGCCCCAGCCTAGACTGAAATGGTCCAACTCAAGTCTTGCTGTCTGTCCATTCTCCAAAACTCCCAAGAGAAGGATGATGTATATGTGTGAATGTGTGTGTGCACATGTGTGTGTATGTGGACCAAAAGACAGTTATAAGTTCAAGTATCCATCAAGAAATATCTACCAAAAATATCTTTGCCCTCATATTAAAGGTTAATAACTAAGTAATAAAAATAAAAAACGACAATAGCAACAACCACGGAGTATAGGTTTGTTATCCTCATTTTACAGAGGAGGAAGTCGAATTCCAAAGAGAGTCAGTGACTTACCTGAGGTGCCATTATCAGGAAGTGGCAGGACCATGGTTCAAACTCTGGCCAATTTGACTCCACATGCAGCAAATGCCCAATGCATCTAGCACTTAGTTTTCTCTTCAGTAAAAGAGGAGATTCGCCTTAAAAGTTTCTTTTAATCCTAGCAGTCCCTGAAAGAATAATGTTGCTTCCTTTCCCTCAGTGCCTTGTATAGCATGGGGTCTTGCAGTGAGCGCTTGTGCATTTATTCAGGTGATTTACACAAGGTCCAGTAGGTGGAGCTAGAGAGTAGACACAAACTTCTGTGGCTGATGAGGAGGAGCTAATATCTGGATATTGTCCTCACTCATCCTGTTTGTTAGTTGATTTCCCTCTTCAGAATAAAAATCACTACTATGAGCTAGGCTTGGGGTGAAGGGAGATGAGTCTCCCAAACCTGAAAGATTAAGGCTAAACTGGAATTTGCTACTTAAACTAAGCTCTGGGAGTAATCTTCTATGAGAAGGGAAAATCAGTAGAAGAAACAAAAATACTTTGTTTTTCACAGGTTATAAGTATAGCCTTACTTAAAGGTGCAGCCCTGGGTGTGAGTCCTGGTTCTCAGTCTCTCTGTCTCTCTCTTTTTTTTTTTTCTCCTCTCCTCTCCTCCCTCTCTCCTCTCTCCCCCTACCCTCTCTCTTTCCCCTCCCTCCTTCTCCAGTCTCTCTCTCTTGCTCTCTCTTTTTGTCTCTTTCTCACTCTACTCCCCCTTCTCTCTCTCTCTGTCTCTCTCCTCTCTCTCCCTCCTCCTTTCTCTTTCTCTCTCTCACTCTTTCGTTGCTGTTGTTTGTTTGTTGTGAATCAAGGTCCAAATTAGGAAGTTCAAGACATTACTATAGGCTGATGTTTGATAACTGTCCGACTTTCTTATTCTTCTAATAGACTTTATGCTTTAGAACAGTTTAGATTTACAGAAAACTTGAGAAAATATTACAGGTTTCCACTTACTCCACACCCAGTTTCCTCTATTTTTAACATCTTACATTAGCATGTTACATTTGTTACAATTAGTAAAGTGATATTGATACCATATTGCCAACTGGAGTCTGCAGTTTATTCAGATTTCCTTAGTTTTAACCTAATGTTCTCTTTCTGTTCCAGCATTCATCCAGGATACCCTGTTACATTTACTTGTCACATCTCTTTAAGGCTCTACTTGGCTCTTTCTCAGACTTACCTTGTTTTTCTTGAACTTGACTTTTTTTTTTTTTCTTGTTTGCTTGTTTTTGTGGTTTTTTTTTTTTTTTAATGGAGTTTTGCTCTTGTCGCCCAGGCTGGAGTGCAGTCACACAATCTTGGCTCACTGCAACCTCCGCTGCCCAGGTACAAATGATTCTCCTGCCTCACCTTCCCAAGTAGCTGGGATTACACGTGACCGCCACCACACCAGGCTAATTTTGTATTTTTAGCAGAGACAGGGTTTTACCATGTTGGCCAGGGTGGTATTGAACTCCTGACCTCAGGTGATCCACCCGCCTCGGCCTCCCAGAGTGCTGGGATTACAGGCATGAGCCACTGCACCCAGCCTGACCTTAACAGTTTTGAGGATGGTTTGTAAGATGTTCCACTACTGAATTTTTTTCTAATTTTTTTCCTTATGATTGGACTTTTTGGGAGGAAGAGATGAAGTGCCATTTTTTTCACATCATATCAGGGTACACATAATCAACATGATTTATGACTGTTGATGTTTAACCCTGATCACCTTGTTGAGGTAGGGTTTGTCAGGTTTCTTCACTGAAAAGTTGCTATTTTTCCCTCTTTCCTTACTGTTCTCTTTAGAAGAAAGTCACCATGTATGGTTGACACCTAAGAAGTAGAAAGTTATGTTTCTCTTCTTGGAGGATGGAATATCTACATAAATTATTTGAAAAATTTCCTCATTCATTAATTCAGTTATTTATTTATATGAGCATGTACTCATGAATATTTTATACTTTGGGTTTAATCCAATATTCATTCATTTCCTTGTTCATATTGTTCCAGCTTTGGGCATCAGGAGGTCTTCCAGTTGGTTCTTCTTTTCCTGTGACTCATTCCCATCAATGGAGGCCGGTATTGCATTTCTTTTGGGCCATTTTGTTTCCCTCCCTCTCTCCCTTCCTTCCTTTATTTCTTCCTTCCTTTCTTACTCCCTTCCTTCTTTCCTTCCTGCCTGCCTTCCTCCCTCCCTCCCTTCCTTCCTCCCCCCCTTCCTTCCTCCCTCCCTTCCTTCCTCTTTTCCTTCTTTTTTTAAAATACAACTTTGCTCTGTGCTACAACATGTGAGATGAATAAGAGAATCTCTGCCCTCAAGGTGTTCCCAGACAGACAAAAGGCATACAAATTCAATACACGGTAGTAAATTACGTAGAAAAGAAAACACAAGGTGTCAGATAGAGAAAAGGAGTTGGGGTGAGGGGCAGTAGACCGAGTTTTGACTTGCTGGCTCTCTGTGACCTTCACAGGATCATTTCCTTTCTCTGGGCCAGACATTACAAATCACGAAAGAAAAGAAGTTGAAGAGGGTGAAATTTTAGTGGGGGAAAGAGCTAACTTTTTATTTTTAAAAACAGACTATATATGATGCATTATGGTAGGAAAAATATATTCTTTATTCACTCATTAAAAGCATAAATGAGGAACTAGGCACTGGGAAAGGTGATTTATATTAAATCATTCATTCAACAGATTATTTATTCACCACCGGATCCCTACTAATTCATGTACCTCTCACAGAAAAAGGTGTTCTGGTACCCATTTTATGGAGGCTGAGTCTCAGAGACCTTAAGCAGCCTGCGCAAAGCCTTCCTAGTAAGTGGAGGGCACAGATGTGAACTCCGTTCGCCTTGCTCCAGGGTCTTCTCCTGCCATGACTCAGGATTACTCTTCATTTCTTCTATGATTGCAGACATCTCTCTTGCAGGGGCTTAAATAGCTTAACAAGAGCTCTCAGCACAGGAGTTAGCATCCTGGGGAACCTCTCACTAAGTCTTAGTGTTTGGTAATAAGTTTCTCTCGGGCTCTGGCTCCAACTCCTGATCCCTTATAAGTGACTATTCATTTTGCAAAATTTCCCAACCTGCCTGCCAATTCATTTCCTGAGCAGATCACACAGAGGTCAATTGTGGCAAGATGGGACCCTGCCAACCTTTGCTCTCACAGGGCCTTGGACAGGAGACAGCCTCTCCAAGGAATGCTGCATCAGCAAGGCCACACACCATCCTTGGACACATTATCCTGGGCACAGAGAAGGATGGTTTGGTGAATGATAAAGCACGAGCTTTGGAGGAAGCACAAAAAGCCTGATCTATCTCTAAGGGCAGCACAGGACAGAGGGGAGAACATTGCAATTACAATCAAAAGAAGGAAATGGAAATCAAGATAGTTACTGAGCACCAACTGTACACCAGGCACATACCAGATAAAGAGTTAATGAGTACTCCTTGCCCATAAGGAGACAACTGTCCTGTAATGCTTGCAGAAATAGACAGAGCATCAAATAACTTGTGACTCATGAGACTGGTGCTTTGGAAATCTGGTGCAATATTGCAGGGAGCTCCCCCAGAACACTATTCTGAATGTCCCTCTTCATGCAAGCTAGAACAACACTCTTATCCTCACTGTTAACAGACAATAAGGGATATGACAAAACACACCCACTGCACTAATAAAATTTAATGCTCAAATCAAGCAATAAAATTGCCTATTCATATGCATGTTTATATCTCCCTATATAAAAAAAAAATCACATTTCCCTAAGAAGAATGTCTTAAGTCAGTGTGCAAAGCACCAGTCCCCGCACTCAGTCCATTGATTTCATAGATATCCAAGGGGCACACAGGGAAGAAGGCAGGAGACGGAGGAGTGGTTGGTTTGAGATTTCGTTTCTTGGTAGTAAGATGTGGCTTAAAGGTGAGTTGAGAGTATATTCTTCTTACCTCCTTTCAAGACAAAACTGAGGAAACATACAAGAGCAGTTAGACAAAATTTAATCTTTCTCCCTCTCTTTTTCTCCATGTGCTCTGAGTTCAGTGTCTCAATTCTCTTTTCAGTGCATCTGGCCAGTCATGTTAGTTCAATATTTGTGTGTGGACAAACAGCTTGTTCAGCAGCTTGTTTACTCCTCATCAAAACCTGTGTTGCAGACTTTGTACATGCAGATGAACAGGGTGCCTGGTCATCCCTTCTTGCCAACAAAATGCTTAGAAGCCAGGACACCACGAGGGTTTACTCTGGTTCTCCATCTGCAAAAAAGAAAGTATAGACATAAGAATGAAGATGAAAATGTGGTCAAGATATGGGAATTCCATCAGAGAAGAGTTGTCTGATTTTGTCATGCAAAAATACATGACAAATTATATTTGTATTTTTATCACAAGTCATTGAATAGTCCTTAATAAAAATGCAGGTCATTCATTGAGGCATTTAAAATAATTTTCAAATCACTTAAAAGTTAAATTAGATAAATGAAGTTAACAGGTAGAGGGCAGACTGTGTTATGAACTTTTGTTCTAAAAATAAGAGAATGCTGGGAATGAATGTATAAAACAGAAAGAGAAAAATAGATCAGAAAGTACTTACTTTTGCCTAGAATAGGACATTCGGTGAATACTACAAAGAAGTACTATCATCTTTCTGTTCAATGAACAGGAATTTCAGGTGAATAAGGTGGTGGTGGAGGAAAGTCTGAGAAGAGTTTTCCCTAAATTCAACTTTAGGTACCTTGAGAGTTGGGGTGGTATTATCAGACCCATAATAATGATAAAGGTATTGTGAGGATACCTGATCCAGACACAAAGGTATTCTTTGTGAATAGCAAAGTGTTGGAAAAATTAAAGATGTATTGCTGTTTCTTTCGTGATGTCATCATCTTTGTTATTTGAGTGGCTGAAATCATTGAGTTCTAGCTCTGCCACACAATAGCAATGTGACTTTGAATACGTTGTGCAACCTGTGTTTCCTTGACTGTACAATGAAAGCACAGTACCCCATGGTCTCTGGGGCTCCTTCTAGGCTAATCTGATTCAACACATCTCCTGGCCATGCTCCAAGTGCCCCATCCATGGCACTGGCACCTGCAGGATCCTTGGCCTGAAGCAGCATGTCCTTTAGTGAGAGAGACACACAGGGTACTCTGAATCTTAAGAGTGTAAGATCTTTCATAGAAGACATTCGCAGAGCCCGGAGAATAGTGGACATATGAATTCAGCATTATAAGAGATAACTCAGAAATTATAGCATGAGAGACTAAAGTAAACTACAAGGAGAAACTCAGTAGCAGATTAGGCCCTAAAAGATCTTTCCAAAGTAAATAATACCACTTGTGAATTTTATCTTTGCCATGAAACTGAATTTGGTAAGTACCCTAGAGCAAGCCCTCTAGAAATACATTCAATAATCATATAAAAACACTTTGTTGTTGTTGTGGGATATACTGGAAAAACGAGCAGATGTCAGTGCTAACTGGTGTCTTAGCTTGGGCTGTTAAAAGGCACACACAAGGTACCTTGAATCTTGAAATATCATAAACTAGGTGATATAAACAACAAGCATTTATTTCTCACAGTCTGGAGGCTGGGAAGTCCAACATCAAGGCACCAGCAGATTTGGTGTCTGCTGAGGGTCTGTTTTATAGATGGCTGTCTTATTCTTGTGTCCTTACACAAAGAGAAGCAAGCTCTCTCTTCTGGAAAGAGAAACAAGCTCTCTTGAAACTTTTAGAAGGACACTAATTCTATTTGAGGGCTCTGCCTAACAACCTCATCTAGTTCTAATTCCCTCCCAGAGACCCCTTCTCCTAATACCATCAGATTAAGGGGTAGGGTTTTAACATGTGAATTTTAGGGCAACACAAGGACTTGGTCCATAACAGCTGGTAACAGGTCTATAACAGTTATGATCAGGAAGGAAGGGAAGGAACACAACCTCACCAAATTAACTTTTGGCAAATTTCTGAATCTTGCTGGTCATTGATTCCTTTTATCAAAAGAGACAAGTAGAATTAACGATCTCTACAATAATTCTTTCCTTAACCAGCTATGAAAAAACCTTTTGAAATTAGTTTGGAGGAAGATGAATTCCTTTTTTTTTTTTTTTTTTTGAGATTGAGTCTCGCTCTTTCACCCAGGCCAGACTGCAGTGGCGCTATCTCGGCTCACTGCAAGCTCCGCCTCCCAGGTTCATGCCATTCTCCTGCCTCGGCCTCCCGAGCAGCGGGGACTACAGGAGCCCGCCGCTGCTCCCGGCTAATTTTTTGTATTTTTTTTTCAGTGGAGACGGCGTTTCACCGCGTTAGCCAAGATGGTCTCAATCTCCTGAACTCGTGATCCGCCCGCCTCGGCCTCCCAAAGTGCTCGGATTACAGGCGTGAGCCACCGCGCCCGGCCGATGAATTCCTTTTATTTCATCCATTTATTTATTTTGTCCTTTCATCCAACAAATATTTATGGGTCATGTCTTGCACTAACCACTACAGATAAAGAAATGTGTAAGACAAAGCTATTGTCTTCAAGAATACCCAGAGTGGAGGAATTGTCTTTAGATTCTAGATCTTTCTCTTCTTAAATCATATTTCTTAGAATATAGGTACAGGTTTGGAACATTGTGGTAATTCCAAATTTGTTTACCTTTAGTGCTTAGTGCTGAAAAGAGCTACAAAAATAATAAAGACCTGGAGATGTATTAAACAATATCCATTCTTTTCTCATCTTCATCTGTTGTTTCAGCCATTTCCTCAACAGCATCTTTCTTGGTGAAGACCTTCTCACCTTTGCAAGTAAATCCCCTAAAATGAAGACCACACTGCCTACTGCATCCCGTTCTCACTTTAAGCAGTTCTGAGAATCAGAGTGCTGTAATTTTGCTGACTAAAGCCCATCTTCACATGCCATTTACCAAAGAATTCCTACTTACCTTCATCAGGGCCACACAGAACAGGCCTAATCAATAATTTATATTCATATAGCAGCTATTTGACTATTCTTACTGGTGACCTAGAGAAAATGACTTTACCTTTCTGTTTTCACAGTTTTGTGATCTATGAAACGGAGATTAAAACTACCTTCTTTTACCTATAGGATAACTAGGAGTATCAGCATTGATTTGCAAAAGTTCAGTGTTGATTGCTATCAGGTACTGTACATATACCATGAATTATTATTAATAATAATGCCACTTGAAATAGTGGAAATAATCTTCATAAGTTGTTGATATTATTAATAACAGTGCACCATGTACACTTAACAAAAATAATATCACTATTAAAATGATTCTACTGTTAAAAGGATTTATACCTGAAATGCAAGGATAGTTCAACATATGAAAATCAGTCAATGCAATATACCATACCACATTAACAGGATGATGGAAAAAACAGGTGACCATCCCAAATGTTGCAAAAAAAGCACTTAGCAGAATACAAAACCATTTCATGATAAAAACACTCAACACACTAGTAAATAGAAGGAAATTGCCTAAGCATAACATAGGCCATCTATGAAAAGCTTATATGGCCAGGTGCAGTGGCTCACGCCTGTAATCCCAGCAGTTTGGGATGCTGAGACAGGCAGAGCACCTGTGGCCAGGAGTTCGAGATTAGCCTGGCCAATATGGTGAAACCCCTCCTCTACTAAAAATACAAAAATTAGCCAGGGGTGGTGACGCACGCCTGTAGTCCCAACTACTTAGGAGGCTGAGGCAGGAGAATTGCTTGAACCCAAGAGGCGGAGGTTGCAGTGAACTAAGATTGCACCACTGCCTACTCCAGCTTGGGCAACAGAGTGAGACTCTGTCTCAAAAAAAGAAAACAGAAAAGAAAAGCTTATCATTAACATTTTGTCGTTACCAGGCCTGCCTTACAAGAGCCCCTAAAGGAAGCACTAAACCTTGAAAGGAATAACCAGTACCAGCAACTGCAAAAACATACCTAATTGTAAAGACCATCAACACTATGAAGAAACTGCATCAACTAATGGACAAAATAACCCGCTAGCATCATAATGACAGGATCAAATTCACACATAACAATATTAACCTTAAATGTAAATGGGCTAAATGCCCCAATTAAAAGACACAGACTTGCAAACTGGATAAAGAGTTAACATCCATCAGTGTGCTGTATTCAGGAGACCCATCTCACATGCAAAGACACATATAGGCTCAAAATAAAGGGATGGAGGAATATTTATAAAGCAAATGGAAAGCAAAACAAAACTAAACAAAACAGGGGTTGCAATCCTAGTCTCTGATAAAACAGACTTTAAACCAACAAAGATCAAAAAAGACAAAGAAGGGCATTACATAATGGTAAAGGGATCAATGCAACAAGAAGAGCTAACTATCCTAAATATATATGCACCCAATACAAGAGTACCCAGATTCATAAAGCAAGTTCTTAGAGATCTACAAAGAGACTTAGACTCCTGCACAATAATAGTGGAAGTCTTTAACACCCCACTGTTGATATTAGACAGATCAATGGGAAAGAAAATTAACAAGGATATTCAGGACTTGAACTCGGCTCTGGTCCAAGCAGACCTAATAGACATCTACAGAACTCTCCACCCCAAATCAAAAGAATATACATTCTTCTCAGCACCACATTGCACTTATTCTAAAATTGACCACATAATTGGAAGTAAAACACTCCTCAGCAAATGCAAAAGAATGGAAATCACAACAAACAGTCTCTCAGACCACAGTGCAATCAAATTAGAACTCAGGATTAAGAAACTCACTCAAAACCGCAGAACTACATGGAAACTGAACAACCTGCTCCTGAAAGACTACTGGGTAAATAACGACGTTAAGGCAGAAATAAATAAGTTGTTTGAAACCGATGAGAACAAAGACACAACGTACCAGAATCTCTGGGACACATTTAAAGCAGTGTGTAGAGGGAAATTTATAGCACTAAATGCCCACAGGAGAAAGCAGGGAAGAACTAAAATTGACACCCTAACATCACAATTAAAAGAACTAGAGAAGCAAGAGCAAATGAGTTCAAAAGCTAGCAGAAGACAAGAAATAACTAAGATAAGAGCAGAATTAAAGGAGATAGAGACATGAAAAACCCTTCAAAAAAATCCATGAATCCAGGAGCTGGTTTGAAAAGATCAACAAAATACATAGACTGCTAGGCAGACTAATAAAAGAGAGAAGAATCAAATAGACACAATAAAAAATGATAAAGGGGATATCACCACTGATCCCACAGAAATACAAACTACCATCAGAGAATACTATAAACACCTCTATGCAAATAAACCAGAAAATCTAGAAAAAATGGATAAATTCCTGGACACATACATCCTCCCAAGGCTAAACCAGGAAGAAGTTGAATCCCTGAATAGGCCAATAACAAGTTCTGAAACTGAGGCAGTAATTAATAGCCTACCAATCAAAATAATATCATACTCTATAGCAAAAGGCTAAAGACTTTTCCTCTGAGATTAGAAATAGGACAAAGATGCCCAGTTTTCCTGCTTCCATTCAAATATAGTACTGGAAATCTCAGCCAGAACAATTAGGCAAGAAAATGAAAAGCCACCTAAATTGGAAAGAAAAAAGTAAAATTACCCTCATTTGAAGATTACATAATCTTATATATAAAAATCCAAAATATTATATAAAAATTATTTCAGAACTAATAAGCAAATTCAGCAAAGTTGCAGGATACAAAATCAACATGGAAAAATCAGTTGCATTTTGTGTAGTAATGATAAACAATCTAAAAGAAAATTAAGAAAATAAATCTATTTACAAGAGCATCAGAAAGAATACGATATTTGGGAGCAAACTTAACCAAGAAGGAAAAAGACTTATACTCTAAAACCTGCAAAATATTGCTGAAGAAAATTAAAGAAGATATAAATAAATGGAAAGCCATTCTATGTCCATGAATTGAAAGACAATATTGCTACAATTACAATATTACCCGAAGTAATAAACAGATTCAATGCAATCTCTATCAAAATCTCAATGGAAATTTTTGCTGAAATAAAAAATCCATCCTAAAATTAATATGGAATCTCAAGGAACACCAAATAGCCAAAACAATCTTAAAAAAAAAAGTTGGAATTCTCACACTTCCTGATTTCAAAACTAATTACAAAATGACAGTAATCAAAACAGTGTGTTACTGGCATAAAGCCAGACCTATAGAAAAATGGAACAGAACAGAGAGCCCAGAAATAAACCAAATGATATATGGTCAAATGATTTTTGACAAGGGCGCCTAGCCTATTCAATGGGAAAAGGACGGAGTTAGTGTTGGGAATGCTGGATATCCACATGCAAAAGAATCGAATTGTACCCTTACCATATGCCATACACAAAAATTAACTGAAAATGGATTACAGGTTTAAACATAAGACCTAAAACTATAAAACTCTTAGAAGAAAACATAGGGGAAAGCTTCATGATTATGGAGTTGGCAAGGATTTCTTGAATATGATGTGAAAGGCAGAGAAAGCACAAGTAAAAATAGACAAATTTGTCTACATCCAAATTTAACACTTCTGTGCATCAAAAGACATAATTAACAGAGTGAAATGCAACCCATGAAATAGGGAAAATATTTGCAAATAATGTAACATCTGATAAGTGGTTAATATCCAGAACACATAAAGAACTACAACTTAACAACAACAACAAAAACCAAATAACCCAATTTAAAAAATGGGCAAAGAATCTGAATAGACATTTCCCAAAGAAAACATACGAATGACCAACAAACAAATGAAAATTTGCTCAGCATCATTAATAATTAGGAAAACATAAATCAAAACCATAATGAGATATTATCTCAAATCCATTAAAATGGATACTATTAAAAAGAGAAAATAAATGTTGGCAAAGATATGGAGTAATCAGAGTCCTTGTATACTGTTAGTAGACATGCAAAATGGTACAGCCACTGTGAAAAACAGCATGGTGATTCCTTAAAAAATTAAAAGTAGAGTTGCCATATGATCCAGCAATTCTGTTTCTGAAATAATAGCCAAGGAAGAAAGCAGGGCCTTGAAAAATTATTCATATACCATGTATATAGCAGCATTATTCACAACAACCAAGAGGTGGGAAGCAACCCACTTGCTAACCAATGGATAAATAGATAAAGAAAAAATAATATATGCATACAATAAGATATTATACAGTCTTTAAAAAAAGGAAATTCTGTTACAACATGAATGAACCTTGAGGACATTATGCTAAGTATAATAAGACAGTTATGAAAAGAAAAACACTGTGTG
Source organism: Homo sapiens (assembly GCF_000001405.40). Classification (NCBI taxonomy): domain Eukaryota; kingdom Metazoa; phylum Chordata; class Mammalia; order Primates; family Hominidae; genus Homo; species Homo sapiens. Next base: position 133,875,282 of record NC_000008.11, on the reverse strand, counting down.
ATTCCAAGAGCAATCTAGGGTAGTCAAATTCACAGAATCACAAAGTAGAATTACGGTTGCCAGGAGCTAGGGAGAGGAAAACATGAGAAGTTGGTTAAAGGAAATAGAATTTTGTTTTGCAAATAAAAGGGTTCTGGACGTTGGTTGCACACAATGTGAATGTACTTAGCATGACTGAACAGTTCACTTAAAAATAGTTAAGATGCTAAATTTTATGTTATGTGTATTTTACCACAATTAAAATTCTTTTTAATTTTAAGTTAAAAAGTGAAATAAATCATTAAATGGTATCACTAGAAAGTAAAGAAATGCAGCTTTGAACATCTGCAGGTACCTTGCCCCATCAGAGATCACTTAAAGGCCCTGGTTCATATTGTGTTGCGAGGAAGGCAGCAAGCTTAGGAGCTAAGAGCACAGACTCCAACCCAACTGCCCTCATTTTAATTTTAGTGCCACCACTTACTGAATGCGTACACAGGCACAGTTTTGTAAAGTGAAAATGATGATAGTACCAGCCACATAAGACGCATTTGAGGCTGAAATGAGTTACTATGCATGAAAAGTGCTTCAACTAATCCCCAGCACATTGTAAGCACTAAACAAGACGTAGCTGCTATTATTCTTACTCTATTCCAAAGGCAGCTGCCATTTATTAAACAGCAACTTTGCACCAGGCATTGTGCTCAGCCCTTTCTCTTCTATTGTTGTGTGGAATCTATGTGAGAACTCTCTAAGGCAGATGTGACATGGATGAAGAACTGTAGGGTCAGCTTGGTGCAACAGACATTTGTGAAAGCCCTTGCTATGGCTTGGATGTGCTTTGTCCTCACCAAAACTCAGGGTGAGGTGAGTACACCTTCACCCAGGGAGCTTCTGTGCTTCATTCACCACACTGCTGAAGCTGTCTTGGAATAATTAATAATATTTGAATAAAGGGACCTGCATTTTCATGTTACACCATACCGCACAAATTATGTAGCCAGCCTTCCTTTGGCCAGCCTGGGAATGGGGGGTCATTGTCATTAATTTGTTTGTGGAAACAGGAGAAGCTCCTATTATACAAAGGGAGGAACAGAGAAGCAGGGAAGGCACAGGCTCCCAGAAGAGCTAGAATGGGCACAGGGCATGATGTGGCAGAGCCAGAAAGAGAGCTGAAACCTTTGAATGCCTCTGCCCCTGGCTGCCCACCCACATCCTCTGGGTTGCCCCACTCCCCCCAACCCAAGCTCTCCAGGCACTTTGTGGCTGATTTCTGCAATGTGGTGCCTCAAGTGGCACCAGTGGGTTTCTCAACCCGGCCTCCTTGCAGAGGCTCTGGCTAGTTTGTGGGTCATTCTCTTGTCACACTCTGAACACAATCAGCCAATAGCTGCTTTCCCTCCTGTAGAGATCCAAGATGAACCACGAATGAACAGGCAACTGGGTATCTCCAGTTTTCACTACTTTTTGTGTGAATTGTTATGGAGGTAAGGAGAGAGAGAAGGTGTTCAATGGGCCAGAACAATTATACATGAAATTCAAACATCAGGGGAGCTAACATAGGGGAAGACCTCAGAGGCCTATCCATTGCCCCAACTGAAATGCTGAAATGCCATCTACCTGCCTGCCTGGCAAACCATAACTCATCCCTTCAGATAGATTTGCTTCCTTCTAGTTGGAATGGAATTTTGCTGCAAAACAAAAGGGAGAAATGTGTATATTTTTCCCGAGAGTATGCATAAAAGCTGGAGCAAGGAGACAGAGGAAGGCTCTGAGGTTCTGGGCTCCATAATGTGTCCCTGCTTTCCTGGTTGACAAATAAATAATAATAATAATAAAAGAAAATCTATGCATAGGTCTTGGACAGAGGAAAGAAACCTCAGCCTCTAACTGCATGGACATTAGGTGATTTGAGGAGATTTTATGAGGGAGACCACTCAGATGTTACACACATACACACATATGCACACACACAAACACACACACACACACATATATGTGTCAAAACATTACATTATTATTATTCATACCTTTTCCCCTTCCATTCTCCTTCCTGATGATCTAGAAAATGTTTGTATTGCTTGTCTGGACTTTAGTTTGCTAATTGGTGATTGGCTTGAGATAGGAATGGAAAGGTCAACAGAAGCTAAAATGACATTTATAAGCTAAGCTGAGGTTGAGATTTGGGGGAGAGAGATGTTGGGTAAAGAAGACTTCGGGAAGGTCTCTAGGATGTTATACAGTGGAATCATTCTTTTACTGACCCTTTGTTGGAGACAGAAAATCAGTGACGGAATATATTACACTTTAGGACATTAACAGTCAGATTGGTGATTTGAGAAAATTGTCATCTTGCTGAGGTCAGATTCTCTGTTAAATGGGATTGGGGGAGGATAAGTGTGGCATGGTTCTTTTATGAATTCACATTTTTTTTCAGGGGTAGACCTCTCCAAACTATAGCTGGAAACATGGCCACCCAGTTGCAAACATTCTGCTTCCTCGTCTCTGTTGTAGCTGGGGAAGGCTATGTGATTCATGTTTGTCCAACAGGATGTAAGCAGAGGCACTGTGTGCACCATGCAGCTTGTGCTTCTCAAAGACGAGGGGCATGCCCTCTCATCCTCTTTCTCCATTCCAGGTATGACTGGAACCACTGTTTTAGAACCAGAGACAGAGGACAATAGATTTCCCAGAAACACTTAGCTTTACCCTGTTATACAAGAGAGAAATAACCTTCTATAATTTTGGAATAAAGAAGATGACAAGATAAAAGTAATTGCTGTGGCAACTGCCCTCTCTGGAATGTATCTGTCCCCTTTCTGAAAAGTATCCTGATATATTTGGAAACTTGTTGGGGGCGGGGTGCGGTGTGCATGCGTGCACGTGCGTGCTCCTGCTTACTTTACAGGTTTGTTATAAGGATGAAATCCAATCAAAGAATGTATATTAAAAATGCTCTGTAACAGCAAATGCTTGATAATTTGGATGGTATCAAAACTAAACACCTCATCTTTTCCTTGCAAAACCTGCTTCTTTTAATCTTTTCTCCATCTCTGTAAATGGTCCTTCCAGTCCTCTAAGATTGTAGGCCAAAAACCTTGCCCCTTCTCTTCCACTCACACCCAAAGTGTAGCAAATTCTCCCAGCACTACCTTCACAACATAGGCAGAACCTGACCCCATCCCAACATCTCCACTGCCAGCACCCTCTCACCCACCCTCTTCTGTCAGTTGATTGTTGCCGAGAAGAGTGGATCAGTGTCCTTTCTCTGTCTCTTGAGGTCTGTTACCTGAGCAGTAGCCAAAAGAATCCTTTCAAAGTGCAAGTCAGATGGTGCAACTCCTGAGCTCCAAATACTGATGTCAAATTCCCTGCCTTGGCCTGCCCTGGCCTCCAGAGCCAGCCCCATTTCCCCTCTGACCTCCTCCCCTGCCAGTCTCTCCATGGGTCCCTCTCACTGCAGCCCATGGCCTCCTTGATGCCTTGGACACACCTAGTGATTCCTACTTTAGGGTCATTGCACTTTCTCTTTCCTCTGCCTAGAATGTTCTCCTCCAGATAACTACAGGACCCCTCCCTGGCCTCCTTCAGAGCCTGCTCAAATGTCCCGTTCCTTACTTTTACACTGTTGGTGGGAATGTAAATTTAGTTCAAGCATTGTGGAAGATGGTGTGGTGACTCCTCACAGACCTAGAACCGGAAATACCATTTGACCCAGCAATCCCATTACTGGGTATATACCCAAAGAAATATAAATCATTCTATTACAAAGGCACATGCACGTGTATATTCATTGCAGCGCTATTCACAATAGCAAAGACCTGGAATCAGCCCAAATGCCCACCAATGATAAACTGGATAAAGAAGATATGATACATATACACCAAGGAATACTATGCAGCCATAAAAAAAATGAGATCATGTCCTTTCCAGGGACATGGATGGAGCTGGAGGCCATTATCCTCTGCAAAGTAACACAGGAACAGAAAACCAATCACCGCATGTTTTCACTTACAAGTGTGAGCTGAACAATGAGAAAGCATGGACACAGGGAGAAGAACAACACACACTGGGTCAGGCCTGGTGGCGGGGTGGCGGGAGGGAGAGCATCAGGATAAATAGCTAATGCATGCAGAGCTTAACACCCAGGTGATGGTTTGATAGGTGCAGCAAACCACAATGGCACATGTTTACCTATGTAACAAACCTGCACGTCCTGCACATGTATCCCAGAGCTTAAAATAAAATAAAATAAAATTTTTAAAAAGATAAATTTTAGCCACTTAAAAAAAATCCCCATTCCATAAGGTTTTTCTTAACCAAAATGTTTAAAACACCAACCTTTCACCCCAGGTTCCCTATCGCTCTTTCGTGTGTGTGTGTGTGTGTGTGTGTGTGTGTGTGTGTGTGTGTGTGTTTTGCTGTGTACATTTTTATCATCCCAACACACCACATTTGCTTATTGATTTGCTTATTGTCTGCATTCTCACCTCTGGGATATAAGATTCATGAGGACAAGGTTTATTCATTTTATTCACAGCTGTGTCTAGAAAAGTGCCCAGCACATAGCAGGGCTTCAACCCATATTGGTTAAATGATCAAGCAAGTGCTTGGATGAAAGAGTGGTGCTGGCGAGCTGAAAGGAGGGTGAGGAAGGAGCAGGAGGCCAGCCAGGGAAACATCTGGTGAAGCCGGCCGAGGTGACAGGGGTGATGGGCAGAGAATGAACTCATAGCTCTGCAGGCTACCAGGGCTTAATGCCGGATGGGCTAGAGAATAGCAGAGGTGCTGGAGGATAGCTTGTGCCCCAGCCTGGGTGGCAGTGACTGAGATAGCTGTTGAGAACCTACCAGAGGTGGGGGTACAGGGTCGGAGCTTGTGGGGAGGGAGGATGGGGCCCGCATGGTGCCTATAGTCCTACCCAGCCCAGGGTACGTGTGTGGGGAGGATGGATGTGGAAAGGAAGGACAGCTGAGTATTGCGGTGAGGCTCCATGAGCAGTGCTGGCTGTATAGCAAAGCCTGAGCTTTGCAATCTGGAGATGAGTTTCTAATTTCACCCTGATGGCTACCAAGTCGTGAGGACTTGGCCCCACCACTTCTCTCTCTGGGTCTGAGCCATTCTCTAGACCTGCCATTTCTTCCACTTCCATCCTTGCCAGACTGGCATCCAGGGGCAGGCTTAGTGTCCCAGTGGCTGGGTCAGCCTGCTGGCCCATCCCTCCATCACGTGCCCCAGAGCTGTGTCCCAACACTTTCCTGGGCTCCATCCTCTTCAGCAGGCTCCCTCCTGAGTCCCACTGCATATCCTGGAAGGTAATAACACAGTGTCTGCCACAGATTGCCTCCCCCACTGCTTTTCTTTGAGATGACTGGATCGTGCTCTCTGAAGCCAAAGGGAGCTGGCGCTGGCTGTCACTTTCCTCCTCAGTGACACTGATAAGCGTGAGGATTCTGCCAAGGAAGGCACAGAGTACATACCCTCACTACTCCCACACAGCAGGGAGAAGAATAATGCCAAGGTGGACAGGCTTCTGGTCCCAGTTCTGGCTCTAAGCTGCCTGTGATATGTTATGGTGGTCACACAAGCACTGAACGAGCCTGGGTTCCTGAGGAATCGGCTAGCACTGTCTCTCACTGACCACATGGCCTTGGAAAACTCACTACATCTCCCAGATCCTCTTTTCCATTCTTTGTAAAATGGGATCACCAGTTCTTCCCTGTCAACCTCACATCAATCTAGCTACAATGATAAAGAGGTGAGCAGGTGCTGATTCACTTCATCATTTTCTTTTTTTTTTTTTTTAATTTTTTAAAATTATACTTTAAGTTCTAGGGTACATGTGCACAACGTGCAGGTTTGTTACATATGTATACATGTGCCATGTTGGTGTGCGGCACCCATTAACTCGTCATTTACATTAGGTATATCTCCTAATGCTATCCCTCGCCGGTGCCCCCACCCCACGACAGGCCCTGGTGTGTGATGTTCCCCACCCTGTGTCCATTGTTCAATTCCCACCTATGAGTGAGAACATGCAGTGTTTGGCTTTCTGTCCTTGCAATAGTTTGCTCAGAATGATAGTTTCCAGCTTCATCCATGTCCATACAAAAGACATGAACTCATCATTTTTTATGGCTGCATAGTATTCCATGGTGTATATGTGCCACATTTTCTTAATCCAGTCTACCATTGGTGGACATTTGGGTTGGTTCCACTCTTTGCTATTGTGAATAGTGCCACAATAAACATACGTGTGCATGTGTCTTTATAGCAGCATGATTTATAATTCTTTGGGTATATACCCAGTAATGGGATGGCTGGGTCAAATGGTATTTCTAGTTCTAGATCCTTGAGGAATTGCGACACTGTCTTCCACAATGGTTGAGTTAGTTTGCAGTCCCACCAACAGTGTAAAAGTGTTCCTATTTCTCCACATCCTCTCCAGCACCTGTTGTTTCCTGACTTTTTAATGATCACTGTTCTAACTGGTGTGAGATGATATCTCATTGTAGTTTTGATTTGCATTTTTCTGATGGCCAGTGATGATGAGCACTTTTTCATGTGTATGTTGACTGCATAAATGTCTTCTTTTGAGAAGTGTCTGTTCATACTTTCACTCACTTTTTGATGGGGTTGTTTGATTTTTTTTCTTGTAAATTTGTTTAAGTTCTTTTAGATTCTGGATATTAGCCCTTTGTCAGATGGGTAGATTGTAAAAATTTTCTCCCATTCTGCAGGTTGCCTGTTCACTCTGATGGTAGTTTCTTCTGCTGTGCAGAAGCTCTTTAGTTTAATTAGATCCCATTGGTCAATTTTAGCTTTTGTTGCCATTGCTTTTGGTGTTTTAGACAGAAGTCCTTGCCCATGCCTATGCCCTGAATGATATTGCCTAGGTTTTCTTCTAGGGTTTTTATGGTTTTAGGTCTAACATTTAAGTCTTTAATCCGTCTTGAATTAATTTTTGTATAAGGTGTAAGGAAGGGATCTATTTTCAGCTTTCTACATATGGCTAGCCAGTTTTCCCAGCACCATTTATTAAATAGGGAATTATTTCCCCATTTCTTGCTATTCTCAGGTTTGTCAAATATCAGAGGGTTGTAGATGTGTGGTATTATTTCTGAGGGCTCTGTTCTGTTCCATTGGTCTATATCTCTGTTTTGGTACCAGTACCATGCTGTTTTGGTTACTGTAGCATTGTAGTATAGTTTGAAGTCAGGTAGCCTGATGCCTCCAGCTTTGTTCTTTTGGCTTAGGATTGTCTTGGCAAAGTGAGCTCTTTTTTGGTTCCATATGAACTTTAAAGTAGTTTTTTCCAATTCTGTGAAGAAAGTCATTGGTAGCTTGATGGGGATGGCATTGAATCTATAAATTACCTTGGGCAGTATGGCCGTTTTCACGATATTGATTCTTCCTATCAACGAACATGGAATGTTCTTCCATTTGTTTGTGTCCTCTTTTATTTCGTCGAGCAGTGGTTTGTAGTTCTTGAAGAGGTCCTTCACATCCCTTGTAAGTTGGATTCCTAGGTATTTTATTCTCTTTGAAGCAATTGTGAATGGGAGTTCACTCATGATTTGGCTCGCTGTCTGTTATTGGTGTATAGGAATGCTTGTGATTTTTGCATATTGATTTTGTATCCTGAGACTCTGCTGAAGTTGCTTATCAGCTTAAGGAGATTTTGGGCTAAGATGATGGGGTTTTCTAAATACACAATCATGTCATGTGCAAACAGGGACAATTTGACTTCCTCTTTTCCTAATTGAATACCCTTTATTTCTTTCTCCTGCCTGATTGCCCTGGCCAGAACTTCCAACACTATGTTGAATAGGAGTGGTGGGAGAGGGCATCCCTGTCTTGTGCCCGTTTTCAAAGGGAATGCTTCCAGTTTTTGCCCATTCAGTATGATATTGGCTGTGAGTTTGTCATAAATAGCTCTTATTATTTTGAGATACGTTCCATCAATACCTAGTTTATTGAGAGTTTTTAGCATGAAGGGTTGTTGAATTTTGTTGAAGGCCTTTTCTGCATCTATTGAGATAATCATGTGGTTTTTGTCTTTAGTTCTGTTTATACGATGGATTACGTTTATTGATTTGCATATGTTGAACCAGCCTTGCATCCCAGGGATGAAGCCAATTTGATCGTGGTGGATAAGCTTTTTGATATGCTGCTGGATTCGGTTTGCCAGTATTTTATTGAGGATTTTTGCATCAGTGTTCATCAGGGATATTGGTCTAAAATTCTCTTTTTTTGTTGTGTCTTTGTCAGGCTTTGGTATCAGGATGATGCTGACCTCATAAAATGAGTTAGGAAGGATTCCCTCTTTTTCTGTTGATTGAAATAGTTTCAGAAGGAATGGTACCAGCTCCCCTTTGTACCTCTGGTAGAATTCGGCTGTGAATCCATCTGGTCCTGGACTTTTTTTGGTTGGTAGGCTATTAATTACTGCCTCAATTTCAGAGCCTGTTATTGGTCTATTCAGGAATTCAACTTCTTCCTGGTTTAGTCTTGGAAGGGTGTATGTGTCCAGGAATTTATCCATTTCTTCTAGATTTTATAGTTTATTTGCATAGAGGTGTTTATAGTATTCTCTGATGGTAGTTTGTATTTCTGTGGATTGGTGGTGATATCCCCTTTATCATTTTTTATTGCGTCTATTTGATTCTTCTCTCTTTTCTTCTTTATTAGTCTTGCTAGCGGTCTATCAATTTTGTTGATCTTTTCAAAAAACCAGCTCCTAGATTCATTGATTTTTTTTGAAGGGTTTTTTTGTGTCTCTATCTCCTTCAGTTCTGCTCTGATCTTAGTTATTTCTTGCTTTCTGCTAGCTTTTGAATGTGTTTGCTCTTGCTTCTCTAGTTCTTTTAATTGTGATGTTAGGGTGTCAATTTTAGATCTTCCCTGCTTTCTCTTGTGGGCATTTAGTGCTGTAAATTTCCCTGTACACACTGCTTTAAATGTGTCCCAGAGATTCTGGTATGTTGTGTCTTTGTTCTCATTGGTTTCAAAGAACATCTTTATTTCTGCCTTCATTTCGTTATGTACCCAGTCGTCATTCAGGAGCAGGTTATTCAGTTTCCATGTAGTTGAGCGGTTTTGAGTGAGTTTCTTAATCCTGAATTCTAGTTTGATTGCACTGTGGTCTGAGAGATAGTTTTTTATAATTTCTGTTCTTTTACATTTGCTGAGGATTGCTTTACTTCCAACTATGTGGTCAATTTTGGAATAAGTGTGATGTGGTGCTGAAAAGAATGTATATTCTGTTGATTTGGGGTGGAGAGTACTGTAGATGTCTATTAGGTCTGCTTGGTGCAGAGCTGAGTTCAAATCCTGGATATCCTTGTTAACTTTCTGTCTCGTTTATCTGTCTAATGTTGACAGTGGGTTGTTAACAATCGGTAATAACAAACTTCTCCGAGCTAAAGGAGGATGTTCGAATCCATCGCAAAGAAGCTAAAACCCTTGAAAAAAGGTTAGACGAATGGCTAACTAGATTAACAGCATAGAGAAGACCTTAAATGACTTGATGGAGCTGAAAACCATGGCACGAGAACTACGTGATGCATGCACAAGCTTCAGTAGCCTATTCAATCAAGTGGAAGGAAGGGTATCCGTGACTGAAGATCAAATGAATGAAATGAAGTGAGAAGAGAAGTTTAGAGAAAAAAGAGTAAAAAGAAATGAACAAAGCCTCCAAGAAATAAGGGACTATGTGAAAAGACCAAATCTATGTCTGATTGTTGTACCTGAAAGTGACGGGGAGAATGGAACCAAGTTGGAAAACACTCTATAGGATATTATCCAGGAGAACTTCCCCAACCTAGCCAGGCAGGCCAACATTCAAATTCAGGAAATACAGAGAATGCCACAGAGATACTCCTCGAGAAGAGCAGTTCCAAGACACTGAATTGTCAGATTCACCAAAGTTGAAATGAAGGGAAAAATGTTAAGGGCAGCCAGAGAGAAAAGTTGGGTTAACCACAATGGGAAGCCCATCAGACTAACAGCAGATCACTTGGTATTTTCAAGCAGCTTTTACTATTAAGAGACTTTACTGTTACCTATTCCTCTCTCCTCCATCTAGAATTTCAGCTCAGGACCCCAGGATTCATCGGGAAGACCAAAGGAAATAAATGTGACCTCCACGGTCCTTTGTGATCTTCTGTGTTGGTTGCCTCTGCTGAGTCTTTTGTTGGTGATGCAATGTGACCTCTCAGGTCCATTGTAAAAGAGTAATTTGGAGCAGTTTATTTTGGTTAAAATTTCATCTTCCCAATTTCCCCACTTTTATAGATGCTCCAAGTTCATTATTCTATCTGCATAACAATCACATCCTATGAAAAGAGGAGTGACGCCGGGTGCGGTGGCTCATGCCTGTAATCCCAGCACTTTGGGAGGCCAAGGTGGGTGGATCACCCTGAGATCAGGAGTTCGGGACCAGCCTTGCCAACATGGCAAAACCCCATCTCTGCTAAAAATTACAAAAATTAGCCAGGCGTGGTGGTGCATGCCTGTAATCCCAGCTACTCATGAGGCTGAGACAAGAGAATCACTTGAACCCTGGAGGCGGAGGTTGCAGTGAGCCAAGATCACACCACTGCACTCCAGCCTGGGTGACAGAACAAGACTCCGTCTCAAAAATAAATAAATAAATAGAAAAGAGGAGTGAGCGCAATGGGGCAGGAGTGAGAGCCTCAAAGCAGCCACAGTGGAGATGTGGTCCTCTGAGGATGGTCCTGGCTCTCCTGTGAGCATTTGGTCCCCTGGTGACATCAGTACCTTCCTGTGAGCCCTGGGTGCTCTTTACATCTCGATACCAAAGACATGAGTTTAATTCATACACACCCTTCCTGAAATATTATAGCTACAGATGGGGCAAATACCAAATCCACGTAACAGTTATCGATCTAGAGAAAGGTTGGAAACACATGTTCTAAGAGACTAGAAAGTAGGTAGTTAGTTATGTCGTGCTCCACACTGGGCCTGTGGAATGAAAGCTATCACAGTGGGGAAGACTAAGAGGGAACTTCTAAAGCTGTGCCCTCCCCCAACCGGTCAATATAGTAAATGGCAAATAAAAACAATCCCCAATTGAGGGAGGTGGGGAAAAAAAAAGAGCCCTTCTTAAGAATCTAAGGTTGCAGGTAGGGTTGGTAACCTTCATTGTATTCCCATTCAGTTCATGGGTGTGGCCCCTGCAGATATCAGATGGATCCAAGAGAACAACTCTAGACAACTGCGAGCTCAGACAAGTGGTTGCCCTTGATGGTAGCCTATATGCCAGCTGCGGTATTTTTACTAGAGCAGATTAAAACAACCTCAGGGCATGGTAGGCAGCCACTGATTTGGCAGATATGTTCTGTCGTATTAGAATAAGGAAGGAAGATCACAGATGGTTTCACCCGTGCCGATCGGACAACCATAGACACTCAGAGAGCCCGGGGCTATATCAGCTCTCTGGCCTCCTTTCATAACAGTATCTAAGAGCTTGGGACTCACTGGATGTGCCACGGAGCTTCCCTTTGATCTATTGCCTTGGTGATGTTATATTGATAGGACCAAATGAGCAAGAGGTGCTGGCACACTGCAGGCATTGATAAGACACATGTTCCCCAGGTTAGCAGAGAAATCGTACCAAGATTCAAGTCCTGCCACCATCCCTAGAATGTTCATGGATCCAGTGGCCAGAGGCATGCATGTAGGCCTGGACATTGCCTACAAAGTAAAAGGGAACTTCCCTTATCTTGAACCTCCCTCCACAAATCAGAAAGCACAGCATCTGGTGGGTCTTTTCAGGTTTTTGTGAGAGCACATGCCACCCATGGTATTCTATGCTTTGATTCTTAGGCTGATGACATAACAGGCGACCAGCTTTGAGGGGGAACAGGACCACACAGGGCCTCTGCAACAGGTCCAGCCTGTGGTACAAGGAGTTGTACCTCATGGGCTACAGGACTCAACAGAGCCTTTGCCATTGGAGGTGTCAGTGGTGGAGAGAGATGCCATCTCGAGTTTGTGGCAAGCTCCAGGAAATGGATCCCAGACAGTCCCTTGGATTTTAGCCAAAAGCTGTGTCACTTACAAAACAGAATCACATGTCTTTTCAAAACAACTCCTGTTTGTTACTGGCCACTTGGTGGAGATAGACTGGCTGGCCGGGTAACACCATGTGACCATCTGGCTGGAATTGCCCATCATGAGCTGGGTCCACTCAGAATCACTAACTCGTAGGCTGGGCAGGATGAGCAGCCATCCACAGCAAGATGGAAGTGGTCATCTAAGCTTAAGCAGGACTGGAGAGTACATGCCAGCTGAATGAACAGGCGTTGCAGACTGCCATGGCCTCCCCGCTGTCACAGCAGGGTGCCTCCCAGCTCACACCTGGGCTTGTATGGGAGATGCTGTATGGCTAGCTGAAGGTGGGGAAAATGTCTGAGCTTGGTTCATGGATGGGTCAGTTTGCTATGCAGCTGCAACCCAACATGGACTTTGGCCCCATTCAGGAGTGGCCTTGAAGGATAGCAGCAAGAGAAATGCCTCCCAGTGAGAAGAGCACTGGGCATTGCATCCAGCCATCTATAAAGCTGAGATTTCAGAGGTAGCCAGATGGATGGGTGGTATTTAAGTCTGAGGGGAATTTAGATTGGAGACAGGAGAAGAGAAGCAGAGAGTGTCAACTGTGGTCCCGATGACAACGGCTGTGGCAGAGGCTGTGGTCATCCCCTTAGGACAAAGAGCTAGCCAACATCCTAGAGCAGCTGCCTCCCATGGCATATGGAGAAGTGAAGCTGAGGATGCAAGCATGGGCTGTCATACAGGAGAGATGCCCTGGACCCCCTTCAAGGAAGGGCACGCTGTCCTGCTGTGCAGAACGTGGCCAACCACCTCTGTCGGCTCCTTCCTGGGTCAAGCTTTCCAGGGCAGCCCCAGGCAGTGACTGAGAAGTGAAGACCTGAATGTCTCTGCCCACTCTGAATCAACTCTGAGAGATAAGTCTTGATCCAAGCCCACCATTCAGTGGCCCTCAACCAAGGGTGATTGTACCCCCATCTCCTCCCAAAAGGTCTGACAATTTCTGGAGATAATTTTTGTTGTCATTACTTAGCAGGGTGCTGCTGGCACTTAGTGGGTGTAGGCCAGAGATGTTGCTAAATGTCCGACCATGCACAGCACAGCCTCCACAACTAAGAATTATCTGGCCCCAAATGTCAAATGGGCTGAGTCTGAGAAACCCTGGGTTTACTAATGTAAGCTTCTTCCAGTCAGCCTCGAAATTCAAACTCTTTCTTCACCTAGCCCTGCATCCTCTTCATCCCTTTTACAGGCGTTGGTTCCAAATAAATATCTTGCACCCAAAACTCAGCCTCAGCATCTGCTTCCAGAGAACTCAAACTGGTATCAGGAAATCCCCATTTCCTACCACAGTGCTTGGCAAATGGCAGGCGGTCCATAAAAATCATGAACTCATGAATACCATCTAGGTTAAATACCAGACCCCCAACCTACACGTCAAAAAAGTGCCAATCAGGAGACCAACTGGGAGTCAATAGAGGCTTTATTTTTCATGAATGGCATCCAATTAGAACACTACTGAGTAATGAAGAAAATTGTTCTCATCTCCAGATCGGGATGTCCAAAGACGATGCTTCTTTCAACATTTTGTACAAACTGTTCTCTGCAGCCACAAGTGTCTTTGCTTAGGAAACTCAGCTCTCATGCTGCCTCCTTCATGGAACCCTGTGTTCCTGCTTTTCTTTTTTCCTTTTTTCTTTCCTTTTTTTTTTTTTGAGACGGAGTCTCGCTGTTGTTACCCAGGCTGGAGTGCAGTGGTGGGATCTCAGCTCACTGCAACCTCTGCCTCCCGGGGTTCAAGGGTTTCTCTTGCCTCACCCTCCCAAGTAGCTGGGATTACAGATGCCACCACCATGCCCAGCTAATTTTTGGATTGTTTTAGTAGAGATGGGGTTTCACCATTTTGGCCAGGCTGGTCTCAAACTCCTGACCTCAGGTGATCCGCCCACCTCAGCCTCCCAAAGTGCTGAGATTACAGGCATGAGCCACTGCACCCAGCCGTGTTCCTGCTTTTCTATTCCTGCCAATGACATTTAAGTTTATTCTCCTATGGTCCCGATACCACAAATACATACCTTAATTAATCATCTTGTCATAGGATAATTTTTGCTTATAAGTCTATCACCCAAATTGAACTGCAGTACTTTATAAGTCAAAGGCTATATTTTCATACTTGCACCTCTATTGCCTAGCACAGGGGGCTTATATATAGTAGACTTTCAAGACATGTTTTTAAATTGAAAGTCTATTTGACCAGACAAATAGATTAAATCAGAATCCCCATGTTAACTTTATCTACCAGGAGAGGGACCAGAAAGAGGATGAAACCCAAGTTGGAGCATCAGGAGAAGGGAGTTTCGTATTTTACCACACTGGGAAAAATAACCTCAGGGTAGTTAATTCTTCGTTTCCTTGAGGGAGGGGGACGGCAGGGATAAAGTGAGTGGGTGGTTAATAATTCATTGCTCTTGGAGAAATAACGGCAGTTTATCACCCAGTCAGATCTGTCCTCAGAACCTTAGAATTACAAAATTGCAATTGTTAACATTATTCAGGCCAAGTTTGGCCCCCATTCTTCCTATGTAATCTGAATAGTTTGTAAAGTCTGTTTCAACAGAGGGAGAGGGATGGTGAGGAGATATGATATTTTGAAGCAAAGCAAGTACCACTGTTTCAAACCTTTGGACCAGGTTGATGGGGAGAGGAAGAGATTGAGATGGGGGTGGTGAGGGAGAGAGGGAGGCAGAGAGGGAGAGAGAGAGGGAGGGAGGGAGAGAGAGAGAAGGAGGGAGGGAGAGAGAGGGAGAGAGGGAGGGAGGGAGAAAAAGAGAGAGGCCCATAGTCTTTCCTACCCCCAACCCAGTCCCCATCCTTCTAATCAAGCACACATTGAAAATAGAATTCTGCAAGATCGGAATTAACATAATTGAGGAGACACAAAGAATCCTTCAGCCGTCCTGAGAGAACAAGCTGACATTTTGCCAGTCCCTTCGAGGCCAAGACCACCTCCGCTCTGGTCTCCTCTGGCTTGCTGGCACACCTGCATCACCACCAACACACGAATAAATCTCCCCAGTGGGAGCGCCCTGATTGACTCAGATGGGTTCCCTCATTTGCCTGGTTTTACTCCACCTACATCTGTGTCAGAATCATTAAAGCCATTTCAATGCACCAAGCTGGACTCTTCCACTCTCTACACCATTGCAGGAGCCAGTCACCTTCCAGGAGTCATCTCTCCTCATCAGCCCTGACCATTCCTTCTGGTGTCCCAAGATAGTACCTGAATTACTTACCTAGAGCCCTCTGTGTGCCAGGCTTCATGGGAGCAAATAGTTTCCATCTCCTCCTCACAGCAACTCTGTGAGCTCAGCATCCTTATCCCATTCCCCAGCTGAGGGTCCTCTGCCACCCAGAAGCCAATCACCTCGCCCTCCTGGTGAGTGTCTCAAGTAACAGCTCTTTCTGCTTTTCTGTCTGAAACCGTCATTCCACATGATGAGGGTGATTTGAAAAGGGGAGGAATTAAAGCCATGTTAGCCAAAAAGATAATCACAAGAACTTAGAATGTTTTATCTGAAGGAGAGAAGACTCGGGGGATATAAATATTCAAAGGGCTATTGGGTGCAAGAGTTTGGGGCAGTTCTATGTGGCCCCAAGGACCAATAGAGGAAGACACAGGGAGATGGATTTCAGCTCAGCGTAAGTAAGAACTTCCTTACAGAATAGATGGAGTACATGATCTGGAGACATACCTACCCCCATCGTGAGACATGCAAGCTAGACTGGCTGTGCAGAGATAGTCCAATTCCCTGCCACCGGCTCATATTCAAGGCCCTTTCTGGTTCTCAGATTTAGTTCCTTGGAGGTTCTTCATAATTCTCTGCCATAACCCAAGGGTTGGCAAAGTATGGCCCACATGCCAAGTCTGGTTCACTGCCTCTTTTTGTAAGCAAGGTTTCATTGGGACACAGCTGGGGGAGTCCTTTGTGGATTGTCCACAGCTGCTTTCACTGTAACAGCATTGCTGAGCAGTTGTGATGGAGACCCTGCAGCCACAAAGCTACAAGTATTCACGATTGGGCCCTTTGTAGAACGAGTTTGCTGACCCTTGCAGTAAGTGATTTTTCTGGGAAACTGTTGAGTCTGCCAGTTTCCAAAGGGAAAATTGAGTAGAGCTTTTGGATCTTTGAAGCTGGGAGTGCGGATTCCCCTGAAAATGATTGAAATCATGGTTTGCTTGTTTTTTTTCTCCTTCCAAGAGAACCTGAGACCGGTGATTATTCTTGTTCCCTCTAATTCAATTCCTTTTCTCATTTCTTCTTATTATACTCTGAGCTAGCAGCACAGCCTCATCCTGGCAGATGTTTGCACAGATAGGCCACTGAGCTAAACTTTTTGTTTCCTAGAGGTTAGACACAGACAATGGGATGATTTTTTAAATGATTTTTTTGTTGTTGTTGTTTAAATCTGAAAAAATTAGCTCTAATGGAAAGAGATGGCCAGAGATCCAGGCAGTTGCCTGAGAATGATGACTGGGCAGAAACAAAGAATTAGTTTGATGACCCCTCATGGCTTGAATGTACCTTGAAGGTATGAACTCATGGAGCCCACACTAAGAATTGGGCAGTAATACTGTAACCATGGGACCAGCTCAAGCCAATTAGTCATTGCTTAAGTTGCTATAGATAAGGTAGAGCAAAGACTGCAAGTCATGTGGCTTGGGCATGCTCAATGGGAAAAAGCCTTAACCTTCTAACTGTTAACATGACCAGCCTGGCTGAGCGGCTACATTAGCATCACCTGGGACTAGTTAGGAACGTCATAAAAGCTTGACTCATCCCAGATAGGGGAGACAGCTTTGAGTGTCGCCTCCTGTCTCCTTACCAGTTGACTCACAATAAAATTTAGCAGTGAGTCCATTGCTTGGTCACAGTCTAGCACAGACAGGCCTTGGCAAATAGTAGATATTGTGGGTTGAATCACATTCCTAAAAAGATATGTTGATATCCTAACCCTCAGTATCTGTAAATCTGACCTTATTTGGAAACAGGGACTTGGCAGATGTAGTCAAGTTAAGATGGGGCCATACTGGATTAGGGTGGGCTCAAATTCTATGACTCAGGTCCTTATAAAATGAGGGAAATTTGGAGATAGATACACAGAGATAAAAATGATATGTGAAGAGACAGAGAGAGGCCAGGTACAGTGGCTTATGCCTGTAATCCCAGCACTTTGAGAGGCTGAAGTGGGAGAATCACTTGAAGATAGGAGTTAAGACCACCTGGGCAACATAGTGAGATCCCATTTCTACAAAAAAATTTAAGAGACTGAGAGACACACAGGGAAGATGGTATGAAGAAGGAGGAATATATTGATGTAATGCATCTGCATGCCAAAGAACCCAAGAGATTTCCAGCAACCACCAGAAGCTAGGAAGAGATAAGGAAGACTTCTTCTCTAGAGCCTTCAGAGGGAGCATGTCCACACCTTGAATGTGCAATCCTACCCTCCAGAACCATGAGACAGTCCATTTCTGTTGTTTCAAACCACTCATTTTGTGGCACTTTGTTAGGACAGCACTAGGAAACTAATACAGTAAGTGACTGATATATGTTTGCTGAGTGATCAAATGGGTGGATGGATGAACGATAAATGAATTAGTAAAAAACACCAATGCAGAGGGGTTTAGAGCCAGGTCTGTATTTGAAGAACCTATAGGTGAACTGAGACAAAGCAGAAGCAGTCATTTGTGAAGGAGGCAGATCTTGAGTGTTTGCAGAGAACTTCTCCACCACCCACTGGCAATAACATAGGAAGGGCAGCATTAAAGACTTAGCACCCAGGCAGGAAGCTAGAGAATTGCCAGCTTGGGCACAAACAGAGAAACTGGCTCTGCAATGCCAGGCCTCTGAGACTGCGTGGGGAACAATGCCTTGTCTTGGAATTCTGAAGGCAGAACCACCATCTAAGCCACACAGGATAATCATTGCATGGGATAATTGTTGCATCCCTGGTGTATGGCTAAGGGTGAGTGGACAGGACTCAGGGACAGACAAGACTGTCTGATCTACTCTCAAAAGCCACTAAGGGCAGGCAAGGAAAGTCTAGCACTTGGTAGGACTGGTGTGGACCCCAGGGTGGGTCCTATACGTTGGAGGAAAGTCAGATGCAGGGAAAGATATTAGGCCCATGAGTCAGGGGTGGGGAGGAGTAAGGAGTCAGGAGATGGGAGAGAGAGAACAAGACAGCGTGATATGAAAATCAGAAATGAGAAAAAGGCTTCAAGTCTCAGCCTTGAGCAAAGTTAGGGTGATCCAAGCGCCTTGCATGGAGCAGCAAAAACGTGCCACTTACTGTGCCTCACAGGTTTTGTCTCCCACACTTTCCACGTGTCTGCAAGGAAAAATAACCATCCACAATTCAGAGTTAAAGAAACTGAGGCTCAGAGAGGCAAAGTAGCTTCCCAGGGCATGTGGTTAGGATGCAATAGAGACTGTCACTTCTATCTGATTCAAAAGCCCATAGCATGACCTCTATGCCCCGTGCTTCTCTTAAGTCAGAGGATATCAGCTACCTGCCCCCAAAAGTCTCCCATGGGCATGGCAGGAATGACTCTCTATTGAGCAATAAAAGACTTTCTAGTGAGAGCTAAGGGCATCTGATTATTGCCTGCCTAAGGAGCCTTTTACATATGTTTTTCCTAATCACCACTTTCCCCCATGAAATTTTAATACCAAAAACATATTCTATAGTCCTTCACATACTCTATGTGTGTATATGTGCTCTATACACAAAAAGAGTAAGATACTTTCTTTCCTCAAGAACCAATTTTTGTACCACCACCATCCCCTGGCACCATGTTGAGAATGCACGGATTAGAAGATATTAATCGCATCTTCCTGTGTAATGCAGATCACTCTGAGTGACCTTTTGCATCACAACAGCCTTATTTAATAAGATGGGAAAGCTCACTAACCTGCTAAAACCTTCCATGAATTGGGTCATGACATGCAAAGAAAAGCAGCTGCTCTGTTGGAAATAGGGATTTCTGAATACCAGCTTTGCCAGGTCTGTGTGTACCTGCATGTGCGTGTGTGTGTGTGGATGTATGTGTGTGTGATCTTATTGTATCTTCCCAATAATGCTATGAGGTCGAATTGTCTGTTCAACGTTACTCAGCCAATGAGAGTCAAAGTCGTAATTTGAGTCCAAACTCTGTGACTCCACGTAGCTCTTGGCCATCACACGCTATGTGGGAAATTATTCTCTCTTGCTGAGCTTCAGTGTCTTTGTCTGCAGAGTAAGCTGAAAATAAAGACCAGTTCCCAGGACATTAAGTGAGAAAATGTATCTGCTATAATTTTATATTGGAGGAGGTCAGGGATGGGGGAACTCCCAACAGTTCCCTTACTGACCCTGTGCCTTGACCATAGCTGAGCTTCCAGAGGAATTGCCTGAAGCAAGCTGGGGCCATTACATTCCTTGCTGGGAACTTGAACCTTTAAGACAATAAGCCAGGGACTAAAGTTGGCTTAGCTAAGTCAAGCTTAGTTAGCTTAGCACTGGGGGCCGTGCTCTGGAGTAAGGATGGCTGAGGTTTCCAAGCTGGCCATTTGCCTGCCTCCTCGCAGACTCTTCTCTTCTGCAATACTCTGTATTGCAGGCAGCTGCATACCCCAGCACCCTTGCCAGCTGCCTTCTGGGTAGGCTCAGGCAGCGGGAAGCTCAGGCAGAAGACTGGTGGGCAAGGGGAGGGAAGAACCAGGTATTTCTCCCACCTTTCTGTTCCCTTTGGTGTCTTCAGCAGTGATTTTGTCTCTTTTCAGTAGCTTCAATGCCAATTTAAAGTAACCATCTCACCCTGGTGTCCTAGCACCTGATGAGGCAGCCCTATCATAGTTCCAGCTCTTAGTACAGAACCCCACTTGTGAATTTGAGTATCACCTTCTCCCAATGAAATGAAAACATTTAGCCCCAGAAGTAGGCTTTTTGCTACTGCTAATCTGGGTGACGTTGCTGTCCTCTGTTTGGATTTTTCAGTTATTCCATCTCCTGTGTAACCACTTCTCTGTATTAAATGCCATCTACTCAAAAGACCTAGAATAGTTTTGGTTCACTAAGTTTGACTCTGACTGATGCAGTCCCAAAGGGCGCAAAGTTCCTACCCTCCTGTGTCTTAGATGCTCTTTGTTTGTTTCTCTGAACTGCCCTAGTATTCTTCCAGTAAATCACACCCACCACACATGCACATGTGCACACATATACATACGTTTTTAAAAAGTTAGTTACAGTTAGAACTGGTTTTCATTTTTTTGCCACTGGTAGAACCTTGACTAATTCAGTGCATAATCTATGCTCTGTAAACTATAAACCAATTTGCAAATAAGCACCTATATGGTAGGTGCTCAATAGATGTTTGACGAGTATTGAATTGTGCTCATTAGACCCTGGCTGATGTATACATATACATGTTGACGACAGAATTGGAGTATTAATTTGTATTTCATCTTCACCATTACAGATAGTTTGCTCTTCTCTGTTACAGCTTGATTTCCTTGCCTAAAGGTTTTATTTGTGGCTGTGTCAAAAGCTGAAGAAACTTTAGACACACACGATCACCCCTCCTGCCTCTTAGGAGAACTGTGCAGGCTATTGGCAGAAGGAGAAGATATGGAGACAAACGTAAGAATTGAATAGTAACAACCTTTGGACCTGGTCCAAAAGGGAACAAGAGATTCCCTGGAGACTAAAGAAAAAGGAAGAATCTTTAGGGATTTCCAAGGAGAGTGGAATCTTGAGGTTTATGTCCCCATAGCTCCCTGCACAGGGAGTTGCTGCAGGATGTCAAGGGAAACTGACCATGTCTCACCTTGATACGATCTCCAAATCCAGGTGCATCCTTACCCAAAACAGGAGGAGGAGAATGAAGCAACATGATCTCTTCAGCGGTTGAAATGCTTCTCCTTATTTCAAAGAATCCTAGAGCTGGATGTGCCTTCTGAAAGCTTTAGGGTTGAATGACTTCATTTCATACATGAAGAGGCTGAGGCTCAGGTTTAAGAAGACAGCCCGATGTCACCTGCCGATTAGCAGCAAAGCTATGCCTCCCACTCTGCCCCTTGCCTCGAGATCTGGTGTTGTTGAGTGCCTGGAATTCGCCACAATGTGATGTGGTTAGAATAATCCAGTCTCTTTTTTCCAAACCTTCTGGTAAATATTAGTCATTGTGCCTTTAGAAAGAATCATTTTGGTCAAGTTACATTTACTTCAGTCATGCTGTAAGGATGAAGCTATTAGAGGAGATGGGGTATGCATGGAGCAGGGGCTGCAGTAGGCAAAACAAGGCTGGGCAGGGCCTGGGGGATGCTACAGAGGATACAGAGCTCTGAGAGACAGTGCAAGGGAAGTTACAGTGAAAAAGACAAAGCAAAACAGAAGTAGGATTCGAGGTCTTAGGCTCTCGTCCCAGCCTCGCCATGTACAAGCTGTCTTCGCAAAAAGTATTCCTCCTTTCTGAGGGTCAGCTTCCACATCAGTACAATCTGCCTTCTTCCTGGGGTGCTGTGAAAACCACGTGGGTGGCCAGGTGTAGTGGCTTATGTCTTTAATCCCAGCACTTTGGGAGGCCAAGGTGGGAGGATTGTTTGTGGTCAGGAGTTGAAGGCTGCAGTGAGCTCTGATCCTGCCACTGCACTCTAGCCTGAGCAACAGAACAAGACCCTGTCTCTAAAAAAAGTTAAACAAATTTTTAAAAATTAAAAAAAAAAAAATCACATGGAGTGGTGGAAAGCCCCAGGTAAATGTGCAGATTAGTTACTCTAGGGGGGAAAAGCAGAGCAGA
Source organism: Homo sapiens (assembly GCF_000001405.40). Taxonomy (NCBI): domain Eukaryota; kingdom Metazoa; phylum Chordata; class Mammalia; order Primates; family Hominidae; genus Homo; species Homo sapiens. The sequence continues at coordinate 133,853,387 of NC_000008.11, read as the reverse complement.
TCCACAGGGCTGCCACTCTTCCACCAGCACACAAGCCCAGCTGTTGCAGGGAGGCAGCTTCCAGTGAACGAAGTCTCTCTACATAAGAAGCTGAGGCTTCAGCAACAAGCCCAGTTGACGTTTTCTGTTCTCACCCACTGACCTGCCCATGGTACTCAGGGGCCTTCTGATATGGAATGGAGCTCTGCACCCCTATCCTCTGGAGAATGGAAAGAATGCTAGAAAAACTTTAAAAGCTTGAGAATTAAATAGGTTTTGCTCCCAAAGACGTTTTTAGGCCAAAAGTAGCAACAACGTCCATGAAGCTCCTACTGTGTGTCAACCCATGTCAGTGCTCCTTGGCGTAGTTCATTCCATTTGATTCTCATAACAAACTTCCACATAGGTGGTAACATCATTGACAACTTACAGATGAGGAAATCAACACAAAAGCATTAATATGTTTAGTGAAGCAATTAATTAATAGCAAAACTGAGATTGGTGCTGCGTGCATGCATTATGATAGACCATTTATTATGTGTATGTCATGAGGCAGGCACCATGTTCAGTGCATTTATGCACTGTCTTATTTTCCCCTGAAAACAGCTCCATCAGATGGACACATTGTTACTGCCATTTTACTGACAGGATAGCTGAAGCTCATAGAGGTGAAATAACTTGACCAATGTCACACAGCCAGATCTTATTAAGGCTGATTCTGCAGTTTAAATATTACAGTGAAGCAGCCCCCGGTTTGTAGGACTCCAGCTTGCCTTTGCTATGAGAAGAGAAGGTGATCAACAGGGCAGAGACAGTGTGAGTTCAGGTAACATCACTCTCAAATCCAATCTGGTTTTCTTTCTTAGGGCATAGCAATGCAAATACTGATCCAAATATGAACGCTTCTCATTTTATCTTCCTTCCCCTGGTGAGGGGCTGTGAGAAGCACAGCCATCCTTGCAAGGGAGACTAGGAAGAACAGAAGTCTCATCTTTCTATTTCCTTCCCAAGCAAAGTCACTCTTTGGGAGAGAGCTTCCAAACATCCACGCACAGCCACTTCAATTGTCTCCTTAATATATAGATAGTGTCCTCCTATCAATAATTTACAGCCCCTTCTTAAATGTTCAAGACAACAAGGTTGTAAAATCTGGCTCTAAGACTCAAATTTCTCAACAACACATTTTTTGTGCTTTGGGCCCATTTTGTTGTTTAGCGTATACCATATGTTGCAGATTTCCACACACTTCTAGAAAATTTCCATCAGCATTGTCCAACAGCATATGTCATGATGGAAATGCTCTAGTTTGTGTTGTCCAGCACGATAGCCCGTAGCCCCATGTGGTCACTGAGCACTTGAAAAGTGTCTAGGACAACTGAGGAATTTTTAATTCGATTTTAATTAAATTAAAAAAGCCACATGTGACTAATGGCTACAGTATTGGACAGCACGGATCTAGATAATTACTAAGAAAATATCAGCCTGGTTACTTATGTATACTCTTATTTTATTGTAAACACAGGATGATTTCAGTTTGTTTATCCAATGGGTTTAACTCTTGGCCCCAGTATTTTGCACTGCAGGGATTCACAGTTGTGTCAACACTCCATGCACGAAATTAAGTTCAAGAAAGAGGCCATGTGTTTGCTTATTAGCATTACATTGAAAAAAAAAAAAAAACTCCAAGAGTAATAATTAAAAGATTAAACACTCAGCAATGCAAACAGTCTTGCAAGCATTTACTACCTGCTTGCTACTCAGCAGTGTCAGCGTTTTAAAAAAGAAATATAATTATCACGTTGCTTTCATTGGCTTCATCTACAGAAATGCAGCCTGTCTGCTATGGATGTGGCTAGAGTAGTTTCTGTATCTCACCAAGCTGCTTACTCCTTGCGAGCAAGTTCTCTCTGGTCAATAGTTCTTGGCTCCCTTTCCTTCACTTATACTTGTGCTTTTTATATGTACCCTTTATGTTGTTCAGGAAGTATTTATTCTTTTTAATGATAATGATCTTCACAGGAAGCACTGGTAACTGACATCACAATACCTCTCTCTGGAGTTGCCTCCTTTCTAATTCCTAAAGGGGAAATTCCATGGCTACCGCAATATTTTAAAAACACTGATTCCTGAGCTCCATCCAGGGATCTGGGTCAGAATGATCACAGCAGGGCCCAGAAAGCTGCGCTTCTACAAGGCTCCCATGGATGCTGATCTGCAGCCAGATGTGGGAAACACTGACCCAAATCTTCCTTTGACAAAAGCTTTCAGAGGCAGGGGCAGCCTATGAAAAGTGTTGCCACAGCCACAGGGGTCTATAGACCTCACCATTATCATTGCACTGATATCGGCCAGCAATTCATGTCCTGATGCTAAGCATTTAAAAGCTTTCTCCACAATGATCTGGTGAGATAGGTGTTTTCATTCCATGAAGAATTTAAGCTTAGAGAAATTAAGACCCTTTCATTCCACACCTATTCAACAAATATGCATTATGTACCTTGTCTATGCCGGGTGGCGTTCTAGGACATAGAGCTTTAGCAGGGAATAAAACACACAGATATCTTTGTTCTCAAAGAGCTTGCATTGTCATGCAATGCAAGACAGAAGATAAAAGAATTAAAAAGTTGATATGTCAGATGACCACCTCAAGCAGGGTAAAGGAGTGATGCAGGACACTCAGCAACCTTCCCTGATCAAATGGCCTTTTGAGCAGAGATCTGAAGGAGTGGAATATGTCTTCTTCCATGAAGGATGTCGGGAAAGAACACCTCAGGCAATGGGAAAGAGCCCTGAGGCAAGAGAGAAATTTGCTTAGAGCCACAAAGGTGATAAATGACAGAGCTAGGGTTTGATCCAGGTCTTTTTGATGCCCAAGTTCAAGGTATTCTTTTGGCATCATCTTGCTGGCTCACCGTGCTAGCAATTTTGTTGCTAAGTGATGTTGGACAGCCAGCTTATTCTTTTTTTCTCATCTGCAAAAAAAAAGACTTTGGCTATCATGAGAAAAGTCCATTATATGTCAAGCAGAGGCTTCGGCACACATGAGACTGTTTATTCCTCCAGAGCAGTGAGGTAGGCATTGTCATCATCCTTATTTTACAACTGAGAAAATTGAGACACGGAGGAGGAAACTGGCTTGGCCAAAGTTTCCTCGTTACGATGAGGCAGAAACAGAATTTTAATCCAAATCATTTAAGCGGCATCTGCCACAGTCACTCATTCCCACTAGCACATTCTCTGCTGCTATCAATTAGTTAATAGTCAAAGTTAGTAGAGTTCAGGGTGGACAGCTCTGGGCTGCGATCTATAAGTACACCTTGGTGGCTGAATTGGTCTTAAAATAAGATAGAAAGTCCGATGAGAACACTTGGACACAGGAAGGGGAACATCACACACCGGGGCCTGTTGTGGGGTGGGGGGAGGGGGGAGGGATAGCATTAGGAGACATACCTAATGTTAAATGACGAGTTAATGGGTGCAGCACACCAACATGGAACATGTATACATATGTAACAAACCTGCACGTTGTGCACATGTACCCTAGAACTTAAAGTATAATAAATATATATATATATATACATATATAAAAGAAAGTCCCAACCCCTGTTGAATGAGAAATTGACAGAATTCTCCATAGCAGGTACCCTCTTACTATTGGCTTTCAAAGGAAAAAAGAGACTCTTTCACTGAGGCATATGACAGCTGACACGTAAGAACATTGTAGTTCCAAATTGCAGAATTATTAAATCCATTAGAATAATTATAATTGAGAATTTACTTAAAAGCCCATAATGACTTTTTATACAGCCTTGAGCGCCTTCTCCCATCTCTGTCATCCTTTCTCCTCCCTCCCAGATACAATCCTCTGAGACCCTGAGACCCCGGTGAGAGCCTTTGTTCTGTCTTCATCAGCATCCCCTGAGCGCACAGTCTTATAGGCATTATGAAAAACATCCTGCAGAAGAAGAAAAATAGACTGAATTGTCTTGCTTAGGTCATAGCTTGCATTTTCTTAGCTCATTTGGAGAGAAAGATGCTGGAGCTAAAAGCCCTGTTTACCTGGTGGCCTGCAGTCCCAAAGGGCCCAAGGTTCCTACCCTCCTGTGTCTTAGATGTTCTTTGTTTGTGTCTCTGAACTGTGCTAGTATTCTCCCAGTAAATCTCATCCACCACACATGCGCATGCACACACACATACACACACACACATGTTTTTAAAAAGTGACAATTAGAACTGGTTTTCATTGTTTTTTTTTGCCACCGGTAAAATCTTGGCTATTTCAGTGCAAATCTATGCTCTGTAAACTATAAAGCTATTTGCAAATAAGCACCTATATGGCAGGTGCTCAATAGATGTTTGACGAGTATTGAATTGTGCTCATTAGCCCCTGACTGATGTATACATACCCATGTAGATGACAGAATTGGAGTATTAATTTGTATTTCATATTCACCATTACAGATAGTTTGCTCTTCTCTACTACAGCTTGATTTCCTTGCCTAAAGATTTTATCTGTGGCTGTGTCAAAAGCTGAAGAAACTTTAGGCACACACAATCACCCCTCCTGCCTCTTAGGGGAACTGTGCAAGCTGTTGGCAGAAGTCTTGCATGACTTAACTACAGTGCCCCATTAAGAAGCTCCTTCTCCAGACAGGTAATCATTCTCCCTTCTAGGCTCCTACAGCTTCTACACATGACTTTGAGTTTTTTTTTTTTTCATATCACTGTTCAGTTTCTACATCTGCATATCAATCTCCCTTAGGAGAGGCAGTTTATCTCTCCCAGTGTTTAATGTAAAGCAACACAGAGCTTAAAAATTAATTGCAGAATAAATTAATAGATAAATGATTTAATGAATAAATCCATGTATATATTGCTACCACTGACTCTTTTTTTGACATGAGAACCTAAGTGTTCTAAGAGCTGTACAGAAATATAAAGATGCAGAAGAGATCAAAACAGGCAAAGGTCCTCAGGGAGCTTCCAGTCTAGTGGAGAAGACAACAGAGAATGACCATTTCAGATAATAATGTTTCCTACAAAAAATTAAAAATAGGCTAGTATAACAAAGTCAAGAGAGCCTGAGAGGGTGGTATTACAGTAGCCAGGAAAGGTGTATCAGAGGTAACTAGCCGCTTACCCAACTCCCCACTCTATTCATTTTTAGAACGCTTATTTTATTCTCAGCAATAATGTACCTGGGATAGTGTCATATTTCCCAGCCTCTCCTGCAGCTAAGAGTAGATAATCTATGTGTAATATTTTGAAGTTGGATTTCCTAGAAAGCTCCTTAAGAGAAGAAACAGATTGCTAGAGGGTGGATACTATTTCGACTCTTCTTATTTTCTACCCATCTGGAATGTATAGATGATGGGTGGAGCCCCAGCAGCCTTCCTAAAATTTAAGGATGAAAACAATCCCCCACCATCAATGGGGGAAGGATTGATAGAACAAGCCCGGTTCCTTAATGACCTCATTGAACATCGATTCCAGAGCTCTGCTGCCTTCTCTGGATGCACTTAATGTGAGTGAATAAACCCTTTGTGTATTAACCAACGTTGTTGTATTTCTGTTACTAGCAAGAGACAGTCCCTAATAAACACAGAGACCCCTTTGAAGATGTAACATCTCAGCTGAGACCTATGAAATAGGAAAGAATGAACCACGGAAATACAAGGGAAAGGAGTATTTTCGAAAGAAAGAACAGCAATTGCCAAGGCTCTGAAGCCAGAAAGGCAATGTGCTGGGTTCTAGATACAGAAAGAACCATCATGAGGGAGGGAGATAGTGGGAGATGTAGTTGGAGTGGGGGACCCATTTCATCACAGCTCCTAGCACAATTTCTAGGGCATAGCAGGGGCTTAGTTACTTTTTGGTGAAGAGATGAAGGAAAGAAGGTGTGGATGTAGGAAGGAAGGAAAGAACACATTACTAAAGATGGTGTATTTTATTCTTCCTACCTCCTTTTTCAACTCCTCCGGTGAACAATGACCAGACAGTGATGGGACATACGGAAGTGCTCAGAATCTCTCTGAAGTGGGAATGAACAACTGTCCTCAGGATTTCCTAGGATCTCATCCTGCTGGGCCCAGACTCCTGTCTGTCACCAGTGTTGAAAGTTCCTTTGCATGGCTAAGATTATAGTTTTCATTCATCCCCCCTTTCCACATGTGGCCAGCATGTTGGTTCAGTGCACTTTGCAGAGTTATATAGCCTGGGTTCCAATCCTGGCCCTGACAGACACAAGATGTGTTACTCTGAGTCTTTTTTTTTTTCCTTTTCTTCTTTTTTTTTTTAGAGACGGAGACTTGCTCTGTTGCCCAGGCTGGAGTGCAGTGGCGTGATCTCGGCTCACTGCAAGCTCTGCCTCCTGGGTTCACGCCATTCTCCTGCTTCAGCCTCCCAAGTAGCTGGGACTACAGGTGCCCGCCACCACACCCAGCTAATTTTTTGTATTTTTGGTAGAGATGGGGTTTCACCACGTTAGCCAGGATGGTATCAATCTCCTGACTTCGTGATCTGCCTGCCTCAGCCCCCTAAAGTGCTGGGATTACAGGAGTGAGCCACCGCAACTGGCCGACTCTGAGTCTTTAACTTATTTCTGCCTCAATTTCCTCTTTTGTAAAATGATGTTCATCCTCTTTGAGTGAGTCAGAAGGTCAAACGAGAGGTGCAGATGAAGCACTTAGTGCAGTTCCTTTCCTGTCTGCTCAGGGGATTGCAAGAAAAAAGGACAGAAGACTAATAGCAAGGAGGTCTGGGGAGGAGGCATGCACTTGTGGGAGCAGCCCTGAGTGGGAAGGCCTTTTTTCCCCCAAAATTAAAGGCCACCAGAAAATGCCCAGCAAGGAAGAACAGGGAGGCCTAATGATGCATGCATTTGACCCCAGCCAGCCCCAATCTGTCCACCCCATTGCTAACACAGATGATGCCTGAATGAAGAAGCCCTGGTGGCAGGGCTAGAGGCCATGCATGGACCCAACAGGGCAGGCTCCACAGCTGATCTAGCCGCAGCAACTGCCAAGCGTCCAGCCTGCCAGAAAGAGAGACCAACGCTGAACCCCCGACATGGCAGCCCTCTTGGAAGATACCCACTGGCCACTTAGTGGCAAAGTGACAATCTGAGACACTTTCAGTACTGGAAGTTGCAGTGGTTAATTTTAATAGGAATAGGCAAATGTTCCAGGTATGCATTTGCCTCTCCTGCCAACAAAGGCTCATCTACACCATTATCCTAGGGCTTCCAGAATGTTCTGTTCACTAGCACAAGCACTCACATAACATTGTGTCAGACGAAGGGACCCCACTTTACAGCCAAGGCAGGGGGGGCAGGAATGAGCCTGATGCTGAGGTATGCTGGTTTATCATGTACTGTATCACCCAGAGCTGTCAGCCTGAGGGATCTGTGGAATAGCCTACCCAAGAGCTCATAGAAACCCTTCAGAAATCATGACATTATGAGAATAGAGCAACATCCTCCAGAATGCAGGGTATGTTTAAATCAAAGCCCTTTATACGTGGCTGTGTCCCCAGCAGGAAGAACATAAGGACCCTGGAGCCAAGGAGAGAAGGAAGTGGCCTCTCTGGCCATCACTCCCAGTGACCACATGGAGAACATGCGCTTCCTGTCTGTACATCTCTACTCTGCAGAGATGGTGGCCCTGGCTCCCAAAGGGAGAAGACTACTTCTAAGGCACACAACAGGAGTCATATGGAACTATAAGCTAGTGCCCCTCATGCTCAGGGACCATCTTACGGGGTTATGGACTTTGATAGCTAGGAGATGAAGTGTTGCTGCTACACAATGTGTGTGGGAAGGAGGGGGATATGTTTGATCCACTTATGCACCTCTCCTTTTGATACTTCTTTTTTTAAAATTTTGACTGTAAATAGGCAAGTGTGGCAACCCCACCCTGAGAAAAGCATGGTGACTTGAGTGTCAGAGTTTTCTGGTATAAGGAGAGGCAGGTAAGCCACTAAGCCCAACAGGTGCTGGCTGAGGGTGAGTAGAATCTAGAACAGTTAATGGAGGAGGGAGGCATGGTCTGCCATTTGCAGCCCATGACAAGTTGCAGTGTTGGGGCTATAGTGCCTTCCACAAATGTCCACTGGTACATTTCCCCAGCAAGAGAGGCCACTGGAACCCTGAGGAGAGAGTCCTTACATGAGCTGGACAGGAAAGGCCTCTGGATGGAAAAGCCTCTATGAAGAAATGAGCTTGAGCATTGTAAGGATTTTGGCCGACTGAAATACAGTCCAGATCTTTTCCAGAACTCATGACCTTAGTCCATTCTCACATTACTATAAAGAAATACCTGGGACTAGGTAATCTTTAAAGAAAATAAGTTTGATTGGCTCATGCTTCCACAGGCTGTACAGGAAGTGTGATGCTAGCATCTGCTCAACTTCTGCGGGAGGCCTCAGGAAACTTGCAATCATGGCAGAAGGCCACAGAGGAGCACACACGTCACATGGCCAGAGCAGGAGCAAGGGGTGGGGGATGCCACACACTTTCAAACAATCCGATCTCATGAGAATTCACTCACTTTGGGGATGACAGCCTCAAGGAGATGGTGCTAAGCCATTCATGAGGAACTTGCCCCACGATCCAATCACCTCCCACCAGGGCCCACCTCCAATACTGGGGATTACAATTGAACACGAGATTTGAGCGGGGACACAGACTTAAACAATATCAGCCTTATACTCCCACTGCTGATGAACAGCCCTCAGTGTCAGTTCCTACAAGGGTTGCCTTAGCTGACGAAAGCCACCTCACCCAAGGTCATGCCTCCTTCCAAGGAAAGCCTGGAAGTAAGGACTCATCCATGCTGAGACACAGAAAGGCTCAGTCCCCACCCTTTCACTCCAAACAACTCTGCAGGGCTACTCCAGCTCCAGAGCTTCCCAGGCTGTCACCTGAGACTTTTTTAGGGACATCATCACAGCTTGACTTCCCCTTCTGCCCAATCCTGCTCGCTTCTCCTTCCATCCACAGATGTTGGTCCCAATGACACCCCTTAATAAATGCCCCACATAGTAAGTTCCACCTTAGAGACTGTTTCCTGGGGAAGCTGACTTCACAGGTCACCTCACAGAGCTGTGATATGAATCAGTCACTCACTAAATCTATGACTTAAATCACAGACTTAGTCACTCACTAAGTCTATGGAAATAGACTCTGGAGGAAGCCCTTTCCAACTGGCTGAATAAATTTTTATTGAAAGGGAGGCATTTTGTGCAAGAGGGGTTCCTTTTGAGTCCTGCTTCATCTAACATTCTTTTCACTCATCCTCACACTTGCAGACTAGAAAATCATGGGCCGTGCCCCTGGACACCCTTGTTCAGAGGATTCAACCACCAGACTTGCAAGCCCCACCCAACCCACCTCAGGTCACCTGCCACCCCGTGGTGACCTCCAGTCTCAGGGACTTTATACTTAGAGTTTCTCCTGCTTGGAAGGATTTCCCCAGACAGCCTGGGGCTCACTCCCTTACTTATGTCAGTTCCCACTGTTCAAGTGTCATCTGGTCAAAGAGGCCTTTCCTGTCCAGTTCACATACAATATTCCCATCACTACTCCCACTCCCACAGTCACCACCCCGCTTATTAGGCAACCTTATTTTTCTCCATAGCTCTTGATTTGTTTAGTGTCTGTCTCCTACCACTGGACCAGCTCCCTGAGGGAGGAGTTTTGTTGTTTAATTGCTGTGCATCCACTTCTACTATAAAGCCCAGCACACAGTAGGTGCTCAGCGAATGCTTCTCAAGTGAACAAATGAGTGATCTAGGATTCCCAGGACACGTTACTAGTTGTGAGGGCTTTCCCATCCCAAGAGCATCTGCTTGTATTAACCAAGGTTGTTGGATTTCTATTACTAGCAAAAGACAGCTCCTAGGCAGGGCACAGTGGCTCATGCCTGTAATCCTAGCACTTTGGGAGGCTGAGGCGGGCAGATCACCTGAGGTCAGGAGTTCGAGACCAGCCTGGACAACATGGTGAAACCCTGTCTCTATTAAGACTACAAAAATTGGCCGGGTGCGGTGGCCCACGCCTGTAATCCCAGCACTTTGAGAGGCCGAGGCCGGCGGATCACGAGGTCAGGAGATCGAGATCATCCTGGCTAACAGGGTGAAACCCCGTCTGTACTAAAAATACAAAAATTAGCTGGGTGTGGTGGTGCACGCCTGTAGTCCCAGCTACTTGGGAGGCTGAGGCAGGAGAATCGCTTGAACCCTGGAGGCAGAGGTTGCAGTGAGTCGAGACTGCACCACTGCACTCCAGCCTGGGTGACAGAGTGAGACTCCATCTCAAAAAAAAAAAAAAAAAAAAAAAAAGACAATTCCTAAAACACACAATTGCTGTGTGTCTACTTCTTCTGTGGAGCCCATCACATAGTAGGTGCTCAGTGAATACTTCTTGAGTGAATGAATGAGTGAGCTAGAATTTCCATGACACGTTACTGGTTATGAGGGGTTCCTCATCCCAAGAGCATAGCCTCATGGAAGACAAGTCTGGTTATTTCCATTCTGCATTTCAGTGACAACTTCGCCCCTCCCCAAGATCAAGTGTCCACCTATTGTCAGACGTTCAGGGAACTTCAGAGCCTGGATTTGAAACCAGGCTTCAAGACTACAGCTTCAAAGGTCAGGAAGCATGGCCCTAGCAACATTCCTGGCATGTGGTAGCTGATCAGATAATGGCAGGTACTCTTCTGCCCTCCCCCCGCCTTTTTTTTTTTTTAGACTGAGTCTTGCTTTTGTCACCCAGGGTGGAGTGCAATGGCATGATCTCTGCTCACTGCAACTCCGCCTCCTGGGTTCAAGCCATTCTCCTCCCTCAGGCTTCCGAGTAGCTGGGATTACAGGTGCCCGACACCATGCCTGGCTAATTTTTGTATTTTTGGTAGAGACGGGGTTTTGCCATGTTGACCAGGCTAGTGTCGAACTCCTGACCTTATGATCCACCTGCCTCAGCCTCCCAAAGTGCTGGGATTACTGGCATGAGCCACCACGCCCGGCCTTTCCCTGCTCTTTCGTGGAGTGATAGATCCTCTTGAAAGGTGAATAATTTAATTACACTATACATTTGGGGTTTTGTATAAGACAGAACCACAGCTGAATAGAGAACTTTGATCATTCATCCATTCATTTAAGGAGCTTACTATGTATCAGGTGCTATGAAAAGCTTTAAGGATAAGATATGAATCCTGGGTACAAATAAGTGTGCACAGATTTATGTGCATCATATAAAACACTATGACAGCCATGATTAAGAATCATATAATTCAAATCATGACTTTTTAATGAAATCTGATAAGCTTATAATAAAATGTAAATGAAAAAGTAAAGAAATAGAGACAGTCAAGGCATTTCAGAGGAAGAACTGCTGAGGTAAGTTGCCTTGACTAATATTGAGACACATTAGTAAGCTCTAGGAATGAAGACAGTGTGGTGAGGACCCAGGAATAGACACTAGAACTGAATAGAAAGCCCAGGGACAGAACCTCAATCGATGAAAGCCCTGCAGCAGATCTGGGGGAAGATGTCAGATGTGCAATGAGTGATTCTGGGATCACTGTCGTCCACAGGGGAACATATTTTGCCTGGGACACCTTTGTTACATTGTAAGTAAGAATCAACTTCAGTAGACTTGAATGTCATGAAGGTAAAACTATTAAAATTTTAAAAGATGTCAGAGAAGAGGCCTTTATGGCCTCAAGCTGGGAAAGGATTTATTAAACAAGATACAAAAAGCATAAACAATAGAGAAAAATGTCCAGGCGCAGTGTCTCACTCGTTTAATTCCAGCACTTTGGGAGGTCAAGGCAGGAGGATCACTTGAGTCCAGGAGTTTGAAACCAGCTTGGGCAACATAGCTAGACCCTGTATTTACAAGAAGTTAAAAAAAATTGGCCAGGTGTGGTGGCACGTACCTGTAGTCCCAGCTACTCAGCAGGCTGGAGTAGGAAGATCACTTGAGCACAGGAGGTCAAGGCTTCAGAGAGCTATGATTGTACCACTGTACTCCAGCCTGGGCGACAGAGCAAGATCCTATCTCTAAAATAAAGAAAGAGAAAGAAATAGACAATATCATCTACATTAAACTTAAAAGTTTTGACTCATCAAAGGAAACTATAGAGAGTGTTAAGGTAAGTCAAAGCTAGAGAAAAACATTTGCAATATATAAATTAATAAGTACTTTTCAGAATATATAACGAACTGCAAATCAATAAGAACAAAACAAAAATTCAGTAGAAAAAATGAGCAAGACAGATTTTACTCAATAAAAAAAGAAAATATGAATCAACAATCAACATGCAATAAGGAACTCAACCTCTCTAGTCATTTGGAAATGTGAAATAAAGCCACAATGAGATATCATTTCACATCCACCAAGTAAGCAAAAATTAAAGTCTGATAATCAATGATGCAAGGAAATGGAACAATCACTCCTCTTAACCAATGCCAGGTGAGAGTGTAATTTGATAAAGTCACAGTAGACAGCAATTTGGCATCATCAGATGTAGTTAAGGAGATGCGTAAGTCTGCGACAACATTTCCACTTCTGTCTATATACCTGGAGAATCTTGGGTTTGCTCCAGGAAACCTGCACAGAGACAGCCAGGTTACGTCAGCACAGTTTTTTATAGCAAAAGCTGGAAACCATTAAAATTCCCATCACCAACAGGAATAGGTTTTTAAAATGTATTATATTTATCCAATTAAACAGTATATACCAGTGAAACGAATGAATTGCAATAACATGCAAAAGAGTGGATGGATTTCACACACCTAATTTTGGCGGGGAGAAAGCAAGTCACAGAGAAGATGCAGTATGATTCCATTTATGTAAAATTCAAAAGCATGTTCAACTACGTGATCTGCTGCGCAGGGAGACAAATTGGCATGATAAAACAGAAGAAAACAAATTGATGGACAAGTACGAAATTCATGGTAGGAGTCAAATCTGAAGGAGGAAGGAAGGGAAGAAGTTTGGGAACAGACATACACACAACTGCAAAGATGTTGGTTATCTTTTGCGTAGAATGAGTGGTGTTCATTTTACTGAGGTTCTCTTTATCTGACATATATCTGGTATACCCCTTATAAATATCCGGGGCTTTTTTTGCTGATCTCGTATTAGTATTAAAATTAAACAAATAGTCCTTTAATGCTATCAGTAAGAGGCCAATGATGAGGGAGATGACAGTATCTTGTTGACCTGGATCTTCAAGGTTGAGTAGATGTTCAGGCAGTAGGAAAGAGGGGAAGATGAAATACACATCAGGCAGATGAAATGGAAATGGAAGGTGGGAAGACAAAAAAGTGCAGCTAGGAATGACAAATTGCTGAAGGTGCAGCTAAGATCAGAGTGCGTGGAATGAAACTTGCATGGTGGGAGATTCGAGTTTCTACAAGGTTCCTATAAACCTCACAAATGTGTTTTGCAATGATGAAGAATAATTAAAGAAATTTTATTGTAGTAAAATCCATAGAACACAGTCTGGGCAACATAGCAAGACTCCACCTCCACAAAAAAAAAAAAAAAAAAAAAAAATTAAAGGCCTGGTGCTGTGCCTTCACACCTGTAATCCTAGCAACTTGGGAGGCTGAGGCAGGAGGAGAGCTTGAGCCCGGGAGTTTGAGTTTATAGTGAGCTATAATCGCACCACTACACTCCAGCCTGAGCAACAGAGCAAGACCCTGTCTGTAAAAAAAAAAAAAAATTAAAAATGCACAGAACGTAAATGTATCATGTTAACCATGTTAAGTGGAATTCAGTGGCATTAAGCCCATTTGCATTGTTGGGCATCTATCACCAATATCCAGCTCCAGAACTTTTTTTTTTTTTTGAGACAGAGTCTCGCTCAGTCACCCAGGCTGGAGTGCAGTGGTGCAATCTCAGCTCACTGCAAACTCCACCTCCTGGGTTCACGCCATTCTCCTGCCTCAGCCTCCCCAGTAGCTGGGACTACAGGCACCCACCACTATGCCTGGCTAATTTTTTTGTATTTTTAGTAGAGATGGGGTTTCACCATGTTAGCCAGGATGGTCTCGATCTCCTGACCTCGTGATCCACCCGTCTTGGCCTCCCAAAGTGCTGGGATTACAGGCGTGAGCCACCACGCCCGGCCTCCAGAACTTTTCATTATCCCAGGCCATTAAATAATTTCTGCCAGGTA